>NC_000001.11:143809587-144434587 GCF_000001405.40 Homo sapiens
CACACACACACACACACACACACACACACACACAAATAAACAAAACACCTAGGAATATATTTAACCAAGGAGGTGAAAGATCTCTACTGGGAGAACTACAAAACACTGATGAAAGAAATAATAGACAACACAAACAAATGGGAAAACATTCCATGCTTGTGGACTGGAAGAATCAATATTGTTAAAATGACCATTCTATCCAAAGCAATCTAAAGATTCAACGCAATTCCTATCAAGTTACCAATGTCATTTTTTACAGAATTAAAAAAAAAAATTATAAAATTCTTATGGGGCTGGACATTGTGGCTCATACCTGTAATCCCAGCACTTTGGGAGGCTGAGGCAGGAGGATCACTTGAGGTCAGGAGTTCAAGGGCAGCCTGGCCAATACGGTGAAACCCCATCTCTACCAAAACACACAAAAGTTAGCAGGCGTGGTAGCACACACCTATAGTCCCAGCTAATTCAAGAGGCTGAGGTGGGAGAATCACTTGAACCCAGAGGCAGAGGTTGAAGTGAGCCGAGATCATGCCACTACACTCTAGCCTGGGTGACAGAGTGAGACCCTGTCTCAAAAAAAAAAAAAAAAAAAAAATCCCCATGGAACCAAAAAACGGCCCAAATAGTCAAGCAATCCAAAGCAAAAAGAACAAATCCGGAGGCATCACATTACCTAACTTCAAACTATACTACAAGGCTATAGCAACAAAAACAGCAAGGTACCGACACAAAAATAGACACATGAATCAATGGATAAGAATAGAGAACCCAGAAATAAAGTCACACACCTACAACCAACTGATCTTTAACAAAGTTGACAAAAATAAACAATGAGGAAAATGATACCCTATTTAATAAATGGTGCTGGGAAAACTGGCTAGCCAAATGCAGAAGAATGAAACTGGACCCCTACCTCCCACCATATACAAAAATTAATTCAGATGGTTTACAGACTTAAATATAGGACGTCAAACTATAAAAATGCTAGAAGAAAACCTAGGAAAACCTCTTCTTGACATTGGCCTATGACTAAGACCTCAAAAGCAAATGCAACAAAAACGAAAATTGACAAATGGGACTTAAACTTAAAAAGCTTCTGCACAGCAAAAGAAATAATCAACAGAGTAAACAGACAACCTACAGAATGGGAGAAAATATTTGAAAACTATGCACCTGACAAAGGACTAATATCCAGACTCTATAAGGAACTTAAATCAACAAGACAAAACCAAATAACCCTATTTAAAAAATGGGCAAAGGACATGGCTAGACACTTATCAAAAGAACACATACAAGCGGCCAACAAACATATGAAAAAATGCACATCACTAATCATCAGAGAAATGCAAATTAAAACTACAGTGAGATATCATCTCACAGTAGTCAGAATGGCTATATTCCAGGCTCGAGGCAAGCGTGCTCTTCACGAGTTCTGTCATTCTCTTGAGTGAAGCTCACCTGGTATGGTAAGTTGTCCTCATTTTAAAACATTCAGATTTTATTCTGCAATCCTTTCACATGTGACAGTTTTTCTGTTCTTCCTAAGCATGTAATGGAAGTCAAGGAATTCTACATCCTCACTATCTATTAATATTTCTTACCTTCCCACAGCAGTGAAATTCCCATTCTAGTCTTCTGAAACAGAGATAGCTAATAAAGAAAACTCATTTCTCCTTTAAGCTTTTCCACACATTTCAGACCATTCTGGTTTTATTCTTTTCTACACAAATTTTACTCTTTATAGGTGTTCAATAAATAAATATAAACACTAATTTTAAAAATAATTTATTAATTTGATCTCTTCATTTAAAGATAATATCCAATGCCTCCAAGTTCCCACCCAAGAATTCTGTTGGATAGGGCTGGAAAAGTTCTGGAGAACATTCTTCCAGACTCTCTAGGCATCATGTCACAGGATGTCCTCACCACAGCCAGAAGAGTGACTCTGAGTATATGAATGAGGGGCTACAGTGGACTGTGCAGTACCTAGGGAGGGAGAGACAGGGCTGCAATGAAGTCTGGAGGGATTTAGGAGATTCATTGATTGTACCAAACAAAAACTTAATTTCTTCTCTCCTATTCCGTACCCAGGTGAAAGTGGGAAAGACAGGAAGAGAGACACCAAGCTTTCTAGTTGACAGCTAGTGACTCTCTGATTATCTGCAAAGATTGGGAAAGGAACTTAAACATGACATGTAGATTTTCCAGAGATATTTACTCCTGGAGCCAGGAGTCTGCGAACATGTAGGTGGGATCTTTTAAGAAGCAGCCTTATCTAGATTGGGAATAAGCTATTATAGTTTTAGGCTGTGTGGATCTGGTCAACTTTTGTGCTGCCTACTTCTCTTTGCTTCTACAACTGGGCATCGCTGCAGAAAGGAAGAAATATGGAAGTGACTTCAGCTTTGATTTTTTCCTTCTGGAAGCCTGAAAACTCCAGTTTGCTTCCCTGAGCCCTTTTCCTGTTGCACAACTAGGGTGTGGACTACAGGTCCTACCCATGGAAGATGGAGGTAGATACTTCACAGGGAATAAAAACAACCCAGACAAGTCATACCTTTAGGTAACAGATACTTTCAAAGATGTACTTTCCTGCATCCATTAAAGTTTTAGTCTCAGCTAATCTGAAAACCTGAGGTCCTCCTGCACTGGGATAGCAGTGCAATATGGCTCAGGCTCAGGTTTTGCTGGGCACACCAGAGTAGGCAACACACTCTCATGTGCAGTGGCTTCAGGTATGGATCAGGGTCTTTCCCACTAATTGGCTTCAGTTATGATGTTGTAGGTCATCATTCTTCTGGCTTTAATATGAGAGAAGAAGGGATGGGGAAGAACTGGTCTCCAAGTGAGAGCATCCAGGGTGAAGAGTGTGGAAATAAGGGTCATTAGCACAAGAGAAGAGCCAGGTGATATCAAAGGCATGTAGTAATGGCATAAAGGTGGAACGTTGCTCTCATTCTGCTGAAGTGGGCACCATGGAAACCTTGGTGCTACCACTCGCCAGTCAGGCCACAAGCCCAAGAACAGCACCAGGCAGTATAAGGACATATAAGAATGACATCACTTCAGATAGTCCTGAGAATTAGACCTATCCCTGCTTGGGGCAAACCACTCAGTGGGAGCAATAGTACCCTTCTGCTTCCCTATCTGGGCTAATTGTAAGGAACAAGTGAAATCATGCACACCAATGTGCTTTAAACCGGTAAAACTCTGCCCCAAGAAGCTATGTGCCCTTTTGAGACTCCCTAGACGTGGACAGAAACATAAAATTTCTGCCTTTCTACCTTTTCCTTGGTCACCATTGCTAAGCACATGCTGCAGCCTCTCCCTCAGGCGGTCATTGAGACTGATGGACTCCTCCAGGCGCTGGCGCAGGTTCTGTATCTCAGCAAGATTCTTTTCCAGCAGGTCTGCCCCTACTGCAAACACCAAGACATAGGAGAGGTAGGAGGTAGGGAAGCCTGATCATCCCTGGGCAGCTGTGGGGCCTGCGTGGCATCTCTCTGCAAGATCCCTACCTATCTCTATCCTTCTGTCAGCTTCTTCCTCTCTCCTGGGCATTCAGGAAGCACCAGGCAACTTTACTTAAAAGTCCTGGGCTTTCAATCACAGGGTGGCCCCCTGTAAGGAAACACCACAGGCCTCCTCCCAGACAGAGACCACCAAGTACATCTAAGGGAGATGGACACAGGGTGAGAAACTGCTAAAGGCCTCTAGGCAGAACTGGCCTAGTAATGGGAAAGGCTGTCTACCTCCTTGGTATGGAAAACAATCCAGAGAATCTCCCTCTCTACCTCATCCCTCTCCCCGATGATGATCCCGACTCAACAGCCTTTGAGATTTCACTCACTCACAGACAGAAAGACCAAGGTAAGTGCATATGAAATTAAACCAGGCTGTGAATAATGAGTGATAGTGAATGTTCTCCTTTAACCAGTTTTGGCAAAGAGGAACATGGAAGAGCTTGGGAAGGTATCAGGATCTGAAGTGGGGGAACAGGAGAGAAGGGAACAATCTCCAAGGAAGGAAAAAGATGCACAGAGAGAGGAGGCTGAGAATAGGCTTCACCCACTGGGAGATTTTGCGTAGGGTCAGGCTTTTCTCTGAGAATTTAAAATGTCTTATTGTTACACTACCTGGGACACAGAAATGGAGCTGCTTCAAGCCATTCCTCTAAATAGCTGCACTCCTAGCTGCCGGGTGCCAGGATGTTTGGTTCCAAATCCAAAAGCAATATTTATGGGGGCAGGATTGGCACGTGGTTGTATGCACAGTGTGTGTGAAAGATGTGTGTGAAAGAGTGGAAAGAGTGTGTAGGGCTGGGTGACTCTGTAGAAATAGTTTCCCATCCGACAGTAGCTCCTGACCTAAGGAAGACCTTCCCCATGGAAATCTGAGCTTAGCATTCCAGGACAGTCTTAATCTAGGCCTAAGAAGGTTGTAGCACAGAGAGAAGGCAACATTTAAGTGTGAGGTAACTTATCCTCCTTGTAGAGCACCTCAGAATGTCCCTGACTTCTCCTACTCTCCTGCCCAGAGTGAGTTCCTAGGTAGGGTGGCTAGGAGAAGGCACTTTCAAAGAACAAGCACTGAGCTGGTTCTCACTGTCTGGCTGATCTACATATTGTCCTGTCATTTTTTATGAACCAGGTTCTAACAGAGGAACCAAAAAATCCTCTGGCCAGGAAAGGAATGTGTCATTCCTACCAATGGGCTCGATTTCACTAAATGCTCCTTTGTGTTTTACCAGAGGTTTCGGAGTTGGGTTGGTACAAAGAGGAGAAGGAGGCTAGGTCTCCAGATGCATTCATTTTTTGAGGCCTCATCTCTTCCCATGGGCCACTGCTACCGTGTTCTAGTGTCCTGCTCTGCTGGGCCAGTGCCGCTCGAAGGATGGAAGGGCTGGGCAGACCTGGTTCCTTGGTTGCTGGGCAAAGCAGCTGAATCAGCAGAAATGGCAGGGCTGGCATCTGTCCAGAAAGGAATGTGAGTGAGAAACCAACAGGGAAGTCATAAAAGAGTATTTTAAAGGTAATTATAGTGAGTTGAATAGTGTCCTCCAAAAATTCATTCAGTTCACTTGGAACTTCAGAATGTGATCTTATTTGTAAATGGGGTTTTTGTAGATATAATAAGTTAAGATGAGATGATACTGAATTGGGGGTATGTCTTAAATCCAACATGACTGATGTCCTTATGAGAGGAGAGGAGACACAGAGATAAAGAGACACACAGAGAAGGAGACCATGTAACAAGAGAGGCAGAGATTGGGGTGATGTGTCTACAACCCAGAAACCACCAGAAACTAGGAAGAGGCAAGGAAGGATCCTTCCCTGGAGTCTTCAGAGGGAGCATGGCCCTGCTGACTCCCTGATTTTAGACGTCTTCATCTCCAGAACTGTGAGAGAATACATTTCTGTTTTAAGACGCCCGGTTTGTGTTTTTTTGTTTTGGAAGCCCTCGAAAGCTAATAAAGCAATCCACGGAATGAAGACTAAGGCAGATGTCAGCAGACTCATTTCCCAAGGACTTCCCATTTCACCCTAAAGTAACTGGCATTTCTCAGCCTATGACATAAGCAGTAGTGTTAGTTGTAATATCTGAGCATCACAGCGCACATACAGGAAAAATATGGGGCCCCTCTCCTAGCTCCCTTTATGATTCCCAATGCTGGAATGATCCTGGGGAGGTACTTCAGAAATGTTTCTCCTAATAGCAGGACTCACAGCCAATCCTAGGAGTTCAGACAGTGAGGGGTGAAGCATTTTGTTGGTCTGTAAACAGGTGACTATTTATTCAACATTCTATGCCCTTGCCAGAAACACACCAGCTACTCCTTCCTGGGATTGTTCTACACTGAGGCTGTTGGAGGAGGAGGAGAAAATGGCCTCCACTTCTGGACAATGTGCAGAGAACCTAGAGAGTGTTGCTTCCACTCCTGGTGGTTCTCTCTCTGGCCTCGGCTGACTCTGGACCTGCAGTGAAGCTGAGGGGGTGTCTGTCTAAGGCAAGTGGTGATTTGGATTCCACCTAGAATGGCTTTTGACACTGCAAAAATAATTCTTATGTACAGCTCACATTGTCTGGCTCCTGTCCATAGAATAGCTAGTGTACTCTTGCATAGAGGATTGTAGAATCACAAAATACATGGCATCTTACAGCTCAATGATGCCATGAGAACATGGCCAGATCCTCTGGGCCCTTCATTACTGTCTCCCTTTGAGAGAAAAACCAAGCTGGGGTGGCAGGGCCATAATTCAGAGAAAAGTTTTAGAGTCTTTCCCTTTCGAGGATTATTATCAAGGGCTAAAGAATAGACAAGTTTCTCCTCTGAGCAGGTGGGAGTGAGGTTTCTGTTTGCCCTCAACAACATCACGTTCTTTTAGGAACTGTATATTTAAATCAGTATCCAGTAGGTCTCTCCTTCTCCAATTTATAAAATATCAGATACTAATTAGAATCACTGTGAGATAAAGAGTAACGACAACTATGTTAAGTCTTTAATAAATGCCTGACTTAAAGTAGGAACTCAATCAAAATGTGATTACCACCCCCTTTCAAACCTCCTTTATCTCAGAAAATCAGTTTACTCTCAACCATGGCCATAGGAAGCTCTAAGTTTTATCAGTAACAGTGATCAGTGTTTTAACGTTCCCTGGCCATACCACATGGGGAACATGCCCTACACTGCAGATGGAAAGCAACAGAGACTAGACTTTTGTGAAGGAAATTTGGCCTCACAATGTAGCTGTCATGCCAGTGCACTACAGGTTGACTGTTCTAGAAATTTTGGTTCAAAAACCAAAGAGGAAGTGGTGATAAACAGTTGCCCCTGTGAAAGGACAGTGACTTCAAGTGGGAAAGAGAAGGGCTTCGATCTCCCTCAGGAAAGACAGTTGTGGCAAAAAGTAAAGCTGGTGCTCTCCAGAAGCATCATTCCAGAGGCCACACCTCACTGCAGGCAGTGGCAGGGATTGCAGGTAAGGGAAGCATGGGCTTGCCCTTCTGCCATCTCTTGGGGCAGTGCTGAGGTTGAAACAAGTGCCTCTGGGCAACTGAATCAAGGATGCACATAAAAGTCCCATTGGCCCCTTGGAATAGGTGATGTACATATCAAGGGCAGCTCATCTATTTACAAATTCTTAGATAGAAGTGTAATATGTGTAAGGTCTTGTCCCATCTTCAGAGGCCAGAACTCTGCTGGGTGCACAGAGCAGAAAAAGTGGAATGAGAAAAACCCTGGCTCCAGAAGCCTAGCAAAAGAGGTGCTGAGAAGGAGTGAGCACCCTTTGTACGCAGCCCCTGACTTCTCAGGCTGCAGAGTGAAATGCTCACAACCTGAGCTTTGAGTCAGGTAGACTCAAAGTGTATGTTACCCCAAGCTGCTTTGTCTTCAGTAAGTTCCTTAACTTTGCTGAGCCTCAGTGTCCTCCACTATAAAAGCAGAACACCACTACCTATTTGAGGGGATCACTGTGTCAATTAAATGAGGAAATATATGTATAGTGGTCAATATTGTGAGCATAATAGGTGCTCAATCAATGAGAAGTTCCTGTCTTTCCTTGGCTGCTATAATCTTAGAGGAAACATTTTGCCGCTTTGCTCCTCATTGTGAAATGAGAAACAGGAATAGTACCAGATCAAAACCCATTATGGGCCGGGCATGGTGGCTCATGCCTGTAAGCCCAGCACTTTGGGAGGCTGAGGCAGTTGGATCACCTGAGGTCAGGAGTTTGAGACCAGCCTGGCCAACACGGTCAAACCCCATCTCTACTAAAAATATAAAAATTAGCCTGGCGTGGTGGCAAGCACCTGTAATCCCAGCTACTTGGGAGGCTGAGGTAGGAGAATCACTTGAACCTGGGAGGCAGAGGTTGCAGTAAGCTGAGATTGTGCCACTGCACTCTAGTCTGGGCGACAACAGCAAAACTCCGTCTCAAAAACAACAACAACAACTAAAAACCATTATGGCTCACTCATTACTTAAAATTGCCAATTTAGAAAAAAACACCAGATACAGCCAGGGACTAAAAATAATTTCTTGGTATTGTCCACATTAGGATATGATTCATACTGGCCTAAAACTTCAAACACTTTTCTCAAGAGGAAAATTAAAGAGAAAACTGAGCAGGAGAAAAATGAAAGTCTGGTTTAAAACTTAATCTCCTCTTCCCGTCTCTATCAAGGCTATCCCAAGGACCCTCTCAGGGAAATTCTCAGGAGGGACACGCTGGTTGGTGATGGACTCAGCTTGAACCTCACAGCATGGCCCCATTCACTGATAGTTTAGAGGGTGTTGCAGCAAACTTATTAGGATGATGGATGGGATCTGTAAATGCATAAATGATAAAGATGATTTAGTGATGAACAAAAAATAGGAACTGTGGCTGTTTACCCCAGGGATTCCAGGATTAGGTGCACAATGTTAGCAACACTCATGTCCCTAGTTTGAAAGATGACATAACTGTGTGCAGTGAAGAGGAACTATTTGCCCCCTTTCTCCCCTTCCCAACCCATGCCCCCCAAGACCAACACCATGTATGTGCCAGAGGGGATCTAGTGACTGATGACATGTGGGACTGGGAATGGAGAAAAGCTACCTGAAAGCCTTGGGGCTTATGCTCAGCACTGAGTCCTGGAGCTGTGCCCGACCAGCTACATCACGGTGGATCTACAGGGCCCGGCTGCAAAGATGCCACCTCTTGGCCTAGACAATGCATGAGCCCCAAAAACTGGAGCCATGTGGCTACTCACTGACTACAGTCACTGAAGGATGCACTTCCTCCTTGTCAAGCTGTGGAGACGTGCTGCTCAGGGAGTGATGTGGGGTAGACCGGGTGTGGTTGCTGCACCAGATCTGGGGCTGAGTCTGGGACCGGGCATCCCACTTGGTCTCTAGGACTTCTGTCACTTTACTCATATTATGCATCTTCCTCAAGATACTAGTGGGGTAAGAAAGAAGAAAAAATAAAGGTCACCTAATGCCACAGCTGTACTAATCTGGAGGCTCACAGGAGATGTAAAGGGGAGGTCAAGAGGATCATTCCTTCAGAGGAGAAGCCAAACAAATCATTTCTGTTTCAGGATAGAGTATGGAGGGAAGGCAGGGACAGAGAGAGCAACAGTTGTCTGGTGCATTGGCTACAAACATCCTGAGGAAAAACGAAGCCGTAATGGGCCCCTTAAATAACACTCATGATTCCTTCACAAAACAGCCAGAGACCCATAAGAGTTCAACTCCAGGTATGGGTATGGCGGTACATGCCTGTAATCCCAGCAATTTGGGAGGCCAAGGCAGGAGAATTGCTTGAGTCCAGGAATTCAAGACCAAACTGAGAAACATAGTGAGACCCTCTGTCTACAAAAAATAAAAATAAAAAATGAGCTGGGTGTGGTGGTGTGCACCTGTAGTCCCAACTATTTAGGAGGCTGAGGAGGATCACTTGAGCCCAGGAGGTCAAGGATGCAGTGAGCAGTGATCGTGCCACTGCATTCCAGCCTGGGCAACAGAGCAAGACCTCATCTCAAAAATAAAATTTTAAAAATGTTAAAAAAAAAAGAATTCAACTCATTCTGTGAACATAATTTTTAAAATAGTATTTGCTATAGGCCATTTAAAACAGATTCCCCAGGCAATGTAGCCTCACTGGTGTCTTGCAGTTTCTAGATCTCCTTCCCTAAGTATAGAGACACAGTATAAACTTTTGTTTGCAAGGAAAATTTGTAGCTGTTTTACATCTTCCAGCACTCCTTGGGTCACCCTTGAAGAAATCAGATATAATCTTACTCTGGTCTTTAAATAAGGGAAACCAGAGGTGATCCCTGGAGGTTCAGAAGACTCCTAAGACCCAGATAGGTTAGAGCAGCTCTATGTTACTAAATTGGTGAATTAATTGGTGAAAATAAAAGAATAATATATTTTTTAAAAAATTTTAAAAATGAGACTGCCTTATCCCTAAGGATACATAATGGTTTAATGGATAAATAAGCTATTTGTTTTTTACTGGCCATGTATGTTCCTGTTTCTTTGAGCTTCTGGCTCTTGCTTCTGGATCCTTCACCAGATTACATCTTCGACAGCCCCTGAAAATTTGGAGTTACCTGAGAGTCGAAGACACCTGTCCTACTTGATTCTTCTTACTTGTACAGTCATCTGAGAACAAAATTCAAAAAGGCCAGTCATGCTTTAAGCAGGTCTCATTTCCCAGACTGCAAACAAACATGGAGGTCTATCTGGGAGCAGAGACTTGACTACCTGATGCTTGCCTTGATTCCAGGATACTCTGAATTTTCTCAGATCTTGGGTTGAGTCTTTAGAGAGCTTGCCTGGCAGGCTTTCCTGAGCCCACCATGAAGGTCATCATCTCCACTTGCTTTGCCCTGAGTCACAGCAAAAAGCTAAAAATGTCTTTATTCCCACATATCATGGAACACATATCCACTCCAGCCAAAGCCTCCAAGTCCTGGCACAAGGCCAGCACCCAAACCCATGGCTGTGTGTTCCACCATAGCTTTCATGCAGAACTTCCTCCCTTCTCCAAGGAGATGATAGACATCCGTGTCCCACCTACCATCAGGAGACAGCACAGTGAACTCAAGCCTTCTGCTACTATGGGCCCTTGGGTTCTCAAGGGGGAATTTCATGTAAAATGCTCCTGAAACAGCTAATTATCTCACCACCGTGTACTAGTACACACAGTGCCTGAACCATGCCAAAGTCAGCATGATTCTTTATCATTTTTTTGAAGTGCGCCGATTAATGTTACTTATTTAATCCCTAGAACAATCATGCAACATTCAAGGGCTGGAATTATTTGACTTAATTTTTTAGGTAGAGAAACAGAAATCAAAATAAATATTAACCTGTCCAGAGCTGGTAAGGAACACATATAAGCTAGAGGTAGGGTTTTTGGATTCCCAGTTCAGGGCCCTTCACAAAAACCAGCTGCCCCTGCTCCTTCTGTCTTTCTGCCAATTAGTTTCAGATGAATACCATCATCCCTGGGGATGCCTCCTGCCCTAACAGTCATATTCCATGAGGGATGGAGGTGCTGGTGATCATCATGGCATCCTCAACCCTTCTTCTTGGAGCTCCTCTCCAGCCAGTCCTGACTCTGTCATGGTCATAAGGTGGTGATTACAAAGCAGGACACCAGGTTGAAAAGTGACATGTGAATGGGGGTGGGATCCTGTGAACTTAGGACCTTGGGAGAGACTGAAAATCTTCCTAAGCTCTGCGGCCAACTTACCTGTGCTGAATTTTCTGGCAAGGCTCTCTGCCAGCTGGCTTCCTTTGGCCAGCTGCTTGCAGTAGTGCTGCTCCATATAGTGGTCAATGTTATTGCTCTGGAGTAGCTCCTCAAAGGTCTTTAGTGTGTTCTTGACATGCTGGATGAGAAGAACAGAGGCCACTCTCCCAAGCTTCATCTTCTGCCGTAGGTGGGTTAACTCTTGAGCCTGATCCTGAATCAAGGAATGATACTTCCTAAAGTAGAAAAAAAGAAGTAAAGGTAGATAGGAATAACTGATAGGTTATAGCAATTTAGGAGAAGGAACTTGAGAGTATCACCAAAGGAGGCCACACACTGAATTCTAGCATATGTTTAGTGTCCTGAATATGGTAAAAGGAATGAAGGAAATGAAAACAATCTTTATGTGAAAGATCCCTTCTAAGATTGTCATTTTCCCTGCCACTTGCTAAAGAAGAAAAATCACTTGATCATATTAATAGATGAAGAAAAAGCATTTGACAAAATTCAACACTCATTCATCATAAAAACTCTCAACAAAGTGGGAATAGAGGAGACCTTCCTCAACTTGATAAAGAACATCTATAAAAACTCTACACTAATGTCATACTAGAAACTAGAAGCTTTCTCACTAACATCAACAATAAGGCAAGAATTTCCCCGCTTACCACTTCTTTTCACCATCATACTGGAAATCCTAGCTAATGCAGTAAGATAAGCAAAGGAAATAAACGGTATACAGATTAGAAAAGATGAACTAAAACTGTCTTTGTTCACACATGATGCAGTTATTGTATTATAGAAAATCTCCAACATGGTGAAACCCTGTCTTTACAAAAAATACAAAAATTAGCCGGGCGTGGTGGCATGCGCTTGTAATCCAGCTACTTGGGAGGCTGAGGAAGGAGAATTGCTTGAATCCGGGAAGCAAAGGTTGCAGTGAGATGACATCGTGCCACTCTGCACTCCACCCTGAGTGACAAAGTGAGACACTGACTCAAAAAAAAAAAAAAAAAAGGCCGGGCGCGGTGGCTCATGCCCGTAACTCCAGCACTTAGGGAGGTCGAGGTGGGCGGATCATGAGGTCAGGAGATCGAGACCATCCTGGCTAACACAGCGAAACCCCGTCTCTACTAAAAAAACAAAATAGTAGCCAGGCTACTCAGGAGGCTGAGGCAGGAGAATGGCTTGAACCCAGGAGGCGGAGCTTGCAGTGAGCCGAGATTGAGCCACTACACTCCAACCTGGGCGACACAGTGAGACTCCATCTCAAAAACAAAAAGAAAAGAAAAGAAAATCTGAAAGAATTGACAACAAAAATCTCCTGGAACTAGTAAGTGATTATGTCAAGGTAAAATCTAACAAAACATGTACAAGATCTGTATGAGGAAAACTGCAAAACTCTGTTGAGAGAGATCAAAGAAGCACTAAATACACAGAGAGATATTCTGTGTTCATGGACAGGAAGACTAAATATTGTCAAGATGTCAGTTCTTCCCAACTTGATCTAAAGATTCAATGCAATACCAATCAAAATCTCAGCAAATAAATTTTGTGAATATCAACTAACAGATGCTAAGGTGTACATAGAGAGGCAAAAGACCCAGAATGGCCAACACAATATTGAAAAGGAACAGAGGGCTGATATGACCTGACTTCAAGACTTACTGTAAAGCTACAGTAATCAGGACAGTATAAGATTTGTGAAAGAATAGACAAATAAGTCAGCGGAACAGAATAGAGATTCCAGAAGACTCCAAAATATAGCAGATTGATCTTTGACAAGGGGACAAGGGCAATACAATGGAGAAAAGATAGTATTTTCAAAAAATGGTGCTGGAACAGCGGGACATCCACATGCAAAAAAAGTGAATCTAGACACAGACTTCACATTCTTCATGAAAACTTACTCAAAATGGATCATAGGCCTAAATGTAAAACATAAAATGATAAAAAAAAAAAAACCCTAAAAGATAACAACAGCTGAAAATCTAGATGACCTTGGGTTTGGTGATGACTTTTTATTTATTTTATTTATTGATCTAAAGATTCAATGCAATACCAATTTTAATTTAGAGACAGAGTCTCTAAATAAATTAATTATTTTATTTATTTGTTGGAGGGCATGATCATGGCTCACTGAAGCATTCCTTGGGCGTGATCATGGTGTGATTATGGCTCACTGCAGCCAAACTCTTGGGCTCAAGTGATCCTCTTGCCTCAGCCTTCCAAAGTGCTGGGATTACAGGTGTGAGCCACCGAGCCCAGCTATATGATTACTTTTCAGATATAACACAAAAGGCATGATCCACAAAAGAAATAATTGATAATCTGGACTTCATTAAAATTAAAAACTTCTGCTCTGCAAAAGGCACATCAAGAGAATGAGAAGACAACACACTGGGAGAAAATATTTGCAAAAGACATATCTGGTAAAGGACTATTAAGCCAAATACACAAAGAACTCTTAAACTCAACAATAAGAAAATGAACCACACAATAAAAAATGGGCAAAAAACCCTGAACAGACACCTCACCAAAGATGATGGCAAATAAGAATATGAAAAGATGCTCAACATCATATGTCATTAGGGAATTGCAAATTAAAACAACAAGATACCACTCTACACCTATTAGAATGGCAAAATCCAGAACACTGATAACACCAAATGCTGGTAAGGATGTGGAACAACAGATATTCTCATTCCTTGCTGGTGGGAATGCAAAATAGTACAGCCACTTTGGAAGACAGTTTGGCATTTTCTTGTGAAACTAAACATACTCTTACCAAATGACCTAACCATCTGCTCCTCAGTATTTTCCCAAGCGAGCTGAAAACTTAAGTTCACACAAAAACCTGCACATGATGTTTATAGCAGCTCTATTCATAACTGCAAAAACTTGGAAGCAACCAAGATGTCCTTCAGTAGGTGAATGGATAAATTTTGGTACATGCAGTCAATGGAATATTATTTGGTACTAAAAAGAAATGAGTTATGAAGCCATGAAAAGACATGAAAGAACCTTAAGTGTGTAAGTGAAAGAAGCCAACCTAAAAAAGCTACATACTGTATGACTCTGACTATATGACACTATGGAATAGGTAAAACAGTGGAGACAGTAAAAAGATCAGTGGTTGCCAGGTGTTAGGAGGGAAAGGAGAATGAATAGGCAGAGCACAGAGAATTTTTAGGGCAGGGAATAGTCATTCTTTATTACAATGGTGGATACATGCCATTATACATTTATACTTGTGTCAAAACCTATAGAATATACACCACCAAGAATGAACCCCACTGTAAACTGTGGACTTTGGGTGATGATGAGTCAATGTAGGTTCATCAGTTGTACCAAATGTTATCACTCGGGGGCAAGATGTTGATAGTGAGGGAGGCTGTGTCCGTGCAGGGGTAGGGGGCATATGGGAACTCTCTGTTACTTTCCACTCAATTTTGCTGTGAACTTAAAGCTGCTCTTAAAAAGTCCATTAAAAAAAAGAATGATCACAGAAGTATAATTTTTAAAAATATATTTGATGAAGTGGGTGTAGTGTAGCCTTTGTGAATCGAGAGCACAGGATTCCAATGTTATCTCTGCCAGAGGCTATTATGCAACTTTGATCAAATGACTATCTCTTAGGGCCTAAGTGTTCTCAGTTCTAAAATGAGGTAATGAGACTAACTGACTCTAGAGTTTTTTGGGTGTTTTGTTTTGTTTTGTTTTGTTTTGTTTTGTTTTGTCTGAGATGGAATCTTGCTCTGTCATCCAGGCTGAAGTGCAGTGGCGCTATCTTGGCTCACTGCAATCTCCACCTCCCGGGTTCAAGCAATTCTCCTGCCTCAGCCTCCCAAGTAGCTGGGATTACAGGTGCCCACCACCATGCCCAGCTAATTTTTGTATTTTTAGTAGAGACGGGGTTTCACCATGTTGGCCAGGCTGTCTCCAATTCCTGACCTCAAGTGATCTGCCCACCTCAGCCTCCCAAAGTGCTGAGATTACAGGCGTGAGCCACTGCGCCTGGCCTAGCGTTATTTTAGCCCTAACTAACATTATTCTCTGGGTCAGTGAAATTTAAGTGGAATATATTGGGCAGTGACCTAATGGAGCATGAAGCAGGATTTGAATCACTTCCAAAGCTGTGCACCAACCACTTAGGCAAATTAGTGATTTCAGTAACTTAGTATTTCAGTAACTGGCGCTCACAGGCAAATGCGTAATGGATTAACCCCATATTATTTAAATGCTTCCAAAAAGCTATAGGAAAATGGCCATGAAAAACAAACTGACAAATTTAGCCAACAGGCCACTATTTGACAATTCTGCAAGCTTATTTTTAAAATTCAGCTTATCAAAACTGCCATTCCAGAAGCCAGGGACCTGAGTTTCCATAGAGGATGGAGTAGAATGGAGGGGCCTCTGTATAAATCTACCTCCTCGGGAACTGGGACAGTTCAGCATTCACCAGAGTAACATATGAAGAAACAGGAGATTCCTACATGCTCCTGGGGATCCAGAAGAGAGACCACTCACATGACTGGAAGATTTCCAGCTCAGGTAACCACAAAGGCCATATATTTGGTGAATACATGCAATGTTAGTTAGAATAAAACCAAATTTCTCTGAATAATATAAAGTCATTACTAATAAAACTTTTATAGATTTTTCTCTGAAGAAATTTCCAGGAAGGTGTTAAGAGAAAGCCCTACAATTAAGGTATGGAGGCTGGCTGCAGGCCCTGAAAGCTACTCTGACGAGCAATGACTTAATGCTGATAGTGGGAAGTCTCTTGCCCACTGCAGGATACAGAGAATTCTTCCTCAACCCGAGGCTTCTGCTCATTCACTCCCTTCTCAGCAGGTCCCTTCTTCTCTGAGGGCTGATGCATCCCAGCCTTCTGCTGGGACATTTTCTCATGAAGAGCTCTCTTACAGCCGTCTTTGAAAGGAAGGACAGAGAAGAAAGATGTCTATGTCTTCACAATGGCCAGGCTTTTCTCCAAAACTACCTAAAGCAATTGAAACAAAATTATGGCTTACAGAGGTTAGATTATTAGTGGAGATCCCGTAGGACGATAGAATCTCAAGAGCAGAGCCTACCAGGAAGTAGAGTGAAGCCTACAACTTCCTCAGCCATGAGGACCCAACAATCCACTGGGTAAAAGAAAGATGCAGCAAGTGCTGGGGTGGGGTCGGGGTGGGTGCTGTTATGAGAAGGAAGGGGAGGTCCCACAGGTGTTTAGAAGAAAAAACAGGCAATAAATGAATGAAAACAAATGGGGTTTAAACTAAGCTAAGGGATGAGTATTTTTGTTTCTTATAGCTGAGATAAGGTTCTTATGAAGTTCCCAGGGAATGTCCCTTCAGAGGTCAGGAAGCATTTTGCTTCCACAAGTTTTGAGAGTCATGAAGGCAGGAACACATTTTGAGATGCCAGAGCTCAAATCCCATGTCACTGGGACATCAACAATAGTGCTATGGGGAAGACTCAGGGTGCCAGCTCTTGAGTCACAATCACAGAATTAGAATGTGGAAGTAGCTACAGAACCCAAGGAAGCCCTGCCTTCTGATAGCCACACTCAATGCAAGGCTGCGTATTTCACCCTGGAGGTCTCTATAACAGGGGAGGCCACCCCCTCAATAGCCAGCTTTTTTACCCTTTTGCTTATGTTGTCAACCAATTTCTAACCACAGCAAAATAACCTAAGTATACCTCTCCTTGAAAACATCAAAACATTTTCTCAGCAGCTTTTACTTTCTTGAAGACAATTTCAGTAAAAACAATTCTTGTGGCTTTTCCTAAATGATTTTTTTTTTAACTTCTAGTGATTCTTACTCTTCGTTTTTAGGAACTCTCCAGGTTTTCACTTCCTACATTCTTTCAAGAGTATAGTGACTAAAACTGGAGAATAATCATTTAAGTCTGACTAATAAATTTAGCCTCATGTTGTATTACCTTTTAATACATAATAAATAATATATCCCAATGCGATACTTGCTTCCTTTCCCTTGCAGTAGCAACGTGTAGGGGTTTCATTTAATATGAGGTCGATTTTAACCTTCCAAACTCCCATTCCACCCACCTTTGCTTGCACTCATGGGAAGGCTCAGTCTATATCTGGTTTGCCCACATTCCTAGGCTATAGACCTCTAGGACTCCCAATTTGAGAGGCGCCATTTTTTTGGAGGGTAGTGAATTTTGATTTCTGTCTCCTTTGCATCCTTCCCAATGAAAACTGCTTTCAGCCACTCTCTGCTAGCCTCTCACCAGCACAGAGCTGAATTCACAAATGCCTTGAGGGGAAAACCTTTACCAAGTGTTCAGTTCACATCTCAATTCATTCTAGAATCTTGGCTTTTCAAGTCAAAATACCTGGACAGCTCCACATGTCTACCCACTCCCCACCCCCATGAGGTTACTTAAAGTGCTGCTGTTTTCTCTGGTTTTTAACCACTGCCCTCTCCCCAGCTTCTCAGCCTCTTGTCCCTTGCCAAGAACTAGCAAATACCCTGAGGGGGAAAAATTGTTTCATTCCAATGATCTTCTTTCTCTCTCTCTCTCTCCACCCGCTTTCTGTAGCTGGCCCTGTGGGTCCTAGCTTTTCAAAGACTTCAAACAGAATTCCTTTAAACCAGATTTTATCTACTTCTTTTCGAAGGGAGTGCTGGTTTGCCACAAAACTCCATCGTAACTGAAAGAGGAAATCTTCTACAAATTCCAGGTAAATCAAATTTTCCTACCTTGATTTCTGAAGAAAACAAAAAAAAAGAGAAGAGGCCATTGGTAGGTATATACTTGCATTTTTCTTGTAATACTTGCGTAAGTCTGAATGGGTATTAAAGGCTCTTGCTAGAATCATGTGCCAAAGATTGTCTACCATGACCTAAACAATCAGGCCTGTCCAAGGTCCAAGAATTTGATCAGGTTGGATCCAGTCCTCTGGTGCACTAACAGAGATCCTGTTGGAGGATAGAATCCTGCTGTAGGATTCTACGTCTGTACTTTGAGTAGACACTTCAAGTAACCAGTTTTTCAGACACCTGGCCACTAATATGGGGAGAAGAGGTCAAAAAAACCATTGAATATTTCTAATTTATTTTAGGGAATGTTAAAATTTCTCACTGGTACAGTTAGAAATGAAAACAAAGACATAATAATAATAGTAATAATAATAATAACTGTTTCAAGAGCATTATTATGTGACTGGCATTGTTTCTAAGTGCTTTACTGTGTAGTAACCTATTTAGTCCACATAACGACCCTACAAGATAGTGTTGATTTTTTTGTTTGGTGGTTGTTGTTGTTGTTGTTGTTGTTGTTGTTTGAGATGGAGTCTCTCTCTGTCATCCAGGCTGGAGTGCAGTGGTGTGATCTCAGCTCACTGCAACCTCTGCCTCCCGGGTTCAAGCGATTCTCCTGCCTCAGCCTCCTGAACAGCTGGATCACAGGCCCCACAACCATGCCCAGCTAATTATTGCATTTTTAGTAGAGGCAGGGTGGTTTCACCATGTCAGTCAGGCTGGTCTCAAACTCCCGATCTCAGGTGATCCACCTACCTTGGCCTCCCAAAGTGCTGGAATTCCAGGCTGAGCCACCCCGCGCAGCCGATAGTGTTGATTATTACAACCCCTTGTTGCAGATGAGAACATTGCACTGAAAGGCTGAGCTTACCTTTCCAAGGTCCCATCATCTCTATGAGAGTGAGAGCCAGGACTCATCCAGACCCTTGCTCTGAGCCATTAGGCTTGGTGGTAACTAAGAAGATCTCACTAAGATGCGCATTCCCTCCTTCTTGCTCAATCTCCAAGATTTCGAGGACAAAATGGAAATTAAAAGTAAGGCCTACAAGATGGCTATTATTTTAAAAAGAAGGAAAGAAAATTATCAGTGTTGGTGATGATGTGGAAAAATTGAAACCCCTGTGCACTGTTGTTTGGAATGTATTAGGTTGGTGCAAAAGTAACTGCGGTTTTTGTCATTACTTTTAATGGCAAAAATCGCAATTACTTTTGCACCAACCTAATAAAATGGTACAGCCACTGTGGAAACCCATATGGTGGTTCCTCAAAATATTAAAAATAATTATCACATGATCCAACAAATTTACTTCTGGCTATATACTCAAAAGAACTGAAAGCAAGGATTCAAAGAGATATTTGTGCACCTACATCAATAGCAGTATTACAATAGCTAAAGAAGGGAAACAACCCAAGTGTCCAACAACAGGTAAATGAATAAACAAAATGTGGCAAATACATGCAATGGAATATTATTCAGCCTTAAAAAAGAAAAGAAATTCTGACACATGCTACAACATAGATGAACATGAGGATATTATGCAAAATGAAATAAACCAGTCACAAAAGGAAAAAATACTATAGAATTCTGCTTATATGAAGTACCTAGAGTAGTCAAATTCATAGAGACAGGAAATAATGGTGGTTGTGCCAGGGGCTAGGGAGGGAAGAATGGGAAATTAATGGGTATAGCGTTTAGGAACTTTAGTCTAAGAAAGTAGAATATTGGATGCCAGAAATTCAGTTTTCTTTCTGTTCCAAGATCCCTTTAGCTAGAGCGACATATTGAAGTCAGAGTTCCTAAGGGAAAATCATTGTGCATGGAGATCATCCTTGTGGATCAAATGTGAATCAATAGTAGATCAAAAGATATTCCACTTTTGCAGATATTGACATTTGTTGGACCCGTAAGATTTTATCTAGTATTAGATAGATAAGATGTGAACCACTTCTCAACACTGCAGACTCAAATACTAGGAAATACTAAGAACCTCAGGACAAACAAATAGCCAGTCCAAAAAGACTCACAGACTAGATAAGCTGTCATCTACCACCTAACAGATAATGTATCCCTGTTAACCACTATCCCCAGATGTTCATTTCATAAAATCAAAAACAGAATTCCATGTGGATCATGGAAAAAAATGGTTGACAATGTACAAATGAGAGAGAGAAAAAATACTTGTCTAAGAATTACATTTAGTGTCTAAAAGCCAAATAGCTCAATTTCTGCTCATGAGATTCAACAGATGAACTGAGGGAACATATGCCAATAGCTCTGAGATTACAGGTCCGCATGGGATGCCCATAAGGTGCAGGATTCTATTAGCTAAGATTATATGTCTCAGGTGGGCAAATCTTTGTGGACATAGCAAGAAAAAAGAAAAACTGTCAAGGAATAATATAGAGACAGTGTGATGGTTAATTTTATGTGTTAACTTGGCTAGACCACAGTGCCCAGGTATGTGGTCAAATATAATTCTGGAGGTTTCTGAGAAAGGGTATTTTGGATGAGAGTAACATTTGCATTAGTAGACTTTGAGTAGAGCAGGTTGCCCCATGTCATGTGGGTGGACCTCATCCAATCAGTTGAAGGCCTGAATGGAATGAGATTGACCTTCCTGGAAGAAGAGGAAATTCTACCAACAGAATATCTTAGGACTCAAATAACAACTCTTCCCTGGGTCTCCAGCCTGCCTGCCTTGAACTTTCACAATCATGTGAGCTAATTCCTTAAAATAAATCAATAAAAATAGATGATAGATGGATGATTCTGTTTCTCTGGAGAACCTTGACTAATACAGATAGCATACGAATTCACCCTTGCCATTTATAGAGGAAAGAGTGGAGTAATAAATATCAGAATATCTTCTCCAGACCTGGTCACCACAGAAACAAATTATAGCTATGCAAAATATCTTGGAAGTTTAGCTGAAGAGATGAGGAGATACTCTACTGCTCCATGTGCGCCATGTCATCTGTTGTACCTCCCCTTAGTTAAGTCAGGAGGGCAACACTCCCTTTATTTTTTATTTTATTTCGTATGTATGTGTGTGTGAGATGGAGTCTCGCTCTGTGGCCCAGGCTGGAGTACAGTGGCGTGATCTTGGCTCACTGCAACCCTGCTTCCCAGGTTCAAGTGATTCTTGTGCTTCAGCCTCCCGAGTAGCTAAGATTACAGGCACAGGCCACCACCTGTGGTAATTTTTGTGTTTTTAGTAGAGATGGGGCTTCGCTATTTTGGCCAGGCTGGTCTCGAACTCCTGACCTCAGGTGATCCGCCCACCTCGGCCTTCCAAAGTGCTGGGATTACAGGTGTGAGCCACAGCTCTCAGCCCCTCTATTTATCAGACAGATGTATAGAAAGTTTATTGTGCTAGCAAGAGTATGAAGAAAAGGATTCTCTGAGTTGAAAAAACAAATTGGAATATAAATTGGTACCACTTCTATGGAAGGCAAATTTACAGGGCTTATTAATTAAAATAAAAAATGTGTACTGTAACCACTATGATACAGCAGTTGCGCTTCCAGAACTCTACCCTATAGAAATCCGTGTACAAATAGCAAAAGATATTTGTACAAGAATGATGACTGCAGCATTATTTGTAATCGTAAAATCATGGAACAAACTTAATTTAAAAAACAACATGTAAAGGGTTACATGATGGAATAAACAAAAGAAGAAATGCCTTCATCAAAAATAATGCAGAGGATAATAATAATCTTGAGTCTACTGATAACATTATTGATTGAGCAATTATTAAATCTAGGCACATCCTGCAAATGCGGTATTATTACCATCCTCATATTACAGTTGAAAAAATATTGAGGTACAAATAGCTTGTCAATAGCCCAAAGGCACAAAAAGAAGCAAGATTTCACCCAGAACCCGTGAACAGATCACACAAAATTTCTCTTGTTCCCTGGTCCAAGGAACTTCTGTACCTTCCAACTGCATTTCTTTCCAACAGAGACCTTCTTGGAGGATGAGAAGCAGCCACTAGTTGACAGGAGGGGAAGTGAGGCATGTAGTCTTCAAGGGAGCAGACCACCGTGGGAGTTATAAAAGATCAGCGACGCCTCTGGGTGTGTTCGAACCACCAACTTTTTAGTTAACAGCCAAACGCGCTAGCCGATTGCGCCACAGAGACATGGCTGAGCTCCTGATTTCGTTCTAAAAGAGGGTAAGCTGTCACTAAACGCTAGCTAGCACCATCCGCCTTTTGCAAAATGACTGGGTAATCTCCAAAGCCTCGGAAAGCCGGAGCAGTCAGAGCGACGAATCTACTTGTTTGTCAAGCTTGAAACCTGTGCACTGAGTGATTCCGAAACGCCCCGCACCCCGCCTTGCCCCCTCACCTGCCTCAGAAGCCGGCGCTTCCGGAGATGCCGGGATCGCGACTCCTGTTAGAGCGACTTGGGCCCCAGGGAAGCTGAAACGCCCAGGGTGCTCAATTAGGACTTGTTGAATTAATAATACATTTCAGAGACAGAATATACAATCGAACAATGGCCGGACTGTACGTAAAAATATAACTCTGATCCACAACCTGGGGCCACCTGCCCAAGAAATCAACTTCCTTATCTACGAATAAACAACCGGGGAAGCCAGCCTGCTATTACATAAGTCAGACTCACAGGGAGCCAGGCAGTTATCTGTAGTAACAAACAATAACATCCATAATAATCGGCTCCAAATGGCAAGAGCTTGGTTAGTAACTGACACTTTCCCTAATTTATGTTCCCACTTGCAACTTAGGACCAACCAGGGAAAGCCAAATATGCACCCCTAACCAAGCACACTGGATGTCCCCCTTCTAGTTAGCCCACAGGCAGCTTCCCCACACCAGCAGTCTCCAATCAGGGCACACCTGAAGCCTTCCCTTTCCTCAGCTATAAAGCTGTCCCACTCCTCTACCTGCCTTCTAAGCTCTGTCAAAATGCAAGTGCCGGTGGCTGATGCCGGTGGCTGTCGCCCTTGCGTCAGAATAAATAACCATTGCTTTTTTCATTTGATGGGCCTTCGTTTTCACACTTTGTCATCTTTAAGCTTTTAGCCCTTTGAAGGATTCTGAGACTGGAAAATAAATGAAAGGATTTTTCAAAGGGGGAAGTTCTTTTTTTAAAGGCTTTATTCTGGTCAATTGATTTCCAAGTGTGCAATGTCCCATGGGGTAGGCCACAAAGAGGCCTAGAGTGCGCCATCTGTGCGGCTGCAGCTCCTGGCTCTCAACAGAACTGAGATCTAAGTCCTCATGATCTGATCAGCTTCCGAGGGCCTAAACCTCCTATTACCACCAACTTGGGGATTAGGAGTTCAACAAATAAATTTGGTGAGGGGACGCAGACACACAAACATTCAGACCATAGCAATGCATAAAGGTAGCTCATCACTGAAGTTTTAATTTGTGTTTCCCTAACGAGTAATGATTTTGAACATTTTTCTTACGTCTTTTGGGGTCAGTGGGCAAGATCAGGAAAGGGGCAGGGACCAAAGGAGACATGAAGAGGGAAACAGCAGGGACAATGACACCTCCCAGGAGACTTGTGCAGAGGCAAAGGCTGGATCCTGAGAGATGAGAATTGTTTTTGTCATGTATTTGAATGGGAAGAAATAGAAAAAGGACATGAAAGAGAAAAAACACAAGAACTTGTAGCTATCCAAGAACAAAACAGGAAAATATCGTGGATATTTTTTCATCAAAAATATTAAAAGCAGCCCACTGGCAACCCCAGGTTTATGGTGCACCATGATGATATAATAGTTAGTGCTCTTCATTGTGACCGAAGCAACCTTGGCTGGAATTGGAGCCACAGTAGCATCTGGCTTCCTTCTTGGCAAGATTTGGTATGTGTTACAGTTTCACTTTTTAAATCCCCTTACCAACTGCACCCAGTAGCTGTGGTCAGAAAGCAGAGTTTACTGTGTCTCCCTGTGACGCAGTCAGGACAAGAGAAGGAAACCCCCACAGTGCACTAACCTACGGCAGAATCTTTGGGGAAGGTTAGAAGGGACCGTGTGTCTGAGCATGTGCAGGAACCATCTCAAAAGGTAAAGCCCTGACTCTTCAGGAGCCTTGTCTGTAGCTTCAACTGACATAATGGTGTGGTAATAACCATTTTTCTGGCTGAGATATTTCAAAGGTCAGTAAGGCCTTTTTAGATGCAATGACAATGAGCTTTGTATGAGTTCTCATTCAACAGGGTATTTTACAATAAAATCTGATCATATAAAACCCAATAAATGTAATAGAACCTAAACTTGATGCCATCCTCCACCTCCCCCACCTAATTATTTGGCGGGGGAACGGGAGCGCTAATAGTACATTATTGAAGTATAATTCACATAGAGTAACATGCACAAATCTTAAGGGCATAGAAACGTAACCATCGCCTAGATCAAGTTATAGAAAATTTCCATCAGCCCAGAAAGGTCAATAACCTCCTTTAGATTCCCATCCACCTTCCTTTCACTTAGACAAACCATTCTGATTTCTATCTTCACAGACGAATGTTGACTGCTTCTGAAATTCACATAAATGAATATACTTTTTTGTGTCTGACTTCTAATTTCCTGCAGCATAATGTTTTTGAGATGCATCCATGTTTTTAGTATATTATTTTGGTGTTATTGATGACTGTTATTTCTGTGTGGATGACTGGGTTATTTCCAATTCTGGCTCTCGTGAACAAAGCTGCTATATTCTAGTACAATTCTTTCTGTAGACATATGCACCCATTTTTCTTCAGTTTATACCTGGAAGTGGAGTTGCTAGGTCATGGAGTAGGTCTAAATTTAACTTTATTATAAACTGCCAAACAGTTGTCCAAAATGGTTGTGCTATTTTACCTCCTCACCAGCAACGAGAGTATAGTTACTCCACATTCTTGTCAGTACTTCTTGTCTTTCAAATTTCTTCTATTCAAGCTGTTAAAATACCTTAAACTGAGTAGCTTACAAACAACAGAAATTTATTTCTCACAGTTCTAGAGGCTGGGAAATCCAAGTTCAAGGTGCCAGCAGACTCTGTGCCTGATGAGGGCTCACTCTCTGGTTCATAGGCTGTGCCTTCTCCATGTGTCCTCACATGGTGGAAGGGCAAACAAGCTCCCTCCAGCCTCTTTTATAAAGATACTAATCCTATGCATGAAGGCAGAGTCCTCATGATCTGATCAGCTTCCAAGGGCCTAAACCTCCTATTACCACCAACTTGGGGATTAGGAGTTCAACAAATAAATTTAGTGGGGGGAGGCAGACACACAAACATTCAGACCATAGCAGTGCATAAAGGTAGCTCATCACTGAAGTTTTAATTTGTGTTTCCCTAACGAGTAATGATTTTGAACATTTTTTCTTATGTCTTTTGGCCATTTAGAAATTTTGTGTGTGTGAAGAAAGCCTATTCATGTATTTTGCTCATTTTTAAATAGCTTGGCTTTTATTATTAATGTCTAAAAGTTCTCTCTAAATATTCAATATTTGAGTTATTTTTCAAATAAGCATACTGCAAATATCTTCTCCCAGTCTTAACAAGGCTTGCCTTCTTTCTTGTGGTAATTTTTTGATAAGCAGTTTTTAATTTTGATGAAATCCAATTTTCTTATTTTTTGTGACCTCTAAGACATCTTTCCTACCCTATGATTGTGAATATATTTTCCTACATTTTCTTCCAGAAACATGTTTTTATTTTTATTTTTAAATCTATAATTCTTCTTAATTTCATCTCCTGATCTCAGCACAATGCTTAACCACTATAAAATCCACAACTTGCAGACCAACAGTTCAATCTCCCAGAAACTTGTATAACCCTTGATGTAACATTTACAGTAGTTTCCTGCTGTGCTCTTTGACAACTATAGATCCTTGCGCTTCCACCCCACTGCCCCCTTGCCTTCTCCCTTCTCTCTCCTCTTTTCACCCCTACAAGGTGAGAAAACCAGAAAGACCTAAAACTGAGGAGAAGAAAGACCTGGTCTAATCTGTGCTCAAGATATTAGAGCACAAGAAGAAGAAAGACTGGGTCTGATCTGTGCTCAAACCACACCTGTATTCTGGTTTGTAAGTCTAGTTCTGCCCCTGTGTGGCCTTGGATAAATAACTTAAACTTTATGTGCCTCAATCTTTCTTCTGTAAAATGGGGCTAATAAGAGTAGTCTTAGGCCAGGCGCGGTGGCTCATGCCTATAATCCCAGCACTTTGGGAGGCCGAGGCAGGCAGATCACTTGAAGTCAGGAGTTCAAGATGAGCCTGACCAACATGGTGAAACCCCATCTCTACTAAAAGTACCAAAATTAGCTAGGCATGGTGGCAGGCACCTGTAATCTCAGCTACTCAGGAAGCTGAGGCAGGAGAATTGCTTGAACCTGGGAGGTGGAGGTTGCAGTGAGCTGAGATCACACCACTGCACTCCAGCCTGGGCAACAGAGCAAGACTCCATCTCAAAAAAAAAAAAAAAGAAAGAAAAAAAAAAAGAAAAGAAAAAAGTAGTCTATTTCAGTTTGCCATTGTTAGCTGTGTCTGGATATGGTTGACGATTAATTAGTAATCAATCAGAATGATCTTCCTCATTGTCATTTTCCTCTGCATTATTTTTGAAAGCAACTATGCTGATGTTTTGCATCTTAAATTAGTTTTTCTTCTAAGAATTCCAGTAGATGGACTCATGGAGTATGCCCACTGTTATGTCCAGTTCCTTCTTTCTGCATAAAGTCTCTGAGTTTTATTCACATTGTTGAGTATATCAGATGTTCATTCCTTTTTATTGCTGAGTAGTATTCCATTGAACGAATATACCACAGTTTATTTGCCAGTGTCCTGATAATAGACACTTAGATTGTTTGTAGTTTTGGGTATGTGAATAAAACTGCTATGAACGTTCTTGTTATAATGTGTGTGTGTGTGTGTGTGTGTGTGTGTGTATGTGTATGTGTGTACATATGTTTTAAAGTCTCTTGGAAGAATATCTAGGTGAAGAATTGCTAGGAAAAAAATGTTTATGTTTAAATGTATAGGAGACTGTCAAACCAAAGTGATTATAACATTTTACATTCCCTCTAAAAATGTATGAGTTCTGGGTGTTCCACATCTTCACCAAGATTTGGTGGTTTCTGACTTTATAATTTTGCCATGCTAAAATGGCGGAGTGGTATCTCAATCTTGTTTAAGTCTATTTCTCTCACAACTAATGATATTGAGCACTCTTTTATGAACTGACTGGCCACTAGTATATTTTCTTCTCTGAAATGTCTGTTTAAGCTTTTGCCCATTTTTAAAAATGGGTGTAGGAGCTAATTGTATACTCTGGATACAGGTTCTTGGTCAAATATGTGTTGTGAATATTTTCTCCTCGTCCATGGCTTGCCTTTTCAGTTACTTAATGGTGTCTTTGGATGAAAAGACATATTTCATATCAACAAAGCCTAATTTATCATTTTTCTGTTTTATTTATTTCTCTGTGTAATATTTAGAAAATATTTGCTTTCTGCCAAGTCTTAAAGACATTTTCATGCATTTTCTTCTAAAACTTCATAGTTTGTATGGTTTGTTCTGTGATCCAACTCAAATTAGCTTTTGTGTATGTTGTGAGGTAGGGATTGAGATTTTTTTCCTCACTAGTAGATATCTAGTTGGTCCAGCACTACTCGTTGAAATGACACTTCTTCCCCATTGTATTACTTTAGTACCTTTTTTGAAAAAAAAATCAATTGACCATATAACAAGGATCTGTTTTAGGTGTCTCACTTCAGTTTCATTTATCAATATGTGTATCCTTTTGCCACATTCACACTGTTTTGTTTATAGTAATAAACAGCTTAATAGTAAGTCCTCTAGGTTTGACACCTCAATAAACCTGAAATGTGTACATCCTATGGTGCCACCATGAAAATCAAGACATGCTGTCACTTAATCTCTCTCATTTCACTAGAGGACACATGCTCTCATAAATAATGGTTGACCCCTTAGCCAAAGATCCTCTATTGTACCCTCTGGAGAAAATAAATCTCTAGTTACCTTAAGAGCTGATCTAGAGGTAAAATGTCTGCAACATTCAGCAATGAATTTAGATTTTCTTTGAAAAAAAGTTCATTTTCAAGGTAGTTTTTTTTGTTTTGTTTTGTTTTGTTTTTTTTGCCAAAGAATTTCTTTTTTTTCTGTTACTTAGTAGCGTGAAGTACAATGTTTGGTTTGCAATTTCTGTTCTTTGTAGGAAGAAAAACTTTAGTGGAAACAACCAGTACTTAAAGACCATTTTATGAGGCTGTCATTTACATATTATCTCTTTTGCTGTTTTTGTTAAAATGATATAAGGTGGGCTTTATATGCTTTCTGTATAACCTTTGGAATGTGTATTTAAATTAAAAACGTAAAATTAAAATATTCATCCTAGACTCAGGTTAAGTTCCACCAACAGTACACTTAAAATAGGATGAGCCCAACCTAAGCGTACAACCTACCTGCTTCAAGTGTGTAGTTGGTGTGTGTGATACATTCTCAACAGTATTTGTGTTCCCTGGTGTAGTGATTTTCGTGTTACTCCCACCCTTGAAAGTCCTCGACTTAAAACCCATCTAGAACATTTCCTTTGCTAAGACTTTAAAGTATTCTTTCTTCAAGTTAAGGGTAGTTTTTAAATAGTTATCAGTTGCATTCTTGGAATTCACAGAAAGCTTGGGGAGAAACAATCCGACGGCACAAGTTCAAGTGCCCAACGGGGTGGAGAAGGGACTGCATACTCATTGGTTGCCAGGCCGAGGTTGTCCGCCTTGCCTGCTTTGGCTGAGACTGGAGACGGAAACTCCATTCAACAGCGACTGGAGGACTGAAACGGCGCAAGAGGGCGGCTGCCCTTCACCTACTGGTCCCTCCCTGCCTTGGCGCCTTCGGAGTTCGGACTGACCCGGGATGTTGCTGGAGCCGGCAGGAACTGCAAACTCACCGCGCGCGTCCCTGCACACCCGCACCTGCGCCTCGAGAACTCCTGGCCAGTTGAATACCCGGTCTGCCGCCGAGCTTCGCTGCAGGTCACAGGAAAGGGGTGCAGGGTTGCGTACCCGGCGGGAGAAGCCGCGCGGAGAGGACCAGGTGCTGCTACTGGCCTCCGAGAAGACAGGCCTAGAGTAGCTGATTTTGACCTGCAGGGCCAAAGTCTAACGGCGGCCTAAAACCCTAACGTCTGGGCGAGCCGCGGGTAGCGAGTTGAAGCGATCTCTATGCCTTGCTTGTCGTTTGCCAAAATTCAGACCAAGAAAGAGAATAGTTGTGTGGATCAAAGTCTGCAATTAACCAAAAAAGAAACATGATCCTGTGTTAGCTTACTTAGGAAAAAAGGAAGAAGGAAGGAAAGAAGGAAGGAAGGGAGGAAAGGTTGGAGGGAGGGAAGAAAGATGAAAAAATCAACCAAAAAAAGAACATAATTTCCTAACTAATCGGATGTGGGTCATGAGAGAAAGACCTGCGTCCAGTTTTTGGCCTGAACGTGTGGAGGGTGGAGTTGCCATTAACTAACGTGAGAAAAGGCAGGTGTAGTACGTTGTAGAGAAAATATCCGGAATTCCGTTCAGGGCCCTGGGGTCTTCCTTGAAAGAGTTTTCCATCCAGGCCGTCTCGGTTTCCGCATCCGTCTGAGTCGTTTATGATGTCGGGAATGCAGGAATCTGAGTCCTTTATGATGTTGAGGGTGCCACGGTCTCACCCCGGGCGCCTCCCCGCTCCAGCCTCCTCCCGGAAGCCTGGTGCGCTCTGGCCCCGCCGACCAGCGACAGTCTCTCCACGCGCTGCCGCCTAGCAAAGGCGCATCTTTAGGTCGGTAGTGAGGTGCGGCCGGGACGCTGCAACTCGCTCCGGGACTTGTAAACCTGGCAGGTGTTCGAGGAGCGCCACTGGCTGGAAGGAAAGGAGAGAGCTCTGCACGTCGCGTGTGGGCTCGCAACTTGGAGAAAGCAGGGAGAGGACAGCCTTTTGGGACTATTCCTTGGATGGGCGGGTGGCACCAGGAAGGGTAGATGGAGCTTTCTAGAGGTCAATGTCAGCGTAATTTCTGCTGAAGCAATTGAAGGAGGAAAAAAAAAAAGTATGTGCTTTGTGGTTCCCTGGTAGTCTAGTGGCTAAAGTTTGGCGCTCTCACCGCCGGGACTGGTTGATTCCAGATCAGGGGACTGGGTCTCAGCCTCACTGTGAGGTATTGTTCTTTCCTGTGTTTGCCATCTACCACCGCTGTGGCTCAATTATTTCAAGACTGCTGGAGAAATGGAATTAATGTCGATCCTAACATTTAAGCTATTTATCTAGGATAAATTCCAAATAGTGGAACTGCTAGGTGAAATTTATTGTGAATTTAAGATTCCGATGTATACAGCCCTACAACGTATAAGCACCAATTACATTCCCCAAAGTGTGTGAGACTGCGTCTTTTCCCCAGAATTTAAAACCAATGCTAGAAATTATCAGTCTTTTAGAGATAATTTTAAGCTTATTTATCATCAAAGGATTTCTTCATAGTCAATTTCCCCTTAGACTATAAATCCGCAAGAGATGGCAAAGCTGGAAGAACTGCCTAGAATTTCAGCAAACTTGAATTCAATAGTCTCTCTGTTCTTTCCTGTTTTGGCACCTACCCTTTTCTTCCAGTTAAGATTGGACACAATAGAAAAATAATTAATAAATGTAATAAAAATGTAAGCCTGGACGTTTTGCTCACAGTGTTCTCACTGGGTCTAAATTTTGTGAATGTGGTTCCTTGGATGGTCTCATGGGTATGCTTGAGACTTTAGGCCCTTGGGACACCTGGTGCACAGAAGGGTCCCAAAACCCATCTTTGGAAGTGTTGGCAGAGTAAATAGGCACCAGTAATAAAGGCAACGGCGCCTGAATACGTAAGGCTGGTTTAAACCAAAGCAGATTTTTCAAAACCAGAGAGGGCTTGTGTTCATAATTTAATAATTTAATTTTTATTTTGATGAAATTTAAATTTGATTTAAATTTTCATAATTTAATTTTCATTTTGATGGCCACTTTATTTTGACAAAGACACTAGTGGAGGAAAGTCTCTTTATCGGATCATCAATTTCCCTATAAATCTTTGTCTCAGAAAAATTTAATAATAATTTCATAATAAATTATAATAAATAATGTTTCACATCTTACATTATTCACTTTTGATTTAGTTGGCTTGTGCTGTCAATATGTTGCCCACTGTATAACACTACCTGATGAATTACATTCAACTATGTAGTAATACATATTACTACATATACACACACACGTATACATGTGTATATACATATGCATATACACACACACATGTATACGTGTGTGTGTATATATGTATATATAACCATATATAATTTCAAAAGGTAAATTAAATATAATGGGACAGTGTTGGTAACCTCTTAGATAGTGTAGGGATAAGATAGCTGAATTTATGGCATGGTGTTGTATACTTCAGATATCTATGCTGTAATATTAAAATGGCATTTCCTTGGCCCACTAAATTGTCCACTTCCTGGCCCAATATGATACACGAAAGGAATGAAAATGGGAAGAAAATAGCCTTCTGAAGGACTTGCCTAATAAACTTCTCCCTTAGCATTACTTGGAGTGACATCAGAAAATTGGAATGAAGTAATTGTGTAAAAAAGACAAATTCTCTGCTGTCTTTCTCCCCCAATCCTTAATAAACAAAGGAGGAAACCTAGACTCAGGTTAGGTTTTCTCTTCTTATTCTTTACATACCAGGACAAGTACTGAGCTTGTTTGTTACTATATGGGGACTTAGTGTATTGTACAAAGGGGTGTGGCTATTACTGTCCCTTTTCTACCAGAGCATCAAAACTGGTAACTTGGCTGGTGTTAAGGGGAGCTTCTAACCTTGAATTCCCACTCCATGTGACTTCTTTCTGGTTCTCTCTTCTCAGAGAACTTGCAGCCATCAGATTCATTTGGAGAAGTTTGATAAAGGTGACTTTACGCTTAGACAGAAGAAAAAACCCTAAGGTCTTGAACTAAGCCTTATCCTCTGATACAGTTTACTGGAATTCCCTCCACTGTGGCACAAGCCCTGCCATAAATTGTGATTATCTATACCTTGTCAGTTTTATCTGTGTATATATCTTTTACAGTAATCCCCACATCCACCAGAGAACCTAGGTTATTGGCAGAATGAGGTTTGGGAATTTTGGTCCTCTGGCCAGACACTATCAGATAGTACTCTGATTCCACCATTTTTGAAATTATATACAACAAATTTTAAGTATTGTTTATTTTGGAGAGTTCAGGTTAAAGGAAATGAAGACTATTATTCAGTATTATTTCTGTAATTTTGTAATTTTAACCATAACATAGGTTTCTTATCAAAATGTATGGAAGCCAGAAAGCAGTGAAGCAACAATATTTTCTCCAAAACAAACAGGCCAAACTTTGGCAGGAGTGACAAATCTGGCATGCAATGGTGGCTTCTATATCAGAAATCAAGTCTTTTACTTTGTGAGAGGCCGGAGTTTTTAGTTCTTTGTCTTCCTTTTGGCTGCCAGAGGAATTGAACATTGTGAATTCATTGGCATAGTCCCAAGAAACTTTACTTGGCAAGCAAGCTATTGATTTTGGCGGGGGTGGGATGGTGTTTATCAGTCACCCCTACTAGCAGAGATGTGATAACACTGCAGTCAGAGTAGTTGAGTTTTAAAATTTTGACTTGCCAACCAACAGAACATTATTTATATGGTAAAACTTAGACATCAGAGGCTACAGGCACTCAGGCTAAATTCTGACCCATTCATTGGTGACAAATGTTAAGGGATTTTTGCCCCATTAGCCCTTTTTTTACTCATGATGGTACTCTGAACAGAAGAATCTCCTCTAACAATTTAAGACCATTCATTGTATAAGCATGTAAATCATCAATCTCAATGACACATTTTCACAACTATACACTGAATTGGCTCAGAGGCTTCACTCATAACTTTAACTTTTTTTCCCCCTTTACTACAAGTTTTACCCAAACTCTGTCAGTTGAATTCACACTCTACAGGAACACATATCAAGAAGTTTAACACATGCACTTTAGTTACAGCAGCACCTGCCAGGAGAATATCTTACCTCCTTGACTGAGAGTTCAAGGAGTGCAGGGAGATGTGACCAGCCATCAAGAAGCAGTAGAGAGACTTCTTTCTTTAAAGTACCTGAGTCAGGTTGAGGGGAAGAGAAGAATTAGGAGCACAAAGAGAGCAGGCACACAACAGAAAGCACAACTCTGCAATTGCTTTTGGTTTTAAGAGGCTGTCCATTCAGTTTTTTTTTTTTTTTTTTTTTTGAGACGGAGTCTCGCTCTGTCGCCCAGGCTGGAGTGCAGTGGCGGGATCTCGGCTCACTGCAAGCTCCGCCCCCCGGGTTCACGCCATTCTCCTGTCTCAGCCTCCCAAGTAGCTGGGACTACAGGCGCCCGCCACTACGCCCGGCTAATTTTTTGTATTTTTAGTAGAGACGGGGTTTCACCGTTTCAGCCGGGATGGTCTCGATCTCCTGACCTCGTGATCCGCCCGCCTCGGCCTCCCAAAGTGCTGGGATTACAGGCGTGAGCCACCGCGCCCGGCCCCATTCAGTTTTTTGGTTTTTTTTTTTTTTCCTTTTTTTGAAACGGAGTTGCCCAGGCTGGAGTGCAGTGGCATGATCTCAGCTCACTATAACCTCCACCTCCTGGGTTCAAGCAATTCTCCTGCCTCAGCCTCCCGAGTAGCTGAGATTACAGGCTCCTGCCACCATGCCTGGCTATTTTTTCTATTTTTAGTAGAGATGAGGTTTAACCATGTTGGCCAAGCTGGTCTCGAACCCCTGACCTCAGGTTATCCACCTGCCTCGGCCTCCCAAAATGCTAGGATTACAGGCATGAGCCACCATGCCCAGCCTGTCCATTCAGTTTCAATGAACTTTAAACAACAAAAAATGCCATTTGGGTGGCTGGTTTCAGTCTTCCCTGTCAATGCTCAGCCTCCAAATATTCACTAACACACAGAACAATAGGAGGACTGTTACTCTCCTCTCACACCTACTACGTGGGAGAGAACATCTGCTACCAGATCCTGGAGGCCCTTCTCAAGCCCCCTAACCTGGCCCCATGTGGTTCTTTCTGTTTTTTCTCCTAGAAGGCATTGTGACCTTACTGGTCCCATGTTGGGCATCAAATCTGTGAATGGCTCACACTTGGACTTACGCACACAGCATAAGTAATAGGGGATATCTATGCATAAGAAAGATTAGTATGTTGTCAGCTCCCCACATCCATAATTCCACAGCATGACACCAAACTGGAGTTACTAGATGACAACCCAAGTGGTGGGTTGCTCTGTCAAGAAGGGGCCAATTTTATATTGCAGCTAGGCAGTTACAGTCTGTAGCTGTACCATTGAGGGGATCGGGGCAAGATGGAAATTTCCATGGTTTACCAGAAACAGGTGAGAAACTGCCTGCTGGTAGCCTGCTGCAAGACAAGGAGGCCCCCAAAAGAGATGAGTAAGAAATAGTATTATGATAATGCCTCACAAGACTACTTCCCTTACCATGGTCCAGGAGGGCATTTGGTCAAGGTTTGAGTCATAGTATGGTTGAGCCTTACCTATGTAAAGTTTAAGCAAAGCCATTCCCTTGTACCTTGTACCTTGAAGAGAGTTTCATTGGATATAATATCCTTAATTTGCACTTTCTTCTTTTTAATGAGTAAATTGCATTTTATTTTATTTTATTTTATTTTATTTTATTTTATTTTATTTTATTTTTTGAGATGGAGTCTCACTCTGTCGCCCAGGCTGGAGTGCAATGGCACTATCTCGGCTCACTGCAAGCTCCACCTCCCAGGTTCACGCCATTCTCCTGCCTCAGCCTCCGGAGTAGCTGGGACTACAGGCACCCGCCACCATGCCTGGCTAATTTTTTGTATTTTTAGTAGAGACGGGGTTTCACCATGTTAGCCAGGATGGTCTCGATCTCCTGACCTCATGATCCACCCAAGGAGTCTCTCTCCCTCCTTGTGTTCTGGTCCGTGAATGGCTCACACTTGAACTTACTGTAGGCTCCTAGTGGGAGGAGCGGGGGTGGTGAAAATCCTCATCATATGGATAAACATAACCCAAACCTCTAGAGGTTTCATAATTTTCCTCTTGCTTCTAAAAACATAGTCATGTCTTATGGGGTGTTATGTACTTTATATCTTAACATTTTCCACTTGCTGCTTCTTGGTTTGAGGGGAGAAATGCCAGCATGTGGCAAATGGAGAATAAGACTGATGGAAGCCTCAGGGCAAGGCCTTCACTTCCCAGTGACACTGTTCCCAATTCCCTCCAGCATGAGCTGAGCCTCCTCAGGCTGTGGTTGTGCAGCAGACAGGGTGTGAGGAAACCCTGCTCAGCCCTGGTTACCCAGGATGGCACTGAGTTCTAAAACGCAAAGGTTATGTGGTGAGGGGCCTGGCTGAAGACCTGGTGTGGTACTTTTGTGAGCAGTGGCACCATTTGAGGCTGGGTAGGAGAGAGGTGCAGGGCCTAGCTCCCCAAAAGACCAACAGATAAACTGGGGCAGAGAGAGAGATTCCAGTGTAACCGGGAAGGCTGCAGATCATAACAACTATGGCTGCTGATTTGGCATCAAAGATGTGGCATTGTCAAAGCCACAATTGTTGAGAATGGCACCAACATGCTGCAGCTGGAGAGAGTGGGTGACCAACATTTTGAAGTGGCATAGTTGTCTGGGGTAATTACCCAAGGTTTGTTGCCTCACACCAAGGGAACTGAGGATGTGGACACACAAGAAGTGGGTTTAGGAGTGGAGGTTTACTAGGCAAAAGAAAGAGAAAGGAAAATAGCTCTCTCTCCTGAGAGAGAGAGGGTTGCCAGAGTGGAACTTCTGGTTTTGTGGTGAAGTGCACAGGGTTTTATAGGCTGGCTTGAGGAGGCAGTGTCTGATTCACATAGGGCCCAAAGATTGGTTGGACCAGGTGTGACATTTACATAGCGCTGGAAGAAGCTGGCCACCCAACCCTAATCTTCTTCTTATGCAAATGGGTTTTCTACTTTACTCACGCCATGTTGTCTGCTCCTTACTGTACACGTGGTTAGAAAGGAAAAGGGAAGATGGAGCCACCATGTTGAACATGCCTATCCCCCAGGTAGCCTTGTCCTATTGGCACAGCCGCCAGCAGTCACCTGTGCAAGCTTCCAGCTTGCTTATCTATGTCTGCAGCTCCATTTTACAGGCTGCTTTTTGTTAGAAAAGAAATTATTTGGGGGCTGCTTTTCATTAAAAGGGAACCTTACCAAGGACTTCCTTACCCTAATGCCTAAATAATTTCTTTTTAACTCCTATATCAATTTGTTTGAAGAACAGATGACACTTTGAATGGCCCAGCCCACAGCCCAGAATTTCAAGGGAAGACCTTGAATTCAAGGGAGACAATGTCTCCCGTAAAATCACCTAGGCACTTACATAGCATATTTTTCTGTCCACTGTCTTGCTAGTCTGTTGTAGTTCTCTCTGTTGGCCTTGTAGGTGTGGGGTATCTCTAGCACCAGAGGATCATTGAGGTTGGGGATGCAGGGCAGTGAGCAGATGGACAAGAGAACTTTTGACAGTCAATGCTGGAGACCACTGAGACCATAGGATGTCGAAGCAGATGCTGTCATTGCTATTGATATTGGGGTGATAAATTTTGGTTGTGAAAGCAACCTTGGGGGCTTGAACAGGCAATCCGTAGGAAAGTGGATGGTCAGGAAGAAAACACCTCCTTGGCAAGGACTGTCATTAATTATCACCCAGAGGCCCCGTGGAGCACTGGGCAGGAGGATTCATCTGCAAGTTGGTTAATTCCTTCTGGATCCACTTTAGTGCCATCCTACCCCACTGCTGGGGGCTGGGGTGGCCCAGCCACACTGCACTTTCTATATATAAGTTTTTTGAAAATGCTGCTTCACTGTTACCTTGCCTTGTATGTTAGTGCCCATCTAATTCAGTTGCTTTTGTAACTTGTTCCACAGTGATGCCTGGAGACCTGAGTATGTTTTATCTTTAAAATCTAATAATTTTACTAGGATATTGTCTTGAAGTTGATCATCCTGGTTTAATTTTTGCTGCCACTTTATGGGCTCTTTCAATGTGCCTCATCACATAAGTAATGTCATTTTCATTTTTGTAAATCAAGTCTCCTAGATTGTTCACCTGAAAGCCTGATTCTCCTTTAGAGAAAAAAATGCTAAAAAACAAAACAACAACAAAAAAACAAAACATTATATATCGCATTACAATTTTATTCAACAAATACAGAGATTTCCAGAATAGTTAAAACAAAGTAGAAAACAACTCTGGTGTTATAAGAGCAGTAGGTTCATATGCCCACTGTGCAGTAATAGACCAATACACTAAGACAGCAGTTTGCAACAAAGAATTTAATGATCACAGGGCAGCCAAGGGGAGAGATATGAGTAGACCCTCAAATCCATCTCCTCAAGAACTTCTGCATTAGGGTTTTTAAGGGGATTGTGGAGGGTGAGGGGTTGGAAAATTAAGGTTGTTGATTGGGCAGGGGAAGGGGGATGAAATCATTAGGATTTGGAAACTGCATACTGAGTCAGTTCCTCAGTGGGGTCCTTCAGACCAGCTGACATCAGTAGTTTCACTGGTACACAGGATCTGAAAGAATATCTCTAATGGGAAACTTAACATTTCATAATGTTCAGGTTGTTATCTATAGAACAGTTCAGGAGAACTATAATCTAGGGCCTGCCTGATTCTAGCACAAACAGCACCAAACAACTGTGAGGAAGCAGGTCCAAGAGCAGGCTGCTCTCAAGAGTAATGCAAAATTGCTGCAAGCTTGTTTATTTTTGTTTCTCCCCTTCCCTTCTTCCCTGATTAATTTTATAAAGTTTATAGGGACAGTTTCAATGGCTTCAACACAGTATTGCCAGGTAAGGACTTGAACCCAAGAGGCGGAAGTTGCAGTGAGTCAAGACCAAGCCACTGCTGCACTGCCCAGTCTCAAAAAATAAAAATTAAAAAAAAATCAGGCCAACACCTGTTGACACACATTGCTAGGAATCCCTTTGGGAAAGCAAATGGGCTCACGGAACACACGGAGGCCATGGTGGGTGACAATGTTAACTAATTCTGTTCATGGTGTCCAGGGTACAGGCCTGAGGGTCCACTCGCCACCTCTGCCCAAAGCCACGTCTCCACTGCTCCCCTCATCTCCGCACGGATTCCTCCCCACGTGCCTCCCCTTTTCTTGGACTGCCGACACCTGACACCACCAAGGTGACTGCTCCTCCCCACAGCTTCTCTCCTTCAGGGGACTTCACTTCTTGTTCCTTGCTCCATAGTGAGGCGTGACCCAGCGGTCAGCCCAAGGTCTAGCATGCGAATCAGGGACGTGATGGTTCTTTGGGATTCTAGGGATCTACCTGGAAAATAGATGAAAGTAACAAAAGTTTTACATACCAATATTCAAAACTGCATCAAACTACCAGAAACACTTGCCACTTTCAAAGATAGACCATGCTAAGTAGCTCCAGGTGTGTGCCACCATGCCTGGCAAATTTTTGTATTTTTAGTAGAGACTGGGTTTCACCATGTTGGCCAGGCTGGTCTCGAACTCCTGACCTCAGGTGATCCACCTGCCTTGACCTGCCAAAGTGCTGGGATTACAGGAATGGCTCTTGACTCTAACTGCAACGTCCCTAAATCATTAGATCATTTCCTGAATATCTTATGCTTCAGGCATTGGCCATCACTTGGGTTACCATTGTCATAAGTCAAAAGCCTCCACAACCAAGGCCCTTAAACATGGGATAGCCTGTGCAGGGCAGAAGTATAAAGAATATAGAGAAGTGAAGCACAAAACTTGTTGCATTGGCCAGGAATTAAACCAGGGTCTCCTATGCAGGCGGTGAGAATTCTACCACTGGACCACCAATCCGGCTCTTATGTGTGGTCCTGGAGAAACAATTGAAATACAATACTGAAAAAGACAGAAATTGTTCCAAAAGAAGCTTTTTGCAGTATTGACTAAAAGCTAACAGTAGACATCCAAAACCAAGGTTTTTATAGAATACTTTTACTAGACAAAACTATAAATATTAAAATAGCTTATTTGATCAAACTTTAATTCCTAAAAAGGCTCCTTCCAACTGCGTAACAGACTCCTATAGAAAAACATCAGAAATTCATCCGGGTTCCTTGTTTCTGATCCTAAATCTTCAATTTAGGACCTCAACCTCAAACTGTTGCTTTAGTGGCTCTGGGAAGAAAGCACTAACTGGCAGCATAGGTAAGTAAAGTTTTAATCTAGGGAAGAAATAAGAAGCAGAATCAGAATTAGAATTAGAAGAAAGAGGAAATATGCTATACCAGAATATCATAGGCAAAAAAAGAAGATGAAGAAAGAGGAAATGAAAGGACAGAAGGCAATGCTAATGGAGTTAGTTATTTGTGGCTGTTTTTTGTAAAAGAGTAATGATCAGTCTTGTAATCATTATAATACTATTATTTGCTTTCTAAAATGTCTAAAATATTTGAAGGAATATATGATATAAAAAGATGAATAATGCTTGCAGTCAGTGTTTCATTGTTTGGGAGAACCCAGTTTCCTCAGTTAATACATTTTCGTGTAATAGCTGTTTAAGGAGTAACATGGTTTAAAGACATTTTAATGGCTGAAATATTAACATGTTGGTCTTTTGATGAAGTTCAAATAGAGAGATTTCTTTCCCCAATTTTCCCTGGAAAGATTAAACTGAAGAGAAAAATCTGGAAAGTTTGCCCCACCTGTTGGGTCTGGGAGTCATTATGACTTTTTCAACGACAGGAGTTGTGTATGACATGGAATCATGCTTCTTCTCTAGTTGAGAAGCCAAGCTAGGTCCAGGCTGAGTCATAAACTTGAACCCAACAAGGAAATCACCCTTCATATTGACCTTGCAGAGCTTTGGCTCTATCTGTTCTCTGCCCAACACCCAAGACACATACTAGTTCTGGCCAACAAACCTTCACATATTGTCTGTGTCAACCAGAGCTACATTTATTCCCAAATCTCTTTCTAAAATACAAACCTGTACTTTCTACTCTCAACCCCAAAATTTACAAGAGGCCTCATATGCATCTCAGAGTCACAGATGCTAAAACTCAACACACCAGTGAGATCCCTGTCAGCATCATGTACTACCCTCTACCTCAATGATCAGCCCCAAGCCAGCATCTCCCAAAGAGTAGTGTGTTGTCGTGGGTGTTTCAACAGATCACTAAAACCTGCTTCTACCGCTGCCTAGACACCTATCCTCACTGCTATGCATCCTGCTCCTCAAATCAGATCTTGATATCTTCTTTAAACACTCCCAATCTCCCAACATGACAATTCATTTCCAAAGAATTATAGTATTTAAATTTATTGGACTCTATACAGACTCATTCCCACTTTGTTACTACGCTGGTCCATCCATCACCTCCATTAACATAAGTAGATCAAAAACTGGCCTCTCTACAGCCAGTCTTGTCTATTCCAACCCATTTGCCACACTGTGTCCTGAGTGACCTTTCCACAGTGTAAATCTGGACATACCTGTAGCCTTAAATCATATCTACCAACATAGTAGCCAAGCAACAGCAATCTCTTTTCCTTTGGTCATTAGAGTCCTAGAGACCAAGAGGATGTTGGGAAAAGAATTACAATGGATCAGCTCTCAGAGGCAGTGGGTTCTGGACTCGTGCTGGCTTTGATACGTGTACATTGGAAAAGCTCAAGTACCTGGCAATACTTGGAGATTAGGAAGAAAGGATGAAAGTAAACCACTGCACTAAATAACATGACAATAATCACTTATACAAAAATTTTAAAGATAAGGAATATTTAAAGATTTATTAGTTTATTATAGCTTTATAGTTGGAGAGTGGAGAAGAAAATACCAAAGCTTTTTGTCTTAACAAAATGGTGCAGACAGATTAACATATATTGTCACCTATGATAACCAGTCAGCATAAAAAGTATTTAGAAAGGAATGGTTGTATTCTCTAAGAGGGATATTCTGATGTCATGTTTTTTGCTTTAGAGTCTATTAATATAGCCACCTTTTTGTTAATGTTTTCAGTCAAGCTCCTTTTCTCGCCTTTCATTTCCAACCTTTCTCTCACTTTCTGGTTTAGATACAACTCCTAAATATGTCATATAGTTAATTTAAAAATCCAGTGTAGCAGTATTTCGGGGGTTTGTTTTACTGGATAATTTGGTCCACTTACATTTAATGTAATTGTTGATATATATTAATTTTAAATCTACCATCTTTATTTTTTCTGTTTGTTCTGCTTGTTCTGTTTCTATGTCTTTTCTTGTCTGTTTTGGATTGGTTATTTTTAACTATTATAACATTATATTTTTTTACTTTTTTATATGCTTTGCTTCACTTTCTTCCTTATTGTATTTCCTTTAATTGTATTTAAGTTGCTTCTATTCTTTTGTGGTTACTTTAAAAATTACAATCTTAATCTTTAATTTTTTTTTTTTTTTTTTTGAGACAGAGTCTCACTCTGTCTCCAGGCTGGAGTACTGTGCCGCGATCTTGGCTCACAGCAACCTCTGCCTCTCGGGTTCAAGTGATTCTCCTGCCTCAGCCTCCCGAGTAGCTGGGACTACAGGTGCAGCTAATTTTTGTATTTTTTTAGTAGAGACAGGGCTTCACTGTGTTGGCCAGGATGGTCTCCATCTCTTGACCTCATGATCCGCCCACCTTGGCCTCCCAAAGTGTTGGGATTACAGGCGTGAGCCACCGTGCCCAGCTAATCCTTAATTTATTAAACATAGTAGTAATTGATACCGTTATCCTCTTCCTGGACAATATATGGATGTTGGAATACTTTTATTCCATTTAGTCTCATTCTATATATATGCTGTTATCATTTATTAGGTCTAAGTATTAATAGTTTTAAACCCCAGAAGACTAGACATATATTTTATGTAGTTAATGTTAATTTAGATTTATCAACATATGTGCTGCTATCTTGCTCTTTATTTCTGCTATGTCTCTGAATTTCCATATGTAATCATGGTCCTTCTGCTGGAGAAACATCATTTAGAATTTCCTTTTGTGTTGGTCTGCTTGTGAAAAAACTGTTTCAGCTATTTTTCTCTGAAAGTGTCTTTATTTTGCTTTAATTAGTGGAGATTATTTTTACTAAGTATGTAATTCTGGAGGCAGTTATTTTCTTTCAGCATATTGAAGATATTTGCATTTGATTGTTTCTTTCAGAAGGCAGCCAATTGTCTCGCTGCTGCTTATTTGAATGTAATGTTCCTTTTTTTCCTCTGTTTTTTGTCTTTACTATTTTTGTCTTTTTTTTTTTTATTGTCTGCAGTTTTACTATTCTGTCTTTAGGTATGGAGTTCCCTTTATTTATCTTCTTTGATTGGTAGGCCTTCTAGAATCTGTTGACTTTTGAGTTTCATTTTGTCTGGAAAACTCTCAAGTATTATCTCTTCAGTTATTGCCTCTATTTTCTCTCTCTTCTACTTTTGAGCCTCTAACTAAAAATAAAATAGACTTTCTCACTCTATTTGTTATATTTTTGTGTTTGTGTATTAAATATTATTTTTTCTCCTTGTTATATATTCTGAATTTTTTTCTTCTTCCTCATCTGCCATTTTACTAGTTCTCTTTTCAGTTGTGACTGCTCTCCTGTTAAACTCTTCCATTGAGCTCTTAATTTTGTTTTGTTTTGTTTTTTCCGAATTTCTATTTGCCTCTCTCTAAATCTATTCTGTCATTTTTTTGTTGTTTCCAATTGGTGTGTAAATTGTTAACAAAACCCTTTTCTCCTTCTGCATGATAATTTGACCTTAATTAACTTTCTAGCTCTGTCCACCTAGAGCCTTCTAATGACAAAATGTCAACTATGTTACTAAGCAAACATTGCATATCATAAAAAAGACTCCTAACTGATGGACTACACTTGGACTGGGAAAACTAAGTATCTGGAAGAAGCCAGACTTTGAGCTTCTCTGAATGCAGTGACTCCTATAACTTGCATACACCTGGCATGGGCATTGGAAACTACTCTATTAAGTTCTTAACAAGAGATAATGGCTCCAGGATGGTGCCACATGCACCTCAGCTGTCCCCAAGTAGACAATGAGGGGTGGAGAGTCAAGAGACTATCTCCTAGGTACTGTGTGGACTGCTGCTGCAGGGACTGCTCCTATAGAAATATCATGCCTGATGCTGCCCTAATAGCAAGCTATAATTCTTATCCTACATCTCTCGGATTAATCTGGTGCCAAGTATGGCCTCTGAGATTCTTGTGAGCCTGAACGTTAAGTTGAAGCTAAGAAAACATCCAAGTGGGCAAAATTCTTCCAAATTTTTGTTTCATGAATAATGTAGACATCATTGTTTTGCAGTCTTTCTAATATATCTAATATTTGGGGGCTTGATTTCAACTGCCTGACATGTCTGCTGGTTTTCACACCTGGTTTAGTTTCTTTGGGTTCATTATTATTTTTGAGTATGTGCCATATCTTGTATCTGGAAAAATATTTTTGGAATAATCTGAGATCTACAATGAAAGCTTTCTTGCCCAGCACCTGGGGGTACTTCCAGCCCAGAACCACCTTTAATCAAGTAAAAGGTGTGAAAGATGCTCTGAACTTAAACTGTGTAACATAAGGGATGTTTCTTTTATAGTCCATTTTTATCCCAAGATTATAGAAATGTAAGGTTCTACCTTATTGTAGGATTATTCTCCTGATAAACTCCCCAACTTGCGCAGACTCTGGTCTTCTATTTCTGTCCCATTAGTCACAGAAGGCTGTCAAACCCTAATATGCAGGTCAGGAAATGTCCTTAGCCAAAAAATGGTTCCTCTGCTTGCTTACGGCTCTGGGATCCAGTTTTTCCTTTACTTCAGGCCTCGTAATTCTTCAGTGTTAATCATCATCTTGATGCTTTTAAAAATATTTGTTTCCTATATATTACCTAAATAGCTTAGTCAGTGTTACCAGAAATGTATCATCAACTTTTAAAATATACTAAATGCTTAAAAAAATAAAGTCATATTTTACTGCTATGGCTCTGACTTGAAACTAAGTTGATGAGGCCATGAGCTGGAGCACAAATCAGTCCCCCCACTGTGAAACTGTCAGGTCACCACAAATACAGATTTTATTAGCAATGCAGAATTTTTCTTTTCCCTCTTAAGTCATCCAGTGACCAATCGGTTCTAGGCCACAAGATCAAAAACTCCGGTCTCAAAATCTAACAACCCCCAGCTGGTAATCTCACACATGCTCAGATTTTACTTTGTAAAAGAGAATCAAGCCACATCATATAAAATTAAACATTTATTATTTTTCTTAATAGTCTAATAGAGATATACATTTGTGTATATTGGCCGGAAATTGGGCTAAAATTTTCACAAATGGAAATCAAGAATGTTACCATAGAACTATCAATGCCAACTTTAACTATCTGAATCAGATGGCATAGCCTAGTTTCCTCTACAACTGACAGCACACTCTTTGGTATTTTGGTATTTTTCAGTGTCCTTGAAATGTTTAACTACCCACTAAAGAACAGGTCACATGGAATTAATAAACAAAGGGCTTCAGTTTCCATCAAGCACCTTCAAGTGACAGGAACAGGGATTTAAATAAAAGGATCTAAGTCAGCACAGGAAAGTGACTGTGCTGCCAAAGTGACTCAAACTCAAAAGGACAGGATGAGACTTACTCAGAACTTCGAGGAAGTGTAGAGAAATTATCCACCACTTTTTATCCTAGAGGTGCCTTTGTGGTTGTGACCATACCGTAGAATGATTTGGGGATCCTTTCCAACTGGAAGGACATCTTAGACTGAGGGAACCCAAGAAACCTGATTTCGGTCACCCCTGACCATCATAAATCCCACGCAACAGGTCCATGCATTATCTAATGTTGACTCTGGGAATGGTCATTGTCATTGTTTCCTATTTGAATGGTTGTCACATTTCCTGCTTCAAATGATATCCAGAAATGATGGCTTGGGACCATATTCTCAATTTTTAGGTGGCAAATAGACTCCAGAGACATCACACATAATAAAATACTTGGACTTTGAAAGGAAACAGTCAAGTCTATGACTTACAAGCTTATAAAGATCCCTCAGATGAGTTATGTACATGGATTGAGAATCAGAAAAGGAAGGATGCTCTCTCAGGAGATAGAAAAACCAGATAAAAGGAGCAACTGAAATTATCTGACCCATCCCCTCATCGCCTATGTAGAAGGGAAATGCTCACTTTATCTAACCAGTGGATAACAGACAGCCTCTTTCATTTTGGAGCTACCAAAAAGAAAAATAAATTGTGGTTTGGTTCAGTTCCCTTTTGACCAGTATGTTCTTGAAATTTTGAAAACATTTTACTCTTTTTCCTTTTAGTGTTTCAGTGTGGATAATTTCATTTGATCTATTTTCAAGTTCATTTTTTAGGCCAAAATTTGTCAAATATTGGCAATTTCATATGATTCAACTTAATATATTAACCTAATGTGCAAAATTCAAATTTGTTTCTATACTACTAAATAATATCCCCCTGAAACGCTTTGCCAATTTACTCCTACTGACAGTGTATGAAAATATCCATTTTATTTCATCCTTTACAAGGTGCTATTATCAATAATTTATACTTTTACCAATCTGGGAAGTGAAAAAGACATTTAATTGTCTTGACTTGCATCTCCCTTATTACTGGTTAGTTTAAATTTCTATTCTCCGTTCATTTTTCTGTTTATTTTCTTTCGTAGTACCTACTACTTCTTGATATCTTTGTTTAAGCTTTATATATTTACTTTTTACCTGTTAATTGTTGTAATCACCCACTAAAGAGTAAATTCTGGCTGGGCACAGTAGCTCACACCTATAATCCCAGCACTTTGGAAGGCCCAGGTGAATGGATCACTTGAGGCCAGGAGTTTGAGACCAGCCTGGCCAACATGGTGAAACCCCATCTCTACTACAAATAAAAAAATTAGCCGGGCATGGTGATGCACACCTGTGATCCCAGCTACGCAGGAGACTGAGACACAATAATCGCTTGAACCAGGGAGGCAGAGGTTGCAATAAGCCGAGATCACACCACTGCACTCCAACCTGGGCGAGGAAAAAGAAAAAGAATCAGTTCCATCAGAGCATGGATTAAGTCTCATTCACCACTCTAGTGCCTAGAACATTTTATGTACTCAACATATAATAGTTAAATGAATGAATGAAAGTTAGACTGTAGGGGTGTCCATGAAAGTAGATATTAGCTAAGTTCCCAGAGATTGACTCCTCTTTTCCTGGTTCTCACACTTCAAGCTCTGTTAAGCCTGGAGGAGGGTGTTTTGTCTTTAAAAAGATACAGCTCCAGGTTACCCCTTTGGACCAGTTCCTGTTCTTAGGTCTCAGACTTCCTCTATTCATGAATGGTGGATATATATGATTTCCTGTGATGTTTCTTTACATTATGACCATAATGAGCGTTGATTTTTAGTTCCTGATCCCCTCATGTAATGACTGTTCAATTAATGACTTTTTGCCATAATGGCTATTATAAAGCTATGTCACTTTTTGGACAACTCCTTTTTTATTATAATGATTTGTCACCCCAAAATAAATAAACATGCTATAAGAAATTATATTTTGACATCATGGTTTCAAGCAGACACTATATAGAAGGATGTGGCCGGGCACGGTGGCTCACGCCTGTAATCCCAGCACTTTGGGAGGCCGAGGTGGGTGGATCATAAGTTCAGAAGATCGAGACCATCCTGGCTAACAAGGTGAAACCCCGTCTCTACTAAAAATACAAAAAATTAGCCGGGCACGGTGGCGGGCGCCTGTAGTCCCAGCTACTGGGGAGGCTGAGGCAGGAGAATGGCGTGAACCCGGGAAGCGGAGCTTGCAGTGAGCCGAGATTGTGCCACTGCAGTCCGCAGTCCGGCCTGGGCGACAGAGCGAGACTCCGTCTCAAAAAAAAAAAAAAGAAGGATGTGTATGAATGAGCAAGTAGGGAAGTGGCCAAAGAGGGGCCCACCCTCTGTAATCTGCTTTTTGATGCTAAGGTGAGGACTCTGCAAACCACATCTTTTTTTTGCTTGCTGGCTTTATTAGTTTCTGTCAGTAAGGGGTGTTAAAAAGAGACTGAAAGGCTGGAGGAGGGATATAGGTCTGGCTGCTTCCTATTTTGTTTCTTGTTTCAATTAGCATCATCCCAGCCATAATTTTTTACTCTGAGAGTGGTCATTGTTTCCAGTTTCATTTCTTTTCTTTTCTTACAATCCCGGAGCCTCGTGGCCCCCTCTCAAAGGCATGAGCATCAGCCAGTGGACACCTCTTCTTCAGAGGTCTGAGTCCCTGCTACACTAGGTACTTCCTCTGAGTTCCAAGGCCAGCAGCAACCTCCTTCTCAGAAGCCATCCTCCCAGTTATGTGTGGCCCTTCATCCAAGTTACCAAGTTCTAACAACCCAACCATTTTACCTTTGTTTCTACAACCCTAGGGTTGATCACTGCTTCGCTTTCTACACTAACTATCTCTGTGTTACATCAGTTCCCCTTTTGCCTTCTTAGACCTCCAATACCTGTATAATTCCTTGTGTTAAATTCCCTCTGGTATACTGTTCATTTTCTATTTTTTTTTTTTTTTTTTTTTGAGACAGGGTCTTGCTCTGTTACCCAGACTCAAGTGCTGTGGTGCAATCATAGCTCACTGAAGCCTTAAACTCCTGGGCTCAAGTGAGTGTGCCACCATGCCCAGCTAATTTTTATTTTTTTTAGACACAGTGTCACTCTTTTTCCCAGGCTAATCTTAAACTACTAGATTCAAGTGATTCTCCCATTTTGGCATCTCAAAGTGTTGAGATTACAGGTGTGAGCCACCATGCCCAGCCCATTTTCCTTTTAGACCCTGAATGACACACAGTACTACTCACCAATTTACCTGACATGACCATTTGTAGTCAGAGAATATTGTGTGAAACAACTTTGAATTGCATGACTGTATTAGTCTGTTCTCACACTGCTAATAAAGACATACCTGAGACTAGGTAATTTAAAAAGAAAGGAGACTTGATTAACTCACAGTTCAGCATGGCTGGGGAGCCCTCAGGAAACTTACAATCATGACAGAAGGAGATGCAAACACATCCCTCTTCACATGGCAGCAGCAAGGAGAAATGCAGAGCAAAAGCGGGGAAAAGTCCCTTATAAAACCATCAGATCTCGTGAGAACTCACTATCATGAGAACAGCATGGGGGAAACCACCCCCACAATTCAATTACCTCCCACTGGGTCCCTCTCATTATGTGGGGATTATTATGGGAACTACAATTCAAAATGTGATTTGGGTGGGGACACAGCAAAACCATATCATTCTGCCCTGGCCCCTCCCAAATCTCATGTCCTCACATTTTAAAACACAATCATACCTTCCAAAAGTCCCGCAAAATTTTAACTCATCCCATAATTAGCTCAAAAGTCCAAGTCCAAAATCTCATCCAAAGGCAAGTCCCTTCTGTCTATGAGCCTGTAAAATCAAAAGCAAGTTAGTTACTTCCTTGATACAATGAGAGTACAGGCATTGGGTAAATACAGCCACTGCAAATGGGAGAAATTGGCCAAAACAAAGGAGCTACAGGCCCCAGGCAAGTCCAAAATTCAATAGGGCAGTAATTAAATCCTTAAGCTCCAAAATAATATCCTTTGACTCCATGTCTCAAATCCAGATCACACTGATGCAAGAGGTGGGCTCCCATGATGTTGGGCAGCTCTGACCCTGTGACTTTGCAGGGTACAGCCCTCTTCCTGGCAGCTTTCACAGCTGGCATTGAGTGTCTGAGTCTTTTCCAGGTGCATGGTGCAAGCTGTCAGTGGTTTTACTAGCCTGGGGTCTAGAGGATGGTGGCCCTCTTCTCACAGCTTTACTAGGAAGTGTCCCAGTGGGGACTCTGTGTCGGGGCTCCAACCCCACATATCCCTTCTGCACTGCCCTAGCAGAGGTTCTCCATGAGGGCTCTGCCCTTGCAGCACACCTCTGCCTGGGCATCCAGGCATTTCCACACATCCCCTGAAATCTAGGTTCCCAAACCTCAGTTCTTGTCCTCTGCACACCTGCAGGACCAACACCATGTGAAAGCTGCCAAGGCTTGGGGCTCGCACCCGCTGAAGTCATGACTCAAGGTGTACCTTGGCCCCTTGTAGCCATGGTTGGAGTGGCTGGGACACAGTGCACCAAGTTCCTAGGCTGTACACAGCAGGGAGGTCTCTGACATGCCCTGAAGACCTTTTCCCCACTGTCTTGGCGATTAACATTTGGTTCCTCATTACTTATGCAAATTTCTGCAGCCAGCTTGAATTTCTCCCTAGAAAACAGGTTTTTCTTTTCTACCACATAGGCTGCAAATTTTCCAAATTTTTATGCTCTGTCACCTCTTGAACGCTTTGCTGCTTAGAAATTTCGTCTACCAGATACTCTAAATCATCTCTCTCAAGTTCAGAATTCCACAGATCTCTAGAGCAGGGGGTAAAATGCTGCCAGTCTCTTTGCTAAAGCATAACAAGAGACCTTTCCTCTAGTTCCCAACTAGTTACCATTTCCATCTGAGACCACCTCAGCCTGGACTTTATTGTCCATATCACTATCAGCATTTTGGTCAAAGCCATTCAACAAGTCTCTAGGAAGTTCCAAACGTTCCCACATCTTCCTGTCTTCTTCTGAGCCCTCCAAACTGTTTCAACCTCTGCCTGTTACCCAGTTCCAAAGTTGCTTCTACATTTTCAAGTATCTTTACAGCAGTGCCCCACTACCCAGTACCAATTTACTGTATTAGTCCATTCTCACACTGCTAATAAAGACATACCTGAGACCGGGTAATTTATAAAGGAAAGAGGTTTAATTGACTCACAGTTCTGCATGGCCAGGGATACCCCAGGAAACTTACAATCGCGGTGGAATGGGAAGCAAACGTGTCCTTCTTCACATGGCAGCAGCAAGAAGTACAGAGCGAAGTGGGGGAAAAGCCCCTTATAAAACCATCAGATCTCGTGAGAATCATTCACTATCATGAGAACAGCATGAAGGTAACTGGCCCCATGATTCACCTACCTCCCACTGGGTCCCTCCCATGACATGTGGGGATAATGGGAGCTACAGTTGAAGATGAGATTTGGGTGAGGACACAGCCAAACCAAATCAATGACATATTTAGATGAACCCAAAATACTGTTTTTCATACACATGCCAAGCAAAGTGAATGAGAGGGTTGCATCTTCTATGACTCTTCAATCTGCTGTACATGTTCACCATTTCAATATTCTATAAAGCCTTTTTGTGTTTAGCTTTTATTTGGTCAAAGCCTTAAGGTAAAGGAAATTATTAATCACATTAAATTTGATATTGAATGCTGGTCTGGCACTGAATCTTCACTGACTTTGAAAGAATAATCCCCTCCCAGTCCTCCTCTATTGACCATCACCTATAACCAAGTCTCCTCTTCCTCCTTTGATGAATACAATAAAAATTCATATGTGAAAACTGTATTTATTTTATTTTTATCTATTATTTACATAAATTTAGTTTGTTTAATCTATATGTTTTCTATCTTTTGGGTATCTTGGGTTAATTTTTCTGTTTAGAATAACAAAAACTTTTTATTCACTTCACATATTTTCACTTAGTTGTAAGATTTTCAAACATAAAGTCATTAAGCAAATGTTTGTGTACAAGACACACAGATACAGAAACTGCCAGGAGAGACTCTGATAACTTCCATACTTCTAATTTTGCATATAAGCTGTCTTCAGGATACACAAAGACTGAGGGAAGAGAAGATGCTAAATGTAAATAATATACATTTATTTATGTATTCATTATCAAGCATATGTTATCTGAATGTCTTTATAAAGCAATATACAAATAGAATAGGAACGTGATATATTTACTTCCCCAGTTGTGGTGTAAGCATCCTCTAAAAATGCTTACACCACAATTGGGGAAGTAAATATATCATGTATATAACGAATAGACTATAAAAAAGAACACATGGGGCAGGTACGACGGCTCATACCTGCAATCCAGAACTTTGGGAGGCCAAGGCAGATGGATCACTTGAGGTCAGGAGTTTGAGACTAGCCTGGCCAATGTGGTGAAACCCCATCTCTATTAAAAATATAAAAATTAGCCGAGCGTGGTGGCACAGGCCTGTAATCCCAGCTACTTGGGAGGCTGAGGTGGAGGATCCCCTGAACCTGGGAGGTGGAGGTTGCTGTGAACTGAGATCACACCACTGCCCTCCAGTCTGGGTGACAGAGTGAGACTCCATCTCAAAAAAAAAAGAAATGAAAAAGCAGGAACACATGATAGGGTAGTCTGAGCTCTGTACAAATAGGAACAGTAACATAGACAAGGAGTAATTAGAGTAGGCTGAAAAAAAAATCGAAAGATCTTCTTGAAAAAGATCCTGAAGAAATTTATGAAACTGAGTTGACTAAGGGAATAAGGAAGCACGTGAGTAAATACAGCAACATTACCTAAATTCCCTTTCCAACATCTCTCTGTCATCTTCTCCCACCTCTCCTAACCAACCCACAGGGATTTAAAAATATTATTGAATTTTTATCTAAATGTGATGGAGGATGGACAGGAAGAGAATTACTGATTACTCTCAGTCAGGATTCATCCTAGCAGCAATTATTTGTAATTTAACTGAAATAAGTCCATTTGACTGAACAGACAGCTTGGAAATCACTAAAATGAGAAAGGAGATGTTTTAGAGAGTATGACTTCTATAAGTGAATGAAAGAGAAATCACCCTTAAACTCACTGGTTTGGGGAAGTGAAGTTCCCACAAATGTGACACACAGGAAATTGCCTTTCCACATGTGAGTTTTCTGAACTGAACCAACTGCCATCGATTTGCACTAGTAAGACAGTATTCCTAACCAAAGCAGGGAAAACAATGATGTGATCCCAAGAAGTCCTTGCACTCCCAGACTTCTAGTCTCATCTGTTTAATTTGACATTGTAGGGACCAAGAAAAAGCTTCCCCTTCTATCCTCTGAAAGTTTGCTGAAAATGGACTATAGACAAATTAATAGGAGAAAAAGCCATACAAAATGTATTTAACATGTATAGCTCAGGGGAATTAAAGGAGGATGGTTACCCAACAACCCAGTAAGGTCCAAATGGTTATACGCCCTTCCTCATAGAGAAAGGGGAGATGAAGGGTGTAGCAGTAAATGGTTTTCAGGGGGAATGAGTGAACCCAAAGAACAGTGATCTGGGACAAAGTTCCTCTGAGCTCTGGGGTCAGTGGCCAGAAGGTGAAGGACAGAACTTTACTGTGAACAAAGGTTGTTTTATTATTCAGATAAAGCCTCTCAGGTACTCTCTCTGAGCTGCCCTTGGAGGAATACATGAAAAGTCTGTCAGGGCAAGGTGAGGACTCCTAGTTTCTTCTCTTGTGGTTAATCTTTCCTGGTTATTTCATGAGATTCCTAGGGAGGGAGTTTTAAGACAATTGCATTTCTATTTTATTTTATTTTATTTTATTTTATTTTATTTTATTTTATTTTATTATTTTATTTTATTTTATTTTATTTTTTGAGATGGAGTCTTGCTCTGTCACCCAGGCTGGAGTGCAGTGGCACAATCTCAACTCACTGCAACCTCTGCCTCCCGTGTTTAAGCAATTCTCCTGCCTCAGCCTCCTGAGTAGCTGGGACTATAGGTGCATGCCACCACACTCAGCTAATTTTTTGTATTTCTAATAGAGATGAGGTTTTGTCATGTTGGCCAGGCTGGTCTTGAACTCCTGGCCTCAAGTGATCCTCCTGCCTCAGCCTCCCAAAGTGCTAGGATTACAGGCGTTAGCCACCGTGCCCAGCAATTCTTTTGGAAAGAATCTTTCTTAGTCAGCTGAGGAAATTCCATAGAGAGTCCCTGCTAGTGCTTCAGGAAAGTAAGAGGATGGGGGTGAGGTGTAGGTAAGGGTGAGGAGAGGTCAGAGAGAGATACCTTGAGGCTGCTTCTTTAGTTCAGCATGTCAAAGTGCCATATTTTGGGGTATTGTTTTCTGAGCCCCAGCAGCATCAAAGGTCATAGTTCCTGAAACTGCAGAGACAGCACTGAAGACTTCCATGTAGGAAACAGGATGTCTCTAAAGTGCAAAGAGCCAGGACTTGGATCTAGAAGTGAGTAGTAGAATGGGAAAGAATCTAGTCGTAACTTAGAAACCACCTCAGTCCTTCCTGGGTTAGCATTTGTCATCGTTTACTTAGGCTGCTGCTGAAGGGATTTGATTCAAGCCTCTGTGACTCAGCAGTGGGCACAAGCATTGCTATCCCCCTTTTTTCTAGGAAAATTGTTCAAAAGAAAACCTTGACACGAACTACGCATTAACCCTATATTACAACATCTTCATAGAGTCAGGTGAGAAGAAGGGAGGCCAGAGGATCCAGTCTTGAATGCTAACGGTATCTTAAACAGGGTCTTTATTGAGTTCTACCTTAGTATGGTAAATTATAGTTGTAAGGAGAATGGTCTCCCCTTTGTCCCTTTTGACTACAAGAAGCCGGTGCTCACCCTCTGAAAAGTCAGAAGATGTACAACATCTGCTACTCCTACCAAATGCTAAGCCACTATGAGGATATGATGCTTTATTTTTATTTATTTATTTATTTAGAGACAGAGTCTCACTCTGTCACCCAGGCTGGAATGCAGTGGTGCAATCATGGCTCACTGCAGCCTCAAACTCCTGGGCACAAGTGATCCTCCTGCCTCAGCCTCCCAAGTAGCTGGGATTATAGGCATGAGCCACCAGGCTCAGCAATGCTTATGTTTTTTTGTGCGTGTGTGAGACAGAGTCACCCAGGCTGAAGTGTAGTGGCACAATCTCAGCTCACTGCAACCTCTGCCTCCCGGGTTCAAGCAATTCTCCTGCCTCAGCCTCCCAAGTAGCTGGGACTACAGGCACAAAACACCACGCCCAGCTAATTTTTGTATTTTTTTAGTAGAGACGGGATTTCACCATATTGGCTGGTCTTGAACTTCTGACCTCGTGATCCACCTGCCTTGGCCTCCCAAAGTGCTGGGATTACAGGCGTAAGCCACCGTGCCCAGCCAACAATGCTTTATTTCTTGACTCTCTTTCTACACCCCTACTGCAAAAGACTAATTTTCCCCAAAGAGGACCTGATTTTGACTGAATTTTAGCCTCTTCCTCTTCCACATGATAAAGCTGCTAATTGCCTGAGAGAAGACTGCTGAGTTACAGTGTAGAGGGAAGCATACTCAGGGACAATTAGCAACAATTCTGTTTCTGTTAAACCTTATAATTCTTATATCACTACTGCACAGAACTAGACATGGAGCTAGTTTATGTCTCACTGTACCATTTACTAATTTTTTGACCCTGATGAAGTAACTTAACCTCTTGTAGCTTTATCTCATGTACAAAATTGAGACAACAGTAAGATGTTCTCATCTAAGTAAAATGTTGAAATGTTGGAGTGTTCCAGGCTTGTTTAGATAGATGGAAAACACACACACACTCATTCACTCTCTCTCTCTGTTACTCTGTCTTTCCAATACGTCTTGTTTTCACTTCTTAAGAATCAGCCTAGAGGTGACTGGAGGAAGAGAAACTAAGTTGTGGTGACAAAGAACAAGACTATGAGTAAGGATCACTATTACCCTTACAGACTGGATAAAACCCTAAGAAACAAAATCATTGTGCAAAACCTTTCAGGCCAGGCACAGCTGCTCATACTTGTAATCCCAGCACTTTGGGAGGCCAAGGTGGGAGGATCACTTGAGCCCAAGAATTCAATGCCAGCCTGGGCAACATAAGAAGACCTTGACTCTACAAAAAATATAAAAATTACCCAAGCCTGGTAGTGCATGCCTGTAGTCCCAGCCACTCAGGAGGTGGGACGATCGCTTGAGCACGGGAGGTCAAGCCTGCAGCGAGCCATGATCATGCCACTGCACTCCAGCCTGAGAGACAAAGCAAGACCCTGTCTCAAAAAATTTTTTTTTCAAGGAATAGAACCACTGCACATGCTCCTCCTGATCCCCCAAAGTGTAAGATTTTCCTGCAAATAGCTATCTCCCAGGACTTACATTAGTAAGGTATCTGGATATAAAAATCAGTGTTCCCTAAATCAGCTGTGTTTCCATTATATCAAAAATAAACTTTTAGAAATTACCATTTGAATTAACAAAGATACACACACACACACACGCACACACCTAGAAAGAAATCCCGTAAGATTTGTGCAGGGCATTTATGAAGAAAACTGTGCAATTTATGGGAAGTTATTAAGAAAGACCACATAATTTAATAGACACATTAAGTTTATGGTTTAGAAGACTCAATGTCATTAAGTACAAATTTTCTTCAAATTTGTTTACATATTCAATGTAAATCATCTAAATCCCAACAAATACTAAGAAAGCTGACAACTTGATTCAATGTGTACATTAATGAGCAAAAATCCAAGAATAACTATGAAAATCCTGAGATGATTAAGGAGATGTGCACTACCATATATAAGGATGTATTATAAAGCTATAATATTAAGACAATGTGGTATTGAGACAAAGATAAGCAAATTGCTGGTCAAATAGCCTAAGCTCTAAAAACACATATATATGAAACTTTGTGATAGAATTGTCAGTTCATATCAAAAACAGGATGATTAGGTCTTTTAAATGGTACTGACACAACTGCTTATACACAAGGGAAAAAAAAGAAATTAGATACCTGCTTCACATCACCTACAGACATGGACTTAAGACTTAATTGTAAAAGGCAAAACTTTAATACTTTTAGAAGAAAATACTTTGGAATCAGCAAAGATTTCATAAGCAAGACAAAAATACTAATCATAAAATAAAATACTGACAAATTAAACCTCATCAAAATTAAGAACTTTTGTACATGAAAAGACAACATAAAGAAAGTCAGGAAATGAGTTGCCAATCAGAAAAAAATAATTTCAACAGAAGTAAGCCATGAGGGTTTGTATCAGACTAAATTTTTAAACCTTTATAAACCAATAAGAAATAGACAAAAGTGCACACTATGAACAAAATAAAAGCCACAAACAGATATTTCATGGAAGAAACTGCATAAATGGTAAATTAACATATGAAAAAGGACTCAACCTCATCAGTAATCAGGGAAATCTAAATTAAGTCTACCATAGAGTACTATTTTATAACTACAAAAATGGAAATGGGGACTAAGAAGTCTTCTTACATTATATAAACCAAAAATAAAATTGTAAGACCCCCCAAGCATCTTAATGGACCCCTCCTCTTGGCCAAGGGCATTCCAAAGTGAACCTGAAAAACTAGTTCAGGCCATGATGGGAAGGGGGAGCTGAACATGCCTCATCATACCCTCCTCCCTTTTGGAATTACTGGTAGAACAGACTCTAAGTCTGATAAAAAAAAAAAAACATTTACAATCTATTCTCTCTGAAGTCTGCTGCCTGGATACCTGGAGGCTTCATCTGAATGACAAAACCTTGGTCTCCACAACCCCTTATCACAAGCCAGATCTTCCTTTCTATTGATAATAACGAATTGCCAATCAGAAAATCTTTGAATCTGCCTATGACTTGGAAGCCACCCCACCCCTGCCTGCTGCTTCCAGTTGTCCTGCCTTTCCAAACTGAACCAATGTACATTTTACATGTATTGATTGATGTCTTATGTCTCTGTAAAATGCATAAAACCAAGCTGCATCCTGACCACCTTGAGTACATGTTCTCAGGATCTCCTGAGGGCTGTGTCACAGGCCATTGGTCACTCATATTTGGCTCAGGATAAATCTCTTCAAATATTTCACAGAGTTTGACTTTTTTGTTGACAAATACTAAGTGTTGACAAGGGATTTAGTGACATAGAAATCCTTATATCCTATTAATGACAGGGCAAAGTAGTATAGCCATGTAGAAATTAACTTGGCATCATCTTATAAAATTAAAAATTTACACATCTATAACACCTTATTTTTCTTTCGGTACCTTTTAAAGATGTTGTTGCTACATTGTCTTCTCACTTGCATTATTTCCAACAAGAAATCTGGTGTTTTCTTTGTGCCTCTGTGTGTAGCATGTCTTTTTATCTCCGATCACTTTTGAGATTTTCTCTCACTAACTTTCAGTAATTTGATTATTAAATCCTTATGCTGTTTTCTTCATGGTTTTTGTTGTTTGGGGGGTGTTTTTATTTGTTTTTGTGCTTGGGGTTCATTGAGAATCTTGGATTTATAAATTTATAGTGTAGGGGAGAAAAAATAATTTTTCTTCTACCCTTCTGAGTTCTCAGCTGGGACTTTTATAACAAGACAGATTAACAAGAGAAAAGCAGATAATCAGGGAAAAATGAGTAACTCTCAAAGAGGTGGCCTAGAATTTTGGCTTATGTAGCATCTTCAACTAAAAGAAAGAAAGAAGGGTGTTGGGAAAGCAAGCTATGGGAAAGCGTTCAGGAAAATCAAACAAGAGTAAGGTTTATTATGCAGATTTAAATTGGTGCCTTCTCCATTGGTAAGAGCCTTTTGTGATTTAGTCCTCCTTCTTTTCCCAGCCCAGAGAGGGAGATAGCCTTAGAAATGGAGATTTCTTTTAAAAATGTAAATTTCCCTTACAGAAGGGTAACTTCTACTGTGTTTTTAGAATTCTCCTGTGTCTACTGTTTCTCAAAATAATCAGCTCAAAATAATCCTTATGCCAAAAAGTCATATTTTAGGGTGGCACATGCCTGTCTCCTACAAGTTTTCATCAAGTTTGAAAACTTTTTGGTCATTCTTTGTTCAAATATTTTTTCTATCTGTTACCAGGAAGGGGTCCCAATCCAGACTGCGAGAGGGTTCTTGGATCTCATGCAAGGAAGAAGTTGGAGTGAGTCCATAGAGTAAAGTGAAAGCAAGTTTATTTAAGAAAGTAAAGAAATAAAGAATGACTACTCCATAGGCAGACCAGCCCCGAGGGTTACTGGTTGGCTATTTTTGTGGTTATTTCTTGATTATATGCTAAACAAGGGGTGGATTATTATTCCTTTCCAGGAAAGGGGGGGGGCAATTCCAGGAACTGACAGTTCCTCCTCTTTTTAGACCATATAGTGTAATTTCCTGACGTTGCCATGGCACTTGTAAACTGTCATGGTGCTGGTGGGAGTGTCTTTTAACATGCTAATGGATTATAATTAGCATATAATGAGCAGTGAGGACGATCAAAGGTCACTTTCATCACCATCTTGGTTTTAGTGGCTTTTGGCCAGCTTCTTTACCATATCCTTTTATCAGCAAGGTCTTTGTGACCTGTTCCTTGTGCTGACCTCCTATCTCATCCTGTGACTAAGAATGCCTTAACCTCCTGGGAATGCAGCCCAGTAGGTCTCAGCCTTATTTCACCCAGCCCCTATTCAAGATGGAGTTGCTCTGGTTCAAACGCCTCTGACATATCCACCTTCCTCTTTTTTCAAGGACTCCAATTGTAACGCTAAAGATTTTTGCCTTAGCCAGACCAAAGAATTGGTGTGGCGGCTGCCCGTGGCGATGGAAACACGGACCAAGAGAAAAAAGGCTGTAGGCTTTATTGAGCAGAGTGACAGTACAAAGCTTTTCAGCGTGGAAGGGGTTTCGAGCGGGTAGTCAGAGGTCGATGATGCAGTTGCTTTTGAAACTCTTTAAGGCGGGAAATACGTGTAGAGGGAAGATGTTACCAGAGCGAGAAACAAAGGCAGTAAATTATTTTGTGACATGTTTTAGATTTTGAGGAAAACCAGAATTGTAACTTAGGTTTTATTTATTTTATGACCTTGCAGCAGCATGGCAAAGGAAACAATCTTACAGGACTTTATAAAGTATGTTTACAAGGAATTGGAATTGGGAGTATAGATAAAGTTCGCTGGTCATAGAAAAACAGGCATTTAATATTCCTTTTAGTTTTAGGGGAGGGGGAAGGGAGAGAGGGAGAGAGGACACAGGGAAGCTTACAGCAAAATTTTTGCTGTTTATAGTTTTTTTTGGGAAGAAAACACATGCACAAATCCTGGTGTTAGGAATATTTTAAGCATATATCTTTAATATTATTCATTCAGGACCGAAGTAAGTTCTGATGCAGAAAATGAGTGAGTTTTACAGCTTTCTGAGCCCCTGTTTGACTCAGGAAGCCCAGCTGGCCCCCTCCTTTCAAAATTACACATATATTAGGCCACTTGAAGTTGTCCCACACCTCACTGATGCTCTTTTCATTTTTTTTTTAACCCTCTGTTTCATTTTGGATTGTTTCTATTGCTCTGTCTTTGCATTCATTAATCTTGTTTTCTGTGGTCTAATGTGCTCTCAATCCCATCCAGCATACTGGTATTCATCTCTAGAAGTTGGATTTTAGTGTTTTTCTATTTTCCATGTCTTAATTGAGGTAAGACCCTTCTGGGTTCTCTATCACATGCCTTGTGAATTGTGCTCTCCTTTTTTGGGAACTGGCACTATTTCCAGCCCTGTGTGACTGTTGGGTACTGTTCTAGCTAATGCTTTCAAGTGGTTCTTTCCTGGGGTAGTTTTTTCACACACGTGCACCTGTGAAATTAAAAAAAAAAAGAAGAAGAAACTTTTTATCTGAGGAATGTGAGCCCCTTTAAATTATCAGGCTCAGAGAGGCATTGGAATGAAACTGCAGTCACATCACTCCCCCTTGAGTGATTATCTTGTAAAGCCACTTGCTATACGGGCTCCAGACTAACTGATGCCAAGCAGCCATAAAATAACATATGCTGGACACCACGACTCATATCCTATAGTTCAACAGTGTATAACCAATAACTAATCCATGTCATCTCTGTAAGCCAATGAAAATTTCTATCAAAGAACTTTGTATCCATCCACTTCTTCTTACCTTTGCCTTTAAAAACCTGCTTGTAACAAAAGCTGATTGAGCACTCCCTGAGTTAACTTGGAAGTGTGTCCTGGGCAGCTGTGCTCACTTTGGCTCAAGTAAACTCTTTAAATTATATCTTGTGCTTCAGCCCCTTCCTTCTAGATCAGCACACTGATTACTACTCTGCTGAATACTTGGTGGGGACCCTCAGCAGATCTCTGGAATTCTCTCTGTGTGCAGCTTTTTCATTTCCATTTCTTGGATCCATGAGCTCTAGCCACCTTGGTCTCTCCAGACTCAGCTCTGTCTCCTCAATTCTGGGACTCCACTGGGACCTGCCTGAGTTCCCCTGTACCACAGCCTGGAGACCCTCTCAATGCAGTAGATGAGGCAATTGCAGGGCTCATCTTTTTTCTTCCCTATCTCTCAGGGGTGACTGTCTTTTGTTGCCTGATGTCCACAGTTTCAAAAAAACATTGTTTCATGTATTTTGTTCTTTTGTTTAATTTTGTTTAGTTTAATTTTGTTTCAGGTGAGAGGATAAATCCAGTCTCTGCTACTCCATCTGGGCTGGAAATCTGGTATATCATTAATAATATTCTTGTTGTTAATTTGGGTTGTGGGTTTATAAATGTTCATTTTCTTATTTTGCATCATTAACCATATACACATATATATTACACATTTTTTCATTTGCGTAAAATATTAGTCAACTTTTTTAAGTTCTAAAAGAAAGTGAAGAGCCCTGGGGCGGAACAAGGGCAAAGAAGTAGGAAGAGTCTGTGGCCAACCTCTTAACTCACGTACCTTTCTGACCCCTCTACCTCTTCTACCTAGAGCCCTCCATCTCAGCCAGCTCCCCCTGTCCTTGTCACCATGACTCTGAAGGTGCCTTTCTGACACACCAAGATGGTCAAGGAAAAATGGTGCTGGGTTAGGTGACAGGGAAGATCATGAGCTTTCATACTTTATGATCTGACAAGCCACTGTAGCCTCTCACATTTATATACTAAGTGAGGGTCTTTCAGAATAGCGCTTCAGTGTCTGCACCTGACTCACACTATTAGGCAGTTAAAAGCTGGGGAATGAGCTCATGTGAAGAGTTTTTCCATTTCAGATCATAGCTATTTTTAGGAACACAAGCTACATAAATGTTTTAACCCTTTTCCCATCCTTTTCCTCTTGCTGCTGTGATACAGGAAGGAAATCAAAATGGAGTGACCTTGCTATCTGGGGAAAGATGAAAACTGCATATGCAAAAGCAAACAGACTGAGATTTATAACGAGTTGATCCCTTAAAAGCTTAGGAAAGAATCTCAAGGGCACATAGGAAAATAAGCAAAGGGCTTGATAGACATAATCATGACAACACAAGAAGGTGAAGTCGGGAAGAGGAAATGGACAAGGTCATCCCAAATTGAAATAACTTATAAAAGATAAATTATAATATCTCCAGAAATTAACTGTAAACATTCCTATAAAATCATAGATGATAATTTTTTAAAATAAAAGATTGAGTAGTAAGAATAACTAAGAATAAAAAATTAATGAGTTCCTAGTGGAAACTTAAAATTGAACCACTGGGGGACTTTCTATAATGAATGGCAGTTGAAGAAAAAAATTGGGTAAACTTTATATGAATATTTGAGAAACACCTCAAGCATTAGCAACTACATAAAAGTTATACATTTCACCTGTCCAAGAGCTGTTACAACAGTATACAAAACATATTAAGCAAAATTGTACTATAGACAATTACTTATATGCAATTCTTTACTTAAAATTTAGCAGATACATTTGAATAGTTTCTAAAACACATGATCATCAAAGAAGGAATTGAGTAGGAAATAAAGCATTACTGTTTTTTACTCATAAAGAGATGAAAATAAAATAAATTATTGGTCAATTCTTTATGAGATTTAAATTATCTTAGCATTTATTTGTTTGTTTTTGAGACAGGGTCTTGCTCTGTCACTCAGGCTACAGTGCAGTGACACAATCACAGCGCACTGCAGCCTTAACCTCCCAGACTCAAGCAATCCTCCTGCCTCAGCCTCCCAAGTAGCTGGGACCACAGGCATGAACTACCATGCCCAGCTAATTCTTTTTATTTTTAGTAGAGACAGGATCTCACTATATTACCCAGGTCAGTTTCAAATTCCTGGGCTCAAGCAATCCACACACCTTGGCCTCCCAAAGTGTTGGGATTACAGGCATGAGCCACTGCACCCAGCCTATCTCATCTTTTAAAAAAAACATATCAAATAATTGTTCATAAATCATTTTCTATAGTAGAGAGCAATTTTTCTTAAAATTGGCAAATAAGATTTTGCATCTACCTTTGAGAAAATTGTATTTGTAAAGTGATTTTAAAAGAATGAAGCCTATGAGTATGATGGCATTATAAAAGTATCAGTGGCCAGGTGCAGTGGCTCATGCCTGTAATCCCAGCACTTTGGGAGGCTGAGGCAGGCGGATCACAAGGTCAAGAGATTGAGACCATCTTGGCCAACATGGTAAAACCCCGTCTCTACTAGAGATACAAAAATTAACTGGGCATGGTGGTGTGCACCTGTGATCCCAGCTACTGGGCAGGCTGAGGCAGGAGAATTGCTTGAACCTGGGAGGTGGAGGTTGCAGTGAGCCAAGATCGTGCCACTGCACTCCAGCCTGGGTGACAGAGCGAGACTCCATCTCAAAAAAAAAAAAAAGTATTAATGTATGGAAATACAAATGTCATATATAGATGTAAATTCTCCTAATTGTTCTTCTGAGCATCATGATTTTTTTCCATGAATTTTTATTTTAAGTTCCAGGGTACATGTGCGGGATGTGCAGTTTGATTACATAGGTAAACGTGTGCCATAGTGATTTGCTGCACAGATCAACCCATCACCTAGGTATTAAGCAAAGCATTTATTAGCTCTTCTACCTGACATTCTCCCTCCCCCAACCCCACCCGACTGGCCACAGTATGTGTTGTTCCCCCACCATGTGTCCGTGTCTTCTCATCGTTCAGCTCCCACTTATAAGTGAGAACAGAGCATCATGATTTTCATTGTCCATCAAATGCTAGAAGACTACTCTGCTTTTGTTACTATGTTTGCCCCATTTTTCTAGCTCTTCTTACATGAATTTAAACCTACATCAATGGCTATTTCCTCAACATTTGGAAACAACAATACTTATTAGAAAGAAAGTATTTTATCCTTCCAGGCTATAGATCTTACATTCCTCTTACACAACAATCCTAATTCCCTCATGTTATCCTGATCAATGAAATGATTTCACTTATTTTTCAAAGAAGTAGCTATTTTACTACAAAGCAGGAATCGCAAGGCATGGGGTGGGCACTGTTATACTCCATCAGTGAGTATGTAAAGGAAATCAAACTGTCTGATTTTGAATCCTGCTTCTATTTTTTACAACCTTGGACAAATTACTGATTTCCTCTTTCACTAGGTTTATCATTTGTAAAATGGAGATACTAGTGTCTACTCATGGATTATTGTGAGGCTTAAATAAGAAAACATGTATCAAGCATATTTGTCTGGCATGTAATAAGCACTCTAAAATTTATGCAGCGATGAGGATAATGATCCTAGACAATCTGATAGCATCTTATCCAAAGGAAAAAATGCGCATTTCCTTTGAGTAAGCACTACTGATTCTAGGAATGTGTCCTAAGGAAAAAATAAGTCAAATGTTTAAAGGTAGTCACAAGACTATTTTGGTAGTAAGCAGTCTTTTTTACTGGTCACACAGTAAAAAATTAGAAATAACCTACATGTTCATGAAGAGAAGTTGGTGAAATAAATTATGGTACATGCATACAGTAGAAAACTTTGGAGACAAAATAGTAAAATAGTTACAGATATAGGCTTTGAATATAAATTTTAACAAGCTGAGGCTTCTCTCGTCTCTTCAGAACACCCTGAGTTCTTCCCGGCCTTTCTTCCTTGCTTTTCATTTGTGTCAGTCAGCTCTTGCTTGTACAGCAATCTTCAAATCTCAGTAGCATATAAAGGTAAGCATTTAGTTCTCACTTACAAGTTTGCAGGGCAGGTGAGGCAGCTCTGCCTCAAGCCACAATGTCTAGGACAGCTCTGTTTCGCACGGTGGCTGACTAGCTAAAAAATGTTCTTGTCTCAGCAATCACAGGAGAACAAGAGGGTGAGAGATAATGTGTGAAGCTTCCTAAGTGCTAAGTTTGAAATTAGCACCATGTCATTTCCATTCACATTTCGCTGGCCAATGAAAGTCTCATGATGAGCCACAGTCAAGAGTCAGAGACGTACCCTCATGAGGCTGTGGAGAGAGTGTAGATTCAGGGAGCGGTGAGAAACTGGGGCCAGTACACCAATCTACAGCATGATTTGTCATCATTTTTCATTCTCTGCTAGTAAGATTGCCAAAGTCTCTCTGCACTCATTGAATTCATCCTAGTTTCCATTTAGCTCTCTTTCTCTCTTACCACAATACCTAAAAATCTTTTTATGGGGTTACAACTCTGTCTCAGGAGCCACCTCAGTTTGGTGGCACAGAGCTCCCCACTTGTACTCTGAAACTCTTTTCTTGAAGATATTGTTATCCATGTGCATGAGTTATTTTTCTTCTCCATAGCATCCACATTAAACAATTAATTACCTTGGATTTAGCCAAAATAAACACTCCAAATTCATGATGTCTTTCAGGAAGAGAGTTTGTTTTCTTTTTTAACCAAAATGGGAGATTGATCCTGTCTGTGTCCCCTAGAGGAGCAGAGGCTGGTTTGTATTAGGGCAGCTCTTGTAGATGAGTAACTTTTCCCATGGCCTCATAGAGGCTGATATAGATACTTCTGGATTCAAATGATTGTTTGGAGGCATTAGCCAGGCATTGAACCAATTATAAAGAGTGAGGTTTTGCCATATTCTAACCGTAAGAAACAGAAACGGTAGAGGGTAAAAATAGAATAGAATGTCAACACAACTTTAGCCTTTTCCCTGGATTCTGAGAGTTCATAACCTGAAAATCAGAGATTCAAACTGGGAGAGATGGGCTAACAGGTATGAGCATGGGAAAAGCATGTTTCAAGGATTTGAGATGTATTTCCCAGAAAAGGAACATGATGAAAATGGTCAGAAAAGGCAATTTCCTTCCTCTTTTCTAATTTGGCTCTGGAGCCACCAGCAGAACCTCTTCAATATCTTGCATGTTACAGATTTCACTGCTCCCACCAGCTTGGAGACAACATGTGGTTCTTGACAACTCTGCTCCTTTGGGGTAAGTTGGACTCAGAGGGGACAGTTAGAAGGGTACAGGCTGTGGCTGTTGTGAGTCAAGAGTTTTGTCTTCCTGTGGTAACTCTGGGTAGAACTCATGAGTATGAAGCAACTTGTATCTGTGCTTCCACGGTTTATTAGAGCTTATTTTATGAAAAGGATGGGAAGGGCAACCCTGAGGTAGCATTAAGCCTGGACGCACCGCAGTGAAGTTTCCTTGATAACCACCTGTAGCTTGTTCAGTTCTGTTAGTACTGGATTTTGAGAAAGAGAAATAGAAACTCAAGAGATCTGAGTTGATCCCTCAGAGTCTACATTAATTCTGTCTCCCCAATTCTCTCTTCCTCATTATTTTCCTTGGACCAACTGATATCTTTATTCTCTGATCTCTTGCAGTTCCAGTTGATGGGCAAGTGGGTGAGTGATCTCTAACTCAGCTTCTCCTTCTATGCCACTTTCCTACTTCCAAAGGATGGGTCCTATTAACCTGCAGAAGAGCATATAGGGAAAGCAGAGAAAGAAGAAAGATTTATAAATTATGTAAAATCTCCCATATTCAGAGCATGATTTTCATAAAAACTATGATTTGTAAGCTTTCTTTCTAAAGTTTTCTGAATGAGCTCTTTCCTCTGAGCGAAATGCCTGAATGTATATATAACAGCAGGAAAGGGCCAGAATTGCACAAACACTAAAGTAGTCTGCTGACACTGAAGTAGTCTGCTGGGTTTCCCAACATCCCCTAAACCAGTCCCCTTTACAAGAAAGCAGAGTGGGTTTTTTCTCCTCAGAAAGAGCCAGGCAAATACTGAAGGCTTCAAAGAGAGGAGTTTGAACCTCCGTTTCCAATGTACAAGCTGCTGAAGCCCTGCAATGTACTCTCAGAGACAGTATAGCTCAGAGGATAAGGAAAACAGCTCCGCTTGGCTTGCCCAAGTCTAAAACCCTGCTTCATTGCTCCCAACAGAAAAACCTACATCAGTAATTTAATCCTCAGGAGCCCCAGATTCCCAACACCCAGATGAGGATTTAATAACAATGAACAGAGGTCTCTGCAGCAGGAGGACACTCTTAAAGGCTGGCTTTTGTAGGTTTCCACTTGCCTATTTTTCAAATAAATCTAAATATGTATTTTTCCCTTGTGCTATCCACAAAAGCCTCACCAGTTGCTCAGAGCCCTCCCCTTTACTCCACTTGATCTTTTTCTTTTTCTTCTTGTAATCTCCAAGTAGACACCACAAAGGCAGTGATCACTTTGCAGCCTCCATGGGTCAGCGTGTTCCAAGAGGAAACCGTAACCTTGCACTGTGAGGTGCTCCATCTGCCTGGGAGCAGCTCCACACAGTGGTTTCTCAATGGCACAGCCACTCAGACCTCGACCCCCAGCTACAGAATCACCTCTGCCAGTGTCAATGACAGTGGTGAATACAGGTGCCAGAGAGGTCTCTCAGGGCGAAGTGACCCCATACAGCTGGAAATCCACAGAGGTAATTATGACTTGGACCAGGAGGGCCGGAAACTACAAGGTCTTCCTCTGCGTTCTCTCCTTTCTGGATGCCAGATGTGTGTGTGTCGATTTATCTGGGTGCAGGTCTCAGCACTACGTACCTACCAGGTGACACTAAATCAGTATACTCAAAACATCACAGCAGGGTCCTTAAACTGTGTACCAACAGTACCTCAGCTGGGCCAGCTCTAAGTAGGATGTCTAGAGTTAAGACTTCGGCCCTAAGATTGTATCATTATTCCAAATGTATGCCTGTACATAGTAAATAATAATAATTCAAACAAATGAGCAATAATGAACAATGAAATATCTTCCTCCCACCCAAAACCCTAGATCTGCAGTCACCTTCCACAGAAACAAAACTGCTAATATATATATATACATATTATGCATATATATGTATATATTAGCATTATTATATATAAACTATATATATATATATATATATATATATACACACATATATATAGTTTTAAAGCTGTGGGTGGTAGAACACTTTCTAAGTATTGTCCTATATCTTACTTTTATCACTTAAAATACCTTGAAGTTCTGTTTATATTAATAGAAATCCACTTTAAAATGTCTGCTGCACAGCTGTACCAGAATTAATTTAACCATTCTGCCTATTAGCAAATTTATAAGATGTTTCCACTCTTTTGATTTTACAAGCATTGCTGCAATAATTATCTTTATACATACATTCCGGGGGCACATTTCATAGGGTATCTGTAAGATAATATTCTGGACATGGAATTATTGTCATATTTTAATAAGTGGAAGCAGAAAAGCCCACCACCCACTTAAACCTGTAAGGAGTTTCTATTCATCAAGAGATGGAGACTGCAATATTCTTCAGGGAAAAATGCTTCATTCAATATGCAAGACAAAATAACCAAATGTATTATTTAGTTATTCAGAAGTGATGAGTTTAAACTTCTTTAAAAATGATAATGCAAAAGTTAATCCACACTGGAGGCAAAATTGCCTTTATGCAGACATGGTTGCTGTTAGAGGAAATGTGTTTTAGCCAAGGAAATGTTGAGAATGTCTGAGGGAAGGCTTGATGTTCCTCATGTGTCCCTTAGGTCTCTGTAAATAAGTTCTTAGGATGGAGAGGTTAGGGAAGCTGACAGAGCTGTTTCCCTTTTTTTTTTTTTTTTTTTTTTTTTTTTTTTTTTTTGAGACAGAGTCTCACTCCGTTGCCCAGGCTGGAATGCAGTGGTGCGATCTTGGCTCACTGCAACCTCTGACAGAGCTGTTTCAACAAGACACTTTGGGTAATTCAAGCAGAAGTGTTTCATGGTTCAAGTGACAACAAAAGGACTAGGGCTGGGAAGAGCCCATTTTCTTTACCTCTACACAGACTCTAGGACACTCAGCATCAGTGACTTACTGAGAATCATATCTTTTTTACATTACATTTTAATGTGAATTTTCATTGAAATATAACTTATGTACAACAAGCCATAAATGTACGCCACAGTAAATTTTTTCAAAGTAAACAGCATCCAGATCTATTTTAGACATTTCCAGCACCTCAGAAACTCCTTCTTGCCCATTTCTAGTCCACCCCTGACACTGACTTCCAGCACCATAGGTTTTTTGCCTATTTTTGAACTTCATATAAAGGGCTACGGTATGGGACAGGATGTACTCTTTTGTGTCTGGTTTATTTTTCTCAACATTATGATTGTGAACAGTATACATGTTGTAAATTGAAGTTCATTTGTTCTTATTACTGTATATTTCATATTTTCCCATTCTGCTGAGGGGCTCGGGTTGCTTCTGGTTTTGACCACTTACAAATAGTAATGCTGTGGATATTTTTGTTTACATGTTTCAAATATTTTCTACCATTACTAATGTTCGACAGTATCTGATGGAGGTATGTTACAATTTCCCACTCTTTTGGATATACAAATGCAAATTAAGCATTTCCCTAATGACTATGATATTGACCATTTTTCACGTTTATTACCTATTTGGGTATCCTTTTTTGTAAGCTCTTTTTGATAATTTTTCTATTGTCTGTCTTTTTCTTACTGACTTATAGGAGTTATTTATATATTCTGGATATAAGTCCTTTTTCAAGTGTCTTAAATATCTTCTCCCACTCTGTGGCTTTTCTTTTCACTATAATATTAAAGTTTTGTTTGTTTTCAATGAACAAGACTTGTTAATTTTACTACAGTACAATACACCAACATTTTTGGTTGGTGCTGTCTATGCCCTATTTTAAAATGTTCCGCCACAGTCAGCCATGGGGAATTCAATTGCAGCTCACTGACTCTTAGTCATTTCAATTTAATCAGTATATGCTAAGACCAAGAAAATGCAGCTGGTTGGTGGACCCGAGCCCTAATCATATGGCTGACACCAAAGTCATGAAGGTAGGGGAATGATTGTTGAGTAGGAAATTAGTAATGTCTGCTAAAAGCTGCATCTCGTGAGTTTTGATATATAATACTACCATTACCATTTAAGTTTAAAACTCATAAATTTCTGTTATACATTATTTTATTCATGAATTACTTAGATGTTTTTTGGAGGGTAGTTTTTTGTTATTGATTTCTAATGTTATAGCACTTTGGTTAGAATTTGTGTTAAACATGGTATCAGTTCATTAGTATTTGTTGAAAATTGCTTTGTGGCCTAGTTCACACTTAATTTTTCTAATATTGCATGTGTGTTTGAAAAGCATATGAATTTTCTTTCTAAAGTAGAGCATCCACAAAATCAAGCCTATTAATTGTGTCATTCAGATATTTTCTACCATTACTAGTGTTTGACAGTTTCTGATGGAGATGTGACAGCATTTCCCACTCTTTTGGATATATAAAGCAAAGATGGCAGTGTTTGGACAGTGCAGTCTTTCAGCATCTGCTGGCTGTGGGTGGGAATAAGGGAGGGAAGAGAATTAATTCTATTTGGAAGCATTATATCAGTATCCATGACTGTAAAATTCATGCTATGTATAGCATAGAAACACCTGCCTTCCATTCTTAGATAAGTTCTGGAGGGGAAAAAGGCACTATTGTCTCTTTTCCGCCTTAGTCTCCTAAGAACCCCATTTTTACTTAGCCAAACCAACTGCCTCTGGAGAAAAGAAAAGTAGTTGAAGCATTTTTGGTTATGTGTAGAGGTGTTTGTCGAAAGGAAAAACCCATTGACTTGGAGCTTGTTTTGCTAGTGATATCATTGATCTTACATATGTGAGTATTCATATCAATGTAGTAGGATGTTTATATCTGGATGTTTGCCCTTCTGTGTGTTTGTCTCAGGATGCGTGGTCCTATTAACAAATTTGTCAAGAGTTGGAGTGTATTTGTTTTCTATTGCTGTGTAACAAATTTAGCAACAACATACATTTAAGATCTTCCAGTTTCCATGGGTCAGGACTCCCATCACAGCTTAGCTGAGTGCTCTGCTGAGAGTCTTCCAAGGCTGCAGTTAGGGTGTTGACTTTGCTGTGTTTCTTTTTGCAGCTCTTCCAGGCTCACAAGGTCACTGGCAGAATTCAGTTCTTTGTGGTTGTAGGACTGAGGTTCCTGCTTTCTTGCTGCCCATCAGTGGGGGGCCACTCTCAGCTCCTAGAGGCCCTTGCCTTGTGGCACTCTTGTAGGCCCTCTCCTGGCGTGGCAGCTTACCTCTTCAAGTTCAGGAGGAGACTTTCCATCCAGACTGCTAAGATAGAGTCTTACATAATGTAGCAATCCCAAGAGTGACATTTCATCACCCTTGTCATATTCTGTTGGCTAGAAGCAAGTCATAGGTTCCACCCACACTCAAGGGGATTATGCAAGGGAGTGAGTCATTGGGATCATTTTAGAATTCTGCCTACCATGCTGTATGAACTGTTTTTGTTTCAACCAACTTCTGAGATCTGGAAAGGGAAGATAAGAAAGGGCTGTGTACGCAGTTGCCAGTAAAGATTGCTTTTCTTTCCACCAAAGCTAAAGATATTTGAGGAACTGGATATAGGCCTGAGATTTAGCAGAGCTCTGAGGCTGGATGTTGCAAGGAGAAAAAATAGGAAGCCCACAGGGCCAAGCTTGGGCCTCCTTGTACCTCCTCCACTGTATACATACATTTTGGGTTCATATTTTTCAGGCTGGCCACTACTGCAGGTCTCCAGCAGAGTCTTCACGGAAGGAGAACCTCTGGCCTTGAGGTGTCATGCGTGGAAGGATAAGCTGGTGTACAATGTGCTTTACTATCGAAATGGCAAAGCCTTTAAGTTTTTCCACTGGAATTCTAACCTCACCATTCTGAAAACCAACATAAGTCACAATGGCACCTACCATTGCTCAGGCAAGGGAAAGCATCACTACACATCAGCAGGAATATCACAATACACTGTGAAAGGTATTGTATTGGAATAGTCATAGAACTGATAGTCCCTCCCCCTGAGGGACCATCATAAATATTCTAAACTCCTCACTTTAATTTACAAGTGAAGAAACCGGGCTCCAGAGAGGTAAACTGCATTACTAAAGGCCACACCATGACCAGTAGCTGGAACCAGAACTGAGGTCTCTGGGTCCTAGTCCAATACTCTTTCCAGTGTACCGCAAGCCCCATCAATAATCACAGGAGCTAATGTCAATGTCAGGGCATAATGGTGATCCATTTCATCCATCATTATTTTAGTTGTAAAGAATACAGACTCACTCTAGGTAGATAGGAGAGTTAGAAAATAATACCATGGAATCTCATGGAAGCCCCATAGAAAGAGAAACCTGGAAAATATGAGGAACGGGCTATACTGTCCATCTACCTCTCAGGGACAAAGCAGCCTCTGTGGTGCCACTTCTTCCTGAGCATCTGCAGGCTAAGCAGTTTGCATATGGCCTTGTTCTGACCCTTTCACGGCCTTTCCTCTTAATACAATCACTAGCAACCTTTCTCTGTCTGAGAAAAAAAAAAGTTCACTCCTGTGGGAAAGAAATTATTGTCCCAGATTATCTTTTAAAGTCAGGAACAAAAATAATGAGTCACTGAAATGTGGCGGGCACCTGTAGTCCCAGCTACTCGGGAGGCTGAGGCAGAATAGCATGAACCCGGGAAGCGGAGCTTGCAGTGAGCCGAGATAGCGCCACTGCACTCCAGCCTGGGCAACAGAGCGAGACTACGTCTCAAATAATAATAATAATAATGATAATAAAGTCACTGAAATGGCAAGTGTGTGAGTCAGGGTTCACTCCTAGTTGACCACTGCCAAAAGGGCATGGTTATTGACCAGATGACATGGTCATTCAGGGAAGGATGGACCATGTAGGGCAGGGGTTCCCAACCCTTACTGGTCCGTGGCCTGTTAGGAACTGGGCTGCACAGCAGGAGGTGAGCTTCTTCATGAGCCAGCATTACGGCCTGAGCTCCTCCTCCTGTCCAATCAGTGGCGACATTAGATTCTCATAGAAACATGAATCCTATTGTGAATTGTGCGTGCCTGATGATCTGAGGTGGAACAGTTACCTTCCAAAACCGTCCCCACTTCACCCCCCGGCTGTGGAAAAGTTGCCTTCCACAAAATCCATCCCTAGTGCCAAAAAGGTTGGGGACCACTGGTATAGAGGTATCCTCAGTAGGACTCAGCAAGCTGGCAACCCTAATTATGTCTATTAGGACACCCCAAGAATGGCTCTCTGCTGGAAGTAAAAACGGTTAATGCCTTATGGATTCATTTTCTAAGGCCAGGTTTCCCAAGGGGGTAAAGGGCATGTCTTTTGTGAAAAGGACCTGGATGCTAAACAGGCAACCCTTTCCCCCATCAACTTTCTCCTTAGAGCTATTTCCAGCTCCAGTGCTGAATGCATCTGTGACATCCCCACTCCTGGGGGGAATCTGGTCACCCTGAGCTGTGAAACAAAGTTGCTCTTGCAGAGGCCTGGTTTGCAGCTTTACTTCTCCTTCTACATGGGCAGCAAGACCCTGCGAGGCAGGAACACATCCTCTGAATACTAAATACTAACTGCTAGAAGAGAAGACTCTGGGTTATACTGGTGCGAGGCTGCCACAGAGGATGGAAATGTCCTTAAGCGCAGCCCTGAGTTGGAGCTTCAAGTGCTTGGTGAGTGAGAATGATGGGAAGCCACTGGCACAGAAGAAGGGACTCCCTTATCTCCCATGGGACTGAGGTTTGTTCAAGGGTTTTTGGCCCAGACAGGAGGGGAAAGTCTCTTCAGGAAAAGCCCACAAGCAGGCCTTTCCATCCTTGATTCACAACATCACTCTTCTCCTCGCAAACTGTTAAATTTCCTTTCCTTTCTTTTTCTTTTTCCTTTGCCTTTCCTTCCTCCATTTCTTTCCTTCATTTTCTCCTCTGTCCTTCTTTTCTTCTCCTTCATTTTATTTTCCCCTCCCTCCCACTCTTCCCTCCACTCCATGACCCCCGCTTCTCTCTCTCTCTCTCCCTGCTTCCCTGCCTCCCTCCTCCTCACCAACAATCTCACCAACAATTTATCAAGTTCTTCCTATCTGTTGTCATACGTCTGGGGATATAAAGACATTTGAGTATAGTTCTTGCTTCAAGGAGCTCACAAGGTGGATTTATCAGACAGTGATTTTGTAAACTGCAAATCACCACCTCCCCAAGTATCTCTATTTAACTGAGGCAGAGGGATTGTGAGCTCCAGAACAAAGTCTCCTTGGGGGGGAAAAAAGTTCATCTTCAACCCAAATTCATTTCAAGTATTAAATGGCACAGAGATATCAGTTGTCTCTGGAACTAGGAAGTAAGTCCACTGACAGGGCCCAGCAATTAAGCTCTTCCAAGGAGCCTGTCCCTGTCTATACACCATATAGCCAGTTAGAGCTACCGCCAGTTCCTTCCTGCTCCCTGAAATGACCAGTGCCTCCCTGAGGACAGGCACATCAGGTCTCAGCCAACCTTCCCTTCCAAACATAACTCAGCCAGACCCCTCTGGTCTCTAAATAGTATCTCTTCTCTTTGTCTTTTTCTGTTTCAGGCCTCCAGTTACCAACTCCTGTCTGGTTTCATGTCCTTTTCTATCTGGCAGTGGGAATAATGTTTTTAGTGAACACTGTTCTCTGGGTGACAATACGTAAAGAACTGAAAAGAAAGAAAAAGTGGAATTTAGAAATCTCTTTGGATTCTGGTCATGAGAAGAAGGTAATTTCCAGCCTTCAAGAAGACAGACATTTAGAAGAAGAGCTGAAATGTCAGGAACAAAAAGAAGAACAGCTGCAGGAAGGGGTGCACCGGAAGGAGCCCCAGGGGGCCACGTAGCAGCGGCTCAGTGGGTGGCCATCGATCTGGACCGTCCCCTGTCCACTTGCTCCCCGTGAGCACTGCGTACAAACATCCAAAAGTTCAACAACACCAGAACTGTGTGTCTCATGGTATATAACTCTTAAGGCAAATAAATGAACTGACTTCAACTGGGATACATTTGGAAATGTGGTCATCAAAGATGACTTGAAATGAGGCCTACTCTAAAGAATTCTTGAAAAACTTACAAGTCAAGCCTAGCCTGATAATCCTATTACATAGTTTGAAAAATAGTATTTTATTTCTCAGAACAAGGTAAAAAGGTGAGTGGGTGCATATGTACAGAAGATTAAGACAGAGAAACAGACAGAAAGAGACACACACACAGTCAGGAGTGGGTAGATTTCAGGGAGACAAGAGGGAATAGTATAGACAATAAGGAAGGAAATAGTACTTACAAATGACTCCTAAGGGACTGTGAGACTGAGAGGGCTCACGCCTCTGTGTTCAGGATACTTAGTTCATGGCTTTTCTCTTTGACTTTACTAAAAGAGAATGTCTCCATACGCGTTCTAGGCATACAAGGGGGTAACTCATGATGAGAAATGGATGTGTTATTCTTGCCCTCTCTTTTGAGGCTCTCTCATAACCCCTCTATTTCTAGAGACAACAAAAATGCTGCCAGTCCTAGGCCCCTGCCCTGTAGGAAGGCAGAATGTAACTGTTCTTTTTGTTTAACGATTAAGTCCAAATCTCCAAGTGCGGCACTGCAAAGAGACGCTTCAAGTGGGGAGAAGCGGCGATATCATAGAGTCCAGATCTTGCCTCCAGAGATTTGCTTTACCTTCCTGATTTTCTGGTTACTAATTAGCTTCAGGATACGCTGCTCTCATACTTGGGCTGTAGTTTGGAGACAAAATATTTTCCTGCCACTGTGTAACAGCTGAGGTAAAAACTGAACTATGTAAATGACTCTACTAAAAGTTTAGGGAAAAAAAACAGGAGGAGTATGACACACACAGCAACTTGATTCTAGATTATTTGGTTTGATCCGTAAATGATGGGATGGGGCGTCGCGCTCCGAGCGTGTCCCGCGGCGGGCCCCTGGCGCCACACTGTGGCCGCATGTGCATATTGCAGCCTCCGCCCGTATCTGGGGGCCGCAGCCGCCAGCGCCCGGGGACCCAGCTGCGGCGAAAGCTGTCGGGCGCGCGCTTCGCCGCAGCTCCGCGCCCCCGCCAAAACCCAGTGAGAAATTATTTGCATTCCTGGAGCCTGCAGGAGCGAGAAATGAGCTGTAGGAGTCGGTGGGCAGCAACGGCGGCAGGCGGATGGAAGAGAGCAAGGGGTCGCCGTTCGTGTCCCATTCGCCCGAGTCAAGGGGCGGCCCCCCAAAATCCCAACGTCATTGTTTCCTCGGGGCCGGCAGGTGTGAAAACCCGGCGGCAGAATGGAAGTTCGGTAGTCTGCGAGGGCCCGCGGCCTCCCCAGGCGCGTAGCTGAGTCCCTCCAACCCCGCCCCGGGCCCGCCTGCTCCCGGGCCCCGGCGCGGCGCCACCTGGCGGCCGTCTGTGGAGGTTGCAGCTGCCGCCAAGCCACGGGGATGCTGCCGGCCTCAGGTGCCCCCGGCCGAGCCTCCGCGGAGAGGAGGACTGGTAGATCACAGGAAACGGGAGGACGGCGCTGGGCTCCCAGCAGGCGCCCCAGCTTCTTGGCTTGTCGCAAGAGCAGCCGGAGGCGGCGGCGGCAGGGAGGGAGCGGGTGGGGAGTGGGAGAGGCCGCCCGCCTCCCCGTCCAGCTCGGAGGACCTCCCAGCTGGTTCCCTCACCGTCAAAAGCAGGAAGGGAGCTGGCTCGGCGGGATCAGCAAGCCAGCGGGCAAGAAGGCTCCAGGCTCCGCAGGGGCCACCCCACATGGACTCGGGAACCGCCGAGCTTCACCCACAAGGGCCCACGGCCCATCCTATCACGGATGAAAAGATTACAGGACTGACAATGAGCCCCTGGAGGGATCTGATGCAGCTGGCGGGGAGAAAGGTGGGTCGGACTTAGAGGGGTGGTGGGGTGGAGGAATATCTTTCTTCTCCCTGGGACCTACCGAGGCTTCACCTGTGAGGGTCTTGGGCCCATCCTTCAATCCGAGAGCTTCCAAGCCAAAGCACAGCTCCCCAGAGTGGACAAGTGGAGCAGAACCGGCATTAGGTTGGGAGGGTGGGTCGTTAGGGGTAGTTCTTCACCTTGCAGGCTGGGTATGGAGACCTCTAAATTCATCCTAGGGCCACAAGAGCTTCTGTAAGAGTTCAGGCCCGTTTCAGAACACTCAGAGGTTCCTAGCCTGAGAAGTAATCCCCAAAGCAGACCAACCGGTTTGGGGTAAAACAGGAATAGTTGGGTCCATTCTGGATCTTTCCTAGCTAAATGCCTTCAGGATTTAGGAACATTTTCCTAGGAGGGCCAAGGATTAGCTAGACCTGCCCAGCGATTCCAGCCCTGAGAACCAGACAGAATGGAGGTATAGCTGACAGCTGGCTGGGAGGGGGCTGACGGTCCTCACTGCCACCAGGCTTAGTTGGAGACAGATTCCCCGGGCTGTAGAGAGACAACAGTAGAAGCAAAGAGACCAGTTAGGAGTCTAGGTGAGAGGCAGCGGCAGCCTGGACTAACATGGTAACAGTGGAGCTATTGAGAGTGGTCACATTTGGAAGATGTTTTGTAGGAAGTGTCAACAAAGTTTCTTATTGATTAGATGTAGGGAATGTGAGAAAGAGAAGGGGGGGGAACACGTAGATTTTGGGTCAAAGCAATAAATATTCCATTGACAGAATTGAAACAGCAAGTTGGTGGAGGAGGGGAACGGGGTAGCAAGAAGCGAATGTTTCATATTGGACATTTTAAGATTCCTATTTGACATTTAAGTGTAACTCTTGAAAAAGCAATGGATATATGAAGAATCCTAGACTAGAGATACAAATTTGCCAATCATCATATAGATGTGGTATTTAGAGTCAGGGGACTAGAAAGAACAATGTAAGGGGGAAGTACAGATAGAAAAAGGTCTAAGGCTGAGCCATGAAATATGCCACATTTTAGAGGTTGCGTAGAAGAGGTGGTAGCAAAGGATATTGATAAGGAGTACCAGTGAGGTAGGAGGGAAAACAGAGAATAAAACGTCTCAAGAAAGAGAGATCAACTATGTCAAATTCTCCTGAGAAAACTATTGGATTTGGAGTGGGAATGCACTAAATCTGTCGATCTTTTTGGGGCAGGGGCGGGAGGGAGAGGGTTAGGGAGGATTGATATCATTCCAACACTGACTTTCCAATCCATAAACAAGGTATAACTCTCATTTATTTATGTCACTGTTAATGTCTCACAACAATATTATAATATTCTCTCTAGATGTGTTAGATGTATTCTTAGGTCCTTCATTTTTGTGTTATTGTAAATGGTATTGTCAGAATCTTCAGAAGTAATTATTGGCCAGGTGCGGTGGTTCATGTCTGTAATCCTAGCACTTTGGGAGGCCAAGGTAGGCAGACACTTGAGCCAGGTGTTGGAGACCAGCCTGGGCAACATGGCAAACCTCATCTTTATAAAAAATACAAAAATTAGCCAGTGGCACACGCCTGTAGCCCCAGCTACTCAGGAGGCTGAAGTAGGAGGATCAATTGAGCCCAGGAGGCAGAGGCTGCAGTAAGCCAAGATCGCACCACTGCACTTCAGCCTGGGTGGCAGAGGGAAACCCTGTCTCAAAAATAAATAAATAAATAAATAAATAAATAAATAAATAAATAAATGAATGATTATTACCAGTCTCACAGCTGAGGCAGAAATTTAAAACAAATAAATAATAAGTACTGCATTTATTCACTCCAAGAAAAGTAAAAGCTAAGGCCCAGAATGTGGCAAGGCAAGGGTTAAAAAGAAGAGAACAAGTTTTCCTCTGCCTAGCAAGCTTACTTCAAGGACAGTTATAAGATAACGCTGTCCAAATAGCCAAGGTCAAAGGAATAGGCTCCAGACACCCCTCCCTTCCAGAGCAAGGTTGGAGGAAGAAAAAGAGAAAGATTCTTTTACTCTTACTCTTTCCCCAGGCCTCTTAAGCATTATTTACAAATGTCTGTATTTAGCCAGTTTTTGTTTTTCTTTCGATGCAACTACAAGGTCACCAGCTATGCAAGGTCACAAGTTATGTTATGCTATAGATTATGTGACCTGTCACTGTATGATTAACTGCTTTTGTTTTGTGTCTGTAAGGCCGCTTATAAAAACCCCACTCTGTCTTTGTTCAGTGCTCAGCTTTTTAGATGCAAACCTGCTGAGCCGTGCGTACCTAAAATAAACAACAATCCTCCTGTTTTTCCATATTGGCCTCTCCTTTCCTCAGTTTACCACAACATAGCCATAATAGTATAAAAACTGAAAGACCCTAAGACACATATACATTAAGCTTGGCAACGGAAAGCAGGATGTCACACACACACAAAGCTAGTAATGTGAAAATCTGGTCTTGCATAAGGTCTTTTAGGTACAGACTTCTTTGTTAATGCACATTGGCAGGAAAATGGGAACGAATAAAATTGCTTGCTGTCCTTCTCCCTTTATTCTCCACTTCTTGTTTTTTCTAAATGTGGGGTCAAAACTTCCATGAGGGTAAGAAGTTCAGTTTTCTGCCTTTCCCCTTCATCTCCCTATCACACATGTATACTACTCCTTAACACTTAGAGAAGATAAAAAAAGAATAAATTGTGGAGAGGGAGCATATGTGAAAGTAAAAGATTCCCAGACATAATACGGGAGTTAATGGAGAAAGAAAATCTCTAAGGAAGACTAGAAATAATTGGGTTAGGGATTCTCGAGAAGTAAATTAAATTCCCCAAATATGGTATTCTCTGAGAAGATAATTTTGAAGAAGCAATGGCGTGATATCCAGTGAAACAGCAGTCCTCTGGAGCCTGGCTGTGACTTCAAGGCCCAGTTCTTCTGGAAGGGCAGAAAAATACTTTGAAGAGGAGAAATGGGCATTTATATAGGTTTATAAGTACCATCTTTATTTTAGAAAATAATCATTTTCTACCTGGAATTCTAGTTTATTGTGACCAAAGATTGTAAAATTTCAGGATATGGCTGAATTAAAATCTTGGTCCTGCACTTAAATAGCTCCTTGAATTGCAATTTCTTATCCCAATTATTTTATCCTTTCATTCCACTGTGAAATCTATATCATGGCACTTAATAGTCAACTTTATTATTTTAATTTAACAAATGCTTATTTACCTTTCATGGGTTATTTCATTTAGCCTTCATAATATCTCTTGTCATTGCCTCACACTCAGTCGGTGGCTTTTAATACTATTCTATTATTTTGATCAATTTGTATAATATATTCTCTCCTCAGTGTTTGGTAAAGCTGTCTGGGCTTGCTTTTGTTTGTTTTTTGAGACAGAGTTTCGTTGTGTCACCCAGGCTGGAGTGCGGTGGCATGATCTCAGCTAACTGCAACCTCCACCTCCCAGGTTCAAGTGATTCTCCTGCCTCAGCCTCCCAAGTAGCTGGAATCATAGGCACACGCCACCACACCCGGCTAATTTTTGTATTTTTAGTAGAGACAAGGTTTCACCATCTTGGCTAGGCTGGTCTCAAACTCTTGACTTCAAATAATTCACCCACCTCGCCCTCCCAAAGTGCTGGGATTACAGGCATGAGCTGCCGCACCCGGCCTTGGTGCTATTTTTAAGGATATGTATATCTGATTTTTTTTTCTGTTTCTCTTATAGTTAATTCTTTAGTCAGGTATTTTACTTTTCTTAGCTCAACTTTGGTAATTTGTATGGAAAAGTCAACATTTTGTCTACATTTGCAAATATATATCAAAAATACACATCATTTTAATATCTTCTATATCTAGTATTACTTATGTGCTTTTTCAATAGTAAGTTTACGGAAGGATTAACTCTTAATTTTCTTTTCAGGGAACACAGTGTTTGGTTTTATAAATTCCATTTTGGTGGAATAGGAAGGTATGATCTGTTTCATTGACTATGCTTTCATCTTACTTTATGCCTTCTACTTTCCACAGGTTTTTGTTGTGTTCCTTTGTTAGCGTTGGAGTTAAAAGCTTAATTCTCTCTCTGTTGCTCAGGCTGGAGTGCAGTGGCATGATCTCAACTCACTGTAACCCTCCACCTCCCAGGCTCAACGATCCTCCTGCCTCGGCCTCCCTAGCAGCTGGAACTATAGGCGTGCACCACGACATCCAGCTAATTTTTGTATTTGTTGGAGACACAGGGTCCTGCCATATTGTCCAGGCTGGTCTCCAATTCCAGAGGCAATAATTGGGAGGCCAAGGCGATCTGCCTACCAATTATTTTCTCTTAAATGCATTTTAAAGCTACAAATTTTCTCCTGACTGCTTCATGTAGGTTTTAATATTATTTGCCATGAAATATATTTCACAGTGGAATGACAGATAATTGGGATAAGAAATGGCAATTCAAGGAGTTATTTAAATATAGGGCTAAGATTTGAATTCTAGCTTACTGGGACCAAAGCTTGTGAAGTCTCAGGGTATGGCTGAATTATAGTGCTCTTGTTATTTCTAAAGAGCGTATAATTTTTATTCTGATATCCCCTTTAACCCATGTGCTTTTTCCTAAGAGTACAACTTAAGGAGGGCATGTTTGATTATTTTATTGTTTTATAATCAGTTAACTATGCCCTGGTCCTATATGGTTTCAGCTTTTCAGCACTTGTTGAGGCTTAATTTGCCATCTCACTTATGGCCAATTTTTGTCAATATTCTATGTGAATTTGAAAATAATGTAACTTTCCTATTTTGAATATAAGATGGTATAGGCATAATTATAGTTATGATTAATCTTATTAACCGTGTTCTTCAAATTCTCCATATCCTCAATAAGTTTCAGTCAACTAGATCTGTCAATTCCTAAGAAAGGTATATTAAACTTATCACTGTGATTGTTGACTTATATGCACATATGTGTATGTATCCTTGTTAAATGCAAACAATTCATGGTCATTCCTTAATGGAGCACTACCTTTATGAATATGATATACCCTTCTAGTGCCATATATAAATGTATTTTTAAACCGACTTAAAAAAAAAAAAAAAAGAGGAACTTGCTCTGTCACCAGGCCAGAGTGCAAAGGTGCAATCATAGCTCACTGCAGCCTCGACCTCCCAGGCTCAAGCAATCCTCCTGCTTCAGCCTCCTAAGTAACTGGGACTACAGGTGCATGTAACCATGCCTGGCTAATATTTTTACTTTTTGTAGAGACAAGGGTCTTGCTTTGTTGCCCAGGCTGATCTCGAACTCTTGGCTTCAAGTGATCCTCCTGCCTCAGCTTCCCAAAGTGCCAGGATTACATGTGTGACCCACCATGTAAGCCCACATTTTTCTAACTTCTACAGTAATAATATCTATATCCTATTTATTTATAACATAAATCTTACTTAGCTTGTTTTACTTCTCTTCACTCTTGCTTTCCCTACCACCCTTCTACATCACCTGGAATTTGAATTCCAGGTTTTCTTTTTAATTTTCTAGAATCTAAATTCACTTTGTTTAGCAATATCTTTTACCAAATACATGACCACCTTTGCTTCCATTATCTCACATCTTCCCTTATGATCTTTTTAAAATTATTGCTGGAATAGAATTCTGAAAAGTCACCCACACTTAAATGATAGTTTAATTGAATTCAAAATTATTTTCCCTAGATTTTAAAAAATAATGCTTCGTGTCTTCTTATATCCAGTGGAGCCCAAATGAGTTGGATGTAAATTTGACTTCCATTTCTTCATAAGCATTTTCCCTGAATATGTTTAGAAATTTCTCCTTGTTCCCAAATTTTGTCACTGTGAATCTAGGTGAGGGTCCTTCTCATCCTGTATGCTCAGAATTTAATAGGACCTTGCAATCTAAGGATGTATGTATGCATTTAGATCCTGTGAAATATCCTCCTTTTATTCCTTTATTTTCTCATGACTATGGTTGCATACTACACAATAGTAGGTTGTACACTACACATTGGCAAATCTTACTATTCAAATGACAGCCCCTGAAATTGTGCAGTGCACAATCAGCAAATCTTATTTGGTAGATCTGTATTTTATTTCTTACTTGTTCTCAATTCTCCCCTCCTCTCTAACTCCTCATCCTGTTACATGAGTTTGGAACATCTGGATCTATTTTTCATATCATTTAACTTTTCTTTCATCTCTGCATGCATCTTTTTATATGGCTTTGTGGAGGAATTTCTGGCTTATCTTGATCATCATGAGGAGGGAGAAACTCAAACTATGTGTTTCCTGTGCTTTCACACTACAACAATCAACACAGAAGACTGACGGCGGAGCGGGGTTCTCCACACAGCAAGCAAGCAATCAGTTCTGCAGTGGACACCAGCTGAGTGTACTCCAATTCAGTTTTTACACTATTTATCAGGAGATCCCACAGGTTGAGGACTGAGTCTACCAGACTGCCCCCACTTCAAATGACAGTTCCAAGTCTGGGCCTCCAGAACTTCTGACCAACCATTTCCAAGCTGGGGTTCCCATGGCTTCCTCCTTTGCATTGTATTAATTTGCTAGAGCAGTTCATGAAACTCAGAGAAACACTTGGGTTTACTGGTTTATAACAAAAAATACAGATGAAAAGATGCATAAGGCAAAGTATGGGGGAAGGAGCATGGAGCTTCCATGCACCTCCACTGGGTGCGCCACCCTTCAGGAACCTCTACATGTTCAGCTATCCAGAAGCTCTCTAAGCCCTGTCCTTTTGGGTCGTTATGGAGGCTCCATTGCAAAGGAATCACTGATTAAACCATTGGCCATTGGTGATCGGCTTAACCTTCAGCCCCTCTCCCCTCCCCGGAAGTTGGAGGTGGGCTGAAAGTCCCAACTCTCTAATCCTCCCCTTGTTCTTTCTGGTCACCAGCCCCCATCCTGAAGCTACCTAGGGGCTGCCAGACATCAGTCAACTCATTAATAAACAAAACGACATCACACTTTGGTGTTTCTAAGGATTTTAGGAGTTGTATGTCAGGAAATGGGGTTGAAGACCAAATATATATTTCATAATAGCACAATCTTTCAGCTTATTTATTTTCTCTTGGCTTTATCTATCCTGTTCTGGATTTATCCCTTGTTGAATTTTTATGTCAATAATCAAATTTTAAATTTCCAAGATGTGGGAGCGCCCAGTTACTTGGCACATTTTCCTGCCTCCTTGAACCAAATGACCGCACTCACTGCTGGGGTCAAAGATGTCAGTCACCAGCCAGACATGGTGGTTCACACCTGTAAACCCAGAACTTTGGGAGGCCAAGGTCGGTGGATCCCTTGAGCCCAGGAGTTTGAGACTAGCCTGGGCAAAATGGTGAAACCCCATCTCTACAAAAAATACAAAAATTAGCTGGTTGTGGTGGTACCTGCCTGTGGTCCTGACTACTGGGGAGGCTGAGGTGGGAGGAGAGCTTGAGCCCAGGAGGTTGGGGCTGCAGTGAGTTGAGATCGTGCCACTGCACTCCAGCATGGGTACCTGAACTGTCATCCTATCAGTTGCCCCAAGACCAACTTTTGTCTCCTGGTTCCAAAACATGTGGATCATTTTTTGGTCCACTCCTGTCTTCTGCAGAAGTCCTCCTTGGCACTCTTCACTGTTACCCCATCTGCCATCTTTGTCAATTTTTTATCATTTCTAGGAATTTGGGGTGGAATATGAGAAGAAAGCAACATATCTTCAGGACACAATCTTGAATCAGTAGCTATTTTTCACCTGTGCATTAGAGACGGGAAACTTGCAGAGCACTTAACAGGACTTCCCTACGATCACCAACTAGTATTTATTGAATTGTTTATTAGTGGAAACATTAAGCAATTATCCTTCATAAAAACATTATGAAGTAAGCATTACTATAGTCCCAGTTTTAAGATGAGAAAACACAGATTAAAAACATCCTAAAGAGCAGAGCCAAGTTACACTCCAGGTGGTCCGTCTCAGAAGCCTGAACTCTTTACTAATACACTATACGATGGCATATCCGGGTGATTTTGGGAACACATTATACTTCTACCCTGCCAGGAGGGCCAAATGTATTTACTTTGTCATCTCTGTGCTGTAAGGGGCCACATTTCTACCCATCAACTCAATCTACATTACTCAAGCATGCTTGTAATTCATATGTTATTTCCTCATGCCAGGAAGAACAGTCACAGTTCTGTTTCACTATGCTTTTATCTTTGAGACTCAAATTCCCCCCTCCCCACTATAAATTATTTGCACATACTAGTCTAGAAAAATTTAATATGCCACTTTCCCCCACAAACACATCTCCACAATCATAAACATCATGAAATAAACTTCTCTTAGACAAATGAAAAAGTTTCTTACCTTTTTCTCCAGGCTAAGGATCAAAATTCAAGTTTTACTTGGTTAACTCTCCTGCTAATCTGAAAACTGTCTTCTTCTCTATAGATGCTTGCTGTTTCAGGGGGGCAGGCGGGAGTTATTTAAGAATAATTTCCATTACCTAATACCTTGATACTAATGTGAAAAAAATTATGAAAATCAGAGGTCAACACTTAAAAAGATCCACGAAAAATCTCCTACAAAGACACTTAAATAAGTAAAATCATCAAATTTTCATAATGTAACAGGGAGAAGATTGAAGAAACCAAAAAAAGCAAGTATGTTCCTTTGCTGGAACTAATTCTATGGCTAATATATATACAAGTTAATCAGCATACCTTTCTCCTGCTCATTATTCTACATATAATATGGGTCTTAAGTAAGTAAACATTCCAAACTAGATGAAATACAGTTCCAGAGAGAAATTATAAGTAGTTTAAGACTTAACCCTTTGTATTAGTCAGAGTTCTCCAGAGGGACAAAACTAATAGGGGAGACATATATCTATAGATATAGATAGATGATAATAGATTAGATATAGATATATTAAAAGGAGTTTATTAAGGAGAATTGGCTCACATGATTACAAGGCAAAGTCCTACAGTGGGCCGTCTGCAAGCTGAGGAAGAAAGAAGCCAGTAGTGGTTCAGTCTGAGTCCAAAAGCCTCAAGAGTAGGAAAGCCCATAGTGCAGCCTTCAGTCTGTGGCCTAAGGCCCAAAAGCCCCAGGCAAGCCACTGGTGTTAAGTCCAAGAGTCCAAAGGCCAAAGAACCTGGAGTCTGATGTCCAAAGGCAGGAGGAATGGATGGAGGCATCCAGCACAGGAGAGGGATGAAAGCCAGAACTCTGCAAGCCAGCTTAGCCCGCCCACCTTCTCTCTCCTGTTTTGTTGTAGCTACCCTGGCAGCCGACTGGATGGTGTCAACCCCCATTGAGGGTGAGTCTTCCTCTCCTAGTCCACTGACTCAAATGTTAATCTCCTCTGGCAACACCCTCACAGACACACCCAGAAACAATACTTAGCTATCTAGGCATCCTTTAATCCTATCAAGTTGACACCTAATATTAACCATCACACCTTAGGATTTAGAATTTTCTTAAGAACACTGAATGACCCTTGCCCAGGATCGTATCTGTGCTGTGTCTGAAGTCTTAGACTCCCTCCTGGCCTAAAGAATTTTCCTTCAATGCAATGAAAAATGATAATCCCACAAACTAGAAACCAAGACTTGTGCAAAATCAAAACATTGCAAAGGTGGGTGTGGGGAAATCAAGCTATTATCTTTAGGTATATTCTATTCCTAGGTGTTTAAAACACTAATATTAAAAAGTGATATGGAGCTTCACCTACCCTCTGGCAATTTGCAGTTATTGTCCTTTGATCATGTAAAGCAACTGAGATCATTTGCTCCTGACTTCACTTCACTAATCTATATCCTTCATTTTTTGCTCCAAGTGTTCCTTCTTCTGAGTGCCTAGTGCTGCTCCAGTACCTAGATATCTCTCTCTCCCCCTCTCTTTCTGTCTCAATATCCAATCAATCCCAAGCTGTATTACCTCTTTACCAACTTTGGGAAAGTGGACCAGTATTCAGGCTTGGATAAGCCAAGGAAAAATACTAAGGAACTGCTTAAAGCTCTAGTAGTTCTTCTACTTTGCTGTTTCTGGCTTTGGCCATCTAAAGCAAAGTTCCTTGGATTGGTTGACAGTGAGATAGTCTCTAGATTCTTGTGTCTCTTTTTAGTAGGGCCACCTAAGATGTATCATCCATTGTGTAATGAGTTCTTGACCAAAGAAAAGAAATCTTAAGGTCTTCCGACTCTGTCATCTTTCTTGTTTGCCACTCTTTGGACTGTAATTTGAAGAGAAAAAACCTTGTTTTCTTGTGAAAATTTTGGATGCTGAGTAGTTGACAACAACAGTAACTTCAGCTAGAAAATGCTGGAAACAATTTAATACGCAGAAATGATTAACTCCGAAATCATCAACATGACTCCACCAGCCCCATTTTTAAATTTCTATTTAAACATTTCCCAAATTATTTGCACATTCTTCTTTTGGCTGTAAGTCTTGTTTTTCTCTATGCTAGCTAATAGTTTTCTAGATAATTTCTATTCCCTTGACTTGTTCTTATGTTAAATCCTCAAAATTAAGAGCTTTCAACTCAAAAATCAGAAATAGGAAAGAAGTGTTTAATGAAATGATTTCACTTTTTTCTGAAAGTATTGACATGAAGTATTAAAAGCATCATCTGATAGAAAAAGAAGGTACTTGCCAAATGTTATATCGGCCTTTATAGAGCACTAGTAACAGACACTATAAAGTCTTTTGTTTCCTAATTTATTATTTTCCTAATGGGCCACATAGCAGACACTGAAGGTTCTACGTAACAAAGGTCCTACAAGTAAATTGTGAAAATCCCTTATTGGATGGTGTTTTTAGAATACAGAAGGTCCTATTTCCTTAATGCAAGGTGCTTAGGGAAGTCACTCTCAAGTCACTAGAAATCTATTAAAGCACCACTTGCTGGAAAATGGAATGTGCTCTGGAAGTACAATGGTGCTCTTGCTAGCGCCTTCCTAACCATAACAATAATAAGAACAACACTGATCAAATATTTACCATGTTCCAGCCACTGTACTAAGTGCTTTGGGTACATTACCTCATTTAATCTTCATATCAAGCCTAGAAGGTAGTTTCCATTATTTTTTCCACCTTACAGGGGAATAACTTGAGGATCAATTTGCTGTAAGGAAGTTTATTTATCACAACAAGTAAAGAAAGTTTTCCAAGGTCATACAGTCCTTACGTGGGGAAGCTATACTCAAAGCTGATGTTCATCGCCACTACAGGCTAGTGCCTTCTCAGCAAGAACTACTCTTACAGTGCTAAGAGGAGAAATGGGCAAGGTGGTAAGAGCCAGAATATCTGTTGTTGATATTACAGATACAGCTCTGAACTTAAGACCCTAAAAATGATCTCCAACCTCAGTTGCCTCTGAGAGCCTTCAGCATGATATGTGATCATGTGAGAGCCACGTTATGTGTATTCTTTTTACCACCTCTTCTGTATTCATCTGGAGATAGTTCTCTTTTCTGTTTTTTCTAGAGGAAAAAAACAACGACAAAAAAACAGGGAGATCTTAGCAGAACCAAAGCAGATTAGATATTAGCCTTGAAAATGGTGACAGCAATCAGTGATATTGAACCTGAAATAATTTAAATAATTATCGGGGACTTACCAGAGCTAAGTTCGTGGACCACTGGGATTTCTCTTATTTGGGTCTCATAGTCTTCCATAAAGTGATGGGACTATAATTGTCCATCTTCAAGTATCCTTCTATGACTCATGTATAATCCCTTGACTCTTTTAGGAGATTCCTGGCAGTTAATGTCAATACTGCCCTTCATAATGCTTCTGAGTTAGCTTAGGTAAGGTCCTTAAATACCCAATGACTTATACTCTGAGGCTTCTAAACTGGTATGTGGAACTCGGTGGTTGCAACTTCACCCAAATCCTCATTCTGTGTTGTGCTGTCCCTAATTTAGAGGGCAAAAGATTTCAAACTCAATCATTTCTTGTTAAATTCAACTCTTGGAGCTCCACCTGTCATAAACACAATCGCATTTCCCATGTACTCAATTACTTCTGTTTCTCGAATCCATCATTCATCCCATAGATATTGAGTGCCTAATGTATTCCAGATATAGTTCTACATAATAAGGATAGAGCAGTGTATGAAACAAAGCACCTACCTTCATAGGACTTATTCTGAGGAGGTAGGAGGGGAGACAAATGATATAATAACTTAGACTATATCTGAGTAATACAACAAATAAGTCTTTAAAAACAGTGGCTTGAATAAGATACAAGTTTATTTATCTTTCATGTAACAGTCCAGGGCTAACAGAGCAGTTCTGCCATCCTCATCACAGGGCTTCTGCCTCTGGGTCCAAAGTAGTTGCCCCAATTCCTGCCATCACATCTGCACCCCAGCCAGTGGAGAGGGTAAGAGGGCAAGGGTAACACATACATATTCTTTTTTAGGGCACAAACTAGAAATAATACATGCAACTTCCATTCACATCTCATTGGCCCCAAACTTTGGACAAACCCAGATGCAAGAGAAGCTGGTAAATTAGCCTTTAATTGAGAAGCCAAGCGCCCAGAAAGCAGGGAGTTAGAGTATACAAGGAAAGATCATTTTTATGGATATCAGTCTCATTCAGAAATAAACAAATAAATAAATACATTAGTATTCAGATGGTATATGGAGAAAAATTAAGAAAATTATGAGAGGCCGGGCGCACTGGCTCACACCTATAATCCCAGCACTTTGGGAGGCCGAGGTGGGTGGATCACAAGGTCAGGAGATCGAGACCATCCTAACACAGTGAAACCCCATCTCTACTAAAAATACAAAAAATTAGCTGGGTGTGGTGGCACTTGCCTGTAGTCCCAGCTACTCGGGAGGCTGAGGCAGGAGAATCGCTTGAACCCGGGAGGTGGAGGTTGCAGTGAGCCGAGATTGCACCACTGCACTCCAGCCTGGACAACAGAGCGAGACGCGAGACTCCGTCCCCCCCCCAAAAAAAAAGTTACGAGATAAGGAATACCAAGAAGTGAGGAAAGGAAAGGAGGGGAGCTTGTTATCTTACCTAAGATGTTCAGGGAAGACCTCAATGACAGTTGGTAAAGTAACTTCTGAGCAAAAGCTTACAAGAAATTAGGAAGCCAGTCATGCAAATATCTAGGGATGAGCCTTTGAGAAAAGGAAATAGCAAGTGAAAACATCCTGAGATAGAAGGGCCTTGATGTATTCAAGGAAGTACAAGGAGAAAATTATGATGAAATGGAGCAAAACAGGTAAGAGAGAGGGTCAGAGAAGTGAATGTGGGCCTTGATGCTGAAGCCATTGGAGGGTTTTCTGTTGAGGAGGAGTATGGGAATGATATGATCTGACTTATGTTTCAAAAAGTGTACTCTAGCTGCTTTGTGGGAAATATAGGAGGGAGAGAGCAGAATCAAGGAGGCCATTTAAAATGCCATTGCAAATATCCAAGAGAGGTGGAAGCTTGGAGCAGGGAAACAGTGGTGGAGGTGGTGAGATGTGGTTGGATGCTGGACATATTTTGAGCCAAGAGGATTTTCTGATAAATTGCATTTGGAAAATAAGAAAAAGCTTATTCACTCACCACTCTAACAGTCACACCAGTCTATAATCCCAGCACTTTGGGAAGCCAAGGCAGGTGGATCAATTGAATCCAGGAGTTCAAGACCAACCTGAGCAACATAGTGAGACCCCATCTCTACAAAAAAAAAAACTCTAAAAATTAGCCAAGCATGTGGCATGCACCTGTAGTCCCAGCTACTCAGGAGGCTGAGGTGGGATGATCACTTGAGCCTGGGAGGTCAAGGCTGCAATGAACTGTAATCATGCCACTGCACTCCAGACTGGGTGACAGAGCAAGACCCTGTCTGGGAAAAGAAAAAGGCATGGCGGGGGGTGGGGGGGCGGGTGTGGTGTTTCACACCTGTAATCCCAGCACTTTGGGAGGCCGAGGCAGGCAGATCACCTGAGGTTGGGAGTTCGAGACCAGCCTGGCCAACATGGTGTAACCCCATTTCTACAAAAATACAAAATTAGCTGGGCATGATGGCTGGCATCTGTAATCCCAGCTACTCGGGGGGCTGAGGCAGGAGAATCGCTTGAACCCGAGAGGCAAAGGATGCAGTGAGCCGAGATTGTGCCACTGCACTCCAGCCTAGGTGACAGAGCAAGACTCCATCTCGAAAGAAAGAAAAAGAAAGAAAGAGAGAGAGAGAAAGAGAGAAAAGAAAGAATAATCACACCCCAAGAACATCAAGCTAGGACCATGGTGAACAATGCTCCAAGAGTGTTCTGATGCTGTAAACTGAGTGTGATGTGCATAAATTGTTTTGCACTCTGCAGGTAGGAGGGTGGGATAGCCAAAGCTGTTCAATATAATAATATTAAAAAATAAAATCTCAATTGAAGTAAAATACAAATTTTCTTAAGCAATATTTTAAAGTAAATGGAAATGTTACAACCTGGATGAGGGGTGAGGAATTAATAACCTCTAATCACAGAATAAAAATGGAATGAGAATTCCATCTACCCAAATCAGACAATTAAAAAGTCGAAAGAGGTTACAGTAAAAATTGGGTAAAACTAAAACTTAAAAAATAATTTCAGAGGATACATGATATACTCGTCACACAGAAAACTCCAGTTGAACCTTATGGACTTGAGGAATGGATACCTTTGTTTCTCCATCACTTAGCACAGTAGCTGGCACCATGTCAGTTCTCACAGAATTTTCCTGAACTCTCCAACCAGAGGCAACCTTTCACTCTCCATTCACATAACATTTCCTTCTTTCTCTTCTTTTGGGAATAACGTATCTTGCTTGAATTATATTTATCTTTATGCCAGTTTAATTCTCTCTTTTAGATTCATTTACATCTTTGTATCCTCTAGCTCATTATTTTTTCAAAATAAAATGGATTAACATAAACAATTATTAAAGAGATAAACTAAAGGAAAATATTACAACCTGGCTGAGGGGCAAAAATTATATGTTCAACATATATTTGATAACACATACTGAGAAAACACGGTCTACTTTTACTTTTCAGAAGTTTGTTCATGTTGACATTGTGGGGCCTAGAAGATTTTTATCAAGTTTTCTATTTTTGCCAAGTCATATGATCTGCTATAGTTCAGCTATAGTTAACCAAATGTAGAAAAGAAAAAAATTTTCCATAATATCTAGTAATTCTCCAAAACAAGCTTGTTCCTTGTTATAAACACTGACATTCTTTGATAACTCTCACTTTATCCCACAGAGGTCATGTACTTATTTCCCATCTGTTGTCCTATGCTTACATTCCAAATTCAGTTGCATTGACTTTTAGAACAGCTTTAGGAACTGCACCCAGTTTTAAAATACATTATTTGTCTAAAAATTATGACATGAGATTAAACTGTCATCTTTGTAGGTTTCTACACATACTCCAACTCATTCACCAATCCTTGAAAAGATTATGTAACCAATCTCAATGCCCTGACCCAGGCCAAGCCCATTTCTACATGTGCAGTGTTCTCTGGATCTGATATTTAAAGCCCCTTATCCTGATACTACACACCTTTTGTCTTCTGGAATGCACCTCTCTTCTCATCCTTTTTCAAGGCACTAGAAAAGCAGACCATTTCTGCAGCACCTCAAACCAGGGTGAGAAAGCTCCACTCTAATCTCATCATTTTAGCTACATAGATACATCGGCTCAAGGGAAGATGCCAAGTGTAGTACTTTACCACTCTGAGGATTTTTGAATCTATAACAGTTGTTTCAACTGGGCCAATAATTATGAAGGGCAATAATTAAAAAGAGTATCCATAGTAAAGGAGTAAGAAAAAAAGTTAGAAAAAAAGTAGAGAAAAATATTTACTAGAGTATTTACTAGAACCCACCACTCTCAGATCAATTTTCTAGTGTTCTGTTGACTGGCAACCAGTCAACAAACTTTCATTGAGAAGCTATTTTATAGTAGGCATTGGGATAGCCTTTGTGGAATAAATACCGAGAAGCATATGTCTCTAGCAGAAGACAGACAAGAAAATGTAAAAACAAGAAAAAGAAATTGAGGAATAAGCCTACAGTTTACAAAGCTACACAATTATTCGTTATGCAAGGAATGAGGACTTAAGAGAAAGACTTCCCTGTGAACTACAATGAGATGAAAAAGCTTCTCAGAGTGAGATTTGAGCAAGAGTTTAAAAGAACTGACAGACTGATAAAAAGCTTCAAGTAGTCCAGAGGACTGAGTACTAAAACTCAGAACAATGTAACAAAAGCACAGAAGACAAAGTTAAGATGCTTTACATGACAGTAGAACATTTAGGCTAAGCTGGAGGACTGGGGAGAACAAGTGAAGAAGGTAAGTTTTGGCTAGATAATAGGTGGCCTTTAGTGTCAGGATGAGGATTTGGAAGTTAATCTTTTGGTCAGTGGGTAATAAATGATGGCATTTGTGTAGTTGAGCCAGTTGACAATGCTTTAACAACTTCAAAAGGCCCTGAAAAACATGGTCCCTAATCCTTAAGAAAAAAGGAACTCCTGACTTCAGGACCCTAAGCTAGGAGGAGATTGGAAAAATTCTCTTATGGCCCAACTGTATAGAAAATAGACCACCTCGGCCGTCTCACTTACTGAGTAACCTTTCCTACCAGAGAATGTGCTATATATGATTTCTTTACTTTCAACGGAAATTTTGGATTCTCAGTTATCTTTCCCTGACCTCTTGTCTGGTGATCAGAAAAAGATGACTAAACTGGGAATCTTTATTTTCTAGTGGAAAAATAATCACGTATACCACATTTTATATCTTTTAATTGGGTGTAAATTTGAACTTCAACATCATAAAAATTAGTAAAATTCATTTTAAGCACAAAGTTGTTAATTCCCCCAAGATTTATCAAGAATGGCTTAATTTCAAAGGCTGTCAAGTTAATTATAAGCTAAGATTTTCCAGTTGCACCAAGGGTATATTTTATTTGGCAAAAGAAACATCCACTGGCTTTTGTCAGGATGAGTCTTGAGTTATTCAAGTTTTGAACTGAGAGGTCTTCAGAAATTCACCCCACATATTAACTGTGGCCTTCTCTACACCACAAATTCCCCTCCACTCATCCTCAAATTGTTTCCTTTCTCAGAACATCTGTGACACAAAGACTGTGACACACCCACAGGTCGATTAACATGAGGACCCAACACCTATTAAAACATCCACACTCCTGAGAACACTAAAAACCAACCACCTCGTCAGGTCCCACCTCCAGTCTCGCTGAATCAGGAAACCTCAAGAGAAGCACCTGGAAGCAGGTTTAACAAGCGCAAGGCCGGGCGCGGTGGCTCACGCCTGTAATCCCAGCACTTTGGGAGGCCGAGGCGGGCGGATCACGAGGTCAGGAGATCGAGACCATCCCGGCTAAAACGGTGAAACCCCGTCTCTACTAAAAATACAAAAAATTAGCCGGGCGTAGTGGCGGACGCCTGTAGTCCCAGCTACTTGGGAGGCTGAGGCAGGAGAATGGCGTGAACCCGGGAGGCGGAGCTTGCAGTGAGCCGAGATCCCGCCAGTGCACTCCGGCCTGGGCGACAGAGCGAGACTCCGTCTCAAAAAAAAAAAAAAAAACAAGCGCAAAGGTGACTCTTATAATTGGGAAAGTTTGGAACCAAGACAGGGTTCTTGTCCTGGAGGAAGTATTTTCCTGTGGAGAAGGACCTGTAAACAGCCTATGAAGTGCTCAGCTTTCACCAAGAAAAACATGGGCTGATAGGGTTAAGGAAAAGTTTGACTGAAGAGGATTAAATCCTGAAGGTTAGGGATGTCTTTGGGCGCTGGGGTCTCTCAATCACCAAAGATAGACATTACAGGCCAGGTAGCTCTTTGTCCCCCCAGAGGACTGTCCTGTGCCTTATGCTTAGCACTCCTGGCCTCTGCCCATTGGATACTTCTAGCACCTCCCCCCCAACACACACACACCTGACAACCCAAAACATCTACAGATATTGCCAAATACTCCACAGGGGGTGGGGTGGTGGCAATATATCTCCCTGTTTGAAGTCACTGGAATGGAAGTTAGGGGAGGATGGCTAAGTCAGGACTTGCAAAAAGGCTAAGGGACGAAAGCACATGGCTATATTAGACAAAGTTTGTGACAGACGCCTGTAGGTATATGGTAAGGAAAACAGATTAAAACACTAAGAAATAGTAAGAGGTTGGACCGAGGGTTTCTCATCTGTATGGGAAATCTCATCTCGTTCATTACTTTCAGAAACAAAAAGGAAAACGACTTTAAAGATACAGGTTAAAGGCTGAAGGGGTGTAGAACCACCCCCCGCCTCCTTCCCTCCATCCCTCCCAAATATCCCAGAACGAGTCAAACCTTTCTAATCTCGTAGCACAGATAACAAGCAACTCAGTAAGACTAGACGGGGATGACTGAGGGCCAACTCATTACAGGACTACAGGAAACTCCTTAGTCCTAAACCCGAATGCATCCGTGACCATGGTAACACTCCCTACCTGACCAAAAGCTATCAAACGCTCTGACAAGTGTTTACAGCTGCTTTCTCGATTACTGAAGTGGCTCTGAAAAGAGCCTTTGGGGTTAGGTGGTTGATCTATTGCGTCCCTTGCACACTCTTACTTCGAGCTGGTGTACTTGGTGACCGCCTTGGTGCCCTCGGACACGGCGTGCTTGGCCAGCTCGCCGGGCAGCAGCAGGCGCACGGCCGTCTGGATCTCGCGGGACGTGATGGTGGAGCGCTTGTTGTAGTGCGCCAGGCGGGACGCCTCTCCCGCGATGCGCTCGAAGATGTCGTTGACGAAGGAGTTCATGATGCCCATGGTCTTGGACGAGATGCCGGTGTCGGGGTGGACCTGCTTCAGCACCTCCTACACGTAAACGGAGTAGCTCTCCTTGCGGCTGCGCTTGCGCTTCTCGCCGTCCTTCTTCTGCACTTTCGTAACAGCCTTTTTGGAGCCCTTCTTGGGAGCAGGAGCGGATTTCGCTGGATCCGGCATTTTTGCGCGAAAAAAGAGAACAGAGACTTAAAGAAGTAATCCGAACTACCGCAAAACGGGCTGGTTATGCGCTACTTATAGAGCCTGTATGCAAATGAAGACTCGCAAAGTGCTGCGCTTTAATTGGTTAACTTACAACGGTGTCGTCAGAGGGGGTGGAGTCTATGTAAATAATAGATTCTAGTCTTGCTTCCTTAATGGTCACTGTAACAAAAGTCTTGTTATCCAATCAGAATGGTCCATTTCACACTAACCAGTTTTAAGCTAGGTGAAGCGATAGTTTCAACGGCTTGAGGTTTTTTTCTTGGTTTTCACTTTCCATTAGACTTGCATACGGAAGAAATCTTAACGCCAGCTAGACAAGTTAACTCTCTTGCCTCGTTTTTGCATTTTTATTCTATACTTTGTGGAAATTTTTTTCTCTTCCTTGAAATACTACCTCACCCACACATTTTTAAAAATCGCCAGATATTTACTCCCGCCCGCTTAAATTACTATTCTGGCTTGGACACCGCCTGTAGTATGCAATGAGGAAGATGCTGAGCTTTAATTAAGCTTATAGTTCCTAAATAAACCAGGAAACGAGTTTATAATTTTTAAGGGACTCGCCCCACCCTTACACTCAGGATCTTCCACATCTAGAAACTCCCCATAGTCTCTTGCCCCCATGCAAAACTTTACCCACAGAATTGGGAGCCGGACCTCTAGCCTTAAACCAGCGTGAAAAGGCTCGGCCGGAACCACAAGGACCATGCCTCTGCGGCTTTCTCTACTGCCGGCCAACTCACGGCTGGGCTTTGGGTTCTGTAACGTCACCCACCACGAGTGCCCCTGGCCCCTGACCGCTGCGCAAGGCAGACGCACATCAGATGGAGAGCCGGTACAGCTGCTCTTGATGAAAACGGCAGTGGCTCTGAAAAGAGCCTTTAGATCGACCACTTAAAAATATACCTTAGGCCCGCTCCCCGCGGATGCGGCTGACCAACTGGATGTCCTTGGGCATGATGGTCACGCGCTTGGCATGGATGGCGCACAGGTTCGTGTCTTCGAACAGCCCCACCAGGTAGGCCTCTCTGGCCTCCTGCAGCGCCATCACGGCCGAGCTCTGGAAGCGCAGGTCCGTCTTAAACTCCTGCGCGATCTCGCGTACCAGCCGCTGGAAGGGCAGCTTGCGGATCAGCAGCTCCGTAGACTTCTGATAGCGCCGGATCTCCCGCAGAGCCACGGTGCCGGGCCGGTAGCGGTGCGGCTTCTTCACCCCGCCCGTGGCCGGCGCGCTCTTGCGGGCCGCTTTGGTAGCCAGCTGCTTCCTCGGGGCCTTGCCGCCGGTCGACTTGCGGGCAGTCTGCTTAGTACGGGCCATGCTGTCTCATTGATACGAGAGGGTCTAGGCAGTCGTATTTATAGACATAGCCTCCTCTTGATTGGGCCTGAAAAGGAAATTTTCAAACTTGTGATCTCATTGGTTAAAATTCAGTCCTCTTTACTGGGGCGGAAGATTGTTCTGCTAATCTTTCTTCCCTTATTATTTCCCCCTTTCCTGATTTTTTTCTGTAATTTTATCGATCACGGATTGCTTTTGAAGACTTTCCTTTAAATTAGTCTAACTTTTGTAAAAGCAATGTATAAAGTGTTTTGCATCCCATTTTAACAGAGATTTTTTTTTTTCCCCGAATTCAAGCATGCCCTTCTATGAGCTATCAGCCTGTTTCAGGTTACCTGTTACTGAAGCTCTTCTACCATAGCTAACATTTATTTCATGTCTAGCATTTTGCTCAGCAAGTTAGATGCATTGTATACCATGAATGACCGAAGCTTAGCAAAAAAATATGTAATTGAAGGAATGAAAAAATTGATCTTATTTACTTGACCTTGGAACCCAGCCAAAGCCATTTCATGTGGGTAGTGTGCTGACCTATATTGACCTGATATTAGAGCCTCTGCCTTCCTTTAGTCTTTTCTCCCTGCGATGTGGTTCCTTCTTCCTCACCCTCACATCAATGGCCAATTAGGTCCTGCAGATGTTAAGCTTCTAAATCAAAGAAGGACAACACCAGAAATTCATTTCTCCTTTACAATGTAGAATAGTTTGTAAATTAGTGCTAATTAGCCAGATTACAAGTTAAAGTTTCAAAGCAAATTATTCATCAATTGCTGACTTGCTAACATTTTATTCAATAAAGTATTTTATAATGCTTAAAAGTTTAATATTTTTTTCTGTTCTCTATGAAGAGAGTAAAGATGCTTTGCTTTTTCAATTTCATGTGCTTTGAAGTATGTATTGTTCAGAACAGTAAATATAGTGGTTATGTAGAAGCAACTGATACTTAAAAGTTGTAGTAGTTAATATAAAACTTTTAATCATATGCTTATTTTACTAAAAAAATCATTACAAACTATAAAAACTCAAACCTGAGAAAAGCAGGCCCGAAACGCTTAAAACTTACTTTGATGGTGTCATTATGAACTATCTTCCTACTGAAGTCAAAGTAAAGTAAAAGTGATTTCAAGGGGACTTCCTGAACACTAAACACAAAGTAGAAATCTGTGAGCTTAATTAATATCTTCAAGAGTCTCTCATGGGCAGAAGCATCCTCCTCTCGAGAGATCTAAAATGTACAAAAGTGTAACTGATGTGAACAAATGTTATCCCTCTCTGTGGTAGTTTTGTAATAATGCCTTACAGACAGCAGGCACTACTCAGTGTTTAAAGTTCTTCTACATACACTTTATCATTTAATCCCTACTCTGTGAAATAGATCTTACTCTTCTCACTTTACAGATAAGAAAACTGAGTCTCAGAGAAATTATGGCTTGTCCTGGGTAAGTAACAAAGCCTGTGTAATATTCTAAAGCAAAAGAATGAAACGGTAATGATGAAACTTTCTATTTCATTAGGCTTAGAGGATACCTTTTTTTTTTTTCATTTGAGATGGAGTCTCACTCTGTCACCCAGGCTGGAGTGCAGTGGTAGGATCTCTGCTCACTGCAGCCTCCGCCTCCTGTGTTCAAGCAATTCTCCTGTCTCAGCCTCCTGAGCAGCTGGGACTATAGGCGCAAGCCACCACCCCCAGCTAATTTATTTATTTATTTGTATTTTTAGTAGAGACAGGTTTTCACCATATTGGTCAGGCTGGTCTCGAACTCCTGACCTCAGGTGATCCACCCTCCTCGGCCTCCCAAAGTGCTTGGGTTACAGGCATGAGCCCCACACACCCAGCCAACACAGTTTAAAGCACAAAAGCGTTTTCCCATCATGCAATCACATCATCTAGTATTTCTCAAACATCTACACCCAACTATTCCCATTAGAAGGGAAAACTACCCCATGGAATCTGGATGATAGCCCAAAGCAGCCCACCCAAGCATCACTTTTCTTTGCAATATACTTTCTCTATGATGTATGCAGTCTTGACCATAATGTAGGATGTGTTCATTTAAATAAGAAAATGGCATTCAATCAGACTTTAATGGCTATAGGTATCATTTCTCAGAATAAAACAATCAGATGTATAGTTGCCTTAAAAGTCATCTTTAATAACAGAATTCAGATCAATTGTTAGTTCAATTTCACCTAGTCCCCACATTGGACACTAGAGTGACATTTCTGTGAAAGGTCTCAATCCACCACTATATCAGAAGCAGCTTTATGGTGCAAAAGAAGCTCTGCTTTTCTTCAGTTGTAACAAAGACGGAATATTCCTCCTAAAATTTTTGAAGTGTCCTTCAGCAGAAATTATAAGGCTGTGCAGCTTGAATACTGAGAACAGAAATTTCATTAGGTAGCACGGGGGAATAGACAAGAGAAGATTAAAATTTACCTAACAAGAAATAAGCAGGCAAAAGAAAATATTAATAAATGAATTATTAGGCACATAATGTTTTGTATGTACATGTGTTTACTTTTAATACAAAAGTAACGGACTAAGTTAACATAGATGTTCCAATAAGATAATTTATGTTTCATTTTTTGGCTTCAAGTATCCTCAGGGTTATAAGTATCATAAGCTGAGACCGGCTGAATTGGTTTGTGGGTTGATGAAGCCCTATGCCTGATTTGAATTTCTCTTGAATGGTCTGCAGCCCTGGACCAAGTTGAAGAAGCCATGAGAGTCTCAGCTTTTTTCCTTACCCCATTATGAGATAAACTCATTCCTTAAATATCTTGCTCATTTGATAAAACTTGGCACCCTTCTCCTTTCTACTGGTCCCTGATACTTACTACCTGTACTGTAAGCTCAAATTTTTTACAATTTCTGCCTTTATTATGTAACGTATTCCACTGGAATATGTGTTACAGGAAAGGGGTCCCGATCCAGACCCCTAGAGAGGGTTCTTGGATATCCGGCAAGAAGGAATTCAGGGCCAGTCCATAAAGTGAAAACAAGTTTACTAGGAAAGTAGAGGAATAAAAGAATGACTACTCCATAGAGAGAACAGCCCTGAGGGCTGCTGGTTGCCCATTTTTATGGTTATTTCTTGATTATATGTTAAACAGGGGTGGGGGAGGTGGACCACGCCTATAATCCCAGCTACTCCAGAGGCTGAGACAAGATCATTTGAACCCGGGAGGCAGAGGTTGCAGTGAGCTGACATCGCTCCACTGCACTCCAGCCTGGACCACAGAGGGAGAATCCGTCCCCCGCACCCCACCCCCCCAAAAAAAATCACTGCCAGTAAGGAACAAACAGCCAAGACGAAGAAGTACTAAGATGTAAAGAGATGTAAAATAGGCCGGGCGCGGTGGCTCACGCCTGTAATCCCAGCTCTTTGGGAGGCCTAGGCCGGGAGATCACGAGGTCAGAAGATAGAGACGATCCTGGCTAACACGGTGAAACCCCGTCTCCACTGAAAATATTTTTTTAAAAAAAATTAGCCGGGCGTGGTGGCGGGCGCCTGTAGTCCCAGCTACTCGGGAGGCTGAGGCAGGAGAATGGCATTAACCTGGGAGGCGGAGCTTCAAGTGAGCCCAGGTCGCGCCACTGCACTCCAGCCTGGGTGACAGTACGAGACTCTGCCTCAAAAAGAAAGAAAGATGTAAAATACTGTGATACATTCTGCAAGAGTTATGACAGAGTCAGAAAGGGGCAAGCGTGTTTCTTCTCTACCCTGAAGCAGCCAAGGGAGAAGAAGGTATCTGTTGCCAACGCTGGGGTGTTACAAGTGCACACTGTCATGCCCGGCTAATTTTTTGGATTTTAGTAGAGACAAGGTTTCACTGTGTTGCCCAGGCTGGTCTCGAACTCCTGAGCTCAGGCAATCCACCCGCCTAGGCCTCGCAAAGTGCTAGGATTACAGGCGTGAGCCACCACGCCCGGCCTATATATGCATATTTTTTTCTAACACTTACATACTTTTTCTTGGTGCCAAGAATGTTTTAAACACTTTACATGTATTAACTCATTTTATCCTCACAAAACCCTGTCAAGTAGGTAGTATAAGTATGTCCATTTACAGATTGGGAGATGGAGGAATCACAGAGAGGTTAAGAAACTTTCTCATAGTCACACAGTCGGTGCCAAACCAGATTTCAACTCCAGAGTCTTCCTTTAGTCACTATACTACACTACTAATATCAAATAAGTAAGATGTTGATGCAACATTGATAGTAATTTAAAAGATTAGAAACAACCAAGAGCCGGGGTGTAGTGGCCCATGCTTGTAATTCCAGCATCTGGGAGCCCGAGGCGGGCAAGTTTGTTGGGAGTTGGAGACCAGCCTGACAACATGGCAAAACCCTGTCTCTACAAAAAATATAAAAATTAGCTGGGCGTGGTGGTGCGCGCCTGTAGTCTGAGCTACTTGGGAGGCTGAGGTGGGAGGATCGCATGAGCCTGGGAGATTGAGGCTGCAGTCTGCAGTGAGTTATGATCACACCACTGCACTCCAGCCTGGGCAACAGAGACCCTGTCTTAAAAACAAAACAAAACCACCTCCGACAACGTAGGAATGCTGAAATGAGTTATGTTAATTCTAAGTAAAAACTCAACCTATCCCAATTAGCCCAAGACCACTACTTAGTCTACCTAAGCCAAGTCTGTTGACTTGTTACAATGAGGGAGAACACACAACAGAGAAACTGGTGGCAGGGTGGTGGGAGGAGGGTGCTCACCAAACAAGAGGAAAATTAGAGTTATCATTGATTTTGGGGGACGAGTGGAGTGTAGTTTTCATAGGCTCAAAGCAAAGCAGGGCTGTGTGAAAGGGTAGGCATAGGATGGGACTTTGAAGTGGATCCAGGGTCTTGTTTCCTCAGAAACTACAAAGTTGAGATAGAGGTGGAATGCTGTGTTCAGAAACCCCTTACTTGAAGTTTTTGCACCTGGGTTGAAAATTACTGCTGGTTTTTTGTGTCAAGGTGGCTTAGGTCCTCCAGACAGGAGGGGGATACTGCATTGTTACTGATTGATAGGATTTCAAGCAGCCAAAGTTCTGATAGTCTGTGATTTTGAGTACAAGTTCCTCAGTGAATAAGAAAGGAGTGGTCACTCAAAGAGGGGAGTTATGAGCCTTTATAGCTGTAGCATGCCCTTGGGAAAAGAATGTTTTCTGTCATTTCTAGTCTAGCTTTATCTCTGTTAGTGCAGCCTAATGAATGGCAGAACAGGTTTTGATTTTCTCAGTCCTAGCGAATTTCTGCTTCTCGAAGTGCATGTTAGTGGTAATGTGTTTTATATCTTACTTTATTTCTTATTTTCCCCCCCTTTAATCTATATTTTATTTTATTTATTTTTTATTTTTTTGAGACGGACTCTCGCTCTGTCCCCAGGGTGGAGTGCAGTGGTGTGATCTCAGCTCACTGCAACCTCTGTCTCCCGGGTTCAAGCGATTCTCCTGCCTCATTTTCCTGCCTCAGCCTCCTGAGTAGCTGGGACTATAGGCGCGCGCCACTACGCCTGGCTAATTTTTGTATTTTTAGTAGAGACGAGGTTTCACCATGTTGGCCAGGCTGGTCTTGATCTCCTGACCTCGTAATCTGCCGGCCTCGGCCTTCCCAAGTGCTGGGATTACAGGCATGAGACACCGCGCCTGGCCTAATCTATATTTTAAAAATTGAACTCTTCCATGTACCCCTGAACCTAAAATAAAAGTTAAAAACGAACAAACATACAAAACAACAACAACGACAAAAAAAAAAAAAAAAAACAAAAAACCAGGCCGGGCATCGTGGCTCACGCTTGTAATCCCAGCACTTTGGAAGGCCGAGGCGCGCAGATCACGAGGTCAGGAGTTCGAGACCAGCTTGACTAACATGGTGAAACCCTGTCTCTACTAAAACTACAAAAATTAGCCGGGCGTGGTGGCACGTGCCTGTAATCCCAGCTACCCAGGAGGCTGAGGCAGGAGAATCCCTTGAACCAGGGAGGCGGAGGTTGCAGTGAGCCGAGATCATCCCACTGCACTCCAGCCTGGGAGACAGAGCGAGACTCTGTCTCAAAAAAAAAAAAAAAAAAAAAAAAAAAGAGAGAATTCTGTACTTTGTAATTAGAGGGGTAATTCATTAATTCATGTCAGGGGCATATTATTTTATTTTTCCAAATGCTAGGAAGCAGGTATCCATTTTTGATAATATAAATTTTGGGATAATTGGCAGTCATCTGGCTCACAGGGAAAACAGGAAAAACAAGAAACCTAAATAAACTTCATATTGATTTCCCAAAAAAATTACCTTTTATTTTCAACCCTTATAGAACCCAACCTGCATCTCTTTGCCATCCATGTTCTTTTTTTTTAGAGACTGGGTCTCATTCTGTCCCCTAGGCTGGAGTGCAGTGGCATGATCATAGCTCACTGCAGCCTCAATCTCCCAGGCTCAAGTGATCCTCCCACTTCAGCCTCCCAAGCAATTGGGACCACAGGCGCATGCCACTGTGCCTGGCTAATATTTTATTTTTTTGTAGAGATGAGGTCAATCTGCATTAAACTTCATGTTGCTCCAACACCACATTTTATCTCCCCACTTTCCCAGCAATGGACAACTAGGCTTGTGCCAATTCTCCATCACCACCAGAAATGCTGCAATGAACATTGTTGTATATATTCCCTTTTGGACCTATATAAGAATTTCTTTTGGATAAAAACTCAGGAACAGAACTGCTGAGAAGCCAGAAACCAGCAGTTCTGTTCAGAGTTTTTATTTATATCTAATTGAACTAAGGAGTGTCAGCCTCCCCTCCAGAATGCTTGTCCCGGACTTCCAATACCAAGGTAGCTGGACTCTGAGCCCACATCCAGGCCCAATCCTCGGGTCATCCAACTTTCTAAGTTTTGCCAGACTGCCTGGTGTAAAGTGGTATCTCAGCATTGCTTTCGTTTTCATTGTTCTGGGTATTCATGAGTTCAAGCATCTCTACCTGAGCTTGATAGTTTTCGGATTTCTTCTCCTGTGTATTGCCTGTTCATATCCTTTGCTCCAACATTGTTTATAGAGCACTCCCTCCCTACTTTGGCATTTGGGGTCCCCTAAACCGGCCCCCATTGCTAAAGCTTACTTCTCATGACTGACCTTTGCCTATGCTGCATGTGGTCCAGGAACAATTCTTCTGTCTTTGTTTTTGCTGTCCCCTCTTGCCTGGATTACATCATCTTCTCCAAACCCCCAATCTAAACATGTCCCGAATCCTAAATATTCTTTAGAACCAAGCTCAGATATCACCTCCTCCTGGAAGGGTTCCTTTATTTGCTCAGCTGGCCTTGGCCTTTCCCTCTTGGCTCCCACAAAGCTCAACCTGCATGTATTATTTATTTATTTATTTATTTATTTATTATTTTTTTGAGACGAAGTCTTGCTCTTGTCCCCGAGGCTGGAGTGCAATGGCACGATCTTGGCTCACTGCAAAGTCCGCCTCCCGGGTTCAAGTGATTCTCCTGCCTCAGCCTCCCGAGTAGCTGGGATTACAGGTGCCTGCCACCATGCCAGACTACTTTTTGTATTTTTAGTAGAGACGGGGTTTCACCATGTTGGCCAGACTGGTCTCAAACTCCTGACCTCAGGGGATCCGCCCCCCTTGGCCTCCCGAAGTGCTGGGATTACAGGCGTGAGCGACCGCACCAGGCCTCAACCTACATTTCAAGTCACCATCTGTCACAGGATACCTTCCACTCTGGCTCTGGATATGGGGGTCACCTCCTCACAAAGACAGACAGGTTGTATGTGCATACACAGAAAGATTCAGAAGAAATATGAAGACTTTTAAAATCAGTCGGATGATTTTAACTTTCTTCTTTGTAGTTTTCTCTAGCCAGTTTTAAAAACTGTAAATTGTAGGCCGGGCGCGGTCACTCACACCTGTAATCCCAGCACTTTGGGAGGCGGAGGCGGGTGGATTACCTGAGGTCAGGAGTTCAAGACCAGCCTGGCCAATATGATGAAACCCTGTCTCTACCAAAAAATACAAAAATTGGCCAGGGGTGGTGCCGCATGCCTGTAGTCCCAGATACTCAGGAGGCTGATGCAGGAGAATCCCTTGAACCCAGAAGGCAGAGCTTGCAGTGAGCTGAGATTGCGCCACTGCACTCCAGCCTGGGCGATAGAGCGAGACTCCATCTCAAAAAAAAAAAAAAAAAAAAAAAAAAATCCAGAAAAACAAAAACAAAAAAACCTCCCAAAAAACCACAACTATAAGTTGTAATCCATAGTGCAATTAATTTACTTGGTAGAGATCATCTTTTCCTTTCATTTTGCCCTTTTGTAAGAATCATAAAACGGGAAAATATCACCAATAGTAATTATCATTTTGTGAAACTTGTTGCAATTTTTATTTTCCTGTGAATGTGACTGGGAGGCAATGTAAATGTATTTCTTTTTTCTTGTTTTTGAGACGGAGTCTCACTCTGTCGCCCAGGCTGGAGTGCAGTGGCAGATCTTGGCTCACTGCAAGCTCCACCTCCCGGGTTCACGCCATTCTCCTGCCTCAGCCTCCCGAGTAGCTGGGACTACAGGCGCCCGCCACCCATGCCTGGCTACTTTTTTTATTTTTATTTTTTGTATTTTTAGTAGAGACGGGTTTTCACCGTGTTAACCAGGATGGTCTCGATCTCCTGACCTCGTGATCTGCCCGCCTCGGCCTCCCAAAATGCTGGGATTATAGGCATGAGCCCCAGCGCCCGGCCAATGTAAATGTATTTCTTACTGTAGACTTGAGGTCAGGAGAGTGGGCTGTACTGTACACATATTGATATTATTTGTATCTATTCCATGTATCACTTTCTCCTAAAGCATCAAATCTAATACAAAAAAAGAAAAGCAAAACACAAAACCTAGGCTCAAATTCCACCTTGGCCATGTTTTAGCCGAGTAACTCACGTTCCCCGGTGTCTAATCTTTACCAGAAACTTCCTTATCTTTAAAATAGGGAAAAAGCCTTTTCTTCTTTCCAGGGTTGTTGTGGACTCAAACGAGAGGCTGTTAGTGAAAGGTTTTTGTGAGTTATAAAGCTCCTAGGAACCCAATTATTTCTGCTGCCTTGGCCACATAGTCTAGAAGAATCTCTACATAATTAGCATCTAGAGACTGGATAATTTACCCATTATTTTCCATGTGCTTGTCTTATTTCCCAGCATGATGGTAATATTTCCAAGGGAAAGATCTAGGATATATATCAAGTAACGTTTATCATAAAAATAATGAAATTGCTAATAACTATTAATTTATTGTCATGTTGAGACTCTGCTCTAAGTACTTTGTATGGACTGTATAGCAATTTATCCCTGCACGAATCCTATGAGGTATGTGTATTTATTGTTACTGTTTTACAGATATTGAAACTAAGACACTGAGCCTCTATTTTAGCCTCATGTCTTCTTTCCTTCCAGCTTTTCCCAGGCAAGTAAATGCAGGCCACAGTCTGCCAGCTGCCCAACCATTCAGGCTTTTCATTATTATAGGAAGCATCTGGCCAAGGACCACCAACATCTTCCTGTCCTGCCCCTGAAGCTGTGAGTTCCCCAAGTGGAGACACAGCCTGTTCCCCAACACCTACACTCATGAACACGGGAGGGTTGGTCAAAATTGCACCGCTATCATGCTTAGTTTTATACTCAGGTGTAAGTGACTGATAGAAGGGCCTTTTGGAGGTGGAGAGTGCGCAGGTTCTGAAGAGGCAAGACTGGGGAAGTCTGGACCTGCTTCCAGAGTGTCCTCCCACAAGGCTTAGTGCTCAGGACCTGTAGTGGGTTGAATATGTTCCCTAAAGTTCGTGTCTATCCAGCATCTCAAAATGTGAACGCATTTGGAAACTGGGGCTTTGAAGACGTAAGTAGTTAAGGATCTTGAGATGAAATCATGCTGGATATAGGATGGGCCTTAAATTCAATGACTGGTATCTTTATAAGAGAAAGGAGAGGGAAATTCGGACACACAGAGATGAGTAAGAAGCCATGTGAAGATGGAGGGAGAGATTGGAATGAGGCTGCCACAAGCCAAGGAACATCAGAAGCCACCAGAAGCTGAAAGAAGCAAGGAAGGATTCTCCCTGAGAGCCTTTAGAGGGAGCATGGTACTTTATTTCAGACTTCTGGTCTCCAGAACTGTGGAAGAATACAGTTCTGTTGTTTTAAGCTACCAAGTTTGTGGTCATTTGCTATGGCAGCCCTAGGAAACTAACACAGGTTGAGTATCCCTTATCTGAAATGCTTGGGACTGGGACTGTTTCGGGTTTCAGATTTTGGAATATTTGCATATATATAATGAGATATATTGGGGATGGGACCCAAGACTAAACACAAAATCCATCTATGTTTCATAAATACCTTATACACACTTACACTGTGCCCCATTTTCTCCAACAACTTGACTTTCTGTACTATAGATAAACATAAATGTTTTCTCTCCCTTTTTTTTTTTTTTTTTTCTTTTGAGACAGAGTCTTGCTCTGTCGCCCAGGCTGGAGTGCAATGGCACAATCTCGGGTCACTGCAACCTCCTGGATTCAAGTGAGTCTTCTGCCTCAGCCTCCCGAGTAGCTGGGACTACAGGCATGTGCCACCACGCCTGGCTAATTTTTGTATTTTTAGTAGAGACGGGGTTTCACCATGTTGGTTAGGCTGGTCTTGAACTCCTGACCTCAAGTGATCCAGCCGCCTCGGCCTCCCAAATTGCCGGGATTTCAGGCATGAGCCACCGCGCCTGGCCTTGCTTTTTCTCTTTTAAAATCACTGTTACTCATGGGGTATCTGCAGGCCTTTTTGATATTTTCTTTTTTTTTTTTTTTTTTGAGACGGAGTCTCGCTCTGTCACCCAGGCTGGAGTGCAGTGGCGCAATCTCGGCTCACTGCAAGCTCCGCCTCCCGGGTTCACGCCATTCTCCTGCCTCAGCCTCCCAAGTAGCTGGGACTACAGGCGCCCGCCACTACGCCCGGCTAATTTTTTGTATTTTTAGTAGAGACGGGGTTTCACCGTTTTAGCCGGGATGGTCTCGATCTCCTGACCTCGTGATCCGCCCGCCTCGGCCTCCCAAAGTGCTGGGATTACAGGCGTGAGCCACCGCGCCCGGCCAACCTTTTTGATATTTTCAACAATATCTTTATACCACAGAGCAGAGAATAAGCAAAAAAACCCCACAGTGAGTAAGGCACGTAGGTCTTGGCTCCTACATGGGGCATTATGGGGAACGTGCTGTTGACGACACTGGCCTGCACACATGCCATTTTATGACCCTTTGTGGGTGTGTGCACGTTGGGGAAACCGGGCATGTGCAGAAAAGATATATCTCAGCGGAAAGGGGCTGGGAGGGCCTTTTATTTCCTTGGGGGAAATACTGTGCATTGTATGACCCGTTGTGTGAGGTCAGGTGTGGAATTTTCCACCGAGGCACCACATTAGTGCTCAAAATTGTTCAGATTTTGGAGCCTAGGGTTTCGGATCTTCAGATTAGGGGTGCTCAACCTGTACAACATCCTTGCAACAATCTAGGTGTGAGCTTTCCTCAAGAGCAAGAAGAGCTTGCCACTTCTGCTATATGACCACGGTGAAGCCAGCCTGTCACCCTCCTGCCCTGGATGACCCCAGGGAGCTCTACAGAGGTCCATGGCTGGGGGAGGCCAGCAATTGTCTAGGAGAGCTCAGTGCCACTTGCAAAGACGACAGATCTCTCTACAAATTCTGGGCTGAGCAGGTGAAGGAGGCTGGTCAGGCCCATGAAGGAGCCTAGTCAGCCGTAAGGAAAGGTTCACTGTGGGGCCCCCGACTTCCCATTCCTGATCTCCTTTGTACCTCTGCTGCCCACTTCCTTTCCTCTTTCCCTCCAAGTATACCTTATACTCTGCTCCTGATGACACTCAGATCTCCCCCCGCCCCCCCGCCCCTGTCAAATAAAAAGAGCCTAGTGACTTTTGTAAGAACGGTGTATTCATTTCCTAGTGTTGCATTAATAAGTTACCATAAACTTAGTGGTTTAAAACAACACAAATTTGCCGGGTGTGGTGGCTCATGCCTGTAATCCCAGCACTTTGGGAGGCCAAGGCGGGTGGATCACCTGAGGTCAGGAGTTCGAGACCAGCCTGACCAACATGGTGAAAACCCGTCTCTACTAAAAACACAAAAATTAGTCGGGTGTGGTGACGCGTGCCTGTAATCCCAGCTACTCAGGAAGCTAAGGCGGGAGAATTGCTTGAACCTGGGAGGCAGAGGATGCAGTGAGCCGACATCACGCCATTGCACTCCAGACTGGGCAACAAGAGCGAAACTCTGTCTCAAAAAAAAAAAAAAACATGAAACCAAACAAAACGAAAAAAACCACACAAATTTATTCTCTTATCATTCTGGAGGTCAGAAGCCCAACATAAGTTTTAAGGGGCTAAAACAAATGTCTGAAGGACTGGTTTGTTCTGGAGGCTCCAGGTATATAATCCACTTTTTGACTCTTCCAGCTTCTAGAAACTGGCATTTTTTAGCACCTGGACAGATCACTCTAATGTCTGCTTCTGTCATCACACCCCCTTCTCCCTGATTGACCCTCTCGTCTCTCTAAGGATTCATGTGATTATATTAAGGGCTCATCTCAATAATCCAGGATAAGTTCTTTATCTCAAGGTCCTTAATTTGTTCACATTTGCAAAGTCCCTTTGCCATATAAGGTAACATATTCACAGAGTCCAAGGATTGGGATGTGGATATCTCTGTGGGGCTATTATTCAGTCTACCACAAATGTGCATTCCTTTCTAAAGTATTTATCTTCGAGCACTGAGGGGAACTCTGCCTTCAGCTAAGGCTACACAACTATCCTGATGGTGGACTGTAGCAACTTGTAGGCAAGGGGTACAGCTCAGGGCAGCTACCTCTCCCTCTTCTCGGGCCAACCTGGAGGAAGTTCCTTCCAGAGTCCAGGCTATACTTGCTTCTGGCCTGCAAATTCCTGAGAATTCTTTGAAACCTAGGAGGGGCCTGGGTATTATGCCCTTTTGAGTGAGAATTCAGAGGCCAGTGGAATTAGGGCAATCAGGCATTTCCTGATCATCTGCTATGCTCCAGGATGCTGACTTGGAGAGATGAACAAGGCAAAATGCTCATTCTGACGGCACTCAGAATTTCACGGGGAACTGGAAGGATAAATGAATCTGGGAGGAACTGCTAAAACAGGTAGGAGAGGGTAAGCTTGTTAGAACCTGAGCAGAATGCTGTCTGAAAAGGTAGAGAAGTCAGGAGAAGCAGTGAGGCCCTCAACCCTGTGTGTCACAATGCCTCCTGTCATTTCCTCTCTGAGTTTCCAGTACAAGCTTCTCGGTGGCTGTTTTCTGCCCAAGCACATGAACTTTGGAAGACCTAGCACTTTGGACAAAGTCCCTGGCCCTGACACTTAATAGTTTGGGGAACTTGGGCAAAATACTCAAAGCTTCCTAGTCTGTAAAGTGAGAATGACAAAACATCTGCCTTCCTTGCAGGATTGTTGTGGTGATGTGTAAGACATAAAATATCAAGCATAGTCAGCAGTCACTGAGCTTAAGGAATGTTAAGTTATAATCATTATTTCTGAACTTCAGTGCCCAATATGACCCTGTTGACACCTCCTTTGCCTCCTTGGGACATACTCTCTTCTGGTGGTCCTCATCCCTTTCCAGCTATCCTCTGTCTCTTGGTATTCTCCTAATCTACCAACTCCCATCAATGTTCCTGCTTGCCCAGGGTGCCTGTCTCAGTCCTCTTCTTTTCTCCCTAACCCCTGGGAAGATCTCATCAAATTCCCTGCCTCTCGTTTTCCTTATCGATTTGCTGAGGGCTTACTCACAAGTTTCTCCAGCTGAGACCCTTTACTGATGAGAGTAATAACAACTGGTGGAAGTGTTCTCCTAGGTAGAGAACAGGAATCTCAATTTTTAATGTTGGGAGGGACTTTATGCATCTTTTTGCTTTCAAAAGCAATTTCTGCCTGGGCGTGGTGGCTGATGCCTGTAATCCCAGCACTTTGGGAGGCCGAGGTGGGTGAATAACTTGAAGTCAGGAGTTCGAGACCAGCCCAGCCAACATGGTGAAACCCCGTCTCTACTAAAAATACAAAAAATTAGCTGGGTGTGGTGGCAGGTGCCTATGATCCCAGCTACTTGGGAGGCTGAGGCAGGAGAATTGCTTGAACCTGAGAGGCGGAGGTTGCAGTGAGCAGAGATCTCGCCACTGCACTCCAGCCTGGGCAACTGAGAGAGACTCTCTCAAAAAAACAAAAACAAAAATAAAAGCAATTTCTTCTCTCTGCATTCTCCATGTTACTGAAACCTAACATCAACCCCATAGCTCCTCAGGCCAGAAGCTCCTTTATTGCATGCATTCTCCAAATGCCTAAATCACCAATTTTTTTTTCTTTCTTTCTTTTTTTTTTTTTGATACGGAGTCTTGCTCTGTTGCCTAGGCTGGAGTGCAGTGGTGCGATCTCAGCTCACTGCAAGCACCGCCTCCCGGGTTCACGCCATTCTCCTGCCTCAGCCTCCTGAGTAGCTGGGACTAGAGGCGCCCGCCACCATGCCCGGCTAATTTTTTTTTTTTTTTTTTTTTTTTTAGTAGAGACGGGGTTTCGCCATGTTAGCCAGGATGGTCTCGATCTCCTGACCTCATGATCCGCCTGCCTTGTCCTCCCAAAGTGCTGGGATTACAGGTGTGAGCCACCGTGCCCAGCCTTTTTTTTTTTTTTTTTTTTTTTCGAGACGGAGTCTCCCTCTATTGCCCAGGCTGGAGTGCTGGAGTGCAATGGCGCAATCTCAGCTCACTGCAACCTCCGCCTCCCGGGTTCAAGCAATTCTTCTGCCTCAGCCTCCCAAGTAGCTGGGACTACAGGCGTGTGCCACCACACCCAGCTAATTTTTTTGTATTTTTAGTAGAGACAGGGTTTCACCATGTTGGCCAGGCTTGTCTCTAATTTCTGACCTCATGATGCGCCCACCTTGGCCTCCCAAAGTGCTAGAATTACAGGCGTGAGCCTCTGCGCCCAGCCTGTTTCTTAAAATTAATATGTCTTATTGCATATGTGAGGTCAAGGTGTCATACTGTCTCATCATTTCCACCTCCTCTTTCACAATTCCCATTCTCCATTTTATTAAAAATGAATGAATGAATAAATGATTATCACATGTTTAAGGCTTCCTGAATTTAATTATGGGGCATTCCATTGGGGTGTAATTACCTGCAGCATAATATTGTAGAACAACTCAATATATGGAAGCCTCCTTTAGTCAAGAAATTGTAATCCTACACTAAGGCTACATGTTTTTGTCTTTATATTTTTGATAAGGGTGCAGCATAATATAGAAACAAGGTATTTGGGGACATCCTGAATTCATGTACATTGAGGAGTGAAGTGGCAGGAGTTATGGCAAATTTTGTTGAAGGGTCTTGCCTTTTGCATTGCCTAATTATGATCAAATAATGCATTGCTACTATAGGAGAGTTCTGAGAGGGCAAAGTAGAGAGGCTCAGTACAAAATACAGAACTTATCAGAGCTCATTCCATCCTGGAGACAAACTTATGACAAGACTCTGTGCCTTATCCACCTCCCTGCCTCCTTTCCTTCCTGTCTTTTTATCCATCTTAGAATTAAGATATTTAAATTTTGTCTGAAGCATGTCAGAGAATAACAACATGCTATAAAATTTCACTTGTGTTCACCCATGTGTCAGCTGAGTATTTTGCATTGTTACATTTTTATTTTACTGTATTTTATTTTATTTTTTTTTGAAATGGGGTCTAGCTATGTTGCAAACTCCTGGCCTCAAACTCCTGGGCGCAAGCAATCCTCCTGCCTTAGCCTCCCAAAATGCTAGGATTACAGGTGTGAGCCACTATGCCCTGCCTATTTTGCATTACTTCAAAGAGAAGGTGAGGTCACACATTTACTTCCAACAGATCAACATTATATCTTCAAGTTAGCAAAAGCAATTGAAAGTAGGTAGTGGCATTCTATATTTCCATAAATGCTCCTTTAGACTTGTAAAAAAATTGTCATTAATTTTGGCCAAAAGCTTATTGATGTCATAAAACCATACTCAGTTTTTACTTGGACACATTCTCCTGCTGTTCCTCATCAACCACTTTGTGGGTTTAGTCATTCAAAGTATGTACTTACTAGATTTAGATTAATTCAATGGAGATATGTTGTGAATTCAACTGAAAATAATGCACTTAAATAATAATTACTGTATCTTTTGTAATCAGCACACTTACCAGAGCTTCAACACCTGCCTTTCCTTTTGCTATTTATTTCCACAAGATAGATTAAACTACATTTTTAACAGTAGAACATTTACTTATGTAGAACAAAATGTTCCTAAGCTGTAAACTACTGTGTAATGACCTGAACACTCTAGAAAGCCAGCTTCATTACATTTGTTTTGGGAGTGCGCACATAAAATGTTGAAGGACCACTGTATTAAAAGGCTATTAGCATAATCTCTAGGAGACACAACCAGAAAACCAAGCATAGAGGCTGAGCAGCCAGAACCAATACTGCTACCGCTGTCCCTGCCACTCAACACAGGCCGAATAGTGGGCAGGGATGCTATGCCAAGCCCCTGCCTTGATTCTCTCTGGAAACTGGATGTATCTTTGCTGCCTCTCTGCTGTCACCTGAATGGATTCCCTCAGGACCCCGTCTTCATGACTTCAGTCTTCCACACTGAAATCACATGCAGGAGCACTGATTGGTGGAGTCTGTGCCACAATTTTTCCTCACTTCAAGGGAATCTGGGAAAATTTGGCCTCTATTTTCAAAAGGCAGACTCACTAGATGGGAGAGTCCCAAATATAAAGAGTATTCAAAGCAACTAGAGAGCTTAGAAAAAAAAAAAGAATGACAAATGCTATCACACAAAGTATATAATAACATATGATTTTAAAAACAAATATTTTCTTTAATTCATTACATGATCGAGGATTGCATTTATGATGTTCATTTTACTCTAATGCTTTACTATAACACTGAGCCAGTTTTATGTTTCTCCCTATTCAAAAAATGATGCATGCTCCTCAAATTTACTTTAAATTAATTGCATGAAAAAGGATGATTAATCAATAAATAAGTCTTGAAAAGACATATTCTATAGTGTTCGGTTTGGGGTTTTCAGATTAAAATACACATTGAAATTTACTACATGATATAACAAGAAAAAAACTACTTTCAAGGCCTGATATTTGATTCTTCTATCTTGTATTTGAGAAACCAATGTATTTTACAGATTTTTACAAAACAAAGTAGACGGCCGGGCGCGGTGGCTCACGCCTGTAATCCCAGCACTTTGGGAGGCCGAGGCGGGTGGATCATGAGGTCAGGAGATCGAGACCATCCTGGCTAACAAGGTGAAACCCCGTCTCTACTAAAAATACAAAAAATTAGCCGGGCGCGGTGGCGGGCGCCTGTAGTCCCAGCTACTGGGGAGGCTGAGGCAGGAGAATGGCGTGAACCCGGGAAGCGGAGCTTGCAGTGAGCCGAGATTGCGCCACTGCAGTCCGCAGTCCGGCCTGGGCGACAGAGCGAGACTCCGTCTCAAAAAAAAAAAAAAAAAAAAAAAAACAAAGTAGACATTAATTCCACTTTTAAGGATGTAAAGCCCCCAGGGTAACATGGTAAACCTGTCACGGATCATGACCCACTGGATAGGAAACACTGTTTTACTATTCTCTGGGAGGTATGTGAATCTCAACTTCCTGTTGCTTCCTGAATCTACTTGTGACACAGTCACAACTGGAGTGGCAGTAGCTAATCCCGGACTGTCCCTGCTGCTTGAGATCATCTAATCAGTCACTCCTCCACCTCATCTTTGTCTGTTTGATGTTGAAATTGTATTACATGCTTGAACTGATCAACAATTAGATGGCTAGAGACCATTTTGACTGGCTGCCTCCCAGTCCTGCAATAAAACACAACAAAACTGTAAAACTAACCCAACCCAAGAAACCAGAGAACTAACCCAACCCAAGAAACCAGAGGACTCCCTGCGCAAGAAATCCACACTGGCCCTAGAGTGTCCCACGCAGGTTTGAACAGCAACCCTGGACCTGTGCCACAAACTCAAGTGCAAGGGGACTCCGGTGGACCCTGTAATGGCCTATCTGATTTGGCTTCTCATTTACAGAGAATGGAGACTTTACACACCACAATGTATTGTTTGCTTAAAGGTGCTTAGAAAGAACAACCTGAAACCTTTTAATCTTATTTGTTCATGTAGAAATGAAACCGTTGAGACCTTATCTTAATGCATATAGTATTCCAGTTGTAATCAGCAACCTTTTAGTTAAAGGAAAGTAACAGCCGGTTGAGATTGTTACTTTTCCTTTTACCAACCCATAAAATGGAGACAAGGGACTAGATTAAATACTAAAACAGGGAACTAATCTTTCAGCAGCCCTATAGGAGTTAGAAGCAAAGGCTCCTGGGCCGGGCATGATGGCTAATGCTTATAATCCCAGCACTTTGGGAGGCTAAGACGGGTGGATCATTTGAGGTCAGGAGTTCAAGACCAGCCTGGCCAACATGATGAAACCCCATCTCTATTGAAAATACAAAAAATTAGCCAGGCATGGTGGTGCAGGCCTGTAATTCCAACTACTCGGGAGGCTGAGGCAGGAGAATCGCTTGAGCCTGGGAGGCGGAGGTTGCGGTGAGTCGATATCTCGCCATTGTACTCTAGTCTGGGTGTCAGAGTGAGACCCTCTTTTTTTTTTGAGAAAAAAAATAAAAGAAGAAGCGGAGGCTCCTGCTGTTGAATAGACACCCTTTGAGGCAATGAATGACACATGTTAGCAAGGAGCCCATCTTATCTACGACTCATCCTCAAAAGGTCCCCAACCTGAAGCAGCCAGTGCCTGTGGTGGTGTAGATGGTGTCTGGAAAGGCTGAGAGGACCTCACTTCTTTCACTCACCAAATTGAGTACCTGTAATCCCAGCACCTTGGGGTGCCAAGACAGGAGGATCCCTTAAGGCCAAGAGTTCGAGACCAGCCTGGGCAACAAAGTGAGACCTTGTCTCTATAAAAAATCAGAAAATTAGCCGGGTGTGGTGGCAGGTGCCTGTGGTCCCAGCTACACAGGAGGCTGAGGCAGGAGAATCACTTGAGCCTAGAGGTCGAGGTTGCAGTGAGCCATGATTGCACCACTGCCCTCCAGCCTGGGTAACATAGCAAGACCCTGTCTTAAAAAAAAAAAAAAAAAAAGATTCGAAGATCTTTGAACATTATAGAGAACATTACAATGGAATGTTATAGTATTAGTATTGTTGATATTTTAAAACCCAGGAGCTGTTAGCTCCTCCTCTCTGGCCTCTTAATCATAAATCCCTGTCCCTTCTCTATTGGGTTACAAGTCAACTGAGGCACCAGCATGTAAGCCTCATCTATACTTACTCAACTAATTCAGACAGGTCTAGGCCTGTAGGGGGTGGCGTGGGGTGCAGTCTGGGTGCAGGGGAGAGATGGACCCACCAGGGAGAGCTAATTATATCACAAGTAGAGGAACCTGTGGGAAGAGTATAGTGTTGGACATGTGGGTGCTGCTTTATAACCTCTTCATTTCTCAAATTCCTCAAGGAGAACCTACATTAAGGGGTGACCAACCAGCTGAACAATTCCCTTTGCTGTCAATCTATGACGAGGGGTAAAACATGACTAGTGCACTAAAATATCACTGGAAATAGAACTTCAAAGATGAAAATTTTTTTAAATCAGAAATCTCACAGAGAGTACTCAATAGGGTTGGAGTAAATACCTTGATGAGCCACTTGGGGATGGGGGTGGAAGGTAAGACCCCAAGGGGTATGCCTGGATGACAACAGATGGTCCTTCTAAAAAGGATAGTCAAGTGAACTATGAGGCTGTTGTTTTGGAGAGAGGTTGTAAGTTTGGGGCCAGAGTTAAAGCCCCTTGGATTTTGGAGGCTTTGCAGCTGATGGTCCTCCTCTTTATCCTTTTTCTACAGGGCACTGAGGAACTATTTAAAGAAAATACAACCCAAGTATCTGCAGGTCTCATTCTGGTCCAGCCCCAAAGCAGTGTTAGCTGCAGGGGAAGGCCTTACCCTGAGGAGAGGGAGATAGGATGTACCAGCTGATGTGGGGGAGTGAGGACACAGGATTAGAGGGGAGTGGATACTGTGAATTGCACCTAGAAACAACAGCGCTAAGGCAGGCTTCTTCCCCTTGAACTATGCTTCCATTAGGGGAAGAATGCATAAAATGAGTAAAATAAAAGCTGCAGACCAGGCATGGTGGCTCATGCCTATAATCCCTGCACTTTGGGAGGCCATATTGTACGGATTGCTTGAGCCCAGGAGTTGAAGACCAGCCCTGGCAATGTAGCAAGATCCTGTGTCTACAAATAATAATTTAAAAAAATTAGCCTGGCATAGTGACACATGCCTATGGTCCCAGTTACTCAAGAGGTTAAGGCAGGAGGATTGCCTAAGCCCAGGAGGTTAAAGCTGCAGTGAGCCATGATCATGCCACTATACTCCAGCCTAGGGGACAGAGTGAGACCCTGTCTCAATTAAAAAAAAAAAAAAGGTATATTCCCTGGGCCAGGTTTTCTCTCTCTGTTTATCTGGCTAACTCAAATTTAACCTTTAGGGTTGAGATTAGATCTTACTTCTCCCAGGAAGCCTTTTCTGATCTCCTAAGTCTGCATTAGATGTCATTCCTCTGTGCTCCGACAGATCCTGTATTTCCCCCATCATCACAGCATTTACAGTGTGCATTGTCATTGCTTGGTTACAAGGCAATTTCCTTTGCTAGTCTATAACTTCCATGGGGTAGGGACCATGTCTGTAGTTCACTGTCGTTTGGTGCCAAACATAGTACCTGATACCTGGTAGGCACTCAATTATTTGTTGTTTGAATGAAATAATAGAGGCACAAGAATAGTGCTGCCATGTACCTAGAAGAGGTGGAAAATTTTCATGGTGGAGGGTGGCTCCCTGAGGCCAGGCCTTGGTATAGAGGCTGATGGACAGAACAGTAGCTCGTGGATTTCGGGGGCAGTGATGGCTTCAGACAGCCTGATACGTTAGGAGGAGAGAGGATACCAAAACAGCACCTTCGAAGTCAGGAGCTACGTGGAAACAGAATGGAAGACATCAGCTAAAAGACACCCTAGGGACTTCTGCCTCTCCTCACCCTCTAGCAATATAAGTGCGGAAGGAGAAAGTCCCCAAATACAGTGATGCACCACTTAAAAATGCATTCTGAGAAGTGCATTGATAGGTGATTTTGTCATTGTGTGAACCTTATAGTATGTGCTTACACAAATGTAGATGGTGGAGCCTACTACACACCTAGCCTGTATGGCGTTGCTTATTGCTCCCAGGTGGCAAACACGTATAGCATGTTACTGTACTGAATACTGTAGGCAATTGTAATACAATGGTCAGTATTTGTGTATCCAAACATATCTAAACATAGAAAAGGTACAGTAAAAATATGGTATATGTGATATTTTGGTATACATATTGGCTTTCGTCCGCAGCTCCTGACTCATAACTCCCATAGCCCTTGTTATATAATGTTGGGGTGCTTCAGGCCTCAGAAAACAGAATGTCTGTCTCTCTGGCCTTCCGACCACCTCCTGCCCTCCTTTTTCTCCCCAAGGCAGGACTCTTCTCTCACCTCTCTTGGAGCTGACCATAAAGAAATTCTCTTACCTACCCTATCTGACTGTAGGTCATAAGAACCCCCAATTCAGAAGGAGTCCTGCCCCACACCCAGGAAGAACAAATGCTGCACAGAGATGCCAAGAAGAATCTGAACAGACAGGCCTTGCTGGGTTTCTCCACTCAGTCTATTAGTATTAGACCATACCCTTCTTGCCCATTTCTGCATGATTGTCAATCATGACTACCCAATGAAGTCTCCACAAAGGCACAAGAGGACTGGGTACAGAGTATTTCCAGGTAGCTGAGCACATGGAGGTTTCTGGAGAGTGGCACACCCAAGCAGGGCATGGAAGCTCCGAGCCCCTTCCCCATACCTCGCCCTGTGTGTCTCTGCATCTGCATGCTTTGTGGTATTCTTTATAATATATCATTTTTTGTGTATTATAAAGAATATATAAATGTGTTTCCCTGAGTGCTGTGAACAGCACTGGCAAATTAATCGAGTCAAAAGAGGAGGATGTAGGAATCTCAACTTAAAGCCAGTTGGTCAGAAGTTCCAGAGGTCCAGACTTCTGACAGGTATGTGAAGTAGGGGCAGTCTTGGGGACTGTATGATCTGACACTATCTCCAGGTAGAGAGCATCAGAATGAATTGAACTGGAGGACACCAAGCTAGCGTGTCTGTAGAATCGACTGCTTGCTTGGTGGTGGCAAGAAACCGCCATACATTTGGTCTCAGGAGTCTTTTGTGGTTGTGATGTGAGAGGAGAGTAACAACAGTTTTTGTTTTTTCCACTAAGTATAAAAGATAAAAACGTATACTCCTGTATAGGGCACTTACCATAAATAGAGTTTGCAGGACTCAACGCTGTTCTGGGTGAGTCAGTGAGTGAGTGGTGAGTGAATGTGAAGGGCTAGGACATTACTATACACTACTGTGGACTTTATAAACACTCTATACTTAGGCTACACTAAATTTAACACATTTTTTTTCTTTAATAAGAAATTAATCTCAGCTTACTGTAAATTTTTTACTTTATAAACTTTATAATTTTTTAAACTTTTTGACTCTTTTGTAATAACACTTAGCTTAAACACAAACACATTGTACAGCTGTACAAAAATATTTTCTCTGTTTATATCTTTATTCTATAAGCTTTATTCTATTATCTTAAATTTTTAATTTTTTCTTTTTTTTTTTGTTAAAAACTAGGACACAAAGACACACATTAGCTTAGGCCTACACAGGGTCAGGATCATCAATATCACTGTCTTCCACCTCCACATCTTGTCCCACTCGGAGGTCTTTAGGGACAATACCATGCATAGAGCTGTCATCTCCTATGATTACAATGCCTTCTTCTGGAATACTTCCTGAAGGACCTCCCAGAGGCTGTTTAACAGTTACCTTTTTTTTTTTCAATAAGTAGGAGTACACTCTAAAACAACAAAATATATAGTAAATACATAAACCAGTAACATGGTCATTTATTATCATTCTCAAGTATTATGTACTGTATATAACTGTATGTGCTAGACTCTTATATGACTGGCAGCAAGTGGATCTGTTTATACTGGGCATCACCATAAACACATAAGTAATGCATTGTGCTAGGACTTTATGACAGCTACATGGTTATTAGGCTACAGGAATTTTTCAGCTCCGTGATAATCTTCTGGGACCCCGTCATATATGTGGTCCATTTGGCTGAAATGTCACTATGCAGTGCTTGACTATAATCCTGCTTGCAGCATTTTGTACCCCAACCATACCCTCAGGATGATATGCCTGGAGAAATGCCAGTTACACCTGGCCGTAACACCCACAGTCTTGGTTCATGTTCTCATCATCACAGTTGCATTAGATGCCTTAATGATCACCCTCCTCTATTTGGGCCATGGAGCCCTTTGAGAATCCAACAATAACTCTGAACCTCTCCACAGAAGAATCACATGGTCACACAAGCACAAAATTTTACATATAACAGACAACCCTTAAAAGCTAATCTACAGACCCTAGCTCTCATCTTAATCTTTTCTAAATTTTTCTCCATAGTGCTGCCAGGGTGAACTTGAAAAATAAATTTTATTGCATTGTTGGATTTTTATTACCTTCAGGGAAGACTTCAAGCTCCCTAGTAAAGTACATGAGACACCTCCCACATACTGCTCACGTTCCTTACCTACCTTTTTTACTCCACCACTGCTGCAGCAATGAGCTGGTGTGACCCATTTCTTTGGAGAAATGTCTGCTCAGATCCTTTGCCCATTCTTTTTGGTTCCCAAGTTTTATTCAAGAATTCATTCAAAATATTCCAGATAAATAAAATTTAATCCTCATCTTTCTCTTCTTCTTTGTCCTGGTTAATTTGGAAATAACGTAATTCATAACTCTCTTTACTGTTAGCAACTATGCACAACCAATCACATAGATTATTGTTCTTCAAATATTTTTTGGTGAGATATTTCAAATACCTTCTGGAAAAAGGCACTTCCGGTGTTACGGTGAGCTTGCTCTTGCTCCTTTCGATGGTCACCACTCCTCCAAGATTCACAGCTTTTCTGTTCACTTTGATCCTCTCTTGCAAAAACTGCTCAAAATTGGTAGAATGGCGGCATCCATGATTCCATCTTCTATGGGGTGGATGCAATCAAGAGTGAACTTCAGAACCTGCTTCTTTTTTGCCCCCTTTCACCACAAGCTTTTTCGCGGGCGCCATGGTGGCAATGGAGGCAGAAAAGCCCTTTGCCCATTTTTAAAATTGGGTTATTTGTTCTTCTGCTATTGAGTTGTAAGAGTTCCTTATATTTTTTGGATATTAATTCCTTATCAGATATGTGGTTTGCAATTATATTTTCCTAGTCCGTAGGTTGCTTTTCAAGTTTGTTGATTGTTTCCTCTCCTGTGCAGAATTTTTTAGTTTGATGTAGTCCCTTTATTTATTTTTGTTTTTGTAGCCTGAGCTTCTGATGTGATATTAAGAAAAAGAAAAATCAGGCCGGGCGCAGTGGCTCACACCTGTAATCTCAGCACTTTGGGAGGTCAAGGCGGGTGGATCATTTGAGGTCAATAGTTCGAGACCAGCCTGGCCAACATGGTGAAACCCCATCTCTACTAAAAATACAAAAATTAGCCAGGCGTGGTGGCACGTGCCTGTAGTCCCAGCTACTCGGGAGGCTGAGGCAGGAGAATTGCTTGAACCCGGGAGGCAGAAGTTGCAGTGAACCAAGATTGCGCCACTGCACTCCAGCCTGGGTGACAGAACGAGAGATTCCGTTTCAAAAAACAATCATTGTCAAGGCAAATGTCGAGAGGTTTTTCCCCTGTGTTCTCTTCTAGGAGTTTTATGGTTTCAGGTCCACAGTACACTGTTAGTGGGAATGTAGATTGGTACAGTCATTATAGGAAACAGTATGGAGGTTCCTAAAGAAATTAAAAATGGAACTACCATATGATGCAGCAATCCCTCTCCTGAGTATATTCCCAAAGGAGAGGAAATCATCACCTTGTAAACATGTCTGCACTCCCCTGTTCATTGTTATGTTATTCACAATAGCCAAGATAAGGAAACAAACTAAGTGCCCATTGACATTTAGGATGGATAAAGAAAATGGGTTTTGTGGTGTACATACAAGGTATTTTCAAAAAGTTCATGGAAAGTCTGTATTATATAAAAAAAAAAAAAAAACTATGTGGCCGGGCGCGGTGGCTCAGGCCTGTAATCTCAGCACTTTGGGAGGTCGAGGCGGGCGGATCATGAGGTCAGGAGATCGAGACTATCCTGGCTAACACGGTGAAACAATGTCTCTACTAAAAAATACAAAAAAAAATTAGCCGGGCGTGATGGCGAGTGCCTGTAGTCCCAGCTACTCCGGAGGCTGAGGCAGGAGAATGGCGTGAACCCGGGAGGCGGAGCTTGCAGTGAGCCGAGTTCGCTCCACTGCACTCCAGCCTGGGCGACAGAGCAAGACTCCGTCTCAAAAAAAAAAAAACAAAAACAAAAAAACAAACAAACAAAGAAAACACTGTGTATGGATTTCAAAATTGTTCACAACAAAATAAACTAGTACTAACTTGTTTATAACATGTCTGGTCAGGATCTAGTTAGAGACACTAAGGACAACACATCAGTTTGAAAAGAGTCCCCTGTCGGAGCAACATGAATTCTGCTAAAATTGAAGCAAGAACAAGCATCAAATGTATGGTGAAGCTTGTGTGAAAGAATGATCAAATCACTGATTCTTTACAAAAAGTTTATGGAAACAATCCCCAAAGAAATCAGCAGTTTACAAATGGATAACTTGTTTTAAAAACAGATGAGGCAATGTTGAAGATGAAGCCCATAGTGGCAGACCATCCACATCAATTTTCAAGGGAAAAATTAATCTTGTTCATGCCCTAATTGAAGAGAATTGATGACTAACAGCAAAAACAATAGCCAACACCAGAGACATCTCAACTGGTTCCACTTACGTAAATCTGACTGAAAAATTCAAGTTGAATAAACTTTCCACGCAATGGGTGCCAAAACCGTTGCACCCAGATCAGCTGCAGGCAAGAGCAGAGCTTTCAATCCAAATTTTAAAGAAGTGACATCAAGCTCCTAAAGCAAAACAATTGTAATGGGAGATGAAACATGGCTTTACAGGTACGATCTTGAAGACAAAGCCCAAAGCAATGGCCACCAAGAGGTGGAAATGGTCGAGTCAAAGCAAAAGTGGATTGGTCAAAAGAAAAGGTCATGACAACAGTTTTGTGGGATGCTCAAGGCATTTTGCTTGTTGGCATTCTGAAGGGCCAAAGAACAGTAACATCTGCATATTATGAGAGTGTTTTGAGAAAGTTAGCCAAAGCTTTAGCAGAAAATTCCCTGGGAAAGCTTCACCATAGAGTCCTTCTCCACCATGGCAATGTCCCTGCTCATTTCTCTCATCAAACAACGATAATCTTTTTAGAGTTTCATTGGGAAATCATTAGGCATCCACCTTACAGTCCTGATTTGGCTTCTTCTGACATTTTTTGGTTTCCTATTCTTAAAAAAACCCTATAAGGTACACCCATTTTTCTTCAGTTAGTAATGTAAAAACGACTGCATTGATGTGGTTAAATTCCCAAGACCCTCAGTTCTTCAGAGATGGACTAAATGGCTGGTATCATTGCTTTCAAAAGCATCTTGAACTTGATGGAGATTATGTTGAGAAATAGTTTATATTTTCAATTTTTATCTTTTAATTCCATTTTTCCGTGAACCTTTTGTAGCTCCCCCCATACAATGGAATATTATGCAGTCTTAAAAAAAGAAAAGGAGACCCTGTCATTTGCCACAACATGGGTGGACTTGGAGGACATTAGGCTAAGTGGAATAATCCAGATACAGAGAGAAAAACATTGCATGACCTCACTTATACATGGCATTTTAAAAAGGGCTCAAATACACAGAGAGAATGAAACAGTGGTTACCATGATTGGGTGGTGGGGAGAGGAAATGAGACACTGTAAGTCAAAGGATACGAAATATGAAAAGTCTCCACATCTAAGGTCCAACATGAAGACTAAAGTTAAAAAAAACTGTATCATATTGGGAATTTGTGTTAAATAAGTAGATTTTAGCTGCCCTTGTCACAAAAAAGTAACTATTTGAGATGATAGAAACATTAATCTGCTTCATAACTGTAACCATATTACTATTTATATGTATCCCATAACATTGTGCTGTAAACCTCAAGTATACACAATTTAAAAAATTTTTTGGCTGAGCACAGTGGCTCACGCCTGTAATCCCAGAACTTTGGGAGGCCGAGGTGGGTGGATCACCTGAGGTCAGGAGTTCGAGACCAACCTGATCAACATGGCGAAACCCCGTCTCTACTAAAAATACAAAAATTAGCCAGGCATAGTGGCACACGCCTGTAATCCCAGCTATTCAGAGGCTGAGGCAGGGGAATCGTTTGAACCCTGGAGTTGGAGGTTGCAGTGAGCTGAGATTGCGCCATTGCACCCCAGCCTGGGCAACAAGAGTGAAACTACATCTCAAAAAAAACAAAAGATTTTTTTTTTTAATGACCTCTCCCCAATTTTCATTACCTGACCTTCCTCTAGGATCTCATGGTCCTGGGCTCCCCTCTTCATAGCACTTACTGCTGAGCTGTAAATATCCATTTATGTGTTGCCTCCCTCACTGGACTGTAAAATTCTTGAGGCAGAACCAGTAGGTTTTATCTATTTATCCTTCTCAAGCCTAGGACAGTGCCTGAGACCTTGAAACTCGGTGATTGTTGGTTGACAGGTTGAATGAGTGATCTATGAGATTTCTGAATCAAGCCTGGTGCATTTAATCTTTGGGTCTTGATAACATCTGGATCTGAATGAATCTGGGGGAAAGTCTAATTGAGCTTGATTTCCCTGTGACCTGCAGAGGCAGGAGTCCCAGCTTGACTGGTAGAGTGGGTGGGGAAGGCCTCTTCTACAGCACAGCCATAAAAAATCTGGAATTGTGACACTTTCCCCTAATGGGCCTCCTGGGACTTTACATGTCCTGTTGTGGGGAGTTGATTTTAACACAGAATCTGTCAATGCTCTATCCTTTTCAGGTCCAGCTTCATAAAAATATTCAAGGAATCATGTCTTCTGATTTTGCTTGATGATCCCTCTTGGGAGCCATATTTGAAAGGTTACAGTTTGCATTTTTGACATTAAAGTTTACTTTTTAATTTTAAAAAAAGTTACAAAGATGTAGGACGTTTGGCTTCTTCAATACTTATTTGCTAGAAGACTTTGGGCAAGTTACCTAAACTCTCTGGGCTTCAATGTCCTCCCATACATGTAAGCTAAATGTTCCAGGGCCACCTATGCCCATGGGTAACAGGCCAGCACAAGAATATGCTGACCAATTGATTCCTGGCTGCATAACCACAGAATCTCCTCTGTTATTTCTAGGTGCCTAGAGGAGGTCTCTCATAGATGCCCACGTTCTCTTGACAAGATATTTGGGGAGGACCCCTGGCTACTGTCACTGCTGCCATGCCTGCCAGGAGGAGGCACCTTCCTGACACTTCACTGCTGCTGCTCAGCAGGCCTGCCAAGTGGTTCTGCTGTGTTCTAGGAGAAACAGGAAAAATGCCTCTCCTCCCACTTTGCACTGTGCTTTGTCACCTGGGCCCTAAAACACCATTGCCTGCCCCTGACGCCCCAACAGCTCCCTCTACCAAACTGAGGCTGGGCTGGGAGACTAGGCACTACACCATTCCATTCTCCCTTCTCTTCTTCCATTCTCCCTTCCCTCCCTCTCTTCTTCCCACTGCCTCCAAGACACCTGTACTGGAACTTTGTCCATTCTTACACTCACACACACACACATGCACATGCATATGTGTACACACAAAAGTCTCTTGTCCATCAGATCATACAAATATATGCTTGGGACAGGGGTGATCACATGCCCCACATGCCCAGTGGACATTTAGGCTCAGATAGGACAATTCTTTCACAAGGATGACAAAACCTACCTTCCGTGGTTGCTGTGAGAACAAGAAATTGTACATACAGTGCCCATTCTACAGCAAACCCAACAATGATTTAAAATCCACAATAGGCCGTGCGGTGGCTCACGCCTGTAATCCCAGTACTTTGGGGGGCTGAGGCGGGCGGATCACGAGATCAGGAGATCGAGACCATCCTGGCTAACACGGTGAAACCCCGTCTCTATTAAAAATATAAAAAATTAGCCAGGCATGGTGGCAGGCGCCTGTAGTCCCAGCTACTTGGGAGGCTGAGGCAGGAGAATGGCGTGAACCCAGGAGGCGAAGCTTGCAGTGAGCCGAGATCGTGCCACTGCACTCCAGCCTGGGCGACAGAGCAAGACTCCATCTCAAAAAAAAAAAAAAAAAAAAATTCCAGAATATATAGAGAGCACCTTAAGAGTCAATAAGAAAAAAAGACAAACCAATATACAAAAAGTGAGCAAAAGATATCAACAATTAATTGAAAATACAAATAACCAATAAAAATATGAAAATATATTCTTAATCTTATTAAGTATGCAGGTAAAGACAAATTAAAACAATGAAATACCAATTTTTATTCATCAGATTGGCCAAAACTAAAGCCTGAAAATATAAAGTGTCCATCTTGCTGTGTGTAAATGGGAAATCTGAATCTGATGGTGGAGGCGTAAATTGGACAGCTTTTTGAAAAGAATGATTTAGCAGTATCTATTACAATGAAAAACATAGATACCTTTGCCTCAGTAAGTTTACCTCCAGGTGTGTATCCTAAAGAAATACTTAGAAATGTACCTCCAAGAGACATGTACAAGGAAGTTCCCTTATGCATTGTTTGTAAAAGTAAAACAGTGATGATCTCAATGCCCACTGATAGGGGAAAGGTTTAATTCACCATGATTCATAAATAAAGAGAAATTCTATATAAAGTGGAATAGATTTGTGTGGCATGGAAGGATCGCCAAAAAGTATTTTAAGATTAAAAAAAAAGTAAAAAATATGTGCAGAATTATGCCTTTTTTTCATAGAAAAAAGTCTAGGGGATTCACCGCTCAGCAGGCCATCCTGGCTATCTGGGCATAACCACCACCCAGAGTGTAATTTCTTCTAAGGCAATCACCCAAGTCTTTCACATTTTATACCTTCACAGCCCTGACAAAAACTGCTACATAATAAACACTAAACAAATGCCTATGAAAGGCAAGAAGGACGTAAGAGAGGGAAAGAAGCAAAGAAATGAACAATCGTAGCACCTGAGGCCGGATTAAAGAAAGGAAAAAAGCTTGTAAGGGTCTTTTCATATTGACAAAGCTTTAGTGGAACACTCTTTTGGTGGGTTTTCAAGGGATCAGAACGTTTGGGCAGAAAACAGAAAAATACAGACATAAAGAAGAGACCTAAATATATAAGCATAACATTGGGAAAAAGCCTTTTCAGAACTGCAACTCATGCCTTATTCGAACATGTTCTGAACAAGGTCTCTTATCTAAAGTTGTTTCTGGCTTCAGACAGCAGGTGGCAGCAGAATCAAGCTTTCTGGTTGCAGAAACTTCTGGAGCCAGCCAGCTGTATAAAGTTTCAAATGGTTTTCGGAGGAGAAGCAGCTTTTGAGTAAAAACCTTTAATCTAAAAATCTAAACTCGACACAAAACAAAAACAAAACAGAGTGAGGAGCTGGTGCCATTGGCCCCTGCCATGACAGATCCTGATGTCATTCCCTGCCTGCCATCTACAGAGCCACACCTTGTCCTTCGAAGAAATTCTGGGATTTCTACTGGCAGCGGCCAGGAAAGGAACCCAAGGTTGGTCTGTCCTGTTCTGACGTTGTCCTTGTCACATGTGGAAGCTGGTTCGCCAGGAAACAGGCTCTGGTCAAGGCTGGGCTCACTGGAGAGGTCAGCCCAAACTCAAAACACATTTATGGGTAAAGGAAGGGTTTTTTAAAAGGAGACTTTGCAGGCAACAAAAAGAAATATAGTATTGATATATGCCACAATGTGGATGAACCTCAAAAACATTATGTTAAGTCAAAGAAATCAGTCACAAAAAGACCACATAATGCATGAAACCATTTATAGGAAATCTTCAGAATAGGCAAATCTAAAGACAGAAAATAGATTAGTGGTTGTCTAGGGCTCAGGAGGTGGTGACTGGGGAATGACTGCTAATGAGTACACAATTTCTTTGGGGAGTGATGAAAATATTCTATAATTAGATTACAGTGATGATGCACAATTCTTTAAATATACTTAAAAACCATTGAGTTGTACGCTTTAAATGCGTGAACTTTATGGTATGTAAGTTATCTCAATAAAGCTATTAAAAAAGGGAAAAAAAAAAGGGCCCAGCACTTTGGGAGGCTGAGGCTGGAGGATTGCTTGAAACCAGGATTTCAAGACCAGCCTGGACAACATAGTGAGACCCCCCATCTCTACAAAAAATAAAAACTAGCTGGGCGTGGTGGCTCATGCTTGTATTCCTGGCTACTCTGGAGGCTGAGGCTAGAGGACTGCTTGAGCCCAGGAGTTCGAAGACACAGTGAACTATGATTGTGCCACTGCACTTCAGTCTGGGATAACCATTCAATGCTGGGGGGGTGGGGAGAGAGAGAGAGAGAGAGTCTATGCAGTTGCTACAGAAAAGAATTGGAGATTGGTTAGAGATATGACTGGTACATTGATGAATTTTACTTTTTGATCAGATTGTGATATGATGGTAGCATAATTCGCTTCCTGATTTGGTCACACACACTTCCTATCCCTAAGAACTGCAAATACTTACCTGAAAGAGTGGATGAGGTGCGTTGCCATCTCACTTTTTTAGGGGATGGTGCTCTCCCTGGAAAGAAGGCAATAACAGGCCAGTGAAATAGCAGACATCTGAAGTCACACAGACGTGGTTTCAAATTCCGGTTCTTCCTCTTATTAGCTATGAGCCGTCAGCTTCTTTTCCATACCCACATCTCAAGGTTAAGTAAGAATTACAACATAAAATATAAAAGTGCCCAACCCAGAGTAAACTTGAAATTTATTTAATATTCTTGGAATTTCCATCCTGACCAGTAAGATGACATTTTATCTCAAAACACAGCTGTATCATGTTTTGCTATTGGTACACCTCTAAAGATCTTCTCCACCGCCCTCTGCCCCCACCCCAACTCCAAGTGCCATGAATAACCTAACTTATTATCACTTTTTACAACGATGAGCAGCCTCTGAGAATGGAAAAATAAGTCAATGGTAATACTGTGTTAGGAAGGATCTGAGTAGGAGGGAACCTGTCCCCTGGCTACCAGAAACACAGGACTAGACCCAGTAATACACACCTAGAATATAAGCCTGGATAACAACAGTGCAGGAGAAACACTGTCCTCACCAGGATAGCTTTTATATGCAAGAATTTAGGTATTATAATCAGAAAGATTTCTAGAAACTATGAAATATTAGGGAAAAAAGCCAACACATTAGCCAACATTGTACTTTACATTTATGCAAATTTTAAACTCTATAGGCACCTCCTAGTAGCTTTGGGGGAAAATAATACTCTGTGCATCGTGTAATGGATAAGAAAATGAGTTAAAGGGCCGGGTGCGGTGGCTCATGCCTGTAATCCCAGCACTTTGGAAGGCCGAGGCGGGTGGATCACCTGAGGTCAGGCGTTCGAGACCAGCCTGACCAACATGGTGAAAACCTGCCTCCACTAAAAACACAAAATTAGCTGGGGGTGGTGGTGCATGCCTGTAATCCCAGCTACTTAGGAGGCTGAGGCAGGAGAATTGCTTGAACCTGAGAGGCGGAGGTTGCAATGAGCTGAGATCGCACCCTTGCACTCCAGCCTGGGCAACAACAGCAAAAACTCCACCTCAAAAAAAAAAAAAAAAAAGAAAAGAAAAGAAAATGAGCTAAGGAGCTAGGCTTCCTTATTTCACAACCTTGGCTCTGTCTCCTATGAAACCAGGGCAACTATTTAACCCCTCCATGTCTGAGTTTCCTCATGTATAAATGAAGGGAGCAATAGTACCTAGCTTATAAGGCCATTATAAGGATTTTAAAAGTTAATCTAAAGTGCTTAGGACAGTGTATGGCATAGAGCAAGCACTCAGTAAATCCATTCATTCAATAAATGTTTATTGAATATAGGTGTGGCTGCTGTTTTGGCTGATGAGTATACTAAAGTCAGTGAAACAGACGAAATCTGTGGAGCTTTCTTCCTTGGGGGAGGAGGCCAACAACAACAACGAATACACACAGAGGAAGAGCAATGGAATGAATTGTGTTCCCTCCCCTCCCAAATTCATATGTTGAAGCCCTAACTGCCAACGTGATGGTATCTGGAGATGGGGCATTTGGGAAATAATTAGATTTAGAAGAGATCATGAAGGTGGGAGACTCGTGATGGGATTAGTGCCCTTTTAAGAAGAGAAAGAGTCAGGTGCAGTGGCTCTTGCCTGTAATCTCAGCACTTTGGGAGGCCAAAGCAGGAGGATCGCTTGAGTCCAGAGTTTGAGACCAGCCTGGGCAACATGGTGAGACGCCATCTCTATAAAAATAAAAATAAAAAATTAGCCCAGTGTGGTGGCACACACCCATAGTCTCAGCTACTTGGGAGGCTGAGGCGGGAGGTTGAGGCTGCAGTGAGCTATGGTTCTCATCAGTGCACTCCAGCATGGGTGACAGAGCAAGACTGTCTCAAAATGAAAGAAAAAACAAGAGAGAGAGAGAGATACACCAGGGCTCTCTCTATGTCCTGTGAGGACACAGCAAGAAGGCAGCTGACTGCAAGCCAGGAAGAGAGCCCTTACCAGGAACTGAAGCTGTCAGCACCTTTATCTTGGACTTCCCAACCTACAGAACTGTGAGAACTAAATGTGTGTTGTTTAACAGACATTTTGTCTATGGTATTTTGTTTGTTGTTGGTATTTGTTGACATTTTGGTATTGGTGTGTTGTTTGTTGGTATTTTGCTATCAGCAACCCGGCAGACTAATATAGATTTATATGTAAACATATATTTGAATAGGAACCCTGCAGAAGCCACATAGCTGGTTTTACTGATGCAAAGAGCCCTATGCTATAGTATGATGAGGTGAAGGGCTTACATTTCCCTTTCAGCAGTGGTATCCACTCTCCACAGCATAGACTTGGAGAAGCCACTTGACTCTCATCTTAGATTCCTGCATCTGTAAAATGATGAACTAGATGATACCCAAAATTTTAGATTCTATCCATCTTATGGTTGGAATAACAGCCCACCTTCTAGGTCAATTACACACACAGGTGTGCTGATGCTTAGGGTGGCAGAGAGGGTGTCCCACAAGTAGACACTGATTATCCTAACTGTAACTTTCAAATGGAAAATTAATTAAATCTCTAAATTTGGATTTGGCTTCCTAGTTAGCACTGTTTCCTTCCTGGAAAAGAAATAGTTATGTGTCAGACAGAACAGCCCCCTCTGATCATTTTTTTCCTTCTTCCTTGCATTATTGTTAGCTCTGACTGTGCAGCTCTCCTGGTGTCTCTCCCTTTCTAGATAACAGCCTAGAAAAAGGAGCTTATGGTTTCCCTGAGGTTCTTTTGATAAATGGCTGACATTTGATTGAACCATTCTCATTTCACTTATTTTTCACTTTCACAGAAAAACTGTAGTAGGTATAACAGCACAAGGTAATCATTTTTAAATTATTCAGACATTTTTAAAAATTTGATTCTGCTTCTCTCACCTCTGAAAGATGTTACTGGGGTGTCTTGGTTGCAAAGATTCATTCAAGTTCTTTTGCTTTTGGATTCTCCATATTCTCTGAGGAAGTGACTGCATCTAAGACTGTGTCCAAGGAAGCATCTTATCACTTTCATCCTTTGATCCCTGAGTGCCTTTCACTACCAGATATACTAAAACAAAAATCTTCTCTTAGCTCCCTGGTGCAGTGGAGTTGAGGGATAACCACAAAGAATTCAGAGTACATCACATAACGGAACTGTCAGGAAGCTTTTGATGGCAGAAACATATTTTCCTGGTGATGAGATTAGAAGGATCTTCATATAACCATCAGATATGTTATTGTCACTTCTGAACAATGCTTTTTATAGCAGATTGTTTCTCAAAAAGGAAATAGAAATGCGATTTTAAAATATGAAAAATATGTTCAATCTCATTATTAAGATAAATGCAAATACAAATTATAAGAGGACTTAACAGATTGGCAAACATCAGAAAAGTGAACAACCTCCTCCACTGGCATTCTTTTTTTTTTTTTTTTGAGATGGAGTTTCACTCTTGTTGCCCAGGCTAGAGTGCAGTGGTACGATCTCAGCTCACTGTAACCTCCACCTTCCAGTTTCAAGCGATTCTTCTGACTCAGCCTCCTGAGTAGCTGGGATTACAGGCTCCTGCCACCACACCCGACTAATTTTTGTATTTTCAGTAGAGATGGGGTTTCACCATGTTGGCCAGGCTTGTCTTAAACTCCTGACCTCATGATCCGCCCGCCTTGGCCTCGGGAGTATAATTTGCTGTATGGAGGGCAATTTGACAGTATCTATCAGATTTTATAATGTACAGAGCCTTGAATTCAGTAATTCTACTTTTAGGAACTTATCCCACAGATATTCCAGACATGCTCAAAGATGTAGGTACAAAGATTTTATTGCAGTATTATTTGTAAGAGTAAAAAACCAGTCCATGAGGAAGACTAGTTCAATAAGTTAATAATCTAGAATATATCGATATAATGGAATACTATCAAAGAACAATTTTCACAATGTATTTTTAAGAGGGGGAAGGTACAGAAACATATGTAAGGAGTTTCATTTGTTTAATATACAATTAGTGACACAGGTTGCATCTGGGGAGGAAAATTAGGGAACAATTTTTTGTTGTACACCTTTATCTTTCATTGTATCTCTTTCAAAACCTTTTGTACCATTTGTGTGTATTGTGTATTTTAAAAATTAATTTAAATTTCAACAACCGTTATAGTGATGCAAAAAACCCTATAGAAATAACAGTTTACATTCAATTTTGCTATATGTCAGGTACTGATTTTTCAACCACAACCTTGTAAGATACGTGCTATTATCATCCCCACTTCACAGGGGGAAACCTGTGGTAGAGAGAAGCTGAATAACTTGTACAAGGATTCATACCTAATCAGTAGCAGAGCTCAGATTTGAACCCAGGCAGCCTGTTTCCAGAGACCATACTTTACCCACCATTCTATACTGCTCTGAGGTCACAGACCTCCATGATGAACTCTTAATTGAGTGCAGTCAATAGGAAACTCAGATAAACTCAGATGTACAAGAAATATCTCACTTCTTCATTTGCTTTTCACCTACTTAACTCTGACTCTGAGTCCCCATCCAGCTTGATTGGCAGAAATTGTAATCTCAGTCATTATTTGGACTCTCCACTGCAAGGGTTTTTCAAGGTCCTGGAATCTTACATGGCACCAAAGCTTGGCAGAGATCCTGCCAGTTGTCAATACATACTGGTTACCACTGACATGTCCATTGCAGTCCAGTACTCTCCTGCGGCCATGTGTAGTCCTACTCACCCTCACCCATAGACTGAAAACTTCCTTATATTCTTGGGAAATTTTCTCCTTTCCTTTTCCTGCTGCCTTCAAAGACATTGATAATACTATCTTCATTGAGTTCAGGTTTTATCTACAGACAGCTAGATCATTCTGCAAAATATCTCTAAGGTAAGAAATTACTAAGGGCCTACCTAACTCACTTAGATCAAAGGGGTAGAGAAAGTACAGAAAGTAGACAAAGAAATTAATATTTCAATAGATTATCCTGCCACAGAGTCATAGCCATGAAAAACAATAACTTTGGATTTGGAATTTACCTCCTACCTCAAGTTTCCCTCTGCAAGTGTTTGGACTTGCATGTTATGGAATGATGATTGTAATGAACCATGCCTTCTATTGGTAGCAGATTTTGACTGAGATATAGGACAGTTAACAACTGCAGTTTGAATGCAAAGGCAGACAGAGTACACTTTGCACAAGGGACAAAGAACTGATAGGGAAACAAGGACAGTCTCCTTTTACACCTTAAAAATCCTCAAATAAGAACCTGGCTTCTGCTCAGCTAACCGACACATAAGTGCAGAAAAAAAGACAAGATTGGAATCCAAGGAAGGAAATGTTAGAATCCAAGGGCCAGGAATCAAAGAGAATATATTTAAATAGAAACCAGGTTGATACTAGAACTTTGGGATGCCTAGAGTAGGCGGGAAAAAGATGTATGATCTAAGCACAGGATATTTCGAATACAGGAGCTTGGATAAGAAGTCTATCCCAAATTCCATCTGCCACCAATGAAAGCAGAAAGGAAATACGTAATGAGAGCCAAGCCATGGGGAAATAGTCCAAGATGGGTGTGCCTCCTGTGTATTTAGTAATCATGTCCAGCTCAGCAAATCTGAGTTTCTTTATTCCTTGAGCCACTGTCCATTTTAATGAACAGGGAACATTTGATCTCAAGCAGCTTCAGAAACTCAATTTTCCCCCAGCCTTTGTCTAGGTTTTATAGAGGAAAAGGTATAGTTGCAGTACTGGTTGATATTTGCTTGTGAGAGCTCTTGGGCAGGTAATTCTTGATCCTTTGCTCCACCTAGTGGATTTCCAGGCTAGAGAGACTCTGGAAAAGAGATCAGTGATCAGAAGGGTGTACATTTGCTGATAAATGAGACTTACCAGTCAGTTTCTGGATTATCGTCAGTTTCTGGATTATCGTCTGTTTCTTTACTGACGATACCCGATTCCATCCCAAAGTGTCCTTGTTTGAATTGATTGAAATCTTTCATTTATTTCCATTAATGCCAGATGTGTAGCTGTAAGTCATCAAAATCTAATGCATTCCTTTTCTCTCTTCTTAATATATAAATAACATTATATAATCAGGAGACCCATATCAGCACAAGAAAGCATATTCTACTTATAATTATATCCTCTGAGGGCCAAACACACTCAAACCTCAACAGAGTCATTTAATTAAACAATGACCTACCTGCTTAACACTTTGGGGACTCCTTTGAACAATAATTGGTTAAAGAGTCATAGGACCCTTTCTCAAGAAGTTTCACATCCAATTATAAAAACAGATGAAATAACACTGGAAAGCAGGGCGACGCTGAAAAATTTCAGGTAGAAGAGAATTCAGAGCTGACTCTTACACAATATCCATATGTGGAGATAAAATTAGTGTTAATGTAGGTTTAAGCCATTAGAGTTACAACATAAATTTGACAATCTATGCTTACTTGCTGGCTGACCATGTCCCTGTCAGTTACCAGCCTTAAAGGCTACCAAGGCATTATTCTTTATTCCTTACCTATATTTAATACTTACTTTTTGTTATGGGTTGAATTGTGTCCCCCAAGTATTCATATGTTGAAGTGCTAACCCTCAGTCCCTCAGAATGTGACCTTATTTGGAGATAGGGTCTTTATAGAGGTAATCAAGTTAAAATGAGGTCATTAGGGCATCTCTACTCCAATATGCCTGCTATCCTTATAAAGAGGGGAAATTTGGAGACAGATGCACACAAAGGAAGAACACCATATGAAGATGAAGATGGCCCTCTACAGGCCAAGGAGAGGAGCCTGGAATGGATTCCTTCCTCACTTCCCTCAGAAACAACCAACTCTGCTAATACCTCGATATTGGGTTCCCAGCCTCCAGAACTGTGAGAAGATAAATTTCTGTTGCTTAAGTCACCCAGTTTGAAGAACTTTGAATGGCAGCCCTAGTGAATTAGTTCAATTGCCTCTGGCAAATGAATAAGAAGCTCACTGCAAAAATGAAATTAATCCACCGAGTGCTAGAGTTGGACGGGATCTCAGAAAATGTATTGCACAATCCCCTTGTTTTGAAATAAATGCCCAAGGTCACACAGCAAGTTGGTGACTTAGTCACTCTTTTAGCTCAACTTTCAGTCCATCAACGTTCTATCACAGTCTGCCAACTATTTCAAAGATGGTGGCAAAATCAGCCAATGATGGTGATTAGATCCAAAACTTAGTTGCAAATAATTTTTCGGGGAACTATATGCAAGCATAGGTCCTTCCTAAATATTTGCTAATGGAAGCATGTGCTAAATAGGATGCCTACCAGAAGACTGATACCCAGCAGAATAGCTAGACAGGTAATTTGACCTCTGGCTGGGCCCGTAGGATTCATCATCCCTCCAGACAAGCACTTGGTTGTGGTAAAGATCTGGCTCTGGTTGGAAGGCTGTCCCATCCCACTGAGGGTGATTCACCAGAGCAACTTAATCATCTACGGATCAGAAGCTCAGGTTCATGTGAGCAGGGTGGGGGTTAAGGGAAAGAGAGTCTGAGTAATGCTTCACAGTGGGTGTGGGGACTTGTTATAATAGTAGGCACGCTGTTGATTAAAGTACATGACAGAAGTAATTGCCAGAGATCCCAAACCAGCCATCACCTAGCATTAGAGATGTATCTAATATCAGACAGAAAGCCTAGTTTCAACTCTGCAGCAGAGGCCTTTGAAAAGTCTCCAGAAGTAATTGGCACTTAATCAATGCAATCATTATTACAGCACATGGCTACTGCAGCTTCAGGCCCTCTTGCAACCACTGAACTGCAAAAGAGGAGACTATGTCTGTAGAATTTTACCACCAACACAACATTTGATTCACAATCTCAGACTAGACAGGAGTGAACATATTTTCATATTTATATATTTTAGAAATACAGGTTCACTGTCAATAAGAATTCAGTCTTGTATAAATGATGGTATAAACAGGGAGGGGCATTTTCCCTTTACAGAGGCTTAATCAGCATTAATTTTGAGAGATAGGAAAGCAAAATCTACCACAGGCTGTTAAGCATTTGTTTTTCATCTAATCTTCTCAACCCTCCATTCAATATTTGGGGGAGTATGACTGTTTATCACTTGCTGAGATATGCAAGGTGCACATGCTGCTTATAATTAAGGAACAAAGAAATGTTGACTTTGCTCTTGGTCTTGCTTCATAAAGTGTTACCACTGGGCATCAAATTGGGTGTTTAAAGGAGAATATACCTCTCTTGGAGAGTAGACACGATTTTTAGGCCTAGATCGTCTCTTCTTTTCCCCGCAGGAGTTCGTAGTTAACTTTCCATCACTCTGTAAAAGGCAATTAGAAAAAAGAAAAAGCCCAAGTTCCCCTCTTGGCATCTTGCAGAAGTCTTTCATGCATAATGGATGAGAGGAAATGGGGAGAAAGAAAAGAAACATCCTGAAATTTAAGCACCCGTAAATGTTTTCATAGATGTTGGTAGTCTATTTCAGTGTTTTTCAAAGGATATTCCCAGATTACCCACTTCAGGATAAGCTGCATTGTTGACAATGCAGATTGCCAGGCCTCAATATTAGACCTGAATCAGAATTTATGGGACTAGGACCCTGGAATCTACATTGTTAGCAAGTGTCTCCAGGGATTCCTGTATACACTGAAATGGAGCCTACTCATCTATCTTCCATAGTCTAAACAGTGCTGTGCTCAGTATCTCCCTCCCTACACCTCTCCCTTGTTAATCAAATCAAGTCTCTCATATTTAAATGTCTTTTTGTATGCAGATGGCTCTCAAATTTATATCCACAGCCCACACCTCTTCCCTAAAACTCCAGAATCCTATACCCTACTGCCTGATTGACATTTAATAGGCATATTCAAAAACAAACTCTTGAATTTTCTCTCCAAACTTGTCCTTCTTCATCTCCATAAATAGCACCATGATTACCATAAAACCTTGAAGTCACTGTTGACTGCATCCTTGGCATCTTCCTCACTTTCTCTCATATTCATTTCCAATCCATCAGAGTACTGTCAGCTCTACTTTCAAAATATGCCCCAAATCTTCCTCTATCTCGAAGACCAGATAGGAGGCTGCTATCAAAATATGATGTTTTGATTATATAATATATATTATATTATAGACTTGATATATTGTATACTCACAGCTACACATTTGGCATTAGTGGAAATAAATGAAAGATTTCAATCAATTCAAACAAGGACACGTCGGGATGGAATAGGGTATCGTCAGTAAAGAAACTGACAATAATCCAGAAACGGGCTGGTAAGTCTCATTTATCAGCTAATGTACACACTTCTGATAGCAGCCTCTTATCTGGTCCCACTGCATGTTTTCTGTATCAGCCAGAGTTCATTTGCAGATAACAGAAGCCATTCTAGCTATTTGAAGCAGAAAGGGATTCAAAACAGTTGTGGTAGATTGATGTTACAAAAATCCTTCCTGTTTCACCCACCTTTTTGCAATTGCCACAACTCCCATAAAGAGATGAAGTCTATTTTTCTCTCCTTGTAAATCTGGGCTAGCCCTCGGTTTAATTCTGACCAATGGAAAGAGGCAGAACTGATGCTGTGTCACTTCCAGACCTAGCCTTAAGAGGCTTTGCGGCTCCCACTCTCACCCTCTTAGAAGAAAGCAGCCGTCCTGTAAGGAAGCTCAGGCTAGATTACTGAATGATGAGAGACCATAGGAGAGAGAGGTCTCAGCCTTTCAAGGCATCCCTGCCAAAATCCTAGACATACGAGTGAGACAAAGTAGGGCCACTGACAGCTGAATACACCCACCTGCCTGTGGAGCCAGGCAGGATCAGCAGAATTGCCCAGCCAAACTAAGTTTTTGGGGTGCTTATTACACAGCAAGAGATAACTGAAATGTCACTAAATTTAGGGATTGCAAAACCATTGGAGGGTTGGTGGGGCAGGCTGTAAATGTGGCCTCCAGGAATGACTCACAGAATAACACCACAGAACTGCCCTGTTAGAAGAATCGCCGCTCCTACCATAGTCTGAAAGCTAAGGATCAAGAAGCCATCAACCACTTTCTAGCTTCAGAAACACACTATCTTAGTCATGCTCTGGACATCAGGAAGTCTCCACAAGTCTGTTGGCTTCAGAATCATACCACAGATCAATTTTAGATAGCAAAATGGATAAAGTGCTGTGACCACCTTTTCCCCACTGAAGTTTGTTCTGAAATCAAGACTTATGCAAATGCATATAACTAGCAAAAAGTAAATTATATAAACCCCTAGCTGCAAGAGAATCTTTTTAGCTTTTTTATTTTTTATGTTTATTTTTTGTGGCAGGGTCTTGCTCTGTTGCCTAGGCTGGAATGCATTGGTGCAAACATGGCTCACTGCAGCCTTGAGCTTCTGGGCTCAGACCTTCCTCCCACCTCAGCCTCCCATGTAGTTGGGACCACATGTGCATGTCACCATGCCCCGCTAATTTCTTGATTTTTTCTAGAGACTGGGGTCTCACTTTGTTGCCCTGAATGGTCTCGAACTCCTGGGCTCAAGCAATCCTCCTGTCTTGGACTCCCAAAGTGTGGGATTAACAGGCATGAGCTACCGCACCCAGCCCACTTTTAGCTTTTTGGCCTAGGCACTGTGGGTAGGCATAGAAGAAAGAATTTTTTTAAAAATGCTTTGTTCACTGCGTAACGCTCACAATAGTGTTCACACAAAAGAGATGCTCATTAAATATTTGTTAAATGATTGAACTAAAGTTTGATAAAGCAAAGGCATAACTTAGAAATGACTGTCTCTAGTTCGCCCAAAGTATGAAATTCTGTATGCCTAAAACTCTCTTTCAGTAATTCTCTTTTATGAATATATTCTGGAATATCAAGAAAGATCTAGGATTCAGGATTTTTTTCAGCCCAATATTTACCATCTTTACTATAAGTGTACAACCATCCCAAGTCAGACAAGCTGAGTCTATTTGGTTTTTTTTTGTAATAAATTTTAATTGGAAAAGATGAATTTGGGAGAATGGGAAGAAGGTTTTGAAGGGCAAGCCCTTCAGTCATTTCTGCTTCCTATGGCTTTGGCCACCATCTCACTTTGAGGGCTTGTTCTTCAGGATACTGACAGCTTGATTTCTCTGGGTAATGTCACACAAAGGAAATTAGCTCAGTATGTCTTCTACTGAATTCCATCTGTAGCTCAATGTTTGAAGGTATTTGTGAACATGACTACAGAGCAATTTTGATAAGACAAGGCAATGTTCCAGTCTCTGAGAATATTTTCCCCAAAGAACTATTTTTTAAAATACCACTGAACAGCCTGAAAACCCACCCACACATGAGCAATCTCCTGCAATATACAGAAAGCTTTTCAGGTGTCACAGCCATAATAGCAGGTGGTTCCTTTGGGTAGAAAAATTATGGCAAGAATATAGCGACAGAAAGCAAACTGTTTTGATATTCTGGGTACAACTTTCCCCAAGTGAATCATTCCCATATGCCTACTTTTACCACGGGCGCCTTTCCAGAGGAAGTGATTTGTGTGAACGGAGGTGTAGAGATGCATTCTGGTGGGTACACTTCATTGGTGCCCATATTTAGCAGATCCAATTAATCGTCAGCTATTTGTCAACCCATTCCTCTGTAAGTCTCAAAATGCAAAATTCGAATATGAATTTGATACCTATTTTTGCTTTCCACATAACAAATACATAATCTTGTTATGAAGATTCAGTAGTGCTCTTTTAAGGCAAGGCTGCTTCTGAAATTCCATATGAATAGATTTTTAAATACAAGCTTATAAAGAAGGCTGAGATTAGAGCAATTTGCAAAAGGCAGTCATTTAATTCACTTTTTATTATGAAATATTTGAGACATACAAATAGCTTAAAGAGCTTATTTACTCTGCTGTAAACTTTTGTTGCTTGTAAGATAAAAATCTGGACTTGTAAAAAAGACTTTGTTTCTAGATAGAACAGCAAAGTTGCAAAGTAAGAGTTTTGCATAATTTTTTTCTTTCTCTATAGTGTATAAGACTAGCATTTTTATTGTTTACAGATAAACCAAATCTCCCTTACTGAAAAGGGAGATGTTGTTGTCCCCATCTCAATTTAAAACAAAAATCAACTAAGCTCTAATAGGAAAAGATGTGTACAGGAAGATTGCTAATGGAAAACTTTTATTTTTACATTTTATTTGTATTTAATTTTTAAATTTTTATTTGTTTTATTTATTTGAATGGAAGACAACTGCATTGAAAAATAAAAAGAACCGGGTACGGTGGCTCATGCCTGTAATCCCAGCACTTTGGGAGGCCGAGGTGGGTGGATCACTTGAGGTCAGGAGTTCAAGACCAGCTGGGCCAACATGGTGAAACACCGTCTCTAGTAAAAATACAAAAAAATTAGCCGGGCATTGTGGCATGTGCCTGTAATCCCAGCTACTCAGGAGGCTGAGGCAGGAGAATTGCTTGAACTCAGGAGGTGGAGGTTGCAGTGAGCTGAGATCACGCCACTGCACTCCAGCCTGAGCAACAGAGGAAGACTCCATCTCAAAAAAAAAAAAAAAAAAAAAAAAGAAAAGGAAAAAAAGAAAAAGAAAGCACAGTTATTAAGCTACTTAATTCTGGGCTTTCCAAATCTTAGAGTGGTGTCATTTGCTAGCTGGGTGACCACGAACAAGTTCTTTAACCTCTCTGTGCCTCAGTTTCCTGATCTCTATGGGGAGGATAGGATCCATCAGTTAGGGGTTACATGTGAAGCACTTGGAACAATGCCTGGCACACAGTAAGCCCTCTATCAATGGTAACTCATTTTCTTCTTTACCCTCAACTAGAAAGTCAGCTCCACATGACAGCAGCAATTCTGTCTTGCTTAGTTCTGCAGCCTCAGCATCTATTTTGCCCATAGTAGGCACTGAATAAATATTCGTTGAACTAACTGGTTAATGAAAAATAACTGGGCTTTGAGGTTGAAAGTCAAAGGAAATTTCTCCTAAGTTTTATAGCTAGTGAGGGAAAAATGGACAGCAGTTTAGAGTCAGGGAGGTAGAAGAAAACCCTAAACTAAGATGAGAAGCCTGATTGAAGTTCAGATTCTTCCAACTCTCTGGGTATTGCAATCAGGATTTTATTTCTTAATTTGCTCATTTATTTATTTACTTATTATTATTATTTTTTGAGACAGGGTCTCATTTTGTTACCCAGGCTGGAATGTAGTGGCACAATCACAGCTCACTGCATCCTTGATGTCCCAGCTCAAGTGATCCTTCCACCTCCGCCTCCTGAGTAGCTGGACTACAGGCACGCGCCACCACACCTGGCTAATTTTTAAAATTTTTGTAGACACTAGGCCTCACTTTGTTGCCCAGGCTGGTCTCAAACTCCTGGCCTCGGGTGATCCTCTGGCCTCAGCCTCTCAAAGGGTTGGGATTACGGACGTGAGCCACCATGCCTGGACTCTTTCTTAATTTGTAAAATGGGAATGATAGCTCCCAAGGTTATTCTGAGGAGTAAATGACACTGCATGTGAAAGCTCTTAATAAACTGTAAAGGAATATACAAAAGCATGATATAGTTAATTTCTATCTCAGTAAGTTTTTCCATTGGATGACAATAAAGGGATTCTTTGAGAGTGTTGGAAAAAGGAATCTTTAGCTAAAGATTTCGGTACTAAAAATATTCAACCCCAGAGGTACCACAGACATAGACTAATTTTTTCCATCTGTGCAGTTTAGGGTAGATTTGGCATACGCTCAATACCAGGCAAGAAAGAAACTATGGTTTAGGCTGCTTTTAAAGTTAAAAAAAAAAAAGGCAGAAAAGGAAACTATTTCCTTTTATAAGCAGGAATGTTAAAATAGGGAAAGCTTTCATCGAGCAATTCACTACTGAATCAAAACTATTTGATCCATATTCTCACCTACCTCCCCTCACTCCGTATTTGTGTTGTGGTTAGTTGTCTTCTAGATCATGGTTTATATATCATGGTCACTTCCTCACTAAAGTTAAACAATATAGATTATTCTTAACCAGCCACATGTGACTCAGAGGTCAAAAGAGTGTTCTTTTTGGGTAATCTCTCTCAATTGCTAATACTTAAGGACCTGGTTTTCAGAACCATTGATTATTTAAAATGTATGTCTTTAAGATTAGGCTCCACCCAAGATGCCTCCTCAGAGGCTAAGTTTGAGGTTGAGAAACTAGCTTAAGGAGAAAGATAAAGTAGCAGAAATGTCATGGCGGGTGAGCTGATGACTCACTGCCCCTTCCTTGAACTGCAAGAATGACAAAATGGAAAAGGGGAAAAAAAAAGGCAATGCCCTACTGCAGACTAGAGGCTCCATGAAACCCAAGAAATTCCGAGAACTTGAAGAACTACATGGGTTCTTAGGGTAAAGGCAGTAAGTTTAATTTCCATGGTCAAATTGTTAAGTGCATCAAAGAAAGGACATTAGGAAAGCTAAACTTGATTATACTTTACCATCAGAGCCATCATCCTCAATCTGATCATTTTATTCTCCTGCTTAAAAACTTCAATAACTCCACATTGCTACTGGACCAAGTCTAAACTTACAATCGTATAGTAGAATATTCTTCATAACATATAACCTTCCTTGTTAACTTCACCTTGTAATTAATTCTTTTTTTAAAAAAAATTTATTTATTTTTTAACTTTTGAGACAGGGTCTCACTCTGTCACGCAGGCTGGAGCGGAGTGGTCCAATCATGGCTCACTGCAGCCTCAGCCTCCTAGGCTCAAGTGATCCTCCTGCCCCAGCCTCCCAAGTACCTGGGACTACAAGCCTGTGCCATCACCCTGGGCTTATTTTTGTATTTTTTGGTAGAGATGGGTTCCCACTATCTTGCCCAGGCTGGTCTCAAACTCCTGGCCTCAAGCAATCCTTCCTCCTCAGCCTCCCAAAGTGCTGGTATTATAGGTGTGGGTCACCATGCCTGGCCGAATTAATTTTTATTACATGTCTTGGAAGGTATGGGGGACAACTTAGAACTTCCCAAATAAGCAAGATACTTTTAAATTCCCATCAATTTGTTTACACTATTCCCTCTGCTTAAAACTCTCATCCCAGCTGGCAACTCCTAACTGCTTCAAAGCCTGCCTCAAGTATCATTTCTTCTCAGTAGCTTTCTCAATTCCTATGCTCTCTTGCTCAACTCCCACTCTCTCCTGCTACTCAGAATGATTGCTCTTTCATCTCTGGAGTCATAGCACTTTAAGCATGCCTTTGTTAAATCACTTAACCCAATGAAATAAATGGACTCACAGAGTTCTATCCTTTCCTCAACTTACTGTGTACTCCCTGAAGGCAAGTGTGAGCATGTCATTGTACAATTCTTGCCACACTATTGGAGAATAATACAGGTGTGTTGAATTGAATGAAATATTAAAAGAGGACCAAAGAATAGATGGATCTTCTAGGCCTAGGAATTATACTAGGAGTAGAAGGTGTATCCTAAATCCATGTATGTGATTCTGCTTTGGTCTTACCAGAGTGAATGTAATTTGCTTTTATTTAAAAACAGTGTTGACAGGCCATGCACAGTGGCTCATGCCTGTAATCCCAGCACTTTGGGAGGCCAACGCGGGAGACCACCTGAGGTTAGGAGTTCGAGACCAGCCTAACCAACATGGAGAAACTCCATCTCTACTAAAAATACAAAATGAGCTGGGTGTGGTGGTACGTGCCTGTAATCCCAGCTACTTGGGAGGCTGAGGCTGGAGAATTGCTTGAACCTGGGAGGCGGAGGTTGTGGTGAGCCAAGATCACACCATTGCAGTCCAGCCTGGGCAACAAGAGTGAAACTGCATCTAAAAAAAAAAAATCCCAAAAACAGTGTTGGATTCACACTCATGCGTGTAATCCCAATACTTTGGGAGGCCGAGGCTGGTGGATCACTTGAGGCCAAGAGTTCAAGACCAGGCTGGCCAACATGGCAAAACTCCTTCTACTAAAACTACAAAAATTAGCCAGGCATGGTGGTGCATGCCTGTAGTCCCAGCTACTCGGGGGTGCTGAGGCATGAGAATCGCTTGAACCCTGGAGGTGGAAGTTGCAGTGAGCTGAGATCATGTCACTGCACTCCAGCCTGGGTAACAGAGCGAGACCCTCTCTCAAAAACAAACAAACAAACAAACAAACAAACAAAAAAAGCCCCACAAACCAGTGTCATTTAGCCAGGTGTGGTGCATGCCTGTGGTCCTAGCTACAGGGGAGGCTGAGGCAGGAGGATTGCTTGAGTCCAGGACTTCAAAGCTGCAGTGAGCTATGATCACACCACTGCACTCCAGCCTGGGCAACAAAGCGAGACCCTGTCTCTAAAGAAAACAACAACAACAACAAAAAACCCTCAAACCACACTAGTGTCATGAATATATTTCTTTAGATAAAACTTTATTAATCAGCTTTCTGTTTAGAATTGGCTTTCCCATAATCCAGTTAACCAAAGGTAGTTGAGTAATTTGAAATATTCCCCAGCTGGAGTAGAATCACATTTGGGGCTTGCTTCAATCAGTGCACCTCTGTCTTGCTTTTGCTTTTCAGAGAGACCCTAGGTCAACCATAGCCTTTGAAGGCATGAGCTGAACGGAAACCAGATGAACTCTATTGAATTTTAAATTTGCCACATTTCCTAGTCTAGTATTAAACTTTTCTTCTCTAGTTGAGCAAGTTAACCAAAGAAGTATATATATATTTTTTCTCTTATAGATTATGCTCACCTAAGAACTTGAGGTTACAACACACACACACACACACACACACACCCAAAAAACCAAATCGCAAAACAAATTATTCCATACTCATTCCATTGGTTCTTTTGATGGCCTTCTGTCAGTGTTAATGGTTGGTGTGAAAGATTTTTGGAAACGTTTTCCAGGAGGGAGTAATAGCATTTCCTGAAGCACCTTTTATCTTGGTTTGTGGCAAATGATTCTTTCAATGCCCTCAGGTCACTTATACCCTAAGACCCTGCATGAGTTTATTCAACCTTCAAATCAGTCACTTCTGCCCTCATCTAGGGCACATAACAATGTAGTTAGTTACCCAGCAGGTATCGCGGCTAAGTAAGACCATAAATAAATCATATGAGCAGGAGCTTTTGGAGTCAGTCTTCTGTCTGAGCACCTCTAACCGGTTATGCTACCTTAAACAAATTACTTAACTTCTCTCTGTCTCACCTGATTTACCAGTTTAAAAAAAAAGGAATAATAATGGTACCTACCTCATAGGTTTGTTGTGAGGAGTTAAACGTCTAAAGCACTTAGAACAGTGTCTGGCATATGGTAAGTATTCAATAAACATTAGCCTTATATTCTATACTTTAAGTACCATTTATTTATATTTTTACATACAATATGTGGGCATAACAAAAAATTAAAGGAAGAATGGTCATTTTTAGAAAAAACTTTATTTACAAAACCACAACTCAGTCTGCTTTGGTATTGACAAAATCCCTACAACTGAGATATTAAAGAGATACATTTATTTTAGAGTTACATAAAACCAGAATCCAACACTACCCTACTTTCCTATTCCTTTGTGGCTCTGAATGCAGCTTTAAAAAAAACAAAACAAAGCAAAGCAAAGCAAAACAAAACAGCTCTTTATAATGTACAATGGCTTAAGCAAATCGCTTTAGTTTTTTTTTCTATTTAAGATTTAGGACAGACTACTCGTCTAAAATTCACTATTTACAGAGAAGGTCCTAGGGAACAGGATAACTTATTTAGGTTTAGCTCTCATAATACAATATCCATAATGGCTTTAGAAGAATGTAAATAAATAACATTGGTAAACAGCGTATACTGATATTTTCTGACAAACTCATTTATCTAACATCATGCTGAGCAATCAAGAGGATTCCTCTATATATTTTAAATTTTAATTTATTCTATTTCCTGATTCACAAACTCTTGCTCCATGTTAAAGCAGTTATCACCAATAGAACCTATGAGAACCAGTGCCCATGGAAACCTAACAGCTTGTTTTTTTAATCCCCTATTAAAACTCGGTTGAACTTGATATATGCATGGTTGAAATATGCGTGGGTACTAGGCCTTTATTCAGGAATGTAAAATTAATGGTATCTGGTATCAAGTTGTAAGAAAAACTCCCCCAGATTGGGAGGTAACTGAGTGATATGTGAAAGAATCTTCCCGTCTGAATTTAAGAATACACCTACACTGGGCAGAAAAAGGTGGGGGAGAGGAAGTAGAAGTAGAGGAAAAGCACAACTCCACTGGCTTCAATCAAACTGAGGTAACTAATTAGAGACAGAAAATAAATAAATCAACAAATGCCCCATTTTTGTTTTCCAAAAAAGATCACTGGCAACTAACAATTTTAAAGTTGATCCATTAATATATTTTTAAATAGAAAAAAGTTTGTATATCATATATATCATAATTCCATTTATCTAATACACTCCTCTGCTGAGATATTTAACACATCTTCATCTGTACTCTCTTCTATCTCTGGCAAGTTGCCCCGAAGTAGGACGTTTACACCTGAAAATAAAAAGTCATAAAATTCTTTAATGCTTACTACTGTTATAACTCAGAACACAAATTACGAAACTTTATATGTTAATATTCTTATGTAAACCATAGTGTTAGCAGTAAAAAGAGTAGCTATTGAAGAATGTACTGCAAATAAAATTACCTAATATTATCCATCTAGGACATAAACTTTATTTATTTATTTTGAGAGAAATTCTCTCTGTGTTGCCCAGGCTGGAGTGCCTGGCAGGATCACGGTTCACAATCACAGATCACTGCAGCCTGAACCTCCAGGGCTCAAGTGATCCTCCTACCTCAGCCTCCCAAGTCACTTGGACTACAGGCGTGTACTACCACACATGGCTAATTTTATTTTGTAGATACAGGTTCCCACTATGTTGCCCAGGCTAGTCTCAAACTCCTGGGCTCAAGCAATCCTCTCTCCTTGACCTCCCAAACTGTTGGGATTACAGGCATGAGCCACCATGCCTGGCAAACACTTTTTTTTAAAGGGCTAGGACATAAACATTCTTTAAATCCTTTTAAGCAAGGGCTTGAATTCTAGAATTTTACAGCTCAAAAGGCTCTCAGGAGTCCATTTACTCAAACTCTGCCTCCAGCTGCATTATAACATAATCACTATACACTGATAATTTTCTGATCTATTTTAATGATGTTTAAGAATGGAGATCTCACAAGATCCTTTTAGATTAAATGCCTCTTTGGAGGGTTCAGGGAGAAGTCCTGAATAAGTCTCCTCATCCCTTCAATAAGCAGAGAAGTAGCTGGTGCCATTTTTCTGATTCAGAAAAAAAGCAAGGGTTCGGAGCCAGTTATAATATGAACTGCAATCCTTGGTACCAGTGGGTTTCAGTCCACAGGCAGAGCTTTAAACTGAACTTTAGGGCCAGGTTGCAGCAGTCACTATAATAAACAAAAGAATAATCAAAAACTTCACTGAGAAAGAATAGTCAGATTTCATATTGAAGAATGAAGCACAGGTATACAGTAAATGACTAAACATACAGTAGAGGATAATGACAAGTTTATTACTCTGGGCATATATTACATTATTAGTTAAAAGCACTAAATGGAAAATAACTGACCTCTAGGATAGCCAATTAACTTCACAAGAAAAGCAAATCTTTTTTTTTTTCTTTTTGAGTCGGAGTCTCGCTCTATTGCCCAGGCTGGAGTCGAGTGGTGTAATCTTGGCTCACTGCAACCTCTGCCTCCCAGGTTCAAGTGATTCTCGTGCCTCAGCCTCCCGAGTAGCTGGGACTACAGGCGAATGCCACCATGCCTGGGTAATTTTTGTATTTTTAGTAGAGATGGGGTTTCACCACGTTGGTCAGGGTGGTCTTGAACTCCTGACCTCAGGTGATCCCCCTCGCCTCGGCCTCCCAAAGTGCTGGGATTACAGATGTGAGCCACCACACTTGGCCAGAAAAACAAATCTTAAGCTGTCCAGTTATCAGTGTGGACACAAAGAGGATCCAGCAATTCAGGATACCCACCCCATATACACTGAGATAGCAGCCACATGGCGGAATGGAATGAGCCAGGATTTGGAGATTTGGTTTGAATCCAGTGTTCACCACTGCTAGTACACCATGCATGGTTTTACTACAAATGCATGCAACATAGACAATATATATTACTGTTTAGTGGATTTAAATTTTGTATAGAATGTTATTACACTACATATTGTTTTCTAATTTGCTTTTTCACTCGTCATGTTTTTGAGGTTAATCCATGTTAACTTGTGTAGATTTCGTTCATTTATTTTTACTTCTGGAGAGTATTCCATTTTGTGAATTTTTAAAAATGTTGCAAATACAGCCCATTGCTCATCCCTTCCTCAGCTGCCCATCTTGCATAGGTGGTTCAAGGCGACATGCACAGGGATGTGTAGTGTGACATTGTTGAAACAGTAGAAATAATTAACTGTTTACCTTGACTGAGGGAGATACTGGAATCTAATCTGGCAAGAATTTAGCATGTATCTGATGCTGGTAGGGATACAGATGTGTATCTTATTATTTTCTATAATCTTTTCGTGTTTGAATTGTTTATAATAGAAAACGCTACCCCATCCCCACCCCCACCCTAAGAATGAATGGTGTTCTGCTCCAGGTAAATGTCATGGAAGAGCTGACAGGAAGAGCTGTAAGGAATTGCGAGGCAAAAATCAAAGTGAAAATTAGAACCCATAAATGTAAATGGAGGGCTGAAGCCATTTTGACTCTGAGGGCATTTGCCAATTTCAGGAAATTTGAGCTGAGGTTTCCCAAGGCTCCTCCAGAAAGTTCTGGGAAATCAGGTCTCTAAATGAAGACTAGCCTAGAAAACAGACCTCCAGGAGTCCTTTTCAGTTTAAACATTATAGAATTTATAAGGCTTGTCTATGCATTCCTTTGACACTGCTGGTTCAGGTGATTCAAGGACAGTTGTGGCGCCATTAGAAACTTGCTTTGATACCAAGCATCTAGAAAATCTTGCTTGAAATCACAATATTAGGGTTACAAAGCAGAAGCTTGATATTCTTGGAGTCAGTACTCAGAGACATGAAGCAGCTCAGCACAATTGGTTCAAAGGAGGAAAAATAAACTAAGAGATTGGATCTGACAGAAGCAGCACCTTCCTTTCTCTGTTAAGAAGGGAGGAAGGAAATCCTGTGATACATGTTTCTTATGGATTAGATTCAGTGCAAATGGAAGAATGCGGGGCTTTTATCTTTGAAAAATTGACCAATATTAAAAAGTAAATCAAACTTGAAAAATCTCCACCCTGTGTTTTGAATTCTGTAAAGCAGGAAAAATACTATCAAAGCAGAAACTTCCTTTAATGTGTCCCATGGGCAACACAAATATAAAACTGGAGACTTAAATTAGGAGACTGTATCCCACTTAGGGGAGTTCAGATAAGTCCTTACATGAAAATGGCCTTCTTAACATACCAAAGTTTTAAATTAAGACCCCATAAATGATAGATTGAGAGCCACAGTTGAGTCCCAGATAAAAAAATCAAATCTACAAAAATCTAAGCATAATTGGAGGATTTAAAGACCCTTGACAACCTAGCTTGCAATTCGTGATCTTTTGGTCTGTGAAGGCAAATCATATATTTAAAAAATACATTTAAGTTCTAAAGGAGACTAAAACATGCATTTAGGAACCTAAGAATGCTAGTGTCAACTTAGATTGTCAAGTTACTTAAAGTCGGCTGGCGAGGTGTCTCAGGCCTGTAATCCCAGCCCTTTGGAGGCCAAGGTGGGCAGATCACTTGAGGACAGGAGTTCGAGACCAGCCTGGGCAAAATGGCAAAAACTGGTCTCTACGAAAAATACAAAAAATTAGACAGGGATGGTGGCACACACCTGTGGTCCCACCTATTGAGAAGGCTGAGATGGAAGAATGGCTTGAGCCTGGGAGGTCGAGGCTGCAGTGAGCCAAGATTGTGCCACTACACTCCAGCCTGGGTGACAGAGCAAGACCCTGTCTCCAAAAAAAAAAAAAAGTTCCTTAAAATCAACTTGGTCTGTTGTGTAAATAGATGTTAGACATGGAGAACATGTGTCTTATAACAAAACTCAATGGCTCCAGGCAATATAAAAAGTATTATATAAATCCCCTTTAAAAATTGGTACTTTGGCCGGTGCAGTGGCTCACACCTGTAATCCCAGCACTTTGGGAGGCTGAGGTGGGCGGATCACCTGAGGTCAGGAGGTCGAGACCAGCCTGGGCAACATGGCAAAACCCCGTCCCTACTAAAAATACAAAAATTAGCCAGGTGTAGTGGTGCGCACCTATAATCCCAGCCACTCAGAAGGCTGAGGCAGGAGAATCACTTGAACCCGGGAGGTGGAGGTTGCGGTGAGCCGAGATCACGCCACTGCTCTCCAGCCTGGGTGACAGAATGACTCCATCTCAAAAAAAAAAAAAAAAAAAAAAAGGTACTTCAGGCCAGGCATGGTGACTCACGTCTGTAATCCCATGTAATCCCAGCACTTTGGGAGGCTGAGGCAGGCGGATCCCCTGAGGTCAGGTGTTCAAGACCAGCCTGACCAACATGGTGAAACCCTATCTCTACTAAAAATACAAAAAAATTAGCTGGGCGTATGCCTGTAATCTCGCTACTCGGGAGGCTGAGGCACGAGAATCGCTTGAACCCGGGAGGCAGAGGCTGCCATGAGCCAAGATGACACCATTGCACATCAGCCTGGGAAACAAGAGTGAAACTCTGTCTCAAAAAAAAAAAAAAAAAAGAATTAGTATTTCAGTGCCTCAGCACCTTAACACAAGGAAAAAGAATTTTTTTTTTTTAAAAGAATTGGTAGTGTACTTTCTTACTAAAATATTTTTTTTTTTTTTTTTTTTGAGACAGGATCTCACTCTGTTGCCCAGGCTGGAGTGCAGCGGTGCCACCTCGGCTTACTGCAACCTCCACCTCCTAGGTTCAAGGGGGGTTTCATCATATTGGCCAGGCTGGTCTCGAACCCCTGACCTCAAGTGATCATCTGTCTTGGCCTCCCAAAGTGTGGGATTACAGGTGTGAGCCACCATGCCTGGCCTTGCTAAAATAATTAGTATAGGCATACCTCAATTGTGCTTTAGTTTATTGTACACCATAGATACTGGGCTTTATATAAATGGAAGGTTTTGGCAATCCTGCATTGAGTAAGTCTAACAGCATATGCTTACCTTGTGTCTGTTACATTTTCATAATTCTCTCAATATTTCAACCTTTTTCATTATTATTATATATATTATGGTGATCTGTGATCTTTGATGTTACTGTTATAATTGTTTCAGGGTGCTATGAACCACACCCACTTAAGACCACACCCACTTAAGACTGCAAACTTAATCGATAAATATTTTGTGTGTTCTGACTGCTCCACTGACCAGCTGTTCTCTCTCTCTTTCCTGGGGCCTCCCTATTTCCTAAGATACAACAATATTGAAATTGGGCCAGTTAATATCCCTACAATGACCTCTAAGTGTTCAAGTGAAAGAGAGTGGCATGTCTCTCACTGTAAATCAAAAGCTAGAAATGATTAAGCATAGTGAGGAAGACATATTGAAAGCTGAGACAGGCTGAAAGTTGGGCCTTTTATGCCCAATTGTTAGCCAACTTGTGACTGCAAAGAAAAGTTCTTAAAGGACATAAGAAGTGCTACTCCAGTGAAAACAAGAATAAAAAAGTGAAATAGCCTTATTGCTGATATGGAGAAAGTTTTAGTGACCTAGATAGAGGATTAAACCAGCCATGATATTCTCTTAAGCGAAAACCTAATCCAGAGCTAGGTCTTAACTCTCTGCAATTCTATGAAGGGCAAGAAAGTTGAGGAAACTGTAGAAGAAAGTTTGAAGCTAGCAGAGGTTGGTTTATAAAGTTTAAGGAAAGAAGCCATTTCTATAACATACAAGTTCAGGTGAAGCAAAAAGTGCAGACGTAGAAGCTGCAGCAAGTTATCCAGAAGATCTAGCTAAGATTATGGATGAAGGTGGCTACACTAAACAACAGATTTTTCTTTTCTTTTCTTTTTTTTTTTTTGAGATGGAGTTTCACTTTTGTTGCCCAGGCTGGAGTGCAATGGCGTGATCTTGGCTCACCGCAACCTCCGCCTCCCGGGTTCAAGCCATTCTCCTGCCTTAGCCTCCCAAGTAGCTGGGATTATAGGCATGCGCCACCATGCCCAGCTAATTTTGTATTTTTAGTAGAGACGGGGTTTCTCCATGTTGGTCAGGCTGGTCTCGAACTCCCAACCTCAGGTGATCTGCCCGCTTCGGCCTCCCAAACTGCTGGGATTACAGGCGTGAGCCACCGCGCCCGGCCTCTTATTCCTTTTTTTTTTTCAGATGGAGTTTCACTCTTGGTGCAATGGTGCGATCTCGGCTCACTTCAAACTCCACCTCCTGGGTTCAAGTGATTCTTCTGCCTCAGTCCCCCAAGTAGCTGGGCATGTACCACCACGCCCAGCTAATTTTTTATTTTTAGTAGAGGCAGAGTTCTACTATATTGGTCAGGCTGGTCTTAAACTCCTGACCTCAGGTGATCCATCCACCTCGGCCTCCCAAAGTCCTGGGATTATAGGCGTGAACCACTGCATCCGGCAGAGATTTTTAATATACACAAAACAGCCTTCTATTGGAAGGAGATGCCATCTAGGACTTTCATAGCTAGAGAGGAGAAGTAATACTTGGCTTCAAAGCTTCAAAGGACAGGCTGAATCTCTTGTTAGAGGATAATGCAGCTGGTGACTTTAAGTTGAATCCAATGCTCATTTACTGTTCCGAAATTTCTAGGGTTCTTAGGAATTATGCCAAATATACTTTGCCTGTGCGCTGTCAATGAAACAACAAAGCCTGGACGACAGCAAATCTGTTTACAGCATGTTTTACTAACTATTTTAAGCCCATTGTTAAGACCTACTGCTCAGAAAAATCCCTTTGAAAATATTACTGTTCATTGACAATGCACCTAGTCACTCAAGAGCTCTGATGGCATTGTACAAGGAGATAAATATTGCTTTAATGCCTTAACATAACATCTATTTGGCAGCCCATGGATCAAGAAGTAATTTAATCTTTCAAGTCTTATTATTTAAGAGATAGATTTCATAAGGCTATAGCTGCCATAGATAGTAATTCTTCTGATGGATCTGGGCAAAGTACATTGAAAACCTGGAAAAGCACATTCCTGATTCATGGGAGGAGGTCAAAATATCAGTCTTAACAGGAGTTTGAAAGAAGTTGATTCCAACCCTCATGGGTAACTTTGAGAGGTTTTAGACTTCAGTGGAGGAAGTAACTGCAGATGTGGTAGAAATAGCAAGAAAACTACACTTAGAAATGGAGCCTGAAGACGTGACTGCATTGCTGCAATCTCATGATGAAACTTTAATGGATGAAGAGTTGCTTTTTATGGATGAGCAAAGAAAATGGTTTCTTGAGGTGAAATCTACTCTTGATGAAGATGCTGTAAATATTGTTGAAATGAAAACAAAGGATTTAGAATATTACATAAACATAGTTGGTAAAGTAGTAACAGAATTTGAGAGGATTGACTCCAATTTTGAAAGAGGTTCTACTATGTGTAAAATTCTATCAAATGGCATCACATGCTACAGAGAAATCTTTTGTGAAAGGAAGAGTCAATCCATGCGGCAAACCTCATTGTTGTCTTATTTTAAGAAACTGCCACAGCCATCCTAACCTCCAGCAACCACCACCCTGATCAGTTTGCAGTCATCAACATCAAGGCAAGACCCTCCACCAGCAAAAAGATTATGACTTGCTGAAGGTTCAGATGATCATTAGCAGTTTTTAGCAATAAAGCATTTTTTTTTTTCTTTTTTGAGACAGGGTCTCATATTGTTGCCCAGGCTGAAATGCACTGGCATGATCACAGCTCACTGCAGCCTCTACCTCCCAAATTCAAGTGATCCTCCCACCTCAGCCTCCTGGGTAGCTGGGACGATAGTATGCCCCACGATGCCTGGATAATTTTTGTATTTTTTTTGTAGAGATGAGGTCTCAGCATGCTGCCCAGGCTGGTCTCAAACTCCTGGGCTCAAGTGATCCTCCCGCCTTGGACTACCAAAGTGCTGGGATTACAGGCATGAGCCACTGCTCTCGGCCGAATAAGTATTTTTTGATTAAGGTATGCACATTGTTTTTTAAATGTCCTGCTATTGCACACTTAATAGACTACAATATATTGTAAACATAACTTTTATACACACTGGGAAACCAAAAAATTGTGTGACTTGCTTTAATTGTGATATTTGCTTGCTTTATTATGGTGGTCTGGAATTGAACCTACAATATCTCCACTTGTGCCTGTACAACATACTTTATACTTTGGTGTCAAATATTTCCCTTGACTAAAATTCTGTCATAACGTATTAACATAGATGTCGAAATGTCTGTTTTTATTCTGAAGCATCACCAAATACAGAGGTTACTTAGTCCTCCTCCTCTCAACTCCCATTGCCCTAGGCCTGGCCTCTCCCTTTCTTACACACACACACAGACACACACATGCATTAGACTATCAAATCTAAAATCTTCAAAAATTCTCTGGAGTCAGAATATGTATCAAGGCAGCAGTTAAGAGCAATTATAATATTCATTTTAAAAGACCAAGAAATTCAGCCAAGTTTGAGGCCTTAAGTACAAGGATGAACATAGAAATGACAATGAATTTTGCCTAATAGTTTTCATAAGTGAATGTCTGGGAAAAAAGAATTGAAGTTTCACTCTAGCTAATCCAGCTAAGAAGATCTAAAAGGAATCCTGAAATGATCTATTGGGAATTTTACTCAGGTATTGATAGAGAAATGTTACAGGAATGTCCAAGTCAATTGTTTCTTACCTGTGGAGTCTAGTCTGTTAATATCATAAACTGCCTGGCTGTGAAACATCCAGAAGTGTCTGTTGTTGCAGGAAAGAAGACAGGAACTACATGGAACAATCACATGATAAACTACAATGTTCCCACTAGAAAAGAAAGTAAATGTTACTAGATACCATGTAATAACTAGCCAGATAAGTCTTTTCATATTGCTTATATAAATAGACCATATAATTTAGATCTCATTTCCTAACAACTTTCATTGCTGAGATCTTTGGGATGGGATGGGGGTGCAGTTCTACCATCAAGTGGGAAAGCAGTCTTTAAGTGAATAATAGTAAAATATTCTCACATTTCTTTGCTATTATTATTATTATTATTATTATTATTATTATTATTGAGACCGAGTTTTGCTCTTGTCACCCAGGCTGGAGTGCCTGCAACCTCCGCCTCCCAGGTTCAAGTGATTCTCCTGCCTCAGCCTCCAGAATAGCTGGGATTACAGGCGTGTGCCACCATGCCCAGCTAACTTTTGTGTTATTAGTAGAGATGGGGTTTTACCATGTTGGCCAGGCTGGTCTCGAACTCCTGACCTCAGGTGATCCACCTGCCTTGGCTTCCCAAAGTTCTGGGATTACAGGCATGAGCCACCATGCTTGTCCTGCTAGTATTATTTTATGCATTCTCCCTTCAGAAGTTAGCTTCTAGATGCCATAATGTTGTGATTTGTTTTATAAACCACCCAAATTGATGTGCTGTACAGACAAAATAAATTAAATTAACTCAGTTCTGTGGGTAAAGGTTTTTGCTATCCCAGGACTGTGGCAAGTTGGGTTCTTACATGTTCTAGTTTCATGCCAGCACCTAAAAACTGTTTCAACAGATGGAGAGGTAGGAAGACAGCATGAGTCCCTGTAAACCAAATACAATCTGGCTGCTCTAATTTTAGTCTCAGTGTTTTTGAAGGAACTCAGAAATAAAGCAATCTACAGCCTCCAGAGAAAGTTGCAAAAGTTTTTACAGTTTTCAGAATTATCCAGCTGATTATAAGTACCTCAGTCTTTCACAATTTTTTTTTTTTTTTTTTAACTAGCTAGTCACATATTAAATAGAGTGAACCTACAGGGAATGTTTTAGCTAGTACTTTAAAAAAAATAGCAACATGAACTGTTTATACCTTGAGTTGTAAAAATTCTTATTCAAGCTTAGTCTTACTCTGTGAGATTTGTGAGTCAGTCATTTTTATGAGACCCAATAAAGATTACTATAAAAGGTACCATTCCACCTAAAATATGTCTTCTAATTATAACTTGCTTGAAAGGCAAACAAATGAAAACAAAAGTTGTGTTTGGACTAGGAGTGCCAGTTATTTGTAAGACTATATTGCAAAAGTAAATTCCATGACTTTAATTACCGCCTATATTCATTCATTCATCCATTGATTCATCACTTAAACTAACATTTATTGAGTATCTGCTATCTTTCAGGCACTGCTCTAGGTGCTAGGAATACACTGGTAAACAAAACAAAGCCCTTGTTGTCACGGAGCTAACAGTCTAGCGAGGCTACATCAGATCATTCTGCTCCCTGGTTAAAACCTCTTCAATAGCCAAAAATGAAAATAAAAACCTTTCCATACCAAGGTCCAGATCTATGCTGTCAAGAATAATAGCCACTAGCCACATGTGGCTGTTGTACACTTGCAGTGGGGCTGGCCTGAATTGAGATGTGCTGTTAAGTGTAAAATGTACACCAGATTTCAAAGAGTAAGACCAAAAAATGGAATATAAAATATTACATTAGTAGTTTATGTTGGTTACATGTTGAAATAATATTTTGGATACATTGGGTTAGACAAAATATATGATTAAAATTAACTTTCCTGTTTTGGTTTTCTTTTGAAAATGTTGTTCTTCAGGTGCGGTGGCTCATGCCTGTAATCCCAGCACTTTGGGAGGCTGAGGCGGGTGGATCACTTGAGGTCAGGAGTTCGAGACCAGCCTGGCCAACATGGCGAAACCCCACCTCTACTAAAAATACGAAAATTAACTGGGCATGGTGGCACGTGCCTGTAGTCCCAGCTACTCAGGAGGCAGAGGTGAGAGAATCACTTGAACCCAGAAGACGGAGGTTGCAGTGAGCCAAGATCATGCCATTGCACTCCAGCCTGGGCAACTGAGCAAGACTCCGTCTCAAAGCAAAACAAAAAAAATGTCGTTGCCCAGGTGCGGTGGCTCACACCTGTAATCTCACACTTTGGGAGGCCGAGGCAGGTGGATCACTTGAGGTCAGGAGTTTGAGACCAGCCTGGCTAACATGGCGAAATCCCGTCTCTACTAAAAATACAAAAATTAGCCGGGTGGGCTGGGTGCGGTGGCTCACGCCTGTAATCCTAGCACTTAGGGAGGCCAAGGCAGGCGGACTGCCTGAGCTCAGGAGTTTGAGAGCAGCCTGGCCAACATGGTGAAACCCTGTCTCTACTAAAATATGAAAAATTAGCTGGGCATGGTGGTGCGTGCCTGTAGTCTCAGCTACTCAGGAGGCTGAGGCAGGAGATTCGCTTGAACCTGGGAGGCAGAGGTTGCAGTAAGCTGAGATCGTGCCACTGCACTCTAGCCTGGGCGACAGAGCAAAACTCCGTCTTAAAAAAAAAAAAAAAAGAAAAGAAAGAAGAAAATAATGTCCAAAGGCCAGTGACTTCATCTAGTTTTTGTTGTATTTCCAGCCCTGGTAACAATGACTACCACATACTAGTTCCTCAATACAAGTATAGCTTAAATAAAGGAATGAAATCAAATAGCACATAAGAAGAGCTTGCCAATTTAAATTATTAGGATTGTCATTTATAATACAAACCCCTTCTAAATACAAACCCCATCTAAATGAGAAAATTTCAACTTTTATCCTCCTAAAATGAAAATAATAACACGTCTACTTCTCAAAAGATTATAGTAATAGCTCTCAGCTGTTGTAATTTATAGTTTATTGAGCACTTTAACATTCATATTTGCTCTTTATAATAACTTGATAAGGTAAACACAGAAGATTATTAAATTTCTATCTTAATAAGACAGAATGGCTGGGTGGGGTGGCTCATGCCTGTAATCCCAGCACTTTGGCAGGCCGAGGCAGGCGGATCACCTGAGGTTGGGAGTTCAAGAGCAGCCTGACCAACATGGAGAAATCCTGTCTCTACTAAAAAAAAAAAAAAAAAAATTAGCTGGGCATGGTGGTGCGTGCATGTAATCCCAGCTACTCAGGAGGCTGAGGCAGGAGAATCACTTGAACCTGGGAGGTGGAGGTTGTGGTGAGCTTAGATCGCGCCATTGCACTCCAGCCTTGGCAACAAGAGCAAAAACTCCTTCTCAAAAAAAGAAAGAAAGAAAGAAATTAAGGTAGGATGCAGTGGCTCATACCTGTAATCCCAGCCTTTTGGGAAGCTGAGGAGAGAGGATCACTTGAGGCCAGGAGTTTGAGATCAGCCTGGGCAACATAGCAAGACCCTATTGCTACAAAAATAAAAAACTTAGCCAGGCCTGGTGGTGCCTGCCTGTAGTCCCAGCTACTCAGGAGGCTGAGGTAGGAGAATCACTTGAGCCCAGGAGTTCAAGGCTACAGTGAGCTATGATCATGCCACTGCACTCCAGCCTGAGCAACAGTATGAGACCCCTCTAAAAACAAAGAAAGAAGGAGTAATAACCTAGAAATTAAATAAGAAAACAGAGGTTCAGCAGTTTAGAGGCTAAAGGAGTTCACTCAAGATCACATAGAGAGTAAGGGTAGGGTCAGACCTCAAACATGATTTTTATTATTGTAAATCCAGGTGTTTCTCCCCCCTAACCTACATTGCCTTGTTCTGAAAATTGAAGCGGATACTGTGAATACACTTTGAAAACTGTAAAATTATATACTAATGTGAAGCATCAGAAAACCCTTTTAAAAAATAGCTCTAAGTAATAAGTAATTTTTCAATGGCTCATTGCATGCTTTATACCAGTCCTTGTTGCAGCCCACTGAACCTTTCTCTATGCTTTGGTGTCAATATCCATCTTCCAAACCCAGAGCTATCCAGAATAGTGCCACAAATTACCATTTTAAACATGCGATGTCCTTCAGTTTACATTTGCAGATTTTGGTGAAATAGCATCTTCCAGTGAAGTCCACTGCGCTGGAGAGAGAAAGGTATAAAAAGACAGTCAGATGTACTTTACAAAAAATTTAATTGTGGCAAAAAATTAACAAAATTTACCAACTTAACAAGTTTTATGTGTGCAGAGCAGATGTGTTAAATATAATCACATTGCTGTGTAATGAATCTCCTGGGTTCAAGTGACCCTCCTACCAGAGTTTCCTGAGTAGGTGGAACTATAGGCGCCCTATACCACATTTTGTTTATCTGTTCATCTGTAGAATCAATGGACATTTGGATTGCTTCCACCTCTTGGCTATTGTGAATAATGCTGTTAATGAACATGGGTGTGCAAATATCTCTTCCAAGATCCAGTTTTGAATTCTTTTGGATATGTACCCAGAACTGCTGGATCAGATAGTAATTCTACGCTTGATTTAGCACAAATTTTGTCAATCCAAAGAGCTGAAAGCTAACATAGAAGTATAGTATATTTTTAAAGAGTCAGTTCATATTTGTGAGCTCAACATAAACATCTGACAAATTTTCCATTAAAAAAATTTTTATGTGTTCATTGATTCACATACATCTTAGCACACTAATTCATTATTATTTTAACCCCTACAAAGAAGGGTAGAAAATAGGAAAAACATGATTCTATTCTAGACTTGGGTCTAACCTGTAACAATTCACCTAGCCTTCCTTATGACTGCCCTATTACTTACCATAGCTATTGCAAAGATGAATGGGTTAATATTTTAAATTTGTGTATGAGCTACTAAAAAGAAAAAGCAGTGGACAATGAATCACAGAACTTTGTAGCAGTAGGTTCTATGATTTATTTTCTAGTGTTTTCCCTTTTTTGAAATACATATACGATGTACACACACACAAATGTAAAATATTAACTTAGAATTTAAAAAAATTAAAAAGATTTTAAAATAACACATTTATCTCTGCAATAAATGAGAGCCTTTGGCTTTGCTGTTAGACGTGATTACACTTAGACCAATTCAGAAAAGATTTCAAGAAAGGAAGAGTACACAGCTTTACCTGGGTAAATCAAAAAACTTGTAAAGTTTCTATCATTATCATGAAATTCATTTAAAATGAATTGTGGTTATTAACCTGCTTCCTCTGGCTCTATATCCAAAGACTTAGAGAATAACTGTCCACTCATATTTTGGATAATTACTTTCCTTTTAATAATAAAATTTCAATAAATAACTAAATTTTGAAGATTCATGTAGGGCATATATATGTTGATTATGGAAAGGGAAAGTACCATTTAGAGCTAGAAAGAGGTTTATTTGAGTCAAATAAAATGGCTATTTTACCAAATAGGAAGCAAATTCTTAAGGACTCTACACCCAAAAGCAGTTAGTGGCTGAAAACAAACAGATTTTAAAAGGGTTCAATTATGGGAACAAATGTGTAATGTCCAAAATAGTCTTTATTGGAGATAAGGATTAAGGCTAAGTCTCTATTTTTCATCCCATAAAAATCTATTTACATCTCTTTCAGAGAGAGAGAGTTTTGAGGAAAGAAAACTGAATTTGATGAACAACGGATCTGATTTAGGATGCCAATTGCAAATAATGATAGAAAACGGATTTTTTTTTTTTGGTGCAAAATTTCATGGATAAAAATGAAAAACTTAAATGACCTCTCCTCTCCAACAGTACAGAAAATTTTGCCTGAATTTACCTAAAGTCTACGCCACGGACTTGATTCAGTGAAATAGGATGGTTGGGCAGGGCACTGAACCAGGGATCAAACTTAAGAGATGTGTGGTCGCATGACTGCAATTGAACTAGAAGCATTACATCAGGACTGACCACCTTGGCTAAACCACAGACTTTGTCCAGACAGTCTGCCCACTTAGATATATTCCAAGGGGATCATCAAACTGGTGGGAGTGGCTGAAACACCGAAATGATAACCTCCTTGTTGACTCCCACAGATCCAAGCCATAAGTGTTCCCATTTAGTTAAAAGCTACCGTTGCCCGCCACTAGCATGACTTACTTGGTAGGAGGGATGTCTGTAGAGAAAAGGTCTATTTCAGTATCAGCCAGCAAAACAGCCTTCATTCCCCTAGAGCTGAGCACTTGTTTACAGAATTTGCAACACAGGATGGACACGCACCTGTCCTTGAAACTACAAATGTTGGTGGACATGGCGTCGCAGGAAGGATGAGGTGTGGGATTTTGAAAAAGGAAACAAGAGTAATGCTCCTACTATTTTGATTCCCCTAGGCTAAAATTCAAATTGCGGGACCTAGAGCTTTTCTAAGTCCTAATATTGGGAAGGAAATTAGTTTTTTTTTCTGTTTTCCCGGTGGCGGAGTAGAAGAAGTATTTATTGAGTAGGAACAGGGGAGCGTGGCAAACTTGGCTTTCCTTTTAACTTTTGGAGAAGGGAGTGGAGTTTGAATTGGAGAGGAGGCAGGTGGAGTTTGAAGGGAACTTCTCAACGGCTTTCCCTTTCTGCTGTCTAAAGGAGTCCTCTACACTTCAGCTCCCGCCCCTTCATAGCAATTCCCTCAGCCTTCTCCGATCGTCTAATTTAAAGCTTCTCCTCTTTTAAGACATCCCTTCCCCAGCATTAAGCCCCTCCCCCGGAGCGCTCCGGTTCCCTGCTGTCGGATCTCGGGCTAAGCGTCCCTACCCACGCCTCCTCTTCCCAGGATTCAGAAACTCCCTTCTCTTTTTCTGCCAGGCGATCCCGGATTCTCCTCCGTCCCGCCCCTTTTCTCCCGGACCTTCCTCCGCTCTGCGGGTCCGCGGGCCCCTCTCCTGGCAACCCCCGGCCCTCAGCGTGCTCGCGCTGTTTCTCTCGCGTCCTCCCTTCCCTCAGCTGTCCCTCGTGCCCCCCGCAGTCCCCTCAGGTTTCTTCCCGGAGCGGCTGTTCCCGGGCGCGCGGTGGTGTTGGTGGGGCAGAGCTGAAGTCGCTTTAGAGGCTCAGTCGGCGCTGGGGTCTGTCACCGAACACGTTGGTTTTCGCTCCCTCTTCCGCTTTTCCTGCCTCTCCAACCCGGTATCAGTTTGAATTGCCAGCGCCGCGCACCGATTGGAAGAACTAGAGTTAGCCCCAGTCCCTCATTGGAAGGCTCCGGGGCCTCCCCTCACGAGAGCTTAGTGGCTTGAAGACCGTAGGCACCGCCCCAGTAACGGTGCTGAGATCAATTCGGCTTTCTGGTCGGCTGAGCTTGGCTCCGCCTCCGATCTCATTGGCCGGCTTCGGGAGGTTTCGGCAAACCCTGCTTTAGCCCTAGTGAAAGTGGCAAGGCACGCCCTTCCCGCTTCTTATTGGAAGAGGGTCTACAGTCTCCACCGGTCTCTACTCTTTATTGGTTAAAATTCCCCGCAACACCCCTCCTCTCTACCCCGGCCCAATTGGCCGTGCCTCAGCTCAAGAGTTTGTGTTTGGTCGTCGGTTCCACCTTAATCCCGCCCATCAGTTCTACTTAGGGGTTCAACAACCCGGGGTGGAGCTTAATCTGTGACCACGCCTCGGCAGTGCTAGTCACACCTCCAAGTTTTGCCAGCTCCTCCCCCTCATTCCGGGCCTCTCGGGATCAGCTCTTCCTATTGGCTATGGGCCCCATCGGTCGATAGAAAACGGGCGGTGATTGGTAAAGGGGTGGGCTCTACTTCCCGGCGGGGTCCTGCGGAGTTGGCGGAGGCTCCTCCAGGGACTGGGGCACAGATCTGCGTAGAAACGGGTGGCGGGGAAGAGAGGGGAGGAGAGCTCTGAGTGGGAAGCGGAGCCGGGGGCCTGGGACCCGTCGCGTCAGAGCCAGGTAAAGGCTCCTTCCCTCTTCCTTTTCTTCCTCCCGGCCGCCGGGCTGGAGCCCTGACTGAACAAACCCGGGCTGGGGCGGGAAGGAGAGGGCGCGGATGCTGCTCGCGGCATCGCCTTAGCGGTGCCGCCCGGAATCCCTCAGACCGCCCCTCCTCCACCCTCTCCAAATCTCCCAGTACAGCCCATAATACTTCTCAGGACTGCGAGTCTCTCCGCCCATCACTGTACAGCCTGGGACTCCGTCCTGGCTCACGGACCGCAGCGCAGCCGGCACCCAGCCGCCTCTCCCTTTCCTCCGCACACGGGCAGCCGCGGTCCACCGTAGGGCAGTCGTCGTTGGCATCGCGCGTAATCATCGGCCGGCCTCCTCCAGTGTCTCCCAGCCCTGGCGGACAGCCCGGGTCCCAGCCTAGGACCCAGGAGGATGGGTGTTCCGCGCAGCTTCCGGGGCTCTCCCCGAGTCCCACCCCCCGGCCCGCCCCGATGGACTTCTCTTCGCCCACTCCCATCCCTAGACCACATCTCGGCCCCCACAGTTCCTGACATCCTTGCGCTTCACGCAACATCGCGGCCCATGATCATGCCCCAATTCCCCTCACCTCTAAGGCAGCCTTCTCCTTGCCGCCTCCCGCCTTCCGAGCGTGTGCAACTCCAGTTGTCCCCGGGCTCCCTTCCAGCCTCAGGACCCCATCTCACACCCGCCTCTCGCTTCCCGCTTCCCGCTCGCCTGAACCCCGCCGCCTCTGCTCCCTGTCTTGTTCCCTCAGCGTGGCCCCTTCCTCCAGCCGCGGGAAGTGGGAGACGCTAGCGGGAGCTTCCTCCTCCCGGCGCTCGGAGGAAAAGGAAAGACCAAGTAGAAAGGGTCGCCGCTGCGGCACGCGAGGGAGCTAGTCGCCGGGCTCCGCGCTCCCGCTTGCGTCCCTCCAGCCCCCTGGGCCTCGTCCGGGGCCGGATCTTCTCGGGCACCGCCTGGTGCGAGGAGTCAGGACTGCGACCTCACCGACCTCCTCCCATCCCCAGCCTGGGATTGGGTGGGATATCTGGGATCTCTGAGCTTGGGTGTCAAAAAAATATTGGGGGTGGCATTTATAGTCACTATCGTCCCTAGCTTGAGGGAGGCGACGGCTGCCTTCCGCTCGCCGCCCCCCGGTTTTCCCGGCTCCGACCCTATCCTCTAACCCGTTTCCTGCTTCAGCTGACCACATTGTTTTCCTGGATGTGTCCCGTGCCGAGCAGGCTTTTTCCTGCAGATTTGCCCCCCCACCATCAACATTTTGCTGCCAAGAGAAGCTAGTAACCAAAAACAAAACAACTGGGAGGAGGGGCGGGAGAGGAAGAAAAGTTGTGCCCTGGTGGCTTGTCCCTCCCCGGCTTTGATCCCCTTTGATGTACAGGGAGGTGCCCCGGCCGGGGGTCTGGGGCCACGTCGGGGGCTAGGTCGGGAGGGCTCCCTGGGGCTGGCCGCTGCCCAGCGCTGGCGGGGCTCAGGAGGCCGCCGAGGTGCCGCATTCCCCGCCCGGTGCCCCGCGTTCCTGCAGTCCCCGCCCGGAGCCCGCGCAGGCGGCTGCTCCAAAGTGTTTTCTTTCAGCCTTAAAATCCGGAGGGAGCTTCCTTCCTCCCCACCTCGTAGCGCCAGGCTCTGCGGGCGGGGAGACGTTAAGCGGACAGGAATGGGCCCAGGGCGGGCTCGGAACGACGTCCCCTACCCCACCCCCGCCGCGATTAGGATCTGCGCTCTGGCTGATCGCCCCCTCCCCCTTTTCCTGCATTTACAGGCAAGTGAACCGGAGCAAACGACTTCCGATCCAGTCTGCGCTGTTGCAGCTCCCGTTTGGGATTTGATTTGCAGCATCTTTGAGCCTCTACGACAAAAAAACCGCGAAGCACGCCCAGCCCTCCCCCGGCACCCCGAAAAGCACCCACTCCCTCCCGGGGACACAGCTGGGCGCGTCCACACCCCCGCAGCCCCACACCATGTTGTGCGGAAGGACTTCCACTCCCCGCCTGTGTCGTTGATGTCAGACCCCAGGCCAGCCTCCGGGCGCTGCAGTTCTCCCGGCTAATGCTGAGGCTGCGGCTCCGGCTCTAGCACAGGCACCAGCCGCCGCCGCACCCGGCCTCAGCGCCCACCGTCTGCATGTGCCCGCCGTAGCCGTCTGCCCAGCCCGCAGCCCGCGCTCCACGGAGCGCTGGAGACCACCGTGGGGGGCCCCTTCTGCCCTCGAGAGAAGCGGTCTTGGAGGTATTGATTTAAGTGGTTGGATTTTTTCCGTGGATCTATCAATTCACAATTCGAATTTGGAAGAAAGAAGGAAAACATGACGTCTCCAGCCAAATTCAAAAAGGATAAGGAGATCATAGCAGAGTACGATACTCAGGTCAAAGGTAAGGGTTTTGAAAAATAGCACACTGCAAATGCTCTGTGGACTGGTGAGGCGTGTATTTCCACCGTGATTTGCAGGTTGTTCATTTCTTTGGGTGGAGCAGATGGGGGCAGGCTGACCCCAGAGGTGGTTTCATAGATGGGTCTGAACCTCCAAAGGATGGGCAATGCCAGGGGGCCATTGACACTGGAAAGGAATTTTTGCAGTGGGCTGTAGGAGTATCTTTGTGGGGCTGACCATGATTTTGGCAGCCCTTTCCCCCCAAGCCGGGCAGGGTGGGGGGAGGGGCAGGAGGCTCTTAGAGAAAGGCAGTTTGCCTCCGGTTCTCTGGGTCAGGTTTCCTTGAAAGACAACTGAAATCTGACAGGTGTTTGGACATTTGTTTCAGAGATTGAAGAGGAGTCCAGACAGAAAGGCAACCTTGGGAAGGTGTACCATTTGGAGAGCCTTGGGAGAGGCGGGGTTTTTTGGATGCACTATATTAAAACATGAGATTTGCAATGGCATTGGCACCAAAAGTCCATTGCCACCTTGGGTGTACCTTGTACCTGCCTGGTCTCTGGTCGGCCTGCATACAATCAGAGATCAGAGAATAAGGCCACCCACGCCCGGTCTCCGCCCTCACCTAAATCTGAATAGAGTTGGGAGGATGTTAGGGTAGCCGGTTGGTGCTGATTCTGGAAAATGGGAAGACATAATTGTTTAACCCTTCTGTGCTGTGGCCCTCTGCTCCGGAAGACATGCTTTTAAAGCCCCATTTCCCTCTCCTGAAAAATGTGAAGGGTAAAGCAAAATGTGGACTAGGAGAAACCAAGTGACCTGTCTTCTCATCTAGTCGACTGACTTGACTCATGAATAAGAGCCCTTACTCAGATAGCGTTTTTTAAACCAGCAATTCCCATAGGAAGGGTTCCTGCCTGTTAAAGAGCTGCAGCATGTGTTTGTGCAAGGCACTGTCCCTTCCTGGTCAGTCACTGGAAAGAGCCATGTGGCTCCAGCCCATTGAGACCTTAGCTGGGGAGTGGAAGAGGTGGGTGGCCTTGAATGTTACACCACATGGTTGGAGCTCTGGGTTTTCCTTTGTTTCAGAGTACAGAGGGAGGGGCCCCTCCTTTCCCTGCACCAGTGCAAGGAGACCTTTTCCTATCAGAGAGGACTTGGGAAGGGCCATGGCTCCCCTCTAATGATTGCTGGGGGGTGGGGGTAGGCGTAGAGTTTGAAATGGGCAGCTCCCTTATCTCTTGGAAGGTTGGAAGGTAGTCTGAAGTCCTCATTGTACCTACAGGATCTTTTTTATGTCATTAGTTTGGTCAGTGCTGGAGGTGCCCTAAGGGGCCTTCTATCCACTTGGCTGCAAATATTGGTAGGTTTATTACAGAGATGGGGGAGTTGACTGATTGATAGCTTCAGTTGAACTGGGATTGAGAGAGGTGTGGTTGTGAGTTATTATTGAGGTCTTGGCCTCTTGTCACTGTTCATAATCCAGGCCTGTTTTTGTAAACAATAGGCCACTGGCCTCCATGTCCTGTCCAGATGCATTGCATTTGCTCTTGGAATCCCCCCTGCAGTTTTAACCAGATATGTCTTTTTTTTTTTTTTTTTTTTTTTAACACATCCTATTCTTAAACTGTTGCCATCGGGAGTGTTAATAACTTTGATCTTCCCAGATTTCTCTCCAGAAGCACGCCATTTGACTAAGGTGCAAAGTGACTTTAAATGTTTAATTTTTGGAAGGTTCAAGGCTGATAGGTGTTAATAGAACCATATCTGCCAATTTCTTATTGGCAAAGGATTTCTCAAGAGTGTCTCAAAATTAAACACTTTGGATATTTACAAACATTGCTCATTGAGATGAGGTAATGCAGTCGGCTATTTGGGTTCTCTCTTCAACCTTGCCACAAACAGACTATTTTGCTTTGCTCTGATATTTTCCCATTGATACTATTCAGGATCATAGAATTTTATAGGTGGCTGAGCATGATGTCTTACTCCGAGAAGGTGCCTGATGAATGCTTATGGAACTGATTTGAATAGTTTAGTCCTTCATTTTACAACTGAGGAGAATACAGAGAACTGAAGAGGCTTGTCCAAGGTCACACGGCTAGATGGTGGCAGATCTGAAACTAGAAGCAGATTTACCAACTCTCAATTCTCTATTCTGTATCTTTACTATGAAACATCATCTGACCAGGGTGGAAAAAAATAAAAAATTCTTAAGGAGCCCAAATCTGTCAATGAATAATGATAGTAATAATGATAATGATAATAGATTACATTTTGGTTGCTCATTATGTTCCAGTCCATCCCAAGTGCTTTAAATGAATGGTCTGGTTTAATCCTTACCTCAACCCAGGAAATGGGTATTATTGTCACCTTCCATTCACCATATAAGGAAACTGAGGCTTAGAGAGGATGAGAAGCCCTTCCAAGGTCACACAGCCAAACCATGGCAGCTTGACTTCATTCCTTTATTCATTAACTATTTATTGAGTGCTTGCTGTGTGTTCTGGCGATTGGCCATACAGCTGTGAAGAAGAAAAAGTCTCTACCCTCGTGGAGCTTATATTCTGGAAGCTGGGCTCTCTATGGAACAGCACAGAATTGGGAGACAAAGGGCCTGCGATCTGGTTTGGCTCTGCCCCCCACTAGCTAGAAGCCCTGGGTCAGAATTATTATGAGTGTCAGCTTTTTGTGTGTTATATGGGACTCATGGTGCTGCCAGACTTACTTCTCTTACAGATGCCAAGATAAAAAGAAAATTGCTGTAACAGCTATGCAGTTTGGTTTGGTTGTTAAGTGCAATTTTTAGAGTCAAAGTGATTCAGGTTTAAATCTTGGTTCTGCCAGTAGCTAGCCTTTCACTTCAGGCAAGTTACATGACTTGTCTGAGCCTCAGTTTCCTTATTTGGAAAATGGGTAAAATAAAATACATTTCCTAAGATAGTAGTGAGTTGTTGATGAGATATATAAATTATTTAGAACAGTATCTTGCACTTGTAAGTGCTCAATAATGGTACGGTCTACTTCTCTGTGAGCCTTTCTTTTGCTGAATTGGGCTGACTATTGAGGCTGCATTGCATATTCACTCCCAAAGTGCCAGCTATTAAATGATAGGAAATAAGTAAGGAATGAAACTTAAGTTCTAGCTTAAGATCATTTAGTCGTAACAAAACATCTTGGGTCAGTCACTTAAACCCTCTGGACATCAGTTTCTTTTTCTGTCAGTGAACAAGTAAACTAATTATTGGCCACTGTGGTTCAGCCTGTCTTTGACCAGAGTCCCAGGTCCTGTTTTTTCAATCAGAATTGTTTGAGTCAAATGGACTCTAAATGGGACCCTCATCTCATGGGACTTTCTGGGACCCTACCTATCCCTTGATTTTTGCCTCCCTATAAACCACCTGCTTGCATGTGCCCTGAGGAACTCCTGAGGCTTCAGCCCCAACCCTACCCCAGAGTGGTTTTATGAGGGGTGTGCCTCCTTAGTCAGCCTGCCTTGTAGTGTCTTCTTAAAAACCATCATTGTTTCAGGTTTGTGGGTGCCCACATTCCTTGGAAAGTTCATGCCTCTCAATGTCTGACTTGAAAGCAATAATATTCTTAGTCTTTTTACATAGCTCTTTCCAATTTACATTATGCTTTCATATGTAGTTGTCCGTCAGTATCCTCAGGGGATTGGTTCAAGGACTACCCCCACTTCCCCCAGGATACCAAAATCTGCAGATGCTCAAGTCCCTGATAAATAATGGTGTGGTATTTACATATAACCTATGTACACACATCCTTCTGTATACTTTAAATCATCTCTAGATTACTTATAATACCTAATACAGTGTAAATGCTATGTAAATAGTTGTTATACTGCTTTTAAAATTTGTATTATTTTAAATTGTTGTATTGGTATTTTTATTGTTTTTTTTTTTTCTTGAATATTTTCCATTCCCATTTGGTTGAATCTGCAGATATGGAACCTGCAGGTATGGGGAGGGCTGATGTACATTAATCTCTGGAAATTCTTTACAACCCTGGTCAGATTCATGGTCATAAACTGAAGCCTTTGGCCTCTAGCCTGTTAGCTTGTTGCTGGGATTGGAGCAGCGAAGGTGGTAAGGTGCAGGGCATGGTTACCAGGGTTGTGAATCTGGGTGGTATTTGGGTGAATACACATGACTGTATACAGTCCCAGCTATTGTTCTTTCCTTATTTAAGGCCCCTTTCCTTTACCCTCTCTATACCTTGAGTTTTTACAGTCTCCCAGAAAGCTTGAGATTGACAGTTCATGCAAATATTCCAGAAGAAATAGTCTGAAACAGGGTGGCACTCTATGCTGAGCAGTCACATTTTCTTTCTCGAGAACATTAGGGGTCTTGTCTTTTTTTTTTTTTTTTAATGTCTTAGGAGAACAGTGTGTGTGCACCACAGAGCTGGAAGCGAAATTTTGTAATTTCCATCTGGAGCATTTTGATAGAAAAAGTGCAGGCCTTTGCTTGGAACAGTTTAACCCTTTCAGGACCCTTCAAGAGCAGGAGATGAAATTTAAAACTGGAGTCGTATTGTGTATGTATATATACTTGGGAATGTTGATGGCTGGTATATAAACAAGCTCTTTCCCTTGGGAGGTCTGAGCAATTTTTCATTCATGCCAACAAAGGTCTTCTCCAAAGCTTCTTTCCTCACAGCTCCCATTCCCCAAGGGAGCTTTAAATATAATCAGTTAATCAGTTTTAAATATAATCAGTTAAATATAGTCAGTTTGAAAAGCTGCAGTAAAACATTTAGTTGGAATCCTCAAGCAGATGCTATCATTTTCCTGCAAGATGATTGAGGGCTCCTGTCCCTTGCTCAGGGGAAAAAACAACAACAAAAAAAGCTACTCTGCAGCAGTAAGGTGAACTCCTGGAAGAAAATGAAACTCTTGGAAACTTTCAAGTACCATACTCTGCATCTTGCAATTGAAAGACCCTAGAGGAACATGGTAGGCAAGGAGCCAGGGGATGCAGTGTACTGTGCAAAGAAGCAGTAGTTGGAAACAGTGTTCATGAGGGGTCCTTAGCTTTTTCAATTTCAGGTGTTCTTGGGGAATGAGAACAGAAATTTCCTTTGAAGAAGCCTATCTGGTAATTGTGGCCACATCCGTTATGTATCATGCAGGTTGAAAACTTAGACAGGCTCTGATGATTTCTCTGCTATGAGGTGTCCAGAGATGGACCTGGCTGCAGTATGTAGGCGCCCTCACTATTAAAATCAGCAGGTACCCAGACCCTGACTCCCATTATTCACTCCAGATAAACTGGGCTACCCAGTGGCACCTGTAGAGTTGTCCTTCCAGAAGTGAGAATGCTTCATGGGAATTGTGCTTACCTTATACCCTTGACCTCTGACAGCTACATTAGGAAAATATGTCATATTGCAGGGAAAAAGCAGTTGATATGTAGATTTCTGGTAGTAATAAAATTAGCAGTTTTAACCTGGTGTCAGCTCCAGAATTGACTTTTTGGGGAATCTGGGAAAGTTGCCTTGGAAGTTGTTAGGTTTAAACATAAGTAATAACAGCACTTAAAAACATTTTAAAAAATTACAAAATTAACACCCTTACTGATTTTACAATAATGTGTAGGAACTCTCATATCTCCCTTACTCTCTCTAATTGTGGTAGAATACACAGGAGGTTGACCATCTTAACCATTCTAGAGTACAGTTCAGTAGCATTAAGTACATTCACATTGTTGTGCAGCCATCACTACCATCCATCTAAATGACTCTTTTCATCTTGCAAAACTGAAACTTTATACCCATTAAACAACAGCTCCCTATTCCCTCCTGCCCCTGTCTCTGGCAAGCACCATTGTACTTTGTCTCTATTTGATAACTCCAGATACTGCAGGTAAGTGGAATCATATTGTATATATTTTTTGTTACTGGCTTATTTCACTTCCTATAATGTCCTCAAAGTTCATCCATGTTGTAGCATATGTCCAAATTTCTTTCTTTTTTAAGGTTGAATAATATTTAATTGTATGTATATACCCCATTTTGTTTACCCATTCGTTCATTGATGAACACTTGGGTTGTTTCCACCTTTTGCCTATTTTGAATAATGCTGCTGTGAACATAGGTGTAACATAGGGGTGTTCTTTTTTCTTTTCTTTTTTTTTTTTTTCAGATGGGGTCTCACTCTGTCACCCAGGCTGGATTGCAGTGGCTTGATCATGGCTCACCGCAGCCTTGACCTCCTGGGCTGAAGTGATCCTCCCACCTCAGCCTCCGAAGTAGCTGGGGCTATAGGCACATGCCACCACACCCAGCTAGTTTTAAAATTTTTTGTAGAGATGAAGTCTCCCTACATTGCCCAGGCTGGTTATTTTTTTTTTAAAAGGTACACTATACCAAAGTTTTACAAGCCTGTATATACATTTCTATATAATCACTTGTCCTGATAAATTTTTTAAATTTAAGGTTTTAATATGTGCATTAGCTTGTATATTAGTATATTATTAATTATAAAGTTGTACACCTTTTAATAATTACATGAATTACTAAACTTTTACCATATTTTTAATAGCTTTATTGAGATTTAATTGACATTTAATAAATTGCACATATTTAAGGTATACAATTTGATAGGCTTTGACATATATAATACCCATGAAACCAGCACAATCAAGATAGTGAATGTAATCATTACCCCCAAAGTTTCTTCATTATAATGTATTAATAAACCAGTACTATTGGCCAGGCACAGTGGCTCATATCTGTAATTCCAGCACTTTGGGAGGCCAAGGTGGGAGGATTGCTTGAGCCCAGGAGTTCAAGACCAAACTGGGAAACATAGTGGGACCCCATCTTTGCAAGAAAAAAAAACAAAAAACAAAAACCTGGCTGGGCACGGTGGCTTACGCCTGTAATCCCAGGATTTTGGGAGGTGGGCAGATCACCTGAGGTCAGGAGTTTAAGACCAGCCTGGCCAATATGGTGAAACTCTGTCTCTACTAAAAATAAAAAAATTAGCCGGGTGTGGTGGCAGGCACCTGTAATCCCAGCTATACGGGAGGCTGAGGCACAAGAATCACTTGAACCTGGGAGGCAGAGGTTGCAATGAGCTGAGATCTCACCATTGCACTGCAGCCTGGGCAACAAGAGCGAGACTCCATTTCAAAAAAAAATTATCTGGGTGTGATGGCACATACCTGTAGTCCTAGGCTCTCTTAGGATGATGAAGCAGGAGAATTGCTTGAGCCCAGGAGTTCGAGATTGCAGGGAGCCATGATTGATTGCACCATTGCAGTCTAGCCTAGGTGATAGAGCTAATAATTATGTTATAGAAGAGGCATTAACTTCAAGATAACTAAGTGAAAGCCTGGTATTAACAAATTTTAAAAAGTAACAAATAAATAATGATCTAAGCTACCCAGATTAGTTTCTGGAAAATTTGTTTAACCAAGACAATCTCCAAGGGAAGTCAGGCTAATAATTGTGTCTCAGCCATTACTCTGCTTTTAGGAGGGAAGGTACAGGATGGAGTGAGAAAGAAAAGAAAAAAAATCATGGCCATGTTAGGAGTGGACAAATGACAGTGTCTGTTTCCATATAGAGTTGGCTTGGCTGGGTGTGGTGGCTTACATCTGTAATCCCAGCACTTTGAGAGGCCGAGGCAGATGGATCACCTGAGGTCAGGAGTTCGAGACCAGCCTGGCCAACATGCCAAAACCTCATCTCTACAAAAATACAAAAATTAGCTGGGCGTGGTGGTGGGTGCCTGTAATCCCAGCTACTCAGGAGGCTGAGGGAGGAGAATCGCTTGAATCCAGGAGGCAGAGGTTGCAGTGAGCCGAGATCATGCCACTGCACTCTAGCCTGGGTGACAGAGCAAGCCTCCATCTCAAAAACAAAAAACAAGCAAATGAAAAAATAGATCTGGCCTGAACTAGTCCTAGGGCCTCATGCCTTTTTAGAAGGGGTCACAAATAAGCCAGATGTCAAGGAGAGGGGCTAGGGGCTCCCACTGGAGATCTACTCAGAATGTTCTTAATATGGCTTCTTTCTTCTAATGATTGACTCCCTATTGCCTGCTAAATACAGACCAACTTTCTAAGGTAGACATGAACTTCATTCTCAATCTGACTGCAAACTATTGTTTCGACCACATTTCTTATTTTGCTTTAAGAGGACTGGAAGCCTAACTTGACTGCTTACCATTCTTTAAACAGACTACTAGCTAACATTTGCTGTCTGTTGGATGTTTACCACTTACTAAGCATTATGCTAAATACTTTATATAGATTATTCCATAATCCTTACTCCAACTTTAGGAAAAAGATGTTACTAGTATCCCATTTTACTGATGAAAAAAGTGAGGTGTAGGACATTCAGTTATTTCTCCAGGGTCTGCAGCTGGTGAATAATGGAATAGGAACCTTGGTTGTCGCCAGAGTCTAAGTTCTACGTGTTGCTCATGAAATGCCCCTTTTTCGCTGCGCAGTCCCGTATCTTCACCTATTGAAATCTCATCCTGCTGGGGGCAGTGGATCACCTGAGGTCGGGAGTTCGAGACCAGCCTGACCAACATGGTGAAACGCTGTCTCTACTTACAATGTAGAATTAGCTGAGGGTGGTGGCACTTGCCCGTAATCCCAGCTACTTGGGAGGCTGAGGCAGGAGAATGGCTGGAACCCAGGAGTTGGAGTTTGCTGTGAGCCGAGATCGTGCCCTTGCACTCCAGCCTGGGCAACAAGAGTGAAACTCCATCTCAAAAAAAAAAAAAAAAAAAAGAAAAGAAAGAAAGAAATCTCACCTTTCTGGTAAAGCCCAACGTTTCTGGGATTCCTTCCTTAATTGCTCTGACCAGAAATAACCCTTCTCTCTATTTCACCCACATAGTGCTTCTCTTAATAGATCTCATATGGCATTGATCTCATACTGCCTTATGTTTGGAATATTTGTATTTCATTCTTTTTTCTTCTACCAGACTTCTGAATGTAGGAATGTTTTGAAGTTGTGTAGTGCAATGCAAAGAATACAGGCTCTGGAACCAGCCCTCAGTTGGAGTCTTGTCAGCATCACCTCCTTGCTGTGTGACCTTGCTGAAGTCACTCAACTTCTCTTCCAAGCCTCCTTTTCTGTGATGTGGAGATAATGAGACCTGCCTTGCTATTAATTGCAGTTGTGTTAAGAGTACTGGCTCAGTGTATGGCAAATATTAAATGCTAAATAAATAGCTTATTATAAGGTCCCTTCAGATAGGAAACGTGTCTGGAAGACTATTGTAGCTCAAATGGTGGCTCTCAGTAAACACTTATTGTCTGTAGTACTGAATGAATGGATGACCTAACTACTACAAATAATCTTTTAGAAATAGTTTAATTGTATCTTGACACTGTATCTTGCACAATGTCACCAGAGTGATTTTTAAAAACTCATTTTTTTTTTGCTAACATCGTAGCATAAAAGACTGTTAATATTAATCACTTCCCACTTACCCTGCTTACATTTTATACTGCCTTACAGCTGAACTGCCTCTAGTTTCCTTTCTTTATCATGTTGTGTCATGGTTTGTGCTGTATCCATGCTGTGCCCTCTCTTTGGAATGGGTCCTCTTCCTTGAACCTGTAAAACTTATTCATCCTTTAAAGCAGCTCAGATGCCACCCCTCCAGGAAGCCTTCCCTGCTCCCCTGTGCGGGATCCCAAGCAGGATTCCTCAGCATCTCCCCTTGCCTTCTGCACAGAGTTCCTCAGTACGCTCTCAGCATCTCCTCTGCAGTGTCTTTGTACACTCTTGTATTATTGCACTCATCATATTACATTGCGATCTCTTCATTTACATCTCTTTGTTTACAACTCACTGAGCACCTTCAGGAAAGAATGGTCTTTTATTCATTTCTGCATGTCCAGCTCCTGACACATAGTAAGCACTACAATGTTTATAAGTTGAATTGAACTGTCTTCTGAGTTGAGTTTGGATGTGATAGTGCCATGATGGCACGCTTCTGCATTTCTCCCCGACTCCAGTAAGAAACCCATGCCCTATGTTAATATTATTTGAAATTTGATATAGATTAAACTTTGTGAATATATTTGCATTATACAAGGACAAGTACAAACTACATAGCCTTATGGATCCTCCCCCACGGGGGTGTGTTTCTCCTTAAATTTATTGCTGGCACAGCCCTCTTTAGAATCACTGCCCTCTTTAGAGTCACTGCCCTAGAGCTATACTTGCTTTGACCAAATTTCTTCAGTCACATCTCTCACCTTGGAAACCAAGAAAAATGTTAACACTGAAATTCCCGAGAGTTTAAAACAAACATAAGGCTTTCTGTAATTGAAGCAAAAACACATTGTACATTTGTCCAGGATTTATTCACCATTTTAATCAGGCACTAAAAGTCTAAGTTTGAGAAAGTTTGTCTGTCTTGACCTGGAGTTAAAACTGGGTTGACCTGAAAAAGGAACTGTTTTGTTCCTTTTTCAAAGCACGGTGTGGAGAGAGCTATTGCCTGGTTAGAAGCAGCTGTGAGATCTTTGGTAAATGGGGAAGGAGAGGTCCTAAGGAACAAGCAGGAAAATGGTCCCTTATGGTTTTTCAAGTCATTTGGTATGAAATAGCCTTGACCTTATTTATACGTTGTGAATGAATGGTTCTGAACTTGAAATATGTATTCGTGAGGAAGGAAAAACAGTTGGGACATGTTCCTCCATTTTGGTGTATATTTTAGGATATCATCCTTTAGGAAGAAGGCATATTCTCTTTGTTTTTTTTGTTTGTTTGTTTGTTTGTTTGTTTGTTTTTCTTAACCATATCTTCTAAATGCATTAATCAGTGGAGAGGTGACCCAGAAATCACTGTGAAAGTTGGGACCTTATCTTTGCTGTTTGAGCCCAGATCTTGCATTTAGAATCATGGCATGGTGGGCAGGATCTGAATACTCTCCCTGGAGAAGATGACCCTGGCAGCCATGGGTGGCTGGGTGGCCAGGGCTCCACAGGAGGACAAAGCACAGAAAACAAAGGGACTTAAGAGCATGAGCTGGCCATGACAAGCCATGCCATAAGCTTTAAGAAATATGTCTTGTTTCTGAAGAGTTGGCTGTTGCCAACTCTTCTCCAAACATTGAAATCCCTTAGAAATCTGCTTCCTTTCCCCATTAGATTTTGTGTGTGCGTGTGTTTATTATTTTGGTAGGCGGTGGAGATACTGCACCAGAGCTTGTCAGATGAGTAAGCTGCTCTCTGGGAAGACATCTTGACTGAGGTACCTATTCTGGAGCAACATTTCTTTTGGGCCAATACAGTACTTTGTTACGCGTTGAGCTACAGGATTCTACACAGGCAGAATGATCCTAAGGGAAAGTGCTGGATTGGGAGGCAGAAAGCTTGGGTTCTAGTTTAGCTTTGTCATTGGCTCCCATGATTTTGGAGATAACTCACCTAAGGTCTCAAAATCCCTAGTTTCCCTATAAAATCCCTGTAAGATGGGAACAACAATTCTTGGCCCTTATAATAATGATGATGATGATGGTTAGCGTTTATCAAGTGCTTCTTATGTCTCAGCTCTGTTTTAGGTGCTTTACGTATATGAACTCATGAATTTCTCAACAGTCCTGTGAGGTAGCTGCTATTATTATCCCCATTTTACAGATGACGCACAGTGAGGTTAAATAACTTGCTCTGAAGCACATGGCTAGTAAGTGATGAGGACAGATTATGAACCCAAGCTGACTTAACACTGGTGTGAAGCTGAAATGAAAGAATTCAGTTGAAACTATGAGATGCTGTACACACTCAGTTGATTGTCCTCATTTCCTAGTAACTTGGTACAATAAAGAATTAATGCAGTGTTTTAAATGTCTTTCTGTTACATACCTACCGTACCTCCCTATGCCTTGGTATTCTCATCTAAAATACTAGGGGTTAAACATTAGAAACTTTCCTAGGTCCTTCCAGCTTTCAGGGTTCATTATTTTTGCTTATTAATACGTTGAAGATCGGCCTGGCTGGGTGGCTCAAGCCTGTAATCCCAGCACTTTGGGAGGCCGAGGCAGGCGGATCACCTAAGGTCAGGAGTTCAAGACCAGCCTGGCCAACATGGTGAAACCCCGTCTCTATTAAAAATACAAAAATTAGCTGGGCATGGTGGCGGGCGCCTGTAATTTATCTTAGCTACTTGGGAGCCTGAGGCAGGAGAATTGCTTGAACCTGGGATGCGGAGGTTGCAGTGAGCCCAGATCGCACCATTGCACTCCAGCCTAGGTGACAGAGCAAGACTCCGTCTCAAAAACAAACAACAAAAAAGATGTTGAAGATGATGATTTGTCCCTTTTAAGTAGACACACTTTGAAGTACAAAAACCATTATATTCTCTGAATGACATTCTTTCCACCCCCAGAACTTGCCATGCCTGCATGGCTGCTGCACACTTATGGAGGGTAGGCCCCAGGTGGTAGGTAGTACCAGAGTGGCAGCTGGCCTGGAGAGCAGTTGAAGTGATACTTGTTGAAGTATCATGATCTAATAGGAAGATGTGCCTCACAGCTGGAGAAAAATCGAGGGGAGAGAGAGTTACTTGATGGGCCTACAGGTGAACTTGTGACTGGATCACTTTAATCAGGATGTTTTAATCAGGATAACTATTAAACTTTGGACTTCCAGTAAGCTCAGAGACTTCTAGAGTTAGAAAATTCCCTGCTGTAACTGGTTTGTATGGTTTTCCCCATCCATGTTGGTAGGTCAGAAATGGAATTTGTGTAACTGTTAGTATTACAGATATTTATGTTGTTGTGTGCAGTACTTAAATTTAAAAGAAAAAGGAAGTTGATTGATTGTCCTTAATGAAAATTAAAGAAATAAGGAAGTGGGAGGCTCTTAATCTCTGACATCTGGTCTGGGACAAACCTGGGGGAGGCAGTGTGGTTATGGAACTGGTATAGGGTTGATCTAGACATCTGGGTTGTTCGGGAAGTGACTTCAGGCCCTTTTAGGATGTGGAGTGGCCTCTTGCCTCTTACATTGCTCTTTATGTATTAGGCCTTTTGTCAACTAAGGATTTCTTTGAGGATTGTGATGAAGCATGCTGTAATGTGGAATTGAAATGTTTTCATGTTTATGTTTGTTTTCCTTTCGCCTAATGAATAGGCTAGTAATAGTCTGTTGTTTTAAATGAGTACTATTAATAATAATGACAGCTCATATTTTTATCATTACAGCATTTAAAAAATATCATTCATAGGGAGGAAGAAATGTAGGGTAATGGAGGACCAGCTATGTAATGTTGAAGATGTCATTCCACCTTTGGGATTCTCAGCTTCTCAGCTGGAAAGTGGAAAGATGGATTACTAGTTCCTAGCTTCATGATTTTTAGGACATATGAACAAAAAATGGCTATTGTTAAGTGAGTTGTCACATAGAGTCTAGATGTTGATTATTGTCCTGGGGGAAGGATAGAAACCAGAGAATAGATAGCACAGGTTCTTCCTACTCCCCTCTTCTACTTCTGGTTTAAGGTTTCATCTTTTTTTTTTTCTTTGTTTTCTTCTTAAAGGTTTCATCTTTAAATGACATTAATTAGGCTTTGTGTTTTTAGCCATTTTTAGAGTCCGTTGTGCTGTATCTCCTGATCTCTCTTTTTCAGTGATTTGTGGTTATGTAAGTTATCTCAGTTCTTTGCTGTCAGCAATTTTAAATCAAACATTGAAGCATTTTGGGTAGATGACGTGTTACTTTGATTAATGAGGTTCTTGATCTGGATATTTTAAGGCCAGTAACAACACAATATGGAAACACCTAATTCTCCTTAAAACTGCAATAGTGTTCTCACTGCCAAAGCTGAAACCTATTTGTGCTGGTTACTTCTTTCTAAGAGTGAATGTGTGCGTATGAGCTTTCTTTTGCTGTTTTGGCCAGGGAGTGGGACTGCCAGTCCAGAAAGGCCAGCTCTTCTGGATTCAGTAGCAAAAGAGTTAATCATTAAGCAGAGACAGAAACCTCCCAAGTTTCTAACCTTCTCTTGCGTTAAATCTCCTTACTCTTATTAGAAGAAAAGGCATATGCACACTTATGCATGCGCGTGTGCACGCACGCACACAAACACCATACACACAAATACTCTAACAAAACTTAATGTAAAATGATCTCATGTTTATGAGAGCTGGAATTACTTGGGAGGGATACTTGTGTTCTGCAGGCTTAGTGGGCACGATGTGAAAGCAAGGCTATTTGGCCTGTGGAGATTGAAGATAAGAGCGTGATATGTAATTGAGTAAGAATTTGAAAAATTATCCGATAACGTTAGGAGCAGCAAAGCAACTGCTTGTACTTTTTTATGCTTGAAACTATTTGGAGTAGGAGTGAGGAGCTAGCATTGTTTTCAGGGCATGGGAACCCCCTCCCCACCTCACTAGCCAAATATGTTTGCCTGGGCCGAGAGTGTCAGATCTCTGAGAGATCTTGACAGAGTATTTAAATACATTCTGCCCTCGGACAATTCTTCAGTGTTAATCATTTCAGGAAAAGGGCTGTCAGCTAACCTTTAAAATCCTTTCCAGAATAGTATACCACAGCCCACCTTTCCATCTTGTTCCAGTGACCCAATCTATAAATGGTCAGTTCCTTCATTTGCAGAACTTGAAATAGTTTAAAGAAGAGACTTGATGAATTGAACTCATGTTTTTGCTGCTGTGGCCACACCCTCTATACAGACATTTGCTTCATTTGGGTTCTCAGCAACTTGGGAAGGAGGAGGCTATTGATGAAACTTTCAAGGCGTTGGCTTATAGCTACTGGAGTGTTCTTCTTTCCTGTCCCCTCCCCTCCTCACTTCCTCCAGTGTTGGGACACTTTGTATTGAACAAGAAGATCATGAGCTAATTTCAACCTGGCAGCCATTTATTTAGCACCTACTGTATGTTGTCTTTTTTTTTTTTTTGAGGCAGAGTCTTGCTCTGTCACTCAGGCTGGAGTGCAGTGATGTTATCTTGGCTCACTGCAACCTCCGACTCCCGGATTCAAGTGATTCTCCTGCCTCAGCCTCCTGAGTAGCTGGGATTACAGGCACGTGCCACCACGCCTGGCTAATTTTTAAATTTTTAGTAGAGACAGGGTTTCACCATGTTGTTCAGGCTGGTCTCGAACTCCTGACCTCATGATCCGCCTGCCTCAGCCTCCCAAAGTGCTGGGATTATAGGCGAGAGCCACCGTACCTGGCCTATATGTTTTATACTATGCTAAGCTGTGGGCATAGAGAGATACAGAAAAAAGTTTCTGCCTTCAAGGAGCTGCAGTCTATTAGAAATGTCTTAGTCCGTTTTCTGTTGATTATAACACAATGCCTGAAACTGGGTAATTTGCAAAGAAACAATTTTTTTTTTCCGGTTCTGGAGGCTGGGAAGTCCAAGATTGAGGGCTGAATCTGGTGAGGGCCTTCTTGCTGATGGGAACTCTCCACAGAGTCCCAAGGTGGCGTAGGATATCACATAGAGAGGGAGCTGAGTGTGTAAACTTGCCAGCTCGGGTCCCTCTTCCTCTTCTTAAAAAGCCACTAGTTTCACTGCCAAGATAACCCATTAATCTATTAATCCATTCATGATGACATGCCTTCATGATCCAGTCACCTCTTGAAGGCCCCACCATGGGGATTAAGTTTCAACATGAGTTTTGGAGGGGACATTCAAACAATAGCAAGAGGGGTGATCGGATTACACAAGTACAGTGATAGGGTCATAGTAGAGAGATATCGAAGGCTCTGTGGATAAGGAATAGTCTAACAGTGAGTAATGCTGATGAGACTGGTTGATAGAGGAAGATGATGATGTTACCTAGTATTTACAGGGCACAAGGCAGTCGAAGTGCCTTGCCATACTTTATCTCATTTAACCTCAGAATTGTACAACACAGGGCAGGATGATATCCGGCCTTTTTTTTTTTTTTTTTTTTAATATTTTATTTTGAGATAATTATGCATTCACATGCAGTTGTAAGAAATAATGCAGAGAGATTGCACATACCTGTTACTTAGATTCCTCTGATGGTTAACATCTTGCAAAACTATAACACAGTATCATAATCAGGACCTTGACATTGATACAGTCAAAATTCTAAACAGTTCCATCACTGCAAGGATCACTCATGTTGTCCTTTTCTAGTCCTGCCCCTCCCAGTTCACTCTTTCATCTCACCCCACTTTAGTCCTTAGTCCTTAACTGCTGGCAACCACTAATCTCTTGTCCATGTTTATAATATTGTCATTTCAAGAATATTATAAAAATGGAACCATTAGCATGTAGCTTTTTAGGATTGGCCTTTTTTTTTCACTCAGCACAAGTCTCTGAAGACTCATTCAGGTTGTTGTGCATATCAATAGTGTATCCCTTTTTATTGCTGAGCAGTATTCTATGGTATGAATGTATGATGGTTCGGACATATGGGTTGTTTCCTATTTTAGGCTGTTATGAATGAAGCTGCTCTGAACATTCATGTATAGATTTTTGTGTATACAGGTATTTTTTAGAAAATAGAGATAAGCCAGGCATGGTGATGTGTACCTATAGTCCCAGCTACTCTGGAGGCTGAGGCAGGAGAATCTCTTGAGCCCAGGGGTTCAAGATGAGCCTGGGCAACATTTTGGAGATCCTGTCTCCAAAAAAAAAAAGATGGAGGTAGTTTTTTGTAATGGCAAGATTGTACATTAGAAGATAGAAAAGTAGGTTTTGCATCTTACCAGGGAAGATACATGTATATTTCTCTCCCTTTGGACTGATCATTTAAGTTGTCTCAATTTCCTTATCAAGAAACTGGCATAATATATGTTCTGCCTACATCCCAGGGTGGTTGTATAGATAAACTGAGATAATATATGGCCTCCTCCCAAGTAACTGGGATTACAGGTGCGTGCCACCACGCTGGGCCAATTTTTGTATTTTCAGTAGAGATGGGGTTTCACTGTGTTGGCCAGGCTGGTCTTGAACTCCTGACCTCAAGTGATCCTCCCACCTTGGCCTCCCAAAGTGCTGGGATTACAGGCGTGAGCCACCATGCCCAGGCTCAGAGTAGTTCTTAAATTGCAATCTAGAGACAACTCTTTTAGGCCATCTTGCTTTTTCTAATAATTGATGTGTAGATGTTCCTTTTATATTCTGTTTACTCATTGTTGACGATTATAGGTTGCAATACCTGCTCCCAGATTTAGTTTATCATCTTACTTTTAATTGAATTATTTGATATATAAGAAATTCCAAGTCCAAGCATGGTGGCTAACACCTGCAATCCCAGCACTTTGGGAGGCCATGGTGGGAGGATCACTTGAGTCCAGGAGTTTGAGACCAGCTGAAGCAACATATTAAGACTCTGTCTCTACCAAAAATACAAATAAGTTAGCTGGGCATGGTGATGCACTCCTATAATCCCAGCTACTCAGGAGGCTGAGGTGGGAGGATCACTTGAGCTCTAGAGGCCAAGGCTGCAGTGAGCCGTGATCATGCCTCTGCACCCTAGTCTGGGTGACAGAAGGAGACCCTGTCTCAAAAAAAAAAAAAAAAAAAAGAAAGAAATTCCAAATTTAATATAGTCAAATTTACTTTTTGTTAAAGAAATTAATTTTCTTTACTGTTTTGATTTATTTAAAAGACAAACACACACAATCATAAGGATATTCTTCTATATTTTCACCTACACATTTTGCCTTTCACATAACGTCTTGAATAAACAAGGAGTAAATTTTCGTGAACAGCGTGAGGTAGGGATCTAACTTTATTTTATATTCCATGTGGCTATATTTATTAAAGGGTTCATCTTTTTCCCCATTGATTTGTAATGTCTCATTTGTACATACATTAAGTTTATTATACATATTTGTGGGCAAGATGAGTTCTCCATCATGCTGTAGCGGTGCTGCCACTGGATGTGCATCAGGGGTTGCTGATGAGGGAGTCAAATATTTTCCCCTTTGAGGTAGCAGCACTAGGCTGTCCCCACAGCTCCAACCAGAATAGCTCTGCTTTTATGTTCACGATATTGGGTGTCCCGCTAAGATTTTATTTGAATAACTTTTTAGATGGAACAATTTTAAAAGTTAAAAACTACCATTTTTAAACAAATTACATTTTGGATCGTTTTTTGAGATAGCAAGGGTTTCGTCTCTCATCTTGGGTTGGATGAAAAGTGTAAGACAACACAGAACTCAGAACCTAGCAGCGAGGGAAGTGCCTGTTTTTCAAAGGGAAAGGAATGTGTTATTTTGCAGTTGTCAGTAGTTCCAAATATATCAACTATTCCACAAAATAATGAGTATGTAGTTTCCGTGAGAGACTTAGAACTGTCTAGAGCCTAGTCCTTATTGTCTGTGATCATAGAAACCATGGAGAAAAAAAGCCTACCTATACGAAAGTAGTTAAAAAAAAAATAACCCACAGCAATACAAGAAATGACATCAGCCAGCAGATGACTGAAAATGAGTGGTGTTGATAAGAACTTGAGGAATTTTGAGATGGGAGAGGTGTGGGCCAGAATGAATAAGACCTTGATTTATGGACTAGGATTTGGCTAAGTCGAGAGTAGGAGGAAAGAACAGAGGCAGTGTGTCTTCCCTCAGTGGAGTTCCCACAGCCCCCACCGTGCTTACCGCTCCTGCATCACTTCCTACACCCTAATACAATGATGGTTTTATCCACCCTCACCCCCACCCCCACGCTCCTTCCCCCAGACTACACTCACTACCAGAAAGCTTGTGAGTTCTTTGAGGGTGGGCAGTGGGCAGCCTGTCATTTCAACATTCCCAGCCTCCTGCACCATGTTTGCATGTGGTAGGCACCCAATAAATGTGTGCTGAGTGAGGGAGTAGACTCTTGGTCTGGAGCAGAGGAGTTATAGACAGAGGAGTAAGATCGAACTGGATAGTTTTTGATGACCTTGAAGATCAGCCAGAGTCTGGCTTCATACTGGGGCAACAAAGAACAGTGGGGGCACTCTGAGTTGAAGAGTGATGAAGTGTGATGAAGTCATTTCAGAGGGACTCCCTGGTTGCTCTGAGTTGCCTGGCTGGGGGCAAGAGGCTTGTTCCTGCCCACACAGCATACCAGGCCTTGTGGTGGGTGCTGCAAACATGCTGTTAAATGTGATCAATTACTGGAGTCACCTGTGAGGGAATTGCGAGTCCCCATTTACTGAACAAGAAATTTGAGTCAGGCAGATGATCCGAGGTGATGGTGACCCATGATGGAATGGGGACTGCAGCTCAGGTCTGTCCAACTCTAAAGCCTGCTGGTTCTTTTATCTTGGATCTTATGTTTGACCACACTGTAATCAGGAGATACCACTAAGATGGGAAGATGAGCTGCCGAGATGGGTGTGGGGCCTAGGGGTGAAGTAAGAGTCAGGAATGCCTGAGGTTTTTAGTTTGGGAGACAGGGAGAACGATGGTGGCAATGGCAGAAATAGACATATGGAAGCCAGGAAGAGGTGCAGCAGTTGGTGAGAGAATGAGAATTATTTTAGATACCCTGAGTTTGAGATGACAGTTCCATTCAAGCAGGAATTTCATTAGGCAAGTGACAATGCCACCCCCATCCGCCTTTCATTAAATCTGTCATTTTCTTTTCTTCTAAATTGGGAATGTTGCAGAGAAACTGTGAAATAGATGACACCCCTTTTACGTGCCAAATACCTGACCTCCTTTTGCAGCTTCTTACCTTTCACTTTCAGAAATATTCTCCCTTGAAGGGGCTTCGTGTTTGTGTGCAGGAATTAATAGCATTTTCTTTCCCTGTGCCCTGTAGGGAAAGAGCACAGCTAAACAAGAGAGAGAAAACTGGAGTTCTGAGCTGCCTTGCTCCGAGTTTGGTTGGAGGCCCCTTATGAGGGTCAGCTGGGAATGAAAGAAAAGTCAAGTCAAGCCCTGCCAGCACCCTCCACCACCTGACCTCCCATGGGTGACTGAAGAGCCAGCTAATGAACAAGTTCTTTTAAAGGCAGCCTGGGGAGTGTGGGAGAGGCTGAGTTCAGCAAAACATGACTAGGTGGTGCTGGTGCTGTTTCGGGGTGTGGAGGCAGAAGTGGTTGATCTCCTTAATTTGAATAACTTTGGAATGGGGAGATGGCGCTTTGATAGAGGATTTGATTGGAGATTTTGATTGTAGGATATGTTGAAAGAGGGGATCAGGCTAAAGCCATTTATAGGAAATTATATTTCAGATATTGGCAGTTGAACTTAATGTATTCTATTCTCACTTCCAAAGGCTTTGAATTTTTAGTGTTATTTCTATTTTGAGGAGAGTGGCCTATGAGTACTTCTCATCCAATGTGTTCAATCCAAGGAGACTATAGGAGTTATTACTCTCCTCCTTTATAAATTCTTTCTGTGTAACAGAGATTACCCACAGTTGGCTTGAGAGTTTTACGCCACAGTTTGGTAGAAAAAAGACCACTCAGCTGGAGGTCAGAGGCTTGGGTACCAGTGGTAGCTCTGACCCTTGCCATCAACTATGTGGCCCTGGGTAAGTCTCTAACCTCTCCTGGCCTCAAGCCTCTTCAGATATAGGATGAACATATAATTCCTACATCTAGGAGTTGCTGTGTTGACTAAATGAAGTAATGCTTGTGTATCAGCTTTGCAAATTACATACCCCAAACAAATATATATTAAGATTTTATTTGCTGCAACAGAAGAAAGTGGACCATCTCTTGGTGTTTGTTTTGATGAGACTTGACCTATATAACACAGGCTCAAGTATGTTTGTTAAAGTGAATCACCTGTTGCTTTCTGGGCCATACTTGAAATGACGTGCCGTGTTACAGTGAACCCCTTTTGCACCGCCCCAAGTTCAGGTTGCCCTTACACAATTTGGGCGAGATAGATGAACACGCACCTTCCTCCTTCTTAGAAACAAAACAGTGACTTGGGTAGGGTAGACATTAGGAAAGTGACTTAGCTGGTAAATATGTGATTAATAATGGAGATTTGGCCTAAGCATGAGTGCGAGCCTCTGAATACGGATGGGTAAATGATAAATAGCAAGTCTGCCAAGTTGAGCACATTGGGGAACCTCTTGGGCTCTGTTCATGCTTGAAGTATGACTGTGCCAATACTGTACTCGCTATTTAACAAAATGAGGTCATACCAATCACACTATTTTGCACGTATTTGTTTACACATCTCTTGTCTGCTAAGCTATGAGCTCTTTGAGAGCAGGGACTGTTTCTGTTTATCGTTGTTTTCTAGCATCTAGCAGAGTGCTTAGCATATAATAAATGTGTATTGGATGAATGAATGAACGAATGAAATTCTTTGCATTTTTACTCGGTTAGAGAGATTTTTTGAAAGGCATATATGTGGGATTATTTGTGCCGTCATCTGCTAATTTCACAGATGTCTTCTCAACTGTAGACCTTCATATAAGGGAAAGACCTATTTACGCATAGTTGAGTTGCAGCTGCTGCTGCCCTGGCCTGATGGCACAGTGGTGAGGGCTGTCTCAATATCTGTCCCATGTCTCTTTCATAGAATAATACCCTCCCTCAGCCCCTTTTCCCTGTATCTTCCTTTCAAGGGTTGCTGTGTAGTTAACTCTGCTTCAGGCAATTTATCTTATCTGTACTTTTCTCTTCCTCATTCCTCTTCTCTTTTCCAGTGCTTGTCCAGTAACCTCAAGGAAATCTGTTCCAACCCTTCTTTGCTGTTGGTGTATTCCTATTCATGAGTTAAATCCCAAACAAAACATACTCTAATCAGGGCAGTCGAACTTGAAAAGAGTCAGTGAGAAATCTGAAAGGAGGAAAAGCCTGGCCACGAGGCTCCAAGTGAAATGAAAGCCATAAACACCAGCTTCGTCAACCTTGAAAGCTTCTAAAAGTGCCCCTAAGCCTCCTTTTGAATCACTAAAAGTTTTCACTTACCTCCCTGTCTTTCTCAGATAAAATTTCCTCTTTCTCAGCCATGAGTCTTAAAAAACAAAGCAAAACAAAACACTTCACACCTGCTTCTTATTCAGTTTTACACTAGTGGAAAGAGAACGGGATTTAGAGTTGGAAGGCCAACGTGAGCGTCTGCTGCCACTTAGTAGCTGTGTGACTCTGTATAAGCTTCTAGGCTTTCTGTGCCTCAATTTCTTCAACCGTTGACAATATGACCGTGTATCATCACATAATACACTATGATGTGAAGTTTATGTAGATGAAGAACTCTTTCAAGCTCACAAAGCACCAGATACATGTCAGATATTTCTAATGTTACACCAGTTTTTAATATCATGTTTCATTTCACATACGGTACTTGATATCTCAATTACATTAGAGGCTAAGACAGTTTTCTACCAGCATGAGAACTGAAACACGATAGCATGCCTTTTATGGCGAAATGTGTTTGAACTTCAAACAACAAATATATAAAACTTATTATGCAATACACCCTATCAGCAAATTAATTGAAGGCTGCCTCTAGATTGTTAGGTGTGGACGACAGGAACTTTATTTCCTACTTCTTTTGTACATGCCATTGCTGTTTAACAGTGTTGGGTTCATAACAGGTGATTAGACAGTCTTGTTGATAGTTTGGAGAACCATCTTAATCATGACCTAGAATCATTCTTATTTCACAGCAACCTGTGTCTTGACTAATGTTAAACTGACTAATTTGTTTTGAAGCTGAGAATGAGAAATTGGAGGTCCTTCTCATAGATCTGAGATTCCTTTTTATTCCCGAGTTGGATAAATTAGGGTAAACAAATCAAATACTTGTAAAAATACTGTACAAAGGAATGACATATGCATGCTGGTTCCCTAGCAGGGTAATTCCATCAGCGCTTTAAAAAAAAAAAAAAAAAAGATGACATTCCTTCTCAACCAGCCAAAGGAGCCATTTTCCAATCTCTTATCTTGTTGGGGTGTGTTAGAGAAATATACCAAGTGCAAGAACCTGTAAGCCTGGGGTTCATTAACCTGCTTAAAACCAGTTTTACTTCAAATAGGTGATCTTTAGTGTCAACCGTTGTACTTTTGTCTGCAGGGAACAACTCAAGTTTCGTCCTGTCCTCAGTAAGCAGATGAGAGGTAGGGTTGACGTTAGAAGCCAAGTTTTTGTGGAGCAATAAGGTAAAATTATGAAGGAAGCCTATAGAATTCCAGGAGAGTTTAAAGAAAACAGTAGAATACTTTCTTAGCAAGGGTATGGGTGGGCTTCTGAGTGGAGGAAGCAGGCTAGACCTTGGGATGTTCCAGTCCAAATTCTGTTTCGGAAGCTCCCTAAATGTATGCAGAGGTTGTGTAATTGTATTCATCACTGTTGAATGTATTATTGGTTTGATTTGGTTTCACTGCTCCTAAGTTCCTTTTGTCTTATCTTGCAAGCATATCACTGTGAGTACTTAAATCATTAACAACTCATTAAAACTCTTGACCATTTTCATTTTCTACCAAGCTGAAGCCTGGGTGTGGTGGAAACTTGTGCAGGCCTGCTTGGCTGTGCCGCAACTGAGCAGCTCCTAGCAGTTTGGCTGTCAAAAGGTCACTGAATAAACAAATTGATAGGAATGGCGGACATAATCTCTGCAGTTCCTTGAAAAGAAGGAAGGGGCTGCAGGATACAGGATAGTGAAGGATCCTTCTCTTCAACCTGAAGGACTCTTCAGCAATTAACACCTTGACTCTCTTTTTATGCAACACTTTTTTTTTGTCCTCTCAGAGACTCTATTTGTACTTGGTCTTTTCTTCTTTCAGGATTTCTATAGCTTCTTTTAGAGACTCAAAGTGCTTCCAGTTTTGTTACCTCATTTATTCTCTAGGGGCAGGAATTAAGGTCTTGATGGAGATGAAGTGGTACATCACTTACTGGGCTGTGGAGGCAGTCTACAACAGGCAGTTGCAGCAGTTCTTCTGGTTACATGTTGAGAGATATATATATACACATACACACACACACACACATACATTTTACCTTATTTAGGATCTCCCAGAAGATAATTTTAAGTATTTGTAATTTCTATATATTTTAAATAGCTGATTTATGCCTCATAAGTAAAGAAAAAAGGTTTCTCTGCTTTTGACTTGAATTGTTGAACTATTTGTCCCTTGGTAAACTGATCAGTTGCCGTGCAGATTGAGAGAAAGCCATTCAATCAATCAAAATGTTTCTACTGCATTGGCATGCTTTGTAATGGAAATGAAAATGACAGCATGTTTTTGTCAGTTTAAATGAATAGGTTTCCTTTAGATCGATGCTGAAGTTGGTATTATAGGTATCTAGCCTATGAATGCTAATAATTAATTACGGAAATGCCTCATGGAAGCACTTGAACTTACCCCTGCATCTTACAGATATATCTGCCTGTTGGTGAAGTGTATGCCAGCGTTGACATTTCTTGTGAGTACTGGCATGACCCATGACACAGCCTCTGTGGTACCAGAGGGCCCTACACTGTCTTCAGAGACATTCAGTTCAGTGCATTTTAAAAAATTCATTCATTCAATCACTAATTCATTCATGTACTCAACACATGATTATGTATGCCTACTATGTACCAGGCTCTGGTCTGGTGCTAGAGATAGAGTTATTAACAAGACCGAGGAAGTCCCTGCTTTCATGGAGCTGTATTTTTTTTTTTTTTTTTTTTTTTTTTTTTTTTTTTTTTTTTTTGAGACGGAGTCTCGCTCTGTCGCCCAGGCTGGAGTGCAGTGGTGCGATCTCGGCTCACTGCAACCTCCACCTCCCGGGTTCAAGCAATTCTCCTGCCTCAGCCTCCCAAGTAGCTGGGACTACAGGCGCCCGCCACCACGCTCGGCTAATTTTTGTATTTTTTAGTAGAGATGGGGTTTCACCATATTGGCCAGGCTGGTCTCAAACACTTGACCTCGTGATCCGCTTGCCTCGGCCTCTCAGAGTGCTGGGATTACAGGCGTGAGCCACCATACCCAGCCCAGAATGGTATTCTTAACGTATGGACTTAAAAGGAGCATTTGCAAGGAAGAGTGGCAGTGGCAGTATTGTATGGGGAGCTCTGATTCTCATTTATGCAAGATATGTAATGCCTTTCTAAAGAATAGTGTTGCTACTTACAGCTCGGGCTTGGAGATAAGACCCACTACTCTGCAGGTCCACTTGAACTTCTTTGTAAGCCCACTTGAACTAATCTGGAAGAGTTTCAAGCTTTGGTACCCTATTTGCCAACAGCTGGGTACAAAACCACCTATTGGGTATGATTTTAGGGCTATTGTCAAGGTCCCTGAAGGTGGATAGACTGAAGACATCTCTTCTACTGGTAGCTTTATCTCTTTAAAACATTCTTTTATTGTATCTCACTCAAAAGACTAGCTGTTTATTTATACTTTAGTATGAGATTCCATTTGTTTCTTTACAAGGTTTTGATAAGGGTCTAAGACTACTAGATGCCAGTTTAGTGAGGGAGGGCACTCTGGGGGAAGTAAGCAGGTATATGGGGCTAAAATCAAAAGGTTGAAGCACCTCCAGTTTGACCTACTTAACAATTTTGCTTAGCCTTGAACTCTTGGCCTCTCTGATAATTAGTTTTCTAATTTTTTTTTTTTTTTTTTTAGACAGAGTCTTGTTCTGTTGCCCAGGCTGGAGTGCAATGGCGTGATCTCAGCTCACTGCAACCTCTGCCTCCCAGGTTCAAATGATTTTTGTGCCTCAGCCACCCCGGTAGCTGGGATTACAAGCGTGTGTCACCATGCTCTTGTAATTTTTGTATTTTTAGTAGAGACAGAGGTTTGCCATGTTGGGCAGGCTGGTCTTGAACTCCCGGCCTCGAGCAATCCACCTGCCTCTGCCTCCCAAAGTGTCGGGAGTACAGATGTAAGTCATCATGCCCGGCCTCGTTTCCTAATTTTAAAAATGAAATTGTTGGAGTAGATCATCACAATCCCTTTTAGTTAAGTCTGCTCACTTGGTAGATTTGTACCTAACTGCCCAACTGCCCAGGCTTTGGTGTTTTTCCCCATTCTGTGCTTTGGTGAGGAGATCCTGCGTTTTCTTTCCGTTTCCTTTGCCAGAAAGAGCTCCCTGTGGCAACATAGAAAATATCAACTCACTGATTTCCCCAGAAAGGGAAGAGTCCACAGCTTCAGAATGGTATCTGCCCTGGTGTCTGCATTCTGGTCAGGCGGCTGCATTCAGCATCTGTGCTCCCGGGCTGGGGTGCTTATCTGTAGTAGCCAGACGGCCTGGGCGCTCACAGTAAGTTACGTTTACATAGTGGAGAGGTGAGCAAGCAGATAGTCTGAAGCAAGTAGAAAGAACACTCCAGTCAAGGTTTTCCAGAGGAAAGATTTTGAACCATCGTCAATTAAATAAAACAGAATCTTCTCAAGATCACCAGAAAATACATAGCCAGGGAGATCCCAAGTATTGTGGAACCAACCTAATTATAGTTACCTCCTATTTGCTTAGCATTTTGTGCTTTTAAAAATGGGTCTTATTTCATATCTCATCTGATCTTAAATATCCTGTGAGCTAAGCAGGTCAGAAATTATCATTATTATTATTTTTTGAGACAGAGTCTCACTCTGTTGCCCAGGCTGGAGTACAGTGGCATGATCTTGGCTTACTGCAACCTCCACCTCCTGGGTTCAAGTGATTCTCCTTCCTCAGCCTCCCAAGTAGCTGGGATTACAGGTGTGTGCCACCATGCCCGGCTAATGTTTGTATTTTTACTAGAGATGGGGTTTTGCCATGTTAGCCAGGCTGGTCTCGAACTGATCTCAGGTAATCCACCAGCCTCGGCCTCCCAAAGTGCTGGGATTACAGGCATAAGCCATCTCACCTGGCCAGCAGGTCAGAAATTAGTAATCCCATTTAAAATATGAGAAAACTGAAGCATTAGGTAGGCTAAGTGACATGGCCAAAGTCACACAGTTAATAGGGCAGGATCAGAATTTAGAATGCATGTTTTTTCTTTTAAAAACAACTTTATTCAGGTATAATTTATGTGCAATAAAATTCACTATTTGAAACCTATAGTTCAATGAGTTTTGACAAATGGTATATACTTGTGTAGCCACAATTATAATCAATAGGTTGAACATTTCTATCACCCCAAAAAGTCCCTTCACGGTCCTTGGCTTTAATCTTCCTCTTTCCTTCCCCAATTCCCCCTGTCTTTTGATGTCTAATGCAATGCTCTTTTCACTGTCCCACACTCGGACTTGACAGCCCTTCAGCCATATCCTTCTGGAGAGAGTCCTGGCTGGCAGCCAGCCTGCCTCATCATGTTGAGTTATGAGAGTGAATGGGAAGTTAGTGGGTTGCTTACTCCATTGTTAGTTCCTTCCTTCCCTTCTTTTACCAGCTCCAGGCTATAGAAAAATTATGTGGGTTCTCCTTCCCAGGAGAGCTTGAAAAACAGGACACCAGCTCACCTGTCTGCTCTTGCTTCCTGGTAGCCTGCTGCTGGGGAGGGGTGGGAGTGAGCAGGAGGTGGTGGGGTGGTGGACTAGGCGACCTCTAGAGGATGCTCTACTTCTGTATCGTCTACTCAGTCTCGATCTCCGTAGAAACCAGCTAGCTCTCTGCTGCCTAGTTGCAGTTCCCCAAGGCTTTAAGCAGTCTGAATTCCATATCTGATGAATGAATCCCAAAGGTGTTGAAGATCCCAGTTCTGAAAAATGAGCAAACCCCAAGTTTTATAATTGAAACTTTCATAACAGATCGGGTCCTAGACAGATCCCTCCCTCTGTAACTGAGTTAGGTTTTGAGGGGAGATATCCCCCATTATACTGTTCCTAAATCCTAGATTTTGACTGTAGTGTTCGGGACATTCCGGAGAGTCACATTGTTTACCCAGGTGCTGGACCAGAGTTGCTCCCCGGCGTTGCTGTGTGGCATCCAGCAAAGGCAGGTTGGGAGCCTGCTCCTTTTCATAGCCAGCTTTGCCTCCATACCAGCAAGATGGAAGATAGGTGCCTTCACTAAGCCCCTCAGGTGGCCACAGGATATGATCCAGAATGGTGGTCTCTACTTTTCTATTTGCTCCTATTTAGCCACCCAGTTTGGGAGTAGCCCTGTGTATTATGATTATCTCTTTCATTCATTTTGGGCTATTTGAGTTTTTAGGGCCCTTTCCTATCCATTATCTCCTGTTCTCAATAAGTCTGATATCTTCTGTTAGAGTAAAAGCTCCATCTCCTCTGATCTAAGACAGCTGCAAGGACAGGACAGACTCAGATTTCTTCTCTGCAAAGGCTCCTGTTAAATCTTGGGCCCTATGGTATTGATTTTCTTCTAGTTATCTCTACAAATTTTTCTGGCTTTGCTGAAGGGGGAAAAAATCACCAGACTGCATGCTTGAGCTTCAGGTTTCTCCTTAGCTGGCAGCCTCAACCAGAAAAAAATTCTTTTTGAGAGCACTGAGCCTCAGGCACTGGTTTTGCCCTGTACTCCCCAGTGTCTAACTCTTAACAGCTGGTGGCCATCCCTGGCCTCCATCTTTACTTTGCTGCATACCTCAGCTTGATGAGTCCTTGATGTTGACTCCTTGACCTTACTGCCATCTTCTTTCCCCTGCAGGGGCCTCTTGAACTATGGGGAGCTTAGAAAACAGTGGGCTTCCTGTGTTTTGTCTACCAGCAAAGCTGGGTACCTGAATCCCCATGTGACAGTGCTGCATGGCTGACTCCAGTATTCTTCAGGAGACACAGTAGCAGGAACAGAGACTTAGTTGAAAGCCCCAAGTGTGTATATCTGAAGTGTTTGTACAAAGATGGGGGCAGAGAGCTGCTCATGTCTGCAAAGAGGGACAGTCCCACTCTTGCAGAGGTGACAGTCCACAGCAATGCTGTCTCTTCCATTTCTCATTGGGGTTAGGTTTCCAAAGGTCCATGAAGGTTTTATTCGTTTTCGTGCCCCAAGAGAGCTTTCCATAGTAATGAAAGAAATGTTAAGAACTGCAGGAAATGGGTAAGATTATAGATGGCCAAGGAAAGTAGCAAGGAACAAAAAAAGACAATGTATTTTAAAGGAAAACTTTTTGGAGCTATTTCATGGATGCTGCTGGTCACCTGGGGAAATCTTGGATTTATTTGACAGTTCCCGTTTTCCACTTAGGCTTCATGTATACATGGGTTTGGGAGCTAGGAAGGGGAATAATACCCTCCCCAAAGAGCTGTGGCTGAGCTCCCAGTCCCCAGGACCAAATTGAGCTGTTGCAGCTGGGAAGCAGATTGGTGCAGCCCTCCCCAAAATGCTCACAGCCCTGTGGTTATTTCCTGTCTTTTTCCCCTTGTATATTCCTCTTTGCAGCTTGTATCTTCCCTTTCTACAGGAAATCTCAGCCGCCTAGCCCATGGGCCTGGTTGGGCTGCTGTCTCCTTCCTTTATTCTTCATAGCCCTTAATCACTTCTCATTAGTGGACTCCCTGGGAGGGAGGGAAGAAGGGTTTTGTTCTGATGCCAGCCTCCTGGAAGGGCTGTATCCCACCAAGACAGATGGCTGCCTAGCCTATTTTTAACTGTCTCTGGGGAAGAAGATTCCACAACCTATTTTGAAACCTGTTTCATTGATTGACAGCTTTCCAATTAGGAATTTCTTGCTGATACCTGACTTAAAATTTGACAGCTATAGTTGAAACTCATTTCCTTTTGTTTCTTTGAAATCATAGAGTTTGGGAAAGAGAGGGATTTTAATTAGAAGTCGTCTAGGCCTACCCCTAATGAAGAAAATAAGTTGAAGTTGAAACTGAAAATGCCTCCTCATCCTCTCATTGAGGATCCCATCAGTTTTGGGATCTGCCTTTGAAATCACACATTTGGGTACCATTCTGTAAGAATCAATTTAATTTTCAGGGGAAAAAAAGTGTTCTGGAGCTGGAAGTTTAGAGCGCAAGTAAGTCGTTAATACGACTTACTCTATTTTGTTTGTAGTGAGAAAGTTAAATGGTGCTTATAGAATTACCTTGCCTCTATTGGCAGAGAGTAAAAATAAACTGAGCTCTCAATATACAAAGACTTCCCCAGTTCTTTTCCTTTCGCTCATATCAATGCCTGTCTTTAAAGAAAAAAAGAGGGTTATTTTTCTCTCCTCCATCAGTGGGATTCTCTGTATTTTAAATATCTTTTTTAAGACTAATGTCAGGTGACTCAAATTCCACTGAAGTCTCTCTTTTTAGTTGTCTTTCTGCCGCTGCAGACTTCTCTTGACATGAGACTCTGTGCTGCTTCTCTTGACAGACTGCATCTCGATGGCAGAACACTGGTAAGAAGCTAATGATGTTGGTTCCGTTTCAGTGTGTGGAATCTTGTTATGTGGTATAGAAGTCCAGCATTCTAGGCGAATAAACCAAAAGGTATTAGACTGACTATAAAGGGGTCTTGGGAAGGGATCTTACTCCTCTTTGATAGTTGGTACTTGTACCTTTTCTCAACACCTGTGACATTTTCTTTTTCCAGAGATAGCATCACATGTCAAGGTGGAACATCAGATGCTTGGATCAACCAATGAGTTGTATCCAGACCTGTGACCAAAACTGAGGTGGCATTTGGGATATCATTCACCTTTTGGTCTGTGCTTCAGGCCATGAGTAGTTAGTGTATAGCACATGTTCACAGGCATTAGCATCTCAGTCTTTTGAAATATGGCTAAAATTTAGTATTCCACCTGCACTTGATCTACTTGAGAAGTATTTAACAGGTCTATTTTATAAAATCCCAAGGCAGCCTTTTCTGCTACCTGCTTGGATTGGGCTGCATGAATATAAACTCATTTTGCTATCAGCCTGAGAAATAGGCAGGTATACTGGAAACACCTTCTTATCTGGGGCAATTGGACTAGTAATTGGTCAGTTAATTCCAAAAGTCAGTTAAAACAGAGAGTCTTTAAAAACGAAGACAAAACTTTTCTCAAGCATTTTATTTATTTTAATTTTTTTTTGAGACAGGGTCTCTCTATTATTGCCCCAGCTGGTCTCTAACTCCTGGGCTCAAGCCATCCTACAGTCTCAGCCTCCTGAGTAGCTGGGATTACAGGCACATGTCATCATCTAGCTAGAATTTTATTTTAACTTAAAAATATGTAAATGCCAGCCTGGCCAACATGGTGAAACCCCGTCTCTACTAAAAAAAAAAAAAATACAAAAATTAGCTAGGTGGGTGGCAGGTGCCCGTAATCCCAGCTACTCGGGAGGCTGAGGCACGAGAATCTCTTGAACCCGGGAGGCGAAGGTTGCAGTGAGCCGAGATCACACCACTGCACTCCAGTCTGGGCGACAGAGTGAGACCCTGTCTCAGAGGGGGAAAAAAAAAGTGAATGTACACATATTCACAAATCTTTTTATGTGGGCCAGGGCTTTTTCTTAAAGTGTGGATCTTTCAAGTAGAGTTCAGTTGACTTTCTTTCATAAATTATACACTTAACATTTGATCTGTGATTTCCAGTTTAAGTGAACCAAGTTCTTAAATACATTTGAGAAATGAAGGGCAGAATTCTTCCAGATTTTTAAGCTCCACCACTACAACCTTTTACTGTTGTCTTGCCCATATCTAATTCAGCAGCAATTTTTTTTAGCAACTTGCCTTCAAATTTCTTCCAAGCATTCAACCTCTTTTTCATAGAAATATCTTTTTTATACTCATATTTCACTTGTTTGTATTATATAATAATTTAATATGTAATTAAAATAACAAGTATACCTAGCGTGAACTAACTACTGACCCTGAAGCAGCCAACCTGGCTGGTGGGAGTAGATGTGAGTAATACACAACCAGCCTCCAGTGTGCTATGCAACTCAGCCAGTTTATTTTGAAGAGAAGTTGGTATGTCACATAAGCTGGCAAGTCAGTTAAGAAAGTATCACCCGTATGTTTCTCTCCTTTTTGCCTCTACTGATTGCTATGGGACTTTTATCTTAGCACCTGTTATCATAATTCCTCTATTAAACTATAAGCTTTTGGATGGCAGGGCCCTTTTCTTACTTATGTGTGTATCTCCAGTGTCTCCTGATATAGTGTCTGGCCTATAGTAGGTGCTCAGAAGTACTAACTAGACATATATATGTCTTAGTTCAGTGCTATATATTTGTTGGTGCCAAACAGCTCTTTATTGAATAGATGGATATATGTATGTATTACTGCACATAATGTACTCAAAATCCAAATGAGAACCTATAGAGTATCTATTTTTTAGGATTTTTGCCATACTGGTTCCTTGTGTTTGCATGAAAAACTGAAAATTGACTGTGGAGCTTTTAGGCTTGGGTTGGAACAATATGTATTTTAGAAAGATTACTCTCTTAATAATAACTACAACTCATTCTTAGAATAATAAAAATCATATCAGTACTAAGTAATATTTATCAACTGCTTACTGTGTGCCAGGCAGTATGCTAAGTGTGTATGTTATCTTAGTTCATATCTACAGCCCTGAAAGAAGACACAACAAGACATGTTGTGTTATTATTTCCATTTATAGATGAGGTCTCTTTGGGAGCCAGCAAGGAGGTGGTACAAGGTCTAATCTTTGAACAGTTGAGAAATGGGTAGTTTGTTTTCATAGTGCTGCTTCTTATTTTCAAGGTTGAGGGCCCTTCTAGGCGAGGTGAAAGGAACCCTTAAATCTAGAGACTGCCTAGAGGGAGAAACTGACACTTACTTTTGGCTTTCTGGGAACCAGGGTAGGTCCTCTCTTAATTGAAGAGAATTAATAGGATCCTGTGGCTGGGCATTGGGCAGAGTGTTTGAATAGCTGCTGGCCATGGTAGGTAATGCCAAAGTGGCAGTGAAAACAAGCTACTGTGGGACATTAGACCCTGCCTGTCACTTTTCTTCCCAGGCCACTCACTTGTTGGAGGGCCCTTCTGAAACTCCTCTTGCTCTGTAGTCTGGATGCTTGTGAACAAGCTGCTTGCAGGTGCCGAAACAAACAGCAGTGTGGGTCTCAGGGCCTGGGCTTGGAAGCTGGGCAGAGGGTGGAAGGGCTCCATTTGGGAGCAGTGTTGATGGAAGTGATTTTTCTAGCTGAGGTGCGAGGTTGGTTCTGAGCTGAATTTAAGAGAAGGCTATGGTCTTTTGTCCTTCCACACTTTTGGGACCCAGCAGATACTACAAATGCAATCTTTACAAACCCACTCACTGCCAGAAATGAATCTAAAAAAGTGCTAGTCTGTGGGCCTCTTGGTCAGGAAGGTGACAGCAGTGGCAACAGCAGAAAAACCAATCAAACAAACAAAATGCCTGTGGGCTGGCAAACAGAATTTCTTTGCAAGGTTAATTCTGAATGTCAGACTCTTTCCTTTTTTGTAGGTTGGAAGGAGGCAGCAGCAAAGGGAAAGAGATAGCAGTTGGAGGCCACCTTCTTTAGTCCCCCTTCCCCAAAGAAGAGCCGTAGCTAGTATTGTGGTTGGCATTAAATTGATATAAAGACACCCTGGCCTGGAAGTTAAAAGTTTTTTTTCTTTCTTTTTTGAGACAGAGTCTTCCTCTATTGCCCAGGCTGAAATGCAGTGGCATGATCTTGGCTCACTGCAACCTCCACCTCCTGGGTTCAAGCAGTTCTTGTGCCTCAGCCTCCCGAGTAGCTGGGACTACAGGCATGCGCCACCATGCCCGGCTGATTTTTATATTTTTAGTAGAGACGGAGTTTCACCATGTTGGCCAGGCTGGTCTTCAACTCCCAACCTTAGGTGATCTGACTGCCTCAGCCTCCCGAAGTGCTGGGAATTACAGGCATAAGCCATTGCTCTCAGCCGAATGAAAAGATTTTTGATGTACTTTTTAGCCAGAGGGAGTTTATGCTGCTGTGTGGCCAGTTTTTCCACATGTCTGCAACAGTTACAATTTTTGACAGATATCTTGAGAAGATTATAGATTTTGATAGAGGCAGTAACTTTATTAGCAAGACTGATTTCATATTAGAATGAAATCTCTGGGTCTTTTTCGGATTACTTCATGTTCCTTAAAAAGAAAGACATTGGGCCAGGCACGGTGGCTCACGCCTGTAATCCCAGCACTTTGGGAGGCCAAGGCGGGCGGATCACGAGATCAGGAGTTCGAGACCAGCCTGACTAACATGGTGAAACCTCGTCTCTACTAAAAATACAAAAAAATTAGCTGGGCATGGTGGTGGGCGCCTGTAATCCCAGCTACTCAGGAGGCTGAGGCAGGAGAGCTGCTTGAACCCGGGAGGCAGAGGTTGCAATGAGCTGAGATCGCACCATTGCACTCTAGCCTGGGCAACAGAGTGAGACAACGTCTCAAAAAAAAAAAAAAAAAAAAAAAAAGACATTGACTGGTCTTGGCAGTCTTTGGGTTTTATTCTGAACTGTGTAGAGTTGGCCAACTCAGGAATTCTAGACTAGGGAGAGAATTTTGCAGTGCTTTTGAGCATGTCTGTGTAAATGTGCTGTACTCATCACTATGGAATGGTTCTCCAGTTTGGCTGTAAACTCATGGAGCTGGCTCCTTGAAATGCTAGCGTCCTAGCCATGCACGCATGCAAGCAAGCAGAATTTGTTCACGCCTAGGCCATATGTGGATGTCACTCTTCTTCAGTTTCATATCCAGTTTCTGCTTGCCTGAGCTAGAAATGAAGTCATCCAGCACTCACAAAACCTCTGGCCTTAGAGGCTTAAAAACAAAAACAAAACAAACATAGCAACTATCCCATACCACCTTAGTGAGGTGGATATTATTGTCCTCTTTTCAGAAGTGAGGAAACTAAGGCTCAGAAATTAAGATACGTGCTCATGGTCACACAGGTCCTAGGAACAGGGATCCAGGATCCCAAAGTCTGCCTCTAAAGCCTATGCTTTTCCCATAGGGCTGCTGAACCTGACCTTTGCACTTTGCCATTTATGTTACTTCTTCCATTCCTTGGGAGTAAATTGAAATGGGTTTGGGTTGGCGCTGTGGCTCACACCTGTAATCCCACCACTTTGGGAGGCTGAGGTGGGTGGATTGCTTGAACCCAGGAGTTCGAGAGCAGCCTGGGCAACATAAGGAGACCCCATCTCTACAGATAATTTAAAAATTAGCTGGACTTGGTGGCGCCCACCTGTGGTCCCAGCTACTTGGGAGGCTGAGGCAGGAGGATCACCTAAGCCCGGAAGGTCGAGGCTACGGTGAGCTGTAATCATGCCTCTACACTCTGGCCTGGGTGAAAGAGCAAGACCCTGTCTCAAAAACAAGCTAACAAAAACCCCCCTAAAAACAAAAGAAATGGGTTTGAGAGAGAAGAAGAGAGAGAAACTTAACTGTGGGTGTTCGTAGTTAGGTACTCGTGGAGGACCACCTACCATCAGACGGGAGTGGCTAGCCCTTGTTTTCATTTATGCAGACAGACTTCCTTTTCTACCTCTGCTGGTTATACCAGGTACAAATAGGGATGCTGCAGTAGAGCAGAGGAGCTAAACGTGGCTTCCTCTGACTTACATAATAAAATAAGAATCTCCCCAATGGCCCTTTCCTGTCTGCTGGTCTCTGTGATGAAGTGGGCCACCCTAGGGACAGCTTCACTTAAGGGCCTCCCCAGGGTTATCAGGTCCACAAAGGGTCTTGGGATCAAATGTACAGCTAAATTGATGAGATCAATTCATTAAGATAAAGACTTCTACTTCCAAAGCAGTATGGTGCTTGGGTCAGTGTCTCTTGAGAAATTAATGTATAGATAAAATATTTCATATTAGGGAGAGCTCTGTGCTGCCCTTTCCCAAAGCTTTGGTTATTTGATGGGAGGGGAAGTCTTCTCGAACCTATGTCAGAATATTCCGCTTTGAAAGATGAGGGTTTTTCTTGAGGCTAGTTTTGTACCTGCTGTTTCTTTTAGAAATGATTGCTTTATGGATTTAAAAGGTGACCCAAATGACTTTTTTATTATTATTATTTTTTAATGCTGGGAGGAGTTTGCGTGTGTGTGTGTGTGTGTGTGTGTTTTATCTCCTTCAACTCTGACCACCTGGAAGTCAGCCTAATCTCTGCCCTCGTGTTGATCTTTAATTCAACATTTAATTACCTATCTTGGTATCCATATGAATTTGATTGTTTTTTTGGCTTTTTTTGAACTCATAAAAGGTATCCAAGTTCCTGGAGGGCATAGTGCCCATCTCCTCCCATCCACCAGTGGACATTCTTTTCCAAAAGACACATGGCAAGTACCCCTCACACCTGAGCTGTGGTGGTTTGGGTTTGTCCCCTTTGCTTTTGTTTGCAGAACACCTTTTACTCCTTTTGCACTTGATGGTTCTGTTGTACTTGTAAGGAAAATCAGTTGAAATAAAAAGATATTAAATTGAGAGACAAAAAGATGTTGCCACACTCCCAGTTAGAGGCAGACTTTAGTCTATATTTTCAGATTTATTTTGATTATAAAGTGTAGTCTCCCCCCGCCACCCCCTGTCTGCTTTTCTTTGTAGTTCTGTAATCAGGAGTCTGTTATTCTCTTTCCAATGCTATAATTAATAGTCTGGTCTAAAATATAAAAACCTCAAAGTTATTAATGGAAATGTCACTACTCACCTCATTTTTACAGAGGCCGCTTGGCCTCTAAGTCATTGAGTCTTTGGACAAACATCATTTAGCATTGACTATGTGCAAGAACTGTGCTGTATGCTGGGGATTTAAAGACAAAGAAATACAGTTTCTGCCTCTGAGCCGTGCATCATCTCACTGGTGAGGCTCACATACAAACAAACAGGCAGAATTCAGTGTAATTGAGAAATGTTGTAATTGAGTTATATATAGGGTTCTTATTTTGCACGTCTCTGTAGAGTAGTAGTTTCCATACTGTGCGGTATTTGCCTGTTCACTTGCCTGTTCCTTTGTGAGCTCTCGAGGGCCAGGAACAAATATGGATATAAACATGGAACCATGAGCGAATAGATGTTTCTTATCAATGCTCGGCCTGTCTTACGAGGTGTTCCATAGTGGAACCACCTGGGAAACAATTGATTTTGCATTCTTGTTTGTTAGCTAAATGCCTGATTTGCTTTTTAGGATTCTTTTAGGTTAAATCATATGAAATTACCATTTTGTTGATAATTTCACATGGTTCCATGTAATAAAAAGAGATCAATTTTACAGACTTCTGGTTTCAGGTCATGCACAGAGGTGAAGTTCTGCACAGGTACTGGGCATCCTATATGTATTTCCACTAGGTTACTATTTCCGAGTGTGAGTCTCTATTTGGAACTTCAGAGAGGGAGCCTGTGGCCCAGCTACTCCTGTGTCACTCAGCTCTGGAGTGGAATTCTTCTAGGTAGTGCCTGTTTGTAGACTGGACAGGGAATAAAACCACTACTCTGTGCCCGTTTATAAATATTTGCATTTACCTTGGAGAATGTACAAGACCTGGGCTTCATGCGTGTGTGAGAGAAAATAGCAAGTGAAAAGGATGTGTACACAGCAGCATGAATGGGGTGCTATTCTTAGCTGGGTCTCTAACCTAGAGAACAGGAAACAAGATGCTTCTGAATGTGGACTATGGCTGCCCTATGCTAGAGCCAAGAGGCTTCGAGTCATAGGGAAACTCATGACAGTTGCTAGTGTCCTTCAGACCTTCCTCTTTTGTAGAAAGTTTCATTCTTTGTGTGTCTCAGACTGAGATGGAGGAGGGGTGACTCTGTTTTCTAAGGGATCTAGAGAGAAAGGGCAGATGTAGTCTTGAGCAGTGGGCTTCTCAGCTGTGCTGCTTCTTCCACGGAGACCATCTGGATCTACTCGGTTGATGGAGCAGCTCCTCTCATTCTGAGTGGGTTTAGCATTTGAGAAATAGAGGGGCACCTTGGCTGACTGGACTAAACCTTCTTTGGCAATTTATAATAAATGCTCTCTGATTTATTGTTTATTCTTTCACATTGAGGTTGAACCTGATTTGCCTTTGAAAGTTAAGAGCAGGACTAGGACTAGAACTAGAAATGCCTGATGTATACTGTAGCACACAGTGGAGCGTTGTCCACTTTTTAGTCACTTGGTGACTACCGATTAATTGATTTGAATATATCAATGTCTGGCAGTTGGACCAATTACTCAGCTTCCCAATCTGATGGTGTGGTTGATAGAAATGTTTCCTGGTGGCATTTTCCCACAGGATTAGGATGGTGGTGGCATTAGCCAGGATCTCTTTTGTCACTGCCACTGTTACTGAATGATCTGTATTTTGAACTTTCTTGACTTAGTATAGTATTATACATCCAGCCCTTACCCTAAATGCTTATTATTTAATATTGACAACTTACAGGTTAATGTTTTAAATCTTTTTTTTTTTTTTAAGGCAGAGTCATGCTCCGTCACCCAGGCTGGAGTGTGATCTCAGCTCACTGCAACCTCTGCCTCCCAGGTTCAAGTGATTCTCCTGCCTCAGCCTCCCGAGTAGCTGGGATTACAGGCGCCCGCCACCACGCCCAGCTAATTTTTGTATTTTTAGTAGAGACGGGGTTTCACCAGGTTGGCCAGGCTGGTCTCAAACTTCTGACCTCAGGTGATCCAACTGCCTCGGCCTCCCAAAGTGCTGGGATTACAGGTGTGAGCCACCACGCCCGGCAAAACAGCATATCTTTAATTAGAACCCAACACGAGATGGTATTTCTTCAAAGAGGGCCTGAAATTGTGGTATTACCTCCAAGCGAACTTTATGAAAGGGATCGGGTCTGTATATAAACCATTTAATTTCTCCATTTCTCTAAATGGGAAAAAAAATTTGTTTTTGTTTCTTTTTTACTCAGAACACCAAGCCCATTCAGCCACCTCAAAAGAGGTTATAGCCAGGGCGCCCCTCTTAGAAGAAAAGACATTTTTTTTTTTTCCTTAAGATTGGTGCATGGAAGCTTAGAGCCTCATTTCACCACCTCTCCTGATTTGATATAGATTTATGAGAAATGAATATAGGGAAAATACCGGCTGTAGACTTGACAACTGTTAACTTGGTGAACAGCATGTTCTTGTTTATGTTAACTGTGTACTTTGACTGTTCAAGATCCCCATTACTTTTCACTTGTCATGCCACATCATTGCTGCAAGTTAGCCTCCTTAGATAAGATACATGGCAGTTAGCTATCTTCACCTGATGGGGAGGAATAGGGTAGAGAAAAGAATGTGACCAGCTGTTGTCAGCTTCTCCGTGGAAGTGGTAACCATGTCAGAGCCAGGCCCTGGAGACCTGGCTTGGAAAAGAATGAAGTTTTCCTACTAGGAACTTCTGTAGAGCCCTAGACCTTTCCATCTTAGTGCCGAGTTAAATGAGTCACGTAGCCTTCAGGTAAAGTCATTTCCAAGGGATTGTGAGAATGTGCCCAGGTTGGTTTGGACTGTGTCACACTTACTTGTACTGGCTTATCTTTGCTACTAATTTTTTTGTGTGTGTTATTGTTCTTCTAACTATTGTTGATGATTTGAGTGATGCGAAAGATTTTGATGATGGTAACTTTCTATAAGAGATGTAGAAGCAAGAGGCCCAGAGAATTGATCTTGCCCTTCATCTGACACATTGTGACCAGTTTGTTGAACATGATAAGGCCTGGAATTGTCACTTCGAATGTCTTCTTAATCTGGGAAATTTGAAGAGGTCTGCAGCAGGGAGGCTGGTCAGGGAAGTAACTTTGCAAAATAAAATCTTCATACTGATGCAATCCCAGAGAACTTGCCTTTGGGTTTGTGATTGCAAAGTGTTGAATCAGTCTTTGGTGTGGATACAGAATATTTGAAGCTAGTTGAAGTGTAGGGGTGTTGGGACAGGAGAAATGATGAGATGAAGTCTTATCAGAGGCTGAAGGTCACCGGATATTTTCCTAGTAAAGGTTCCTTTGATGTGGAATTTATCCGTTTAGCCCACCTAATTGGAGTTATCTGGTTTCTGTCCCTGAAGATTCTGCTGTTGGCCCTGGACTACTTAATTCTGTTTGCTCACCAAATCGGTGACATAAGTTACAAGTTATGAGATTTAATGTTTAGAGTATGGTTTTGGATTATAGGTTCCTTGCATTCTTAAGTTAGCAGAAGGAAACCAAGAGAAGCAGCATGGTACAAACAAAACCCCAAACAAGTGCTAATGTCAGAGAGACCTGGGTTCAAATCCTAGCTATGCCACATATAAGTTTTATCATGAGAGTAAATTGCGTAATCTCCCAGAACCTCAGTGTTCTTGTTGCTAAATGTGCACAAAATAACTGGCTATCTTATAGAGACGTTGTGAAGTTAGAGTGAGTGAAGGTGACATGCCTAGTAAGGACCTGGCACGTAGAAGCACACAATCAGCTTTAACTGTTTCTGTTATTAGCAGTGGACTTAGCACTGTATAAATCTGTCCCTCCATGCTTCCCACTTGCCCATTTGTCAAATGGACTTGACATTCCTTACTCAGTGGTTGACAGGGAGCCAAGTGAGATATCTGAGCTGTTGAGGATGGATGTGTATCTCAAGATCCTGGCATTCAGACTGGGGCTCTACAAGTCACACTATATTTGCAAGTTGTAGCAGAACTATATTAAAAACATGCCCTGCCTGTTTCCCCTCGTTGGTCCTCCCATTCAGAGAGGGGCTTTCTAGCCTTGTGCTTTAAATAGTCCTCAGACGGTAATGTAGATAGTAGATGAACACAATTCTTGTGAATCCATTTGCCTTGTGCTTGGGAGTTCTATTCTTAGACCACAATCACCGGAATAGAAAGCCTCCGACCCCACATCCGAACTGAAGCCATGTGGGCCTGGCTAATGGATTTCTTTGGGAAGCTGGGACAAAGGACCGGGTCTGCTTCTGTCATTGACTAGGCCAGGTATGGAGCAGTCCATTAGAAACCAGTCTCCTCCCAATTGTCTGGAGTTTATGAGCCTGGCTTACCTGGGATCATTTTCATGTTATGATCCTAATTAAAGTTCAGCCTGTTTACTCTGCTCCAGTCAAGGAGTTACAGGGGGAATCAAGGCAGATAAGATGTTTATGGGTGAACCCTGTTTCATTTTCCTCGGATCCACAATTAAAGAATTAACAGCACTTGTTATTTATTGAGCAGAACCGTGGGCGGGAGGAGGGCTTTAGTGCTTGTTTTGCTGCTTCTGTGAGCCCAGGGCTGCGCCAGCAGCATTTCACTTTTAATCCTTAGTATTGTTAGGCCTATACTTCCACCTATAGAGGTGGCAATTGAGGATCTTGACTTGCCCAGGGGTTCATGATCACGAACCTTCTACTACTTCATACCTTGAACACCATCTCTTCTAATAGATGGGCAACAATATGGTCATTTCTGTGAAGATACTGGTGACTTAAAAGCATTACTAAATGTTTATTAAACACTTGAATATAGTAATTATATATGTGAGAATGGATTCACATCTAGGGCTCCTGACAGTATCTGTCAAGATGCTGGCCCCAAACCCTGAGTTTGTCATGTTATGTGGGCATATTTGGTTGCCCAACTCTGAAGCCAAATGATGCCAGGGAGAGAGAGCCTCCATACTGTGGGGGTGTTTCTAAGAGCAGCCTGGTCCTTAATTATCCTACTAAAGACAGTGTCCTCTGTGATCTCAGACTCATAACATCCCTGTTAAGATAGGAGGGGGCTGAAATCATTTGTTCTCCTTCACATTGAGGGGAGACTCAGGCACAGATGAGAGACAGAGGCAGAGAAGTTAAATAATTAGTCCAAGGTCACATCAAATGATTTCCAACTCAGCTGATGAATCTGTCTAGGTCTCGGTCTCCAAATATTGGAGCTTCCCTTACAATGTAATTTGATCTCAAACACTTTACGTGTCTTATTTTTCTTCCTCCTTTTTCTATTTTGGTAAATAAGATGTTTTTTACACCTACTGCCAGATTAATGTTGGGTTTTAATTTAGCCCTTCAAGATGATCAATGACTTAACCGAGGAAACTGCTGCCAGAATGTAGTTTATAATGTACCTTTTTTCCTATACTCGGTTTTCTGCTTCTGTATTTTGTACATTGTCAGTCTCTGTGGGTTAAGAACTTTGGGACTCTCAAGGGTCATCTTGACAGAGGAGCTTCTGCAGTTGGGAATTGTTACCTTTCTCAGAGCAGTGCTATTGGGAAAAAAAAATCTAAGCATTTTTGTTCTCAGCTTCACAGAGGAAGTGAAGCACATTCAAGGGTAGCCCATTGGCTTCTCGTATAGGAATAGTATAGATTTGGCTTATTTTATTCCTTGCTTATTATAATATTATTATTCATAAGCATACCTTTTCAGTTACCCTCATGATTTACTATCTGTAAGAGCATAAGCTTACTGTTTGTGTAATATTTGTCCCTGTATTTTAGATGGGAGTTGCTGAGGTGGTATAAGGTTTGGTAACTGCATCCGGCCTCTCAGGGAAATAACCAAGTTGTTCAGATTCTTAGCTGTATTATGTGAAGTTGTTTGTCAGCTTCATTGCTTACTACTGTGAAATAAGTTATAAAGAGGAACTTTTAATAAAAATAAATGGATTCACTCAGGGGAGGGGTATTCATTGTTGGTGAAATATGTCGAGGACCAGATGCTTTTTGGTCTCCCAAAGACCTATCAAACTGCAGATCTTTTGGCTTTGTAATATATTCAGTTCCACATTTATTCATTCAAGATTTTTGTGTCCTCATTATGTGCCAAGTACTGGGTTGGACACTAGGTGACAGAGATGAACAAATCCCTAATCTTGGGATTTCACAGTGGATGTTGGAATTTAGTACCGTTTAGCTTCATTAGGTTCTGCAGTAGTCCCAAGATTTTCCAAGATCATCCTGTCCTCCAGTGTTCTATTGATTCAACTTCAGAATATATCCCAGACTCTGTCCCTCTTTACTCCTCACTGCTGTTGCCCTGGGTCCATCTGCCATCATCTCTCACCTGGATTATCTCAGTAGTTTCCCAACTGGTTTCCTTGTTTCCATTCTTGCCTCCTTCTGTCTACTCTCAATATAACAGCTAGAACAATCCTTTTACAATGGAATTCAGATCATGTTTACCCCTCTGTTCAAATTCTCCAGTGACTTTCCAGTTTTTACATGATCTGGCTCCTACTACCTGTCTCACTGTGTTTCCTACTACTCTCCTGCCCTTTCTCCTCTTAATAAACACTGGGCTCATGGTGTTTCCTTTAACATGCCAGGCATGCTTGACCCTGTCCTGTCTCAGGGCCCTGCTGTTCCCTCTGCCTGGAACATTCTTCCCATAGTGTCTGCATGGCTCGCTCTCTCACTGCTTTGGATTGCTGCTCAAAAGTCACCTTATCAAAGGCCTTTCCCAAAGGTTTAAAAATCATTCTACTATAAAGACACATGCATACATATGTTTATTGCAGCACTATTCACAATAACAAAGACTTGGAACCAACCCAAATGCCCATCAATGATAGACTGGATAAAGAAAATATGGCACGTAAGCACCATGGAATACTATGCAGCCATAAAAAAGAATGAGTTCATGTCCTTTGCAGGGACATGGATGAAGCTGGAAACCATTATTCTCAGCAAACTAACACAGGAACAGAAAACCAAACACCGCATGTTCTCACTCATAAGTGGGAGTTGAACAATGAGAACATACGGGCACAGTGGGGGGAACATCACACACCAGGGCCTGTCGGGGGGTGAGAGGCAAGGGAAGTGATAGCATTAAGAGAAATACCTAATGTAGATTATGGGTTGATGGGGGCAGCAAACCACCATGGCACATGTGTACCTATGTAACAAACCTGCACATTCTGCACATATATCCCAGAACTTAAAGTATAATTAAAGAAAAAGAAAAAGAAAAAAAAAGTCACCTTATCAAGACCCTCTAGGCTACTCTGCATAAAATATACCCCACTTCATATTTCCTATTTGATGTCTGACTCCCCCTCCTCCTTCACTAAAACGTAAGCTCCATAAGGGAAGGGATTTTGTCTGTTTTGTTCTGTTGTATCCCTAAATACCTAGAAGGTGCTCAGTAAATATTTGTTGGTTGAATGAATAAATCAGCCTATTATTTAATCAGTCAATGTCCTCTGTAAAAAGGACTTCTCATACCAGTGGCACATATCTGTATGATGGTCAGTGTAGGGAGGGACATGGTCAGAATGGCTCTGTCTGTGTGGGATAGTTTTTCTTAGTATAATCCCAGAAGACTCCTATTGGGGTTAAGCCACAGATTTAGCGTTATTAGTACCACTCTTTAATCATAAAGTCAGAGGATGTTATGACTGGAAGGGATCTGGGGGACTGTTTGGTCCACTTTTCTCATTATTGATGTGAGAATAACAGAGCCTAGAGAAAGTAAGTGAATTACTCACAGTCATAAAGCTGTAGGGGTCAATCTGAAATTAGGCTTCTGACATACGATTCTGTAGTCTTTCCTGCATGTGTTCCCCCTGGCTGAGACAGTTTGTGGGCTTTCAGAGTTGACAATTTTCTCTCCAGTCTCTAAACAGGAGCTTTTATCTGGACATTCTAGGTTAGCATAGATGGACGATGACCCTGTAATGTGTGGAAAGTCCCAAAGGGTGAGCACTGTGAATGGGAACTACCCCAGATGTGTCAGGAGCACCACAGACACGCTCACTCTTCCATTGGCAGGAGATGTGTAGGGTGGAAAGGAAACCAAAATCAAGACCCTTTGTTGCTCCAGTTCTTTTATTACATGTCACAGTCGAATGTGTCTCCATTTAAATTCAGATTTTTTGATGAATGGCCAGACCAGCTGCAGGCCCTTTGGGCCAGAAGCCTTGATCTCGCCAACTGTTCATTTTCTTGATGGGCTTCCTTATTTCAGGCATTTGTGTGTAGCTGGTCTATTGTGGAGTTGTCAGAGGGGTGTAGAGCCCCCTCTTTGGGACAGTCAGTCCTCCCTGTGCAGCATGTCCTGAAGCTGGCCTGCCTCCATCCTCTTTCTAAGTGTGTGAGGTCTTTTGTTAAACAGGGTAAAGTGAGGGAGGACTCCTAAAGAGAGAAAAACTCCTCCAGCATTTGCTGGAACATGTTTGTGAACTGAGCAAGATGTAATTGGGATGGCATAAAAAAAAGACTTACATTTACTTAATTTCTTGCTGTCTGGTTTGTGATATATGGTGCCCCAAATTGAGGTTAGAAGGAGCTTTGATCATATGTCAAGGAGGTGTCATATTTAATTCTACTCCCTGTGGCCTCTCTTACAATACCAGTCATGCATAAAGCCCGTGGTTTTGCTGCATCTAGTTTTACTGAAGCAAAGGCTCTGCACTTTCATAGTTTACACTGACATATTTCTAGTTTGCATCTGAAGTGTACTCTGAGGATGCTGACTTCCAGATAGCCATTTTTGGGTTAAGGGAAGTTCAAGTCTCCTGAGTATAGTAGCTACACCACCTGGAGAGCTTCATTTTGGTTTGGTGACAAAATTTATTTTAGCTTAGTTTTCTTACATTAGGTGGGCAAAATAAGAAAGGCCAGAAAAGTTTAGGACAGTTTTCTGAGACACTCAGCAAAACTATGAGGCCTAGAATTGAGAACTGGGTATTACCCTGTAGATGATGTCTTTTCAAGCTGGGCTAGTGGAGTTTCTGAGCAGCAGCTGCATTCTCCTTGTACATCTTCAGGTTTTGTAGGATTACCTTTAGCCCTCTAAGTGATCAGATCCGCCTCACTGTCACTCATGGGAGCCCTTGATCTGGACAACGTGGACCTTGAGTAGCTGAGTTCAAACAACTGAGGTGGCAAGAGGGATCTCCCCCTTGGTTCTTTTTTTTTTTTTTTTTTTTTTTTTTTTTTTTTTTTTGAGACAGAGTCTTGCTCTGTCGCCCAGTCTGGGGTGCAGTGGTGCGATCTTGGCTCATTGCAGCCTCCGCCTCCTGGATTCAAGTGTTTCTCCTGCCTCAGCCTCCTAAGTAGCTGGGATTACAGGCACCCACGACCATGCCTGGCTAATTTTTTTATTTATAGTAGAGATGGGGTTTCGCCATGTGGGCCAGGCTGTTCTCGAACTCCTGACCTCAGGTTATCCACACGCCTCAGTCTTCCAAAGTGCTGGGATTACAGACATGAGCCACCGTGCCCGGCCCTTATATATATTTTTTAATTGAAGAGGTAGAGAAGCAATCTCAAGGTCAGGACAACTTACCCTGAGGTTCTCACTTGTCAGGGATTGTGCTGGATTCTGACTTAGGTTCTGCCATCAAACACAGAATGCCCTGATCCTTAGAGGCAGAGGCAGCTCTTTAGCCTATAGGGTAAATAACCGGGAATGGAATTCTCACCAATTCTTATCTTCTATGCTAAAAGTTTTACTTTAAGATTTAGGCCTGCTTTTTTCTTTCTCTCTGTCTCTCTCTCTCTTTTTTTTCCCCCAGTAACAGTTTAAAATTGGTGCCTTAGACGCAAGCAAAAAGATATTAGCACAGCTTTAGAAATAAGTGTGAGTCCGCATGTAATTTTTTAGTTTCTCCTCTCCCTTCGCTTTTTGCTTTCTTGGTAGTATGCTAATTGTATTCTTTTTCTGCATCTTTTTTCCCCATTCTTTGGCAGATATTATTACTTGTCTTGAAAGAGTAGGTGAAGAGCTGTTTTTAGGACTCTTTGAAAGGGTACAGTATGGATGACAGTCTTGGCTAAATGTAATCAGATCCAGGAAGCTGGAGTCAGTGTGAGCTGGAATCAGTTCAAATTAGCAAAGCACTGGCTCTCAGTGGCAGGAATACAAGTGACCACAAAGTGTTAAACACATCTGGAAAGGGATTCTGACATCATCCTGAGAATCTTTGGGGAATACATATAGCCTGTAGACCCATTCCTCTTTGACCCTATAAAGATTCTTTAAAGAGTAATACCCTGAGTGGTTTTCTGGCCAGCTTGCCTGCTCATTTATCTTTGAGGAGATGGAAGGAGACAATATGCCTCGTGGAGATCCACAGGCCCTAGAGGTGTATGGATTGAGCATTTGGAAGTGCTGAAGCTGAGAGACTGGGTCTCTTGGTGGACCCCAAGGGATCTGCTTTTCCTCTACTCATTGTCCCTACACAACTTTTCCTGGCAGCTGGCATTGCTGTTTAGATGGGTTGTTCTTTGCTGTTTAAGTTGTTTGGCAGTGGTGTGTCAGGATGCGGGTTTTCTGAATACTTTCCCAGCTGGTTACTTGAGTGGTGGTTAGGGAGGGGCTGTTCTGGGGCTGCTCTGGAGCTGTTGAGGTCGGGTGTCTGTCTGGATACTCACAGCTGGTCTGTCGAGGAGAACGCTGTTCTCATTCTGCTGCCTTTGGTGGTGCTGTGTGTGGCTCTTTAGATGTGGGTGGAGATGAGTTGGGGGAGTTAATGAGATCTTTTTTTAGCTGCTTTTGATAAAGTAGTCTGTACTACAGGATTCATTGTGACTTTTTCCCTTAACCTGTGCATACTTCTTTGCTAGCCTTTGTGAAAGAGAGTTCAGGCCCTCTTGCCCTCTTGCTCTTTCGCTCTCTCTTGCCCTTCTGCCTTCTGCCATGGGATGATGCAGCAAGAAGACCCTCACCAGAGGCAGGTTCCTTGACCTTGGACTTCCTAGCCTCCAGAACTGTAAGAAATTCTTTTCTCTTTTCTTTTCTTATTTTCTTTCCTCCCTCCATCACTTCCTTCACTCTCTCTCTCTTTCTTTCTCTTTTCTTTCTTTCTTTTTTTTTTTTTTTTTTTGAGGCGGAGTCTCGCTCCGTCCCCCAGGCTGGAGTGCAGTGGCTAGATCTCGGCTCGCTGCAAGCTCCGCCTCCCGGGTTCACGCCATTCTCCATTCTCCATTCTCCAGCTTCAGCTCCCGAGTAGCTGGGACTACAGGCGCCCGCCACCAGGCCCGGCTAATTTTTTTTGTATTTTTAGCAGAGACGGGGTTTCACCGTGTTAACCAGGATGGTATCGATCCTTTTTTTTTTGTTTTAAATTATGCAGTCTGTGGCATTCTGTTATAACAGCATGAAATAGACAAAGGCTCCATTTTCAAGAGCAAGCCCTTTTGTAGTTTCTGAGCTAATTATGACTGCAGAGGAAGTTCTATAGGTAGCCTCAGATCTACCACCTAGTAAATCTGCTACTAACCAGACCTAGAATCTAGGATTCTAGATCAAGTGCTGGGCAACATGATACCTCTGCAACTTGGCACCTCCCTATATCCCTCCAGTTGGTTTGGCCCATCAGGACTAATATTACCCCTCATATCCTAGTCTCTCTTGTAGGCAGAAGCCTTGCCTAAACCCTAAGCTGCTTAGCTCACATTCTGTCTTGCTTTTTCTGTTTTTTTTTTTTTTTTTTTTAGGAGGGGGTTCAAATATAAAATATACGGGAAAGAAATATAATGAACCTCCATGTACCCAACACCCGGATTAAACAGTTATCTCAATTTTGCCAGACTTGTTTCATCTACTTCAATCTCCCTAAACATTTACATTTGTACAGGAAAAACTGGATAAATACCTAATTCTCCACCCTATCTCCCATTTTAAGTCATTTTTCAGAATAATGAGTTAGTGACTAGTAACCTCCACTGTAGTGACCAATAGTTTTTTTTCCTGAATATCGTAATGAGCTCATAGATTATTGTTTGCATTTGAGCCCATTGTAGTCACTATTAATTGTTTTAGATGCTCATATTGTCTCAGGTTAATAAGTATCTCTTCAAGTTGACTCCCATGGCCTTTTGACGTGATCCTGTTGGACTTGGATGGCTTCCTTGCTTTCTGGCAAAAAAAAAAAAAAAAAGGTGTTCCAGGATCTATATCCTGCACCATACATGGAGTCAGCCATTTCTCTAGGGGGTCTTGATTCCTTTTAGTAGAGAACACAGTTTGGGCTCTAGGACTGAATTACTTTTGTGAACCTCCTCTCCTGCGATTACAGCCTGCACCCCTGCTTATAGCCAGTAGAAGCTCTTGTTGGGCATCAACAGATCGAAAATCACCATGTAGTTCTGCCTCACTCTTACAAAGATTCATCTCTTGAGAATTTTGTGCTCTACCCCCGTTGTAGTCTTTATGGTTTTGAAACTTTTGCTTCAGTCACCCTGAATTTTGCCAGCCATAGACATGCCATACCTTGGATTGCCAAACTGCCCTCACTGGAGCCAATTTCTCTGGTTAGAATAGTTGTCCCAACTCATGCTTAATACTCTAGTAAGCAAGGTTCCACCTGGGCTCAGGTTAACTTTTCTCCTTTGGGCCCTGTGTTCTACCAGCATTCCATTTATCTGAAACCCTCCCTCACCTCATCAAGATCTTATCTGGTCTTTAATGATTTACTCTGCTGCTTCCTGGGTTCTAAAGAACCCAGTTCAGGAGTTCCTCTTTCAGTTCGAGATCTTATTGGCCTGTCTCGTCAGGTTGGTGTCAGCCCAGCTAGGATTAAGCAGAATGGGGTTGGGGGTTGTAGTGCACTTTTGACACAGCGTGTACCTGGCTGACTACTTCTCTGTCTTTTTTTTCCTATTGCAATTCATGAGTCTCAGCATCTTCTGAATGGTGTTTAGTAGGTCATCATGTTGAGTTCCTGCTCTAGGGAGTAGCATACTCTGGCTCTGTATCATTGGCAAAGGGATTTAAGGTTAGATGATAGGCTGCAGTTTTGTTAAATGGAACAATATGAAGAGATGGCATTATAAAGAGGCTTGGCAGCAGGGCCCATTTGAATGGTTGGTTCTTGATTCCCATGTTGATATAGGCAGATCCTTGACAGGAATTTTGAATGGTCCCAAATGTGGTAAATCGCTGGTACATCAAGTCATCCTCAAAGTTGTCTGTGTAACTGTGTTGAATGCAGTTTTGTGAATCTCTGGTGATTGTCTGTATAGGGCTTCATCATTTAGTTATTTTAGTTGAGCCTGTTTAACTTCTTCAAGAAGATAAGATATGTGAAAGAGATGCAGACAGTAGGGAAAAAGCTAGGAGCTTTGCTCCCCCATCCTCTACTTGGGTTCTGGAACTGGACTCATAGGTGAGTAGTGAGGAGCTGGGCTCAAGCGAATTAATCCCGGATCTAGCTGTGCTATGTGTTCGCTCCAGTCCTTGTGTCAAAGTTCACTTTGAGCCACTCAGAGTAGCGTGTAGAGTGGTCATTCAGGACTGTGCTAACTTACACTTCATTGTATCAAATGGGAGATCCAGTAATTTATAGTCTATTATTTCTGGAGTCTGGAGATGACTCTGTATAAGCTTTGCTGAAGCAGATTTTATTACATTAGAAGAGAACCTACCTGGCTGCATCCAACACCAGAAGCTTTTAGATGCTAAGTAAGGAGGTCATAGTAAAGGTAACAGAATGACTCTGGAACCCATTACCCCACCCAAGAAGGGGAGTAATGAATTCCGGGTTGCCCTCTTTTCATTTCCCTTTGATTTTGAGTAATAAATTCCCTTCTTACTTCCCAGCTGAACAATTTGGGAGTCTGTATTCCCTAGAAAGACTGTTCACATACCCATCAGACTAAATTAGGTGAAATCTCTTTGGCCTTAATGAATGTTGAAGGATTTTAAAGGGCTAATGGAAATTCTTCTAGAAGTAACAATTCCCATTCTATTGGTGAGGCAGTTCTAAAGAAAGTCCCTGAACCTCTTAGGTTATTTTGTACAGCAAAAGAACCAGCATTGGGTTTTCTTTGCTAATAGATGACAGGGAGAATGTAGACACTTGGAATCCATGGAGAATCCCTAAGTTGCATTTTAGCCTTCATGTTATGTCTCCTTCCCTAACCTTTTTACCAGAGCTGATCACAGGAAACAGCATGATAGATTTGCATGACCTAGCTCCCTGCCTTCTCCTGCCATTCTTTTAGAAAGTGGTGAGTGGCTGCCTGCCAGGTAAAATCTGGGTGACAAAATCCAAAGTTAGATTCAGAGTTATAAGCATAGCCCCCACCCAAGTTGCTTCCAGAGAAAAGAAAGGAAGAGTGTTGTGTAAAATCTTGCTTCTTTGCCTTTAAATTGGGTACTTATTGAGTTACCACATTAGAATCGTGCATTGTGCTAGTTGTTGTACTCCTGTTGATTGATTAATTTCATTCTACATTCATGGAACACCAACAATGTGCCTGGTACTATGCTGAGTACCTGAGATAAAAAGATAAACAGGAGTTGGTCCTTACCACTTAGAGCTCACAGTCTACTACTGCGAGAGTGTGGGAAGGTGTGATAAGAGCTATAGTGGTCTTGCCACATAATTTGCATTTGTATCTTAAAGCCAGTGGGGAACCATGGAAATATTTTAAGCAGGGGAGTGACATGATTCATTTGCATTTTACTTTTTTTTTTTCTTTTATGAGACAGAGTCTTGCTCTGTCGCCCAGGCTTGAGTGCAGTAGTGTGATCATAGCTCACTGTAACCTCAGACTCCTGGGCTGAAGTGATCCTCTTGCCTCAGCCTGTTAAGTAGCAGGGACTACAATTGTGCACCACTACACACTGCTATTTTTTTTTTTTTTTTTTTTTTGAGATGGGGTCTCACTCTTGTTTCCCAGGATGGAGTGCAGTAGCGTGATCATGGCTTGCTGCAGCCTCACCTACCTGGGTTCAAGCGATCCTTGTGCCTCAGCCTCCCAAGGTGCTGCGATTACAGGTGTGAGCCACTATATTTGGTCTCATTTGTATTTTTGAAAGATCACTGGTGGCAGTGAAGATACCAGTGGGTTGGAGGGAGGGAGACTAGAGGCAATAACAGTTTAGATAATAGATATTTACTGAGCCCCTGCTAAGTGCCAGGCACCGATCCAGGTGCTGGGAACCTAGGGGGTGAGTGAATAAGACAGTCTCTGCCCTCATGGAGCTTACATTCTAATAGTGGTAGAGTAGTGTGGTGGTAGGAAAGCAGACTATATATATATATATATATATATATATATATATATATATATATATATATATATACTATATGTATACATGCAACAAATGATATTTTTTCAGATGGTGATAAGTAATTTGAAAAAATAAATAAATAGAGCTATGGGAGTTAGAGTGTTTGGGCATTGGGATGGGTACTAATGGGAATGGGCAGTGAAGGCCTCTCTGAGGAGGTGATATTTGAGCTGAGGCAGCTATGAGAAGACCTAGGCAAGAGTGGTCCTGATGGGTAGAACGGCAAGTGCAGGGACCTAAGATGTGAACAGGCTTGGCACGGTGCGTAAGCACCGTAAAGATGGTCAGAGTAGCTGGAGCATGGTGGAGCCCAGAGGAGCAAGTAATAGTCAGTTGAGGGTGGAGCACATTCTAAGCCATGGGAAGGAATCTGGATTAATTCCAGTGGAGTAAGAAGCACTGTGATTAATTAAATCAGGGGGTCAGCAAACTACAGCCCATGGGTCAAATCTGTCCTGCTGCCTATTTTTATGAATAAGCCATATTGGAACAGTCATACCCATGGGTTTGTATATCGTCCATGGCTATTTTTAATGTTACAAGAGCAGAGTTGAGTAGTTTCAACAGAGAACATATGGCCCAGAAGCCTAAAATATTTACTATCTGGCCTTTATAGAATGAGTTTACTATCCCTGAATTAAATGATCTAATTTAAGTTTTGAGGAGACACTCTGGCTACTGTTGAGATAATTAATGGTAGGAGACAAGAGTATATCTGAATAGTTCAGATAAGAAATAACTAGATGTTGAGCCACCAGAAAGCAAAGATCACACCGTTTTTGTTCTGTTTAAAAACACCTAGGTATGCTTTATACTCATTAAATATTGTTGAATGAATGATGAGATGCTGAATAAGGGAGTGCCAGTGAATATGAAGGGGAAGTGAGGTTTTGAGAAATATTTAGGAGGTAAAAAATCAGTGCAGCTTATTGTTGACAAGGTGAATAGAAATAGGAGTAGGACAGAAGGAGGACTGTAGATGCCCTTCAGGCTTCTGGTTCAGGGATCTTGGTGCATGGTTGGTGTTCCATGAACCTAGAATGAAATTGATCAATCAACAGGCTATTAACTGAGACAGGAGAAGTGGAGATACAAAGAGCATACACTGCCAGGAAGAAGGAATTAATCTTTGGACATGAGACTCCCGGGACATCCAGGTAGAGATGTCTAAAAGGTAGTTGGAAAGACAGAGCTCGGTGGCATGATGCGTAGACTTATGGTAACCAGAATTCTGGAGTCGTTAGCTAGTGTGGGCTCTCCTAAGAAGGGTGTGTGATGAGAAGGTCAGGGTTGGATTTCATAAGGCATTCATTTCCATTACATTTTGGATCCAGAGAGGAGGCAAAGGTAAACTAGCTGTGTGGACAGTTTGCATCAGTCAGTCAGTCAGATCATCCCATGACCATGGCATATTTTTTCTGCAGAAGCTGATAGGCTCAGATGAAGCCTTGCCTTATCTGTTCCTCTGGCTGCCAACCTCTTTCTCTTAGTTGGGTTGACTGGGGCAGTGGTGGAGGTTTCTTCCCAGACTCTCTGCTAAGGTTGGAACATTTGTGGCCTTTTAATTCTGTAGGTGATTCATATTTGCATTTATCTTTTTTTTTTTTTTAAAAGAGACAGGGTCTCATCCTGTCACCCAGGCTGGAGTGTGATGGCATGATCATAGCTCACTGCAGCCTCGACCTTCTGGGCTCGAGTGATCCTCCCACCTCAGCCTCCCAAGTAACTGGGACCACAGGTGCGTGCCACCAAGCCCAGCTAATTTTTTATTTTTTGTAGAGACAGGGTCTCCCTATGTTCCCCAGGCTGATCTCAAACTCCTGGGCTCAAGTGTTCCTCTCACTTTGGCTTTCCAAAGTACTGGGATTACAGGAGTGAGCCAACATGTTTGCATTTATCTAGTTGAGGCTATGGGTAGGTAGAAGTGTCTAGTTGTTCTTGGTGTTTTGTTAGAGCAAGAACTCTCTGACCCAAGGGTTAGGTAAGTGGCTAAGTTTTATTAAACATTGTTAAATATTAATAAATTTATTAAATATTATTAAATATTATTAAATTTATTAAATATTGTGGGTTCTTTTAACCCACAAAGCTAGATAAACCCATTAGAAGTCCTGAACAATAGCTTCCCCTTTCCTTTTTGTCTGGGGAAGGGGAACCACAGAAATACTTAATAAAAAAGCACTTGTGCTGAAAATGGTCTTAAAACTGGATGCAAATCTCCCCTTTACAGAAGTTCATTATGAAAATCCAAGGATGAAATCAACATTGTAAAGGGAGTAGGGAAGGAGGACCACTCTCTATCCCGCTCTTCCACCCCCCTCATATTTTTTCAGCATACTGTCACACCTCTGTTGTTTGTACATTTTTAGAAGACACTTTTTGAACACATTTTAACCCCGTCTTACATATAATATTCAAATTTTAGGGTCCCATGTTTTATGAGTTTCTCCTTTTCTAAAGAAACAGTTGAGTAATAGTTTTGCTACTCCTCTAACCTAAATTATTCCTGTCATGAGGTTAGTGACTTCTGACAGGCAGAGGTAAGTAGTTTAAAGCCTGATTACCTAGTCCCAAAGTGGACGAAATGGAGCCTTGAACCAAATAAATAGGTAGTAAAGGTAAATTTAAAATATGAAAAAAATTTTTTTGAAAGGCATATGTTGACGAGTATTATTTCCACTCCTGTCTGGTCCACCCTGTAGAACCCCTGCTCCTTATTGTGGGTGTCACTCTTAATAGTTCCTTATATATCTGTGCAGTGTTTCTTTATGTAAATAAAAGGAGATATGAACATATGTTCTTACCCCTCCACGTTCTTTTACATGAAAGGTAAATCATTATCTAACCTGTTGTGTACTATTTTGTCCTTAACAGTATGTCTTGGGGATCTTTCCTTGTTGGTACAGAGAAAGCTTTCTCATTCGTATATCAGAGCTGCATAGTATTCCATTGTGTGGATGGCTGCCTCCTACTTTATTGAATCAGTTCCTTACAAATGTGCACTTGAGTTGTTTCCAGTATTTGCTATTACAAGCAATACTTCAGTGAACAAAGGCAGCTTTTTAAAGGGTCGCACAGCACTGCATATGCTACTTAAAATGAGATTATTATTCTTCATTCTTAGAATGCCAGTTGGTTTTGTTGGTTGATAAATTCCCAATTACTCGTATTCATGAGTGCAACATTGATGATGAATGTGACATCCCTTCATAACTTAAGAATCATTAGTATGACTGCCCCATGGAGGCATACTGTTCTATCTCAGGTTTATTTCAATAATAAAACCTTTGGAAATTTTAATAATGAAACCTACTTAAGACCCTTTGCTTAAGAAGTCTGAATCACTGATCACTGCAATTACTGCCATGGCAGCTGTAGAGCAATTTAACAGGATAATAGTGAATAAGATAAATTACACTTCAGATTCTTAATGGATTGATGTGCAGAAGTATGCAAGGGAAGATGGGGGTGGGAGAGGAGCACCTTTAAAATTTCAGCACACAGTAATAAAATAGGGAACTGGGCCATTGTAGCCGTTACTACTAGGAGTTAGTAATCTCGTACAAACCTCTGGGGCTCTGTGGTGGGTAGAATGTCCTGTTTATTATAGACAACAAATTGGGTTAATTCTCTTGTTTGTGTGCCTCTGTGGAGTGGGTGGAAATTCTAGGTGACTTGCTAATTGTCTTATTTGGAATACTCCCGTTTCTACTAAAGAATTAGTATCTTTGGTATAAAAATAAGGAGGCAGACCAGTTTTACAAATAGCTGCTGGCCAGGAGAATAACAGTTTCTGCCAGGTGAGCAGTTAAAAAAAAGGCAGACTGGAAAAATAACTGTGGAATGGTGTTTCTTATTTACAAGGCTAACATAAAGTCTCCCTGTGTGTTGGGGATGGGGGAGGGGACGGATTGGCTAAGAAGTAAGTACGGTGCTTGCTTTGTATGTCCCTCGATTTGTGTTTAGGGGAGAATAGTGAGGATGTGGTCATACGGGTAGGCGTGGGGCCCGAGGAAGGGGTCCAAGGAAGCAAATCCAGGAGACTTGGCTGCAGTTCTACCCTTATGGGCATTCCTTGGCACTTGGTCACACTGTGGACACCTCAATATCTGCTGGGTATTGATCTTGTATACCTTCATTCTCAGTACAAAACCCTTAGCACCCATTATCTCATTCTTCCCCACCAAAGCCCTTGGAGATGAAGAGCAGGAGAATGAAGTCTTTTCTCTCTTAATGTTTAATCAGCATTAACACACCTTTAAGTGCCATTGGATTTAGAGCAGTGTTGTTATTAAAGCAAACTAAATTGTCTTGAAGTGTAGAAAGCACTTTTAGAAAAAGAAGCAAGGTTAGGCTGAGAGAACAAGACAGATGAAGTTACTCCTCTGAGCTGGAAAAGATCTTGTGTCAAAGGAGGAAGCCTCAGAGATAATCTGGGCCAGAAGATTCTGTGTTCAAATCCTGGTTCTGCCTCTTGGTCAAGTTATATAACCTCCGATTTATAATTATTTAAATCTGTAAAGTAAAGAGAGTGATATCTACCATGCAGTGTTTTTGTTTTTTTTTTTTTTTGAAATGATTAAATGAGATAATAGAAATAAAGTTGGCCCTCAATAGGTGGTAGCTGATACTATTAATATTATTAACAGAGGGTCTTCTAAAGAATCTCATGATAGTTTTGGAGCAAAGGAAGGCACTCTCTTTTACATGAGGAGATTGGTACTTCTGGCAGTAAATCAAGAGGGCTGCCTTTAGGGTTGGGAAGCATATTGACAGTATTGGAGGAAGGTGTTAGTTGCCATGGCAACTTGGGAATTCATTTGGAGGGAGAGTTGTGACTGGAGGTTATCTCACTGTAAGAGACTGACTGGTGGAGATTAAAAAAAAAAAAAGCTTGTCTGGCAGGAATGAAATCTTTCTTGCTGTATATCTGCAGGAAATACCAAGAGATGTGCTCTAGAGAAAGTTCCAAACATGAGTCAGAATGATGTGCAGGCCTTCTTCGGTAATGGGTGGTTGTGTCTTAGTGGGCCTAAATGCTGCCACCAGTTGATTGCTTTTGTTCGCATGTATTACTTTGGTAAAAAAATAAATGTATGAATGGGATTTCAGTGAACAGGGTTTTATCGTGGGTTTTTTTTTTTTTTTTTTTTTTTGTCTTCTGAAAACATGACGTCAAATTGTTGGATATTTTCCTACAGTTGGTTTAGTCCCCAAGAAGGTTTTAGTAAAAGAGCATGAATACAGAGCGTACCTGAATCATTTACCTTGTTCCTAAGGTAAATGACATAAGGAATACAAGTATTTCCTTTTGATTGGGCAATTAAGACTTTTTTTTTTTCCTATAAAGGTTCTCCTGATAGTGCCACTTGATTACTGATTTTGAAAAGCCTCTTGGTATGATGTACTTAATGTCCATTGTTAGTTTGTCTGCTTGTTTAGTACATCTGCTGTTATCTGTTACCTTCTGATTGCAGCCTTGCCTGGAAACAGGGCTGGACCAAATGAACCCCTTAAAACAGCAAGATTCTGGAGTCGCTATTTAATTTTTTACAGGCTTCCAGTGCTTACTCACATCTATTTCCTTCCTTCCCTTTCAAGTTAGGGGTACCATTTGACTTGCATTGGCCAGCAAAATGTGGCCATACATGGCAATTCTGGGCAGAAGCAGTTGCCAGTATGGGACAGTTCAGTGCTCTCTTTTCTTGCCTTGGTGATGGTGAAAGTTTGTGAGCAGGTGGAACCTCTGTCAATCTGAGCTCTTGACCTACAATGATGGAAAGATTGCCCCTCCCTGACCCTTGTTGGACACACAGCATAAAAAATAAATGAGCTTTTGTGAGGTTAAGCCACTGAAATTTTGGGGGTTAGTTGTTCATGCAGCAGAACCCAGCCCATTCTTACTGCCTTAATAGTCATTTAATACATATGTATTGAGTATTTAACTTTGTGCTGGGCACTGTTAGGTTGGGGATATAACAGTGAACAACACAGAAGTCTCTTCTCTAATGGAGATTACATCTATGAGGGAGACATAATAAATAAACTAAGATAATTAAATATTGAGATAAGTGCTATAAAAGAAAATAAACAAGATCATGTGATAGAAAAATCTCCAAAGAACAAAGAGGCTATGAGAAGGAAATGGGAATCCCCCAGGACTCTTATTAATGACTTTTAATATTTCCCTATATGTCTTAAGACTCTGGATACTTCTAGAGTAGTTTCTTATGCCTTGGAAAGGGGATAACACTGAAGGCAAGAAAGCAATGTGTTGTATTACTTGGTAGCATGTGACAAAATTAAATAACTAGTGTACTCCAAAATAAATGACAACCGAGAATGATATTAGTTTGCTCTGCATCTTTAGAAACTCATTAGTGTCCTGCTGGGTTTAGTGGAAGATGAAATCTGAGCTTTGTTTATGTGCTGTGTTAAGCCCCTCCCCGAGGGCATCCATCTTCAGCATTCAGACTTTCCAGAGATCTAGTTGCTTAGTAGGTACTGATCCAGTTTAATTGTATTAACCAGACTCTCACACTGGGGAGAAGTGGAATGCAAATTGATGCATAATGCTTATATCTTGCATAATATAATTTTGGAAGGAAATAGAATGATGGCATATTTCCTTAAATCTTAAATGCTCTCCAGTGAAAACTTTGAGAATGGTTATAACTTTTCTGGAAGAAACATAGGGATAGAGCTCAGGTCTGATCATTGAGGAACATTAGGTTCAGTGCCAGTTGGCAATGATGATTTACTTTGTGTGACCGTAAGAAATCTCTTGGTACGAGGGTGGGCAGCACCTATTCTGCCTTGATAGGAAGAAATGAGAAAAGTGTTACTTGGGAGTTGTAATGGGGAAAGGAGAGCTTTATCTGCTTTTCTTTTCTTCCTTTTCTTTGGGGCAAACCAAAGCAATGAGAATAGGAGAAGGTCAGGAGAGGAGGCATGTCTAAATGACAGTTATAAGGAAGAATCAATTCATTCAAAAACTTTGGGCACTGGAAGAGTATGGGCTGTTTAATTCTATGTCCAAACTGGGAAACATGCTTTTGCTACTGCAATGAAGGGAATTCAGAGTGATGTGCATGGTGACATTTGCCCCTCATCCATCAAGCCAGTCTTATGATCATCCCTGGAGGAAGATTGAGAATCTCTAAACTGGGGCTCAGATTTTTCTTTCTGTCTCGAATATTTTAGTCATCTCATGTTGGCACATACTCTAAAAATCTGATCTGGGTGAAACTCCAGGGAAGTAGGAAAAATTGATCAAAGTAAGAACAGCATTGAAGACACACACATCCTTGCAAATATATGGGTTTATTGATACAGTGTAAATTTCCGTGCCAGGACACATGCCAACAGTTTAATGATGTGTATATAGCAAAGTCCCTTGTTAACCCCATTCAGAAACTCTAAAATGAGTTGCAAGGCTGAAAGTATTGAAGCCAAAGGCCAAAAACAATGATCATGTTACCTAGGATCTCATGAATAATTCAGCTGAGTTTAATGCTTTTTCCATGGTGAAACTAAAAAGCTGAAATATTTGGCATAATGTAGACAAATTGTACCCCGCTTCCTTTTGGGAGGATGGTTGGTCATGAGGAATGTAAGGAAGGGTGGAGAAAAATAAGGAATCTTTTCATATTTGTTTTAACCAAATATATGGAATCTCTCAACATTCCACCTCTAAAGAAGTAAAAATATAAAAATTCAAGTTGGGGATTTAAAGATGTTCTCTTTGAATGTTCATTAATAGCTGAAGATTTGGGCTTGAGAGGCACTTAGAAAATTGCTCCTAAAGTCCTAGAAAGACGGTCACAGAAATACCAAGAGAGAAGGAATGCTTGATATTCTTGGTGATAGGAATCACCAAGAATAGTGTATTGGTCTGTTTCAGAAAAATAATAGTAATTAGAGATGAACAAAAGAGCATGTGGATATTTTTGAAAGTTGTGTGCAAATTGAATTACTGTAAATCTAATCATAATTTCAAGGCATTAGAAAAGCATTATAACAAAACCTGCCAGAAGATTAGAATTATTTTTCATAAAGTGAACGTGTTTTTTTCTCTCCAGCTTAATTTTTAAACCTAGGTTTTGGTATATTGATTTAACTTAAATTGAGACCTCTGCCATTCAGGGGATAAAGCTCTGGACATTCTACATCCTTAGACTTCAGTTCTTGCCTCTTAAATAGGTAAACTCTCCTATTTCTTTCTACTTTTCTCCTAAAAATAATGAGAAGATAAGCAAGTTAATAGAATCTAAGAATGTTTGAGCTGGAAGGTGCTTAGAGATCATCTAGTGCAGGTCACTCATTTGACTGAAACTAAGACCTAAAGAGGTTATGTGACTCTTCAGAGTCTCCAGTTATAAAAGAGAAGGCAAATTATTATGAATAGGGCAAACATAACTCAAAGAAGGCATTCTTTTTATTAAAAAATATGGGAAAGGAAACAGACCTGGCTGGCATGGCCCATTGTTTTCATTCTCTATGTTTCTTTTTTTTTTTCTTTGAGATGGAGTCTTGCTCTTGTTGCCCAGGCTGGAGTGCAATGGTGCGATCTCGGCTCACTGCACCCTCCGCCTCCTGGTTTCAAGCGATTCTCTTGCCTCAGCCTCTCGAGTAGCTAGGATTACAGGCATGTGCCACCACGCCCGGCTAATGTTGTATTTTTAGTAGAGATGGAGTTTCTCCATGTTGGTCAGGCTGGTCTTGGACTCCTGACCTCAGGTGATCCTCCCGCCTCTGCCTCCCAAACTGCTGGGATTACAGGCATGAGCCACCACGCCCGACCTTCTGTATTTTTTATTGCTTAAAATATGATGAGATGCCTGGACATTCAGCTGCCATCTTGTGATGTGAAGTGCTGTGTTAACTCACTGAAGAAAAATAGATGGAGCCCTGCATCCTTAATGACAATCATCAAGCTGCCTTACCAGCTATGCTTGTCCCTCCTCCAGGTTTCTTCATTGGAGGTCTTCTTCTGGATATCATGGACAATATAATTCCATAAGGAATAATCCAAAATTGGGACAAAATTTTGGTAATCTGTTTGAAGTCAGTGGAGAGCTAACAAAGCAGTAGGATATTATGGAGCCAAGATCTTGGAGAACAAGGAAATTCGAGAGTGACATTGGGACAAACTTTCCCCTAGAGGCATATCTTCTGATTCTTAAAGAGGCAGCTGAGAGGCTAGAAATCTTTCCAGCAAAACTTACTTTTTTTTTTTTTTTTTTTTTTGAGACGGAGTCTTGCTCTGTCGCCCAGGCTGGAGTGCAGTGGCGCAATCTTGTCTCACTGCAAGCTCCGCCTCCCGGGTTCACGCCATTCTCCTGCCTCAGCCTCCCAAGTAGCTGGGACTACAGGCGCCCACCACCACGCCGGGCTAATTTTTTGTATTTTTAGTAGAGACGGAGTTTCACCGTGTTAGCCAGGATGGTCTTGATCTCCTGACCTCGTGATCCGCCTGCCTCTGCCTCCCAAAGTGCTGGGATTACAGGCGTGAGCCACCGAGCCCGGCCACTTTCAAACATTCATGGTGCTAGAGGCTCAAAATTTAGGACCTGCCAAGGAGAGTGGGCCGTGGCAAATATCTTTGGCTTTGGGTTGCTATTCTGAGGTGCTGAACTTTAGGATCGAGTATGAACGGAAAATTGACTAGCCCTCATAGAGACTGAGGCCCAGCTTCATACCCTCTCATTCCCTGACTGGGTTAAGGATCTTGATTGGATGGCCAGTTTTCTTAGCTCCATCTCAGAAGCAAAGGACGATCCTCTTGGAGAAGTCTTAAATTATTTCTCTAATTTCTATATTTTTTCATATAAAATGTCCAGTATGCAGTTAAAAACAGCCAGGCATATGAGGTAACATAACAAAATAATTTGAAACTAAGAGACGTAATAAATAATAGAAACAGATCCACAGAGTATCCAGATAATGGAGTCATCAGGTATGGATTTAAAAATAACTTTTCAAAATATGTTTAAGGGTAAGATAAAAACAAGATATATTATTTTGGCAGAGAACTGGAAATTCAAAACTGGATAAAGTGACAAATATAAAACTAAAAATATAATAAATGAAAGTAAGAATTTAGTGGATGGGTTTTATGCAGAGTGAATAGAAAAGAGTGATGGATGAATTCTCAATAGAAAAAAAGGAATCCAGAAAAAAATGGATTTATATCTTCAAAATAAGGAAAATAACATACAAATAAAATTCTCTACAGTGTGAAAATATCCTTTAAAATGAAGGTGACAAGTTCTTCCATGCAAATATGATTTGGGAAAATTTTAACAAAAGGGCTTATGATGAACATGGACTATATATATATATATATATATATATATATATATATATATATTTTAAATTATACTTTAAGTTCTAGAGTACATATGCACAATGTGCAGGTTTGTTACATATGTATACATGTGCCATGTTGGTGTGCTGCACCCATTAACTCTTCATTTACAATAAGTATATCTCCTAATACTATCCCTCCCACCTCCCCCCACCCCATGACAGGCCCCTGTGTGTGATGTTCCCCATCCTGTGTCCAAGTGTTCTCATTGTTCAGTTCCCACCTATGAATGAGAACATGCCGTGTTTGGTTTTTTTTTTCCTTGCGATAGTTTGCTCAGAATGATGGTTTCATCCATGTCCCTACAAAGGACATGAACTCATCCTTTTTTATGGCTGTATAGTATTCAAACATGGAATATATTTTAAGATAGATATAAGACTAAAGCAAAGGTAAGGAAAGGGTGGAAGAATAATGTGTGTAAATGATATATGTTCTGAAAAATAGAAATAAAGCCAATAAAAATGGGAGCAGAATGGAGGAAGGCAGATAAAAAGGGGAGAATAGAATCAGACTGTCACAAAGTTAATAAATAATTGGGAGTCAAAGAATTCATTATTGAAAGCTGACAAACCAGATAGTAGGAGAGTAAGAACAAAAGGGGGCTAAGGACATTATAAAAAGTATTAGTATAAAGATAACCACTAGAACAAAAATGCGGACTCCCCTAAATAGAAAAACAGGCAAAGAAAACAAATCACAGAGTGAATTTAACATAATAGAAACAGTAAAAATAATATAAAATAATATGACAGGCTTAAGACTAAATATATCAGTAATATAAATATATAAATGAGCTGAAAATCACCTAATAAAAGGAAAATATTTTCAGATTGACTTTCAAGCAAAACCAATTCATTGCTCTGTAGAAGAGACATACCTAAAACAAAAGGATTCAGAAAGGATAAAACTAGTAGGATGACTTAAAGGCATACAAAGATGCTCTTAGCAGTGTTAATTATAAGACCCAAATAACTACCAAAATGCTCTTCAGAAGTAGAATGAATAAACAAAGTGTGGTGTATTCATACAGTGGAATACTACGTATATAATGAGAGTATGAATATGAATTTTACAAAACAACATGGATGAATCTCATAGTAAGGAGTGAAAGAGGCATGAAACAAGAGTGCATCCTATATGATTCCATTTATGTGAAATTTTAAAAGAGGCAGGACCAATCTATGGTGATAGTAATCCGTATCATGGTCACCCTTATGGAAGGGTAATGACTGGAAGGGAAGCCAAAGGGGCTTTCAGAGCACTAGCGATGCTCTATTTTTTATCTGGGTGCTGGTTGCATGATTTTGTTAACTTTGTGAAAATTCTTTAAGCTGGATACTTAAGAGTTGTGTTCCTTTCTGTATCTACGTTACATTTTAATAAAAGGTTTACATTTAAAAATATAAACTATTTACAAGCAGAAGATGAGGCTTGGGGTAAAGTCCCATGGAATAGCTGGACTTAGAGTCATCAGAGAGAATGATTTTTAATTCCAATTTCTATGAACACTGCCTCTAGGCTCTAAAGGCCATTTTCTTTTCTTTATGACACTTCAAGGTTGCTCCCTAGATTTGTTTTTGCCATCTCCAAATTAAAAATAGAGTCTAGAAAAACAGGGTAGAGAATGCAGAAGTACAGCCGAATACACAAAGGCATTTGGCATAGAGTAAACCATGGTATTTCAAATTGGTGGGATGGGAGAGAGGAATGGATTTTTCAATAACTGGTTTTGAGACAACTGGGTAGCCATTTGGGAAAAAATTAAATTGGATCCCTGTCTTCCTCCTTATATGGAAGTAAATTTTATATTGATTAAAATATACATGTACAAAATGAAACCATAAAAATATTAAAAGAAAATATAGAGGTATATATTTTTAAACCATGGAATATAATGTAAGCCTGACTGAAAATTCAGGAGCTATGTAAGAAAAGATTGACAAATTTTAAAAGTTCTACATGGTTAAAAATAATATCATAAAACCAAAAGATGGACTGGGAAAAATATTTGCAACACATGAGAAGGGGCTAATTTCCTTTATAAAGTGTTCACACAGTCAACAAAAAGTCAAAAAAGATCAGTAATCCAAAGAAAAAATGAGTAAAGAACATGAACTGTTGTTTCAAACAGACTAACTAAATAACTTACTAACACCCGCAAAGACTTATTGCAACATGGAAACCTATGAACATAGGAAATGAATGATGCCAGGTCTTATTCATAATAGAGGAATACAAATTAAATTGCAAGTACAGTATGTAGTCATTTTTCACATATTAGATAAAAAACATTTGCTCATACATTGCATTCTGAGTACAGAGTAGCAAGAAGTCTCCTATATTGTTGAATGGGCAGTATTAGAAATAATTTAAAATGTATATACCCTTTGACTTACTGGTTTCCTTCTACCACTTTATTCTGTAGATACACCCACATCTACATTCATTACAACATTGTTTATGGCAGCAAAAAATTGGAAACAATGGCAGGTACCACCAAAAAAAGAGACCGGTTGAATAAACAAAAGCATAGCTATGCAGTGGAATGCTATGCAGCTGGTAGAAAGAAGGGGCAGATTGATATGTACTAATATGAAAAATCTCCAAGACACACTGTTAAATGAAAAAAATGTGGCACACGTGCCACGTTTTAAAAAGGGAAGGGGCATATACACAGATGCTTGTTTACACAGTTAGTATTTCTTGAAGGATATATAAGAAAATGGTTTCCTCAGAGGTATAGACCTTTGGGGAAGGGTAGGGATGAGAGGGAAACTTACTTGTCATTGTTTACTGTTTTGTATTGAGAATGTTTCCCCCAGGTGAATGACTGTTATACCTATTTAGGAAAACAGACAAAACCAATAAAACCAAACTATTTCTATACAGTGATTATTAGCAGAGATGCCATTGGCATTTTAGATGCATTTTGGGACTGTTCCACACATTTAGGACATTACATTCCTTTCCCTTTGCACTAAATGCCAGTAGCACTTCCCTAGACACTGACAAACAAAAAGTGCCCCTGTAGATTTCTGAAAAGGCCAGGGTGTGGATTGGGGTGGTGGTGTTGTTTGAGTCTAAAAGAATGTAACTTCTCTTCAGGGTTTCCCAGTTTCCAGGTTATGTTGGCCTGGCAGGGAGGGTCTTGACCGACACGGATGGTTATGGACCTTTACTTAGTGAAAAACTCAAATGAACTTCCTTTCTAGAACTCATGGTTTTCATTCAGTGACACTGGACTTTGCCCTGGAGCAGTGACTGGTCAGGGAGCTGTATCTAAGTGGGAGTTGCACCTGTGTGGGCAAAAGTGTGGCACTCAGATTTTCGTAACAATGGGCAAGATTTCAGGAAGCAGGATTTTGGTTCCCTTACTTTAAAATGCATGGAGAATGGCTGGGTTTGGTGGCCCATGCCTGTAATCCCAGCACTTTGGGAGGCCAAGGTGGGCAGATCACCTGAGGCCAGGAGTTCAAGACCAGCCTGGCCAACATGGCAAAACTCCATCTCTACTAAAAATACAAAGCCTAGCATGGTGGAACATGCCTGTAGTCCCAGCTACTTGGGAGGGTGCGGCACGAGAATCACTTGAGCCCAGGAGGCAGGGGTTGCAGCAAGCCGAGATCACACCACTGCACTCCAGCTTGGGCAACAGACCGAGACTCCATCTCAAAAAAAAAAAAAAAAAAAAAAAATTAAAAAAAGCATAGAGGACTGGTTGTATCCTAATAGCACTGGTCCATTTTTCTGTGGTGTGCATTTTAGCTTTTTTCCTAACAAAAAAATCTTACCACATGATTCTCTGCCAACAGATTTTCCTGAGCTGGAAGGAACAGATGTTTCTGTTGGAAATGGGCATCTGTTTCTCCCCTCGCTGTGGCGTGTGCTTCCTATGAGCCCAGGCCCAGGTAACAGTGAATTATCATTAGAAGGCTCTCTCGTAAGACTCATGGGGAAGAACCTATAAGACCCTAGTCTTCCAGGAGGCCAGAAGGAGAGTAGAATGGAGGGTGAGCTTCAGAGCACTGAGACTGCAAAGGGGAACAGAGCTGCTGTCCTGTCTGCTTGGCAGTGACCAGCAGCTGCTTCTGGCCCTCCTGAAACAGGAGGCGAGTTACTGAGACAGTAGAGAAACCCTGAGTCTTTAGAACTGTATTATCTACCTGGGCCTTATAACCTGGACATGCCCAGGGGTAAAATATATCCAAGTAGAAATCTTCCTTCTCAGAACATACCCAGAAATAATGATTCTCTATTTTGAGTACTTTCTTGTGCAGTATACTAACCAGGTGCCTACTGCTATAAATTAATTTTTTTATTTTTCGTTTTTCTCTTTTTTGATGGAGTCTCGCTCCGTCACCCAGGCTGGAGTGCAGTGGCACGATCTCGGCTCTCTGCAGTCTCAACCTCCTGGGTTCAAGCGATTCTCCTGCCTCAGCTTCCTGAGTAGCTGGGACTGCAGGCATGCGCCACCATGCCCAGCTAATTTTTGCATTTTTGGTAGAGGTGGGGTTTCACCATGTTTGCCAGGCTGGTCTTGAACTCCTGAGCTCAGCTCCTCCACTCACCTCAGCCTCCCAAAGAGCTGGGATTACAGGCGTGAGCCACTGTGCCCAGCAATTTTTTTCTTTAGTCTAAGTGTGCACATTAATGCATAGGAAATCCCCATCTTTCCCCAACCCCCTAGTTTTTCTTTTCCTCTTTTTAAAAACTGGATTTTCATTCATTCTTTCCCTTTCCGCCTCCCATCCCCTGCCCTCCCCAAGGCGTGTTGTAGGTACCCCCAGACCATTGCGTTAAAGCGTTCAGGATAGTGCTCTGCTGATTTTAAAAAAAACATTTAAAATAACATTTCCTGCTTTTTCTAATTAGAAAAGCAACATGCTTATCATAGACAGTTTGGAAAATACAGAAAAGCAAAGTGAAGAAAATAATTATCAAGGAAAACGATATGCCTTTCTTTTAAGCCATCATTTTCTCTCCATCTTTGCAGCCACAAAGTCCTTTGTTCCACTTTTTACGTCTTAGAGTAGCTGGGGGTTGGCACACAGATGGTTGGAAGTCCTTGGATCTCACTGTGTTATAAGAGTACAGAAATACAGCAGGCAGCTCTTTGGCTTTGTTTTGAAGCCCTGAAGAATGGGAGAATGCTCTGCATCACTGGAGAACATTTGACTGCATTCATCTCCCAACAAGAGTGGTTGCTGGGAGGAATGAGCAGAAGGAGTGGTGTGTACCAGACTGTACAGGAGTCTTTCCTCCCTAGGCCTGGTCAGCTTTTGCCCTTGGACAGGGGAAGAGGATATCTGGGGATTTATATTTTCTATCAGAATTTGAGCCTTGTCACCTTGGCTGTCCCTCTGTGTCCTTGGGTTTTTAAAATGGAACCTCTTTGTTGTAAAATATTAGTTGTACAGTTGAATTTTTCAGAGTAGAATTGGGATCCAGAGTGAGAAACTTTCTCCCTGAAGGGGCTCCCTGGACTTTTGCTCTTGGCGAGTTGCTGGCAGATACTGACACTAGAAATAAGTGTCAGAGAGGTCTGATATCACTTCAGTTTCAGACTGACCCCAGAGCAACCCTTGAGGACAGCAGTGTGTAAGCTCAAAAAAGATTGTTCTAATTTTGATGACCCTCAGAGTTAAGGCTTCTAGGGGAACTCTTCATTTTCGTAAAAATCCGTCTGTGGGTGGTCACTGTGTTGAGAGATGAGAATTTATGGGTTGAAGTTGTTTTTATGATTTCAGAATAAGTGCTTCTACAACGGGATATTGGGCTTGGGAGTGTAGATGTTGCGGGACCAGGAGCTTTGCAGACTTCCCTTGTTCCCAATTTCTTGGATTTTTTTTTTCTATCCCTTCATTCAGTTGATTCTGATGTCCTAGTATTTTTTCCTAGATCCCAGATCAAGAGATACTTTTATTCCTAATTCTCCCTCTGAAAATTCTATGTCTTTCAGAACAAGATAGGGGAAAAGAGAAATGAGCTTATTAAAAACTATGATATCACAAGGTCAGGAGTTCAAGACCAGCCTAACTAACATGGTGAAACCCCGTCTCTACTAAAAATACAAAAATTATCTGGGTGTGGTGGCATGTGCCTGTAATCCCAGCTACTCAGGAGGCTGAGACAGGAGAATCGCTTGAACCCGGGAGGCGTAGGTTGCAGTGAGCCGAGATTGTATCACTGCACTCCAGCCTGGGTGACAAAGCAAGACTCAGTCTCAAAAACAAAAACAAAAACAAACTACTATGGGCTGGGCATGGTGGCTCATGCCTGTAATCCCAGCACTTTGGGAGGCCAAGGCAGGAGGATCACTTGAGCCTAGGAGTTGAAGACCAACCTGGACAATGTAGTGAGACCTTATCTCTACTAAAAATAAAAAATAAAAAATTCACCGGGTGTGATGGTGTGTTCCTGTAGTCCCTGCTAATCCCAGAGGCTGGAGTGGGATGATTGCCTTACCCCAGGAGTTCAAGCTTGCAGTGAGCTATGATCATGCCGCTGCACTCCAGCCTGGGTGACGCAGCAAGACCCTGTCTAAAACAAACAAACAAAAAACTAGGGTGGTTAAAAAAAAATCTTGGTGAACAACCTCTCTTGTGGATTGTAATTTCTCAAAGAAAAATATGATGTAAAGATTCTTTCTTTTACTCTCCCTTCCGGGTGTCTCATCAAAAAGCGTATATTCCTGAGCTTTGCTGGCAATCGTATTATTTTTTCTCTCCACCTCAGTCCCTGTAACTTTCCTCTTTGTCCATTCTGGAGTTGTGGAGGTGATAAATGGGTCCAAAAATGCTGTTAAGAGTGATCTTTAGGTGGGCACAGGTTCTTTATGATATATCCCTAATCAAGAGCCTTTACAGGTTCTCCCCAAAGTCTCTTTGTGCAGGAATGGGAGCCTGCTGTGTTTTAGACTGGATGGGGCTCTGACCAAGTATTTTTTGTCTTTCTCCGCAGGGCATAGTAGTAGGTGCTCAGTGAAGATTTGTTGGATTGAAGTGGTTTGAATTAAATATGATTTGTATGTAATTTTATATTCAAATAAAGTCTGTTCCTGGTCTGAGTTACTTTTCAAATTATATATTGTTACTCTGAAGATTGTCATTTCCTGAATTTTATTTTCTTTGTTCCTTTTCACCCACTTGCTTCCATTGTTCCAAATTTAGTCGTGTTGGAAATCAGACTAGGTAGGTGTGGAAATAATTGTCGAATCAAATTGTTCAGTCAGGGGAAGGTGGGGGGTAGATGGCTAAAGACATCAGAATCTTTTGTCTGGGTTTTAGGGTCAGAAAATGGAAACTGGCAGAGCAAAAAGGTCAAAAAGTATCAGGAATACCCTGCTTTGCTTTAAATCTCTATTTGCCTTAGAGCAGTCATCTGTAGTGTGGTGACCACAGGCTTTCTAATGTCTATGGGTTTAACCCCCTAGAGAGCAATTCCTTTGGGGTGAGGAGACTGGAGGGGATATTCTTCCCTTCCAGGGGTCTTCTCATTGCCTTCTTTTTAATTTTTTAAATTTAAATTTTTTTTTTTTTTTTGAGACAGAGTCTCACTCTGTCACCAGGCTGGAGTGCAATGGCGCAATCTCGGCTCACTGCAACCTCCACCTTCTGGGTTCAAGCAATTCTCCTGCCTCAGCCTCCTGAGTAGCTGGGACTACAGGCGTGTGCCATCAGGCCCGGCTAATTTTTGTATTTTTAGTAGAGATGGGGTTTCACTATGTTGGCCATGCTGGTCTCGAATTCCTGACCTCAGCTGATCCACCCACCTCGGCCTCTCAAAGTGCTGGGATTACAGGTGTGAGCCACCGTGCCCAGCCCTCATTCTTTATTTCTACTGCTCTATGTAGTTAGATGTCAGCCCTGGGTGGCAGCAGCAAAGAACCCAGGAGCCATCACTGCTCAAGATTAACTAGTTGGAGACCCCTTAACATATATTTTCAGCATCTAGTAACAGCTAATCTCGCAGGCAGTCAATATTGAGATACCGCTGCCTTGTGAGTTTTGGGTAGAAATAAAGCAAGTAAGAAATATAGTTCCATCCTGCTTGGAGTTTTCTATTTAGTTAGGGACTTTGAAGTCCCTGAATGTTTATATACTTTTTCCTATTTCATCCCATTACACATCTTACTTTCCTTTGAAATCTTCTGGAATGCTTGACTGCAAGTATCTGAGAAACCATGTTCCACCTAACAACAGTTGCTAGGTAGGATGTGGCTTTCAGGCCTGCTCTTTGGGGACCAATAGAAAAACCAAAGGCTACCACCCTTTTTCCCTCTACGCAATTGCCTTTGCTAGGCTATAGAGAGGGCACATTTCATTTTATTAAAACTCTTTGAGTAATCTGACCATAATTGGGTCTGATTGGAGTGGTTATCTGATTTGCTGGGTTAAATAATGGGCCTTAATTGAGTCTGGGTTATTTGTAGAGCCAGTGTGGCTTTTGCCTTCATTGCTCCCTCCTCTCTCTTCTGTTTCCCAATTAACCTTCATTCCTCTTTCCTTGCAGAGTAAAGAAGTCGGCCAGCAGCTCCAAGATGATTTGATGAAGGTCCTGAACGAGCTCTACTCGGTAAATCAGATGGGTTGCTTGGCTCTTTAACAAGCAGAGGGAAGCAGCATTTGGCAGCTTGCAGCCATAGTACATCAGCAACAGAACTGAACTGAGGTTGAGGACAAGTGCATGGTCCCCACTGGGGGTGACCCCACCCATCTCTTTTTTCACACTCGTCTTTTCAAAATGGAATGAGTCAAAAAATACTTCCTCAAAATAAGTTTTCTCCTCAGCTATGCAAGCTCACCCTGGCTTTATTTGGGGCATAATTACTAGAGACCAGCCAAAGTCTAGGTCATTGGCACAATGGACCCCGTTAGCAGCAAACCAGGGACCCTGAACTAATGGCAAGGAACGTAGCCTGCATTGCACTATTAATATGTGCCTGTCGGAAAGGCTTTATTGTTCTAGGTTTTTCATCAGATCTTGGATTGATGTATGGCTTTGAGACTAGAACAAATGCTCTAGAGGGCAGCACAGAGTCCTAAATGCCCCCAGTAAGAGGGACGAGTTTGAGCAGAGAGAGCTTTGCACTGGCTTCCTGGAGTTTTATAAAACCAAACCTCAGTGACGAGGCAGGCTGCGGGCTTGGAGAAGAGAACACAATCTGTTCTGAGATGACTGGCGCTTCAGGCACATGATGCCTGTGGCTGGTGCGTGTTAATTCATGCGCAGAGAGGTGGTGGTGGTGGTTGTTCCCCACCCATGTTTTTCTAATTATAATGAAAACAAACACACACTCACACACATACACACCAAGGAAATTCCTGTTGTTATACAGGGAATACTTAAGTTATACAGCTAATGCCTTTCAGGGGCCCCTTCTCCAGCTTGGATGTGCCAGCCTACTATGTCATTCTCCAGGGTTTCTCCATCCTGTTTGAAGGTGATACTGATTTCTGATGTTTACTTGCTTATTTGCTGCATTTTTTCTTTTCTTTTCTTCCTTTGTTTTTTTTTTTTAATTCACAGAACAGGCAGTGGTGACATGCATGACAGGCATTTGGGATCAGATGTTGCTGATCCAGAAGCCTAGGTGTGGCCATTTTGTCATGGCAACTGTTAAGCAAGTAAATAGGGTAGAGTAGTCATCTGACTTATCTCCAGCGATGTTCAGTTTGTTTTGAATTTCTACTCTGTGACACTTCTGCTCTGAAGCCAAGCATAGATAGATGGTACCTTTCGTTCAACTCCCAAGTTTTCATTTCTCTCAAATGAAGTTAAGAGGTTTTTAAAATAGAAACACATCGATGTGAGCCATTTTCAGACTGGATGGGTTTCCTGAACCTTGTCTTTTTAATGCTTTACTTCTGCTCTTTTAGATCAATTTCTAAGCGCCAAGAAGAGCTATTACTCCTTTCTCCTAGCAGAGAATTCCCTAAGATAGAAAATGACACATGTAGTCATTGTATAAATTCTTTTATTTTCCTGTAAGCATCTTGACCCTCTACTATTTGCAGCTGTTTCTGGGGAGGAGTAGTTTGGATAACCAACAAACCTTGCCACTTCTTCAGTGGGACTCAAGGCAGCAGAAGAAGACTACTGTCTAAGGATCTGTTAGCTTTTACCCAGGGTCCTATGTCTCTTCATATGCTGTGCTTTAAAAAAAAAAAATAAGTGAAAGGGCGTAAGCTGTGTTTGAGTGAGGAAGAAAACCTTGGAACTTATTTCTCTGGTCTGCAGAGGGCCGAGCTGCTACCTCTGACTGCAGACTTAAGACAGCCCAATATTGGCCAACTACTTTACTGGCCATTGTGAGGCCATGGTCAACATAGAGCATAACATCTTCCCATTGATGTTCAAACTGAGAATTGCCTGAGTGTGGTATCCCCTGCCATAAGGTGAGCTGGAATACACCCTCATAATCTGTTAAAGGCCAAAATTAAAATGTGATGTTTTCCTCTAGTAGGCAATGGAAAGAGGGAAAAAAGAGTAGAGGCACTAGGAAGTTTCAGAGAAGTCAAAACATTCTGGTCCAAATGGAGTTTTAAGCAGAGGGAGTTTTACCCCGAGAGGACATTTGGCAATGCCTGAAGACATTTTTGATTGTCACGACTGGAGGAGTAGAAGGTGCTGCTGACATCTAATGATCTAGAGGCCAGGGGTTCTGCTAAAATCCTACAGTGCACAGGGCAGCTCCCACAACAAAGAATTATCTGACCCACAATGTCAATATAGAGACATTGAGAATCTTCTGACCCACAAGATTGAGAAATGCTGGTCTAGTGACTAGAGTCTCCTGAATTAAGCAGCCTAGATTCTACCCTGTCTTGACTACTAGCTGTATGAGCTTGAGGGATACCCCAAACCTCTATGACCTTGGTGTCTGCATACACTCCATGCACTGGTATTTCTATATCCTAGGGGGTGGAGTAGTTGGGTGAGTTATACTTCCTGAAATATTAGGCTATAGCTAAGGATCAAATAGGTTTCCAGAGTCTGTAGGCCATTAGAAAGTTCAGTGAGCCAGGCTCATGCCTGTAATCCCAGCACTTTGGGAGGCTGAGGCAGGCAGATCACGAGGTCAGGAGATCGAGACCATCCTGGCTAACACGGTGAAACCCTGTCTCTACTAAAAATACAAAAAAAATTAGCTGGGCATGGTGGCGGGTGCCTGTAGTCCCAGCTACTGGGGAGGCTGAGGCAGGAGAATGGCGTGAACCTGGGAGGCAGAGCTTGCAGTGAGCCGAGATCGTGCCACTGCACTCCAGCCTGGGCAACAGAGCGAGACTCTGTCTCAAAAAAAAAAAAAAAAGAAAAAGGAAAAAAAGAGAAAGTTCAGAGAATAGCCGGTCACAGTGGCTCATGCCCGTAATCCCAGCACTTTGGGAGGCTGAGGTGGGCGGATCATGAGGTCAGGAGATCGAGACCATCCTGGCTGACACGGTGAAAACCCATCTCTACTAAAAATATATTAAAAACTAGCCGGGCATGGTGGTGGGCGCCTATAGTCCCAGCTACTCAGGAGGCTGAGGCAGGAGAATGGCATGAACCCAGGAGGCAGAGCTTGCAGTGAGCCAAGATCGTGCCACTGCACTCCAGCCTGGGGGACAGAGCAAGACTCGGTCTCAAAAAAAAAAAAAATAATAGCAGTTCAGAGAATAGAATTATTTCTTCTGGAGATTAAGATAGGTTTAGGACTGGTCTGAATAAGGCACCATGGGATTACGGTGACTAACTGTCCCTCTTTGCCTAGTACTGAAGAGTTTCCTGGGACATGAAATTGTCAGTGCTGAAACTGGAAAAGTTCTAGGTTAAAAAGGGTTAATTGGTCACCTTGCATGGTAGAGTGGTTTTATCAGGTGGGAAGCTGGGACTGTTACATGCTAGCTTTGGGAAGCTGCTTGCTGTATGCACACCTTTGAGGAGTCAAGAAGAGAACAAGGGAGAGTTTCTTAGAAGGAGCTTTCCCATTATTTGCTTGTCAGGAAGGCAGGGAAGGGCCTCTCATTTCAATGACGTTGTAGGCAATAGAAGTTATTTGGGGTCACTGGAAAAAGGAAACCAAGGATATAAGAAACCCACCCAGTTTTTTCATGTCCTTCACATCTGCTCCTAATGCCCATGAATACCTTTTTTTAGGGGACTAGTTATCCAAGGGTTGGTAATTTTAGTACCTTTGAACCTTGATGATCCAAGGAGCAGGACCCAGGTGTTCCCAAATAAAGATGCCTTTGGGCACCGGGCCCAGAATGCCGCCATGAGTGGCCAGCTGCCCCTCTGCACCTTCCTCTTTTCTGCCTGAAGGGCCTTTGATTTCCCTGACTTGGCATTCTGTGCTGGGGCCTGCTTCCCACAGCTGCTATTCAGAGAGCAATCCTAGCGAGCATTCTTCTCCACGTGTTTTCCCCCCATAATGAGCTGGCTTGTATGTAAGCCATGGCATAAGTGGTTTTCATTTTCTGACTGATGCACCGGGAATGCCTTTGAAGTCAGAACACACTGCTTCCCAAAGAACTCTGGGATTCTTTGCCTCAGTTGTACTCAGAGGTCGTGTCTGGAAAAACCCAGCAAACCCCCACAGGAAGGAGTGTACATGGAGGCACTGAAGCCAGTGTGGATTGGCTGAGTATGAAGAGTCAAGGAAGCTCTAGAATTGAGAAAAAAGAGGCTTTGGGACAATTTGGGGCTGTTGTTATTCCAGAGGCCTTATGCTTCTGTACTCCCCCTAAATTTACATCCCGTTGGCTTGGAGCATCGGCTGTGTGCTGGCAGAGCTACTTCAGACTGGTATTTAGCACCTGTTCCCTTGAAACAATGGCACTTAATAGTCCCTCAACTCTGCTTGCCTATTTGACTCTGGCACTAGGCACTAGGGAGACAAGAACAAATAAGAGATGTTTCTGACCTCAAGGCATTTAGTTTTAATAGGGAGAGACAGAAAAGTAAAGCATCAAGTGAAAAATGAAGTGACAAGAACTCATTTACATGTCTGCACAGAGGACAGGGATGAAGTCAGGCTCCGATACTTGAATTGAATCTTTATTGCCAAGAACTCTTTTCTTGTTCTCTACATGTTCCCTTTTTTGTTGCATCCAACTTTTGTTTCATGATGCAGTATCGTTTTATTTCTCATTTATCTCTCCAGGGCTATTATGGATATATTGTTTTCAAACTTTTCTTCTTGTTGTATAATATTTCTTCTAAATTGCTAGTTTTGGTCTTGGTCTTTCATATTAGACATTTCCTTTAAATGCCTGGTCATTCTTAGCTGCCTATTCACATTTTAAAGTGAGGCACTAAAAGATTCTATGTCAGCTGTGGCCTTCACAGTAGGGTGTTCTAACTGGGCTGTGTCCTTGTGGAAGCCCCAACTTTAGTATTTCTAGGTCTCTTATCTTGGATGGTCAGATTGCCGAGAGATCACACTTTTGATCTCCCACTCATGTCTGGGAGCTGAGTTGTGAAGAGGCCTAGACCATCTCAAAATTTAACATAGACTTCAGCTAATCCTCCTGTTGAAGTTCAGTATACCCGTATCCTCAGCTGAACCTTGTATCCCCTAGTCCATGGAACCTCTCTAACAGAATAAACCTCTCATCTAGTCTTCCACTACAATGGGAGAGGGGATCTTGGGGCCTCACTGTTCTCAGACTTCCTTTTTTTTTTTTTTTTTTTTTTTTTTTTTTTGAGATGGAGTCTCGCTCTGTTGCCCAGGCTGGAGTGCAGTGGCGTGATCTCGGCTCACTGCAAGCTCCACCTCCCAGGTTCATGCCATTCTCCTGCCTCAGCCTCCCGAGTAGCTGGGACTACAGGCACCCGCCACCACGCCCAGTTAATTTATTTTTGTATTTTTAGTAGAGACGGGGTTTCATCGTGTTAGCCAGGATGGTCTCAATCTCCTGACCTCGTGATCCGCCCACCTGGGCCTCCCAAAGTGCTGGGATTACAGGCATGAGCCACCATGCCCGGCCTGTTCTCAGACTTTCAATAGCTTATTTTGTGTTTAGCTCTACCTTCATCCCACTGCTACTTATTTCTCTTCGGGCTTCTGTGATATAAATCTGGCTGCTTCCTGGCTCACTCTAGTTTTGGTTTAGGACTCAAGTAGATGAGTTACTGCTTGCCTACCTGCTTTTCGGCTTCAGCTTCCATTCTTTTTGTTTTTCTCAATTTATACCTAAATGATAATCATTTTAGAACCTTTTTTTTCCTATTATTTTAGTGTGGCTGTCAGAGGGAGCAGAGCTAAATATGTGACTTCAGTGTTTAGTTTTTCAAAGTAAAGTGGAATGTTCTTTGCAGAACTGAGAATTTAGACTTTTCAGTTTTTCCCCATAGTTTGCATTTGCCTATCTATATATAGATAGAAGTATGTATATGTATATCTTTATGTATACATATCTATATATACATATATGAGTAGCTATATGTCTAAGACATAGATATATAGATATACATATATTTACATATGTATATGTACATAGATCTATATATCTAAGTCCTATCTTGGCTTTCTCTAAGTCCTATCTTGACTATAAATATATATTTATAAATATATATTTAACATGTATATCTGTATCTATATACATTTCTAAGTCCTGTCTTGACTTTCCTATTTTTTCAATTGTTTTGGCATCACTTATTTAAGCTTCAGCTTCTAGGTACCTCAGTTTTCTCTTGAGCTGGAAGGCACTAATAAAGCTTCTCCAGTATTTACCCAGAAGAGAGATTCAGTGTCATTCAGTCATTTGGGCAACCACTTTGTAAAACTACCATTGTGTATATGACATATTTCTCCACTGTGAGAAGAAAACACAAAAGAAGTAGAGCTTAGCGTGAAGAATGTATAGTTTCTTAGGCAAAGTAGCGTTTTACTCTCTTTTAACAAGAAAGTTCTTTAAGTTTTTTAGGGGAAAGTAACATTGTAAATTGTTGATTTTTGTTACTTCATTTGTTGACTTGGTAGCGCTATTCTTTGACCTCTTTTTTATCTCATGTTTATTCATAACGTTTTCTCTTTATCATGCACCTTCATGAAATAGGAAATCACTTTAAAAAAGAAAAAAAGCACTCACTTTTGTAACTTCTCACTAAGCTTTTGAATCCCATGGTCAGATTCAGGTGGAAAAAGAGAAAAAAAAGAGGAGCCTCCTATCTACACTTCTTCAGCTGAGATAACAGATGCCTCTTTTCCACTTCTTAGTTAACCTGGAAAGCTGGGGGTCTGTTCGAATTACTTAGAAAGGCTTTTAAACGCCATTAGTTGTTAAGTATTTTTTCTTCTGTATAGAAAATATGAAGAGTATTATCCTGGTAAAATTTACGGGAAGTAGTGTTAGGTTCAGAATGAGGTGAAACTGATTTAAAACATTCTGCATTCAAAATGAGACATAATTTAGACTCTAATGTACTTTGATTTTGTCAGTGTCCCAGTATTCTTTATTCTTTCGTCTGCCTCTAGCTGATCGTAGGTGCTAGATTAGTATACCCACAAAGTCTTTCTAAGCTAGATTTTCTCAACGTCAGCACCATTGACATTTGGGCCAGATAATTAGTTGTTGTGGGGGCCGTCCTGTGCATGGGATGTTCAGCAGCATCCCTGACCTCTAACTACTAGATGCCAGTAGCAATCCCCAAGTTGTGACAATCAAAAATATTTCCAGACACTGCCACATTTCCCCTGGGGGCCAAAACAGCCCCAGGTTGAGACACTTCTCTAACTCAGGTTCATACATGGAACCAGTTTCTCTTTTCAGGAATATCTTGACCATATTTAACCTTTCCTCCCAACCAGTTCAGCTCCAGTCCTATCCAGAGGAGAGTCGGTGTTGCTTAATGGCTAAGAATGTGGTCTTTGGAGTCTGACAGACCTGGGTTTGAATCCTGATTCCACCATTTACTCATTGTATGACCTTGGGTATGATAGTTAATCTCTCTGAGCCTTATTTCCTTATCTTTAGAAATAGAAATAATAACAGTGCCTTTCACAGAGTTATTGTAAGAATTAAATGAGGTAATGTACGTAAAGCCCATGGTACACAATGTTTATTAAGTGGTAGATATTAATAATAATATTGTACCTTTGCACTCCTGTGTTACACACACACATGCACACACACACACACACACACACACACACGCACACACACACCCAACTTCTACTCTCTAATTCTCCCTCTCAAAGAAATCTTATGGCATCACACTTTCAGCACTCGTGAACTCCCTGTGTGGAAACAGAAAGTTCCCACAGAGTAGAGCAGGCACTAGGTGGCTGGAAGTAGTATGTTTAGTAGGATTGGAAACAAGCTTGAGTTCTAGGCTTCCTGGCTTCCCTGTTAAGAGAAAGGATTGGACTCCTAGATGGTTGCTTTGATGGAAAATCATCCTTCACCTTTTATACTACTTCCCTCCTGTGGCAATTCCAGTTATACTTGATATGGATTTTATTCCTTCCCAGACTCTTACCTGAATTGTTTTGAAGGCTTACAGTCTTCATAGGGTTGTTGTCTAGATTGTGGAATTGTCCTAAGGATGAAATGAGAAAATGTGTTGTGTGGTACTTGGCATAAAGCCAGGAATATACTAAGTGCTCAGTAAATGATAACTGGCATTGCAATTGCTGCTGCTGCTTTAGTTGCTGTGAGAGGGTGTTTGATCTGGATAAAGCAGAACAGACAGATCCCCAGAATGCCAGGCCGGTAAAAGGAGCTTTTGGAAGCTTTTCCTCTTCCCTATTTTATATCTGAAAGGTAACAGAAAGCATAGGCTACTCCATAGGCTGCACTGCCCTCTTCGGGGTTCCTGACCAGCCCAGAAAGGCTTTGCCCTTGGGGCCTGAGAGTGGTGGTGTTGTTTCCCATCTACTCAGTATTATGAGGTGACTAAGTGATAGAAATCACCTGGCCAATATTAAAGAGAAATGATTACAAATGATAATGAATAGAAATAAATAATACATGATGGATAGACATTAAGTTATTTCAATAAGAGGAAATGTTGGCTCAGTTCACATATTGCTTTCCTGTGCTTTGGAGTGGTCTTTAATCTGTGTTTGCTGAACCAAACACTTCTGGATTTTTCCCTTAGGGGTGTGAGGATATTGCTTCATGGGGGAGAGCTCCAGCTGAGTCTGGTAGTCTGTAAAGCAGAGAAATGACCCCCTTGGCTTGACCTCTGGGGGTGGGGGTGGGCGATGTCTTGCAGGTCATGAAGACATATCACATGTACAATGCCGACAGCATCAGTGCTCAGAGCAAACTAAAGGAGGCGGAGAAGCAGGAGGAGAAGCAAATTGGTAAATCGGTAAAGCAGGAGGACCGGCAGACCCCACGCTCCCCTGACTCCACGGCCAACGTTCGCATTGAGGAGAAACATGTCCGGAGGAGCTCAGTGAAGAAGATTGAGAAGATGAAGGAGAAGGTATGTAGGCTCCCACAGCTGTAGATGCTGGGAAGCAACATTCGGTAAGGCATGGCTGATAGGAATTTCCCAATAGTCACTGGGAAGAGCAGACGAGGAAGCTCTGGGTTCTTTTAGTGCCTAATGACTGAAAATGAGGCCTTGCTCTGTGCCCTGGCAGGAATACTAGGTATTGGAAGAACTGGGCACGTGGGATCCAAGTTTCTAGCCTCTAGCAGAAAACCAAGAAACAGCAGTCACCTTTCCCAATCCATTTTCCAAATAGAGCTCAATATCCTATTGCTTTGGAGGGGTTGGGGGTGACTGTAAACCCAGGATTTGGTTTCAGGTATCAGGTGTTCAGGGGCAAGAGTAGTGGTACCTCCTTCAGAGTGGCATTGCAAGAATGAAGAATGATATTTGAAGATAGAATCAAAGTGGGGCACGCATCTTAAGTAGGGAGCCTCATTAACCTTTCCTGAATTGATCTACATTGTGCCCTTGAATCTCATTAAACAGAATTAGAACCCAATTTAAGGCAGATGCGCATAGGGAGTAGCAACACAATTGTAGTTCTTGAATACACTGTACTTTTATCTTTTAGAGAACAAGCCCCCCTTAAAAAAAAAAGGTAAAAGTGAACTTCTGTTTCCTTTTCAGCACCAAGCCAAGTACACGGAGAATAAGCTGAAGGCCATCAAAGCCCGGAATGAGTACTTGCTGGCTTTGGAGGCAACCAATGCATCTGTCTTCAAGTACTACATCCATGACCTATCTGACCTTATTGATGTAAGTGCTTAAAGCCAAGGGCCTGAGGGCACCTCTTTTCTGGTTTCAGAATACTCGTCAGACATTCCCCGATACTATTGTTCAGGAATCTGGTGCATTTTGAGAACAATTAGGAAGATAGCAGCCATGATCCATCAGGGTGCTTGCCAAGCACCAAGTGAAACACTTCACACTTATTCAATCCTAACTGGAATTCTGGGAGGAAGGCATTATTATCTATATTTTTACAGATTAACAGAGAGTTTAGATGACTTAGTCAGAGTCAGTTAACAAATGACAGAGGCAAAATTTGCACCTAGGCCTGATGACTCAACCCAGGCTCATAACCACTACACTAGTCTATCTGCCAGGAAATACTTTCTTCCTTTTTTTTTTTTTTTTTTTTTTGAGATAGAGTCTTGCTTTGTCCCCCAGGCTGGAGTGCAGTGGTGCAATCTTGGCTCACTGCAACCTCCATCTCCCAGGTTCAAGCAATTGTCCTACCTCAGCCTCCCCAGTAACTGGGACTACAGGCATGCATCACCATGCCCAGCTAATTTTTGTATTTTTAGTAGAGATGGGGTTTCACCATGTTAGTGAAGCTGATCTGGAACTCCTCACCTCAGGTGACCTGACCTCAGGTGATCCACCTGCCTCGACTTCCCAAAGTGCTAGGATTACAGGTGTGAGCCACTGCACCCGACCTAGGAAATACTTTATTACATCAGCTTCTCTTGCACAGAAGTGAGTGGCAAGAACTTAACTAAAGAGTTACAATGCCATCCCTTATATTTGTATAGCATTTAAGGTTTCTCGGTGTTAACTCATTTGACTCTCACATCACCATTATGGGTAAGCATTGCTGTCTCCAGTTGCTAGATAAGGAAGCTCAAGGTCCAGAGGACTAGGAGACTCACTTGTCCAAGGTTATGCTGCAAATTAGGGTCCTGTCAGGAAGGTATCCAGCTCCCCCTGACATCTGGCCCATTTTTAAAAATATGTGATGCAAAGGGGATTGAGGAAAGCGGTTAATAGGCACATGTGTTTTGCAAGGGGCAAGCGCAGGGATAAGCTTTTTGTTTTTTGCCTGTGAGTTATTCTTGGCCTTGTTTTTCCTGCTGCTTCCCCTTACAGTTGGGTCTTACAAGCCCTCTCACCTACAGACTCCAATCTGGCCCAGGTCCTGAGCCACACCTAAGTGAAGCTATGTAATTACACCCTTTCTCACCTCTCCTTCCAGTCATCAAAGTGAGGCATCTGGAGCCAGCCAATTTAGCATTCCAGTCTCTGGGGCTTCAAGTGTATCTCATCTTGGAGGCCTGCCATTTGTTTCAGGGTCTTGTTGGCAGCAGTTGGGCTTTGCAAAACTCTGGCCCGACCACTCTTGCTTTCCTGCCTTGGTTTCTCCACAAGCAAACCTGCCACACCTCACAACATCATATGGGATTTGGGTCCGAGTCTTGCTGTTATATCACCACCTGGGTCATCTAGGCTTGTCACTGAATTGTTCTGGAACCCAGCTTTGTTTCTCACCCACTCCCAAGCTCCTCTAGCTAACTGAAGAACTGGACTAATTCCCTGGTATTAAAATTTGGCCTCACGTAAGAGTTGCTTGGGGAACTTCTCTAAAATACAGATTCCTGTCTCCCTTTAGCCGAGGATTTTTGATTCAGTAGATTTCAGCCACTTAATGCCCTAGGTGTCATTGTCTCACTGGGTTAGTAGAGCCTTGCTCCCTGTTCTGGTACCTCTTTGTTCTCTCTGCTTGTTGATGACAATCTGAACACTGTCCTTCAATGGAGGTCAAAGCCCTAAACAAGATCCTTTCTCCTCCTCAGGGGAAGAGCTCCTCATTGTTGGGAGAGAGGCCTGTTCTCAGCATAAGGAAGAGAATCCATTCTTTCTTATGCACAATTTCTGCTATTTATCTCGCATTTGGTAAAAATTCAGACTGTGCTGTCTGCCACACCGCTGCTATTGGTTAGCCCTCTTCTCTTTTTTTGTACTCAAGGCAACTTCCCTACCTTTTTCACCAAAATACTGATCTCAGGGGAAGGGAGGGGTTACTGCTGTATCAGCCACAACCTTTGCAATCCATAGATTCTCCATCAGGTATAACCAAGCGTTTTAAAATCAGTCCAAGAAGCGAGGTATTTTGTACCTTATTTTCATCATTTAAAAAAAAAAAACGTCTGCTAAGAGCCTAATTTCACAGGATGTGGTGTGACATGCCATTGAAAAAGAGGCTGCCTTAGTACTTGGCAGGGTGTGGGTCTAGATCACTGGGATCAAAAGGCTACATAGGTAGTAATAAAGTTTCTCATGTTTCTTTTTTTTTTTTTTTTTTGAGAAGGAGTCTCTCTCTGTCACCCAGGCTGGAGTACGGTGGTGCGATCTCGGCTCACTGCAAGCTCTGCCTCCCAGGTTCACGCCATTCTCCTGCCTCAGCCTCCCGAGTAGCTGGGACTACAGGCACCCGCCACCACGCCCAGCTAATTTTTTGTATTTTTTTAGTAGAGACGGGTTTTCACTGTGTTAGCCAGGATGGTCTCGATCTCCTGACCTCGTGATCCGCCTGCCTCAGCCTCGTTTCTTTGCTGCTGTTTTGGTTGTGTCTTGTTTTAGTTTGTTGGTTGGTTGGGTTTTTGTTGTTTTTCCTGGGATATGGACACATTCATTATTTTTTTTAAAGTTGTATTATTCTGCTCTATAAATGTTCAGTAAATATTTATTTAGGGAGAAGCCACGTGCTCAGTATTGGGGTAAAAATGGATTATAGTAGTTCTCACCCTAGAGGTAGTCATAGGCTGTAAGACAACATTTTTCAAACCATTGGTCAGATCCCTTAAGAAAGTCAGGAAATCACTTTTATTGGTTTAACCTGTGTTTTCAGATGACTAGATGAGACTAGAATAAGAAAGAAAATATTAGAGTACATCACATTGGTAAGATTATGTGAAACTTTTATGTTAGATATGTATGTACACACTTGTACATCCTATGGGGGAGTGTGTGACAATAGAAGATGTGTTTCTTATTGTGAGTTGGGAGTCAAAAAAGTGTTTGTGAGCCATTGTACTATGAACAGAGGAAGATCTCAGTCTCATCTGTTAAGTTCTGTGAGAGCAGGAACCAAGAGTTTTCTTTACCTTAGTAGCCTCCAGTGCTTAATATATAGCTGAGCACATAGTGTGTTTACTGAAGGAAGAAAGGAATAGAAAGAGGAGGAAGATGATCATCTAAGCTAAGATCGGTTTTTCTTTTTGTACCTTTCAATATGGTTTTGAAGTATAATTTACATACAGTAACTAAACTTAAGTGTTACAGTTTCAAGAGTTTTGACAAATTTGTACATCTTTGTAATCTATGTCAAGATATAGAATAAATATTTTGATAAGAGATATCTTTCCATTGCCTCAGAAAGTTTCTCTTGTCTCTTCCCAGCCAATCCCCCACCCCAAGGCAACCACTGTTATGATTTCTTTCACCATAAATTAGTTTTGCCCGTTGTAGAACTTCACAAAGATGGGATTATCCTTTTTTGTGTCTGGCATCTTTTGCCAACATGATGTTTTTGAATTTCATCCATGTTGTTTGCATGTATCGGTAGTGTCTTTCTTTTTCTTGCTGACCTATGAGATAAAAAGGGCCAAAAGGATGCAGTTAGAGCAGGACTAAGTGAGGAGCCTGGGATATTGGCATCCTGATCTTAACATTATTCATTACTTGCTTTAAGACATGGGATGAATCCTGTTGCAGTCCATTGCCATCTGTGTCATGTACAGCCTTCTGCCTCCTTCCTAGTGGTTCTGAAGCCAAATGTGTGCATAAGGCATTGAGGATAAGTGAAAAGAAGTTATTTTTGTTGATGCCATTACATTGACCAAGGACTAGCCTCCGACTTCTTTTTATAGTATAGTGCAAGATTTAAACTTCAGACTGTAGGAATCCACGTGAGGCATCTGCCACACTGGGGAAACCTTGACTTCAGGCCAAAAAGACGTTCTGAGCTCATTTGATGGCATCTAAGAACGGTAGGCTCACTGGAATATAATTTTCCTCCCCCATACTCTTCTGGCTCTCTCAACCCAGGAGCAGATGGATGAATGAAGAACAGGGCATTGTCCTCATGCATAGCTGGAGTGTTGTAAGTGCCGTGTACATGTATGGAAGGTCTGTGACACCATGTGCACCCAAGTCGGACATGAGGGAACTTGGCTGTTTCAGTAAGAAATGTCATTAAGGGCAGTTATTTTTCTCTTTTGTGTGAACTTGAAGTGGGTGTTGTGAAACACCCATTTTTCCTTTCCAGGCCTTGTGGAGTCTCTGGGTGAAGATATCAGCTGGGAAAGGGTTAATGAGCTATCAACTCAAGTCATCATACATCTGGATGGGCTGTCATTAACTTCTTACGAAAATTTGATTTCCCCTGAGAGATTTTTCATCAAACATTTATATAACCCAGAAATGGCCAGGGGAGTCCAGCGTGGCCACAGAACTCATCAGAAGCCATGGAAAGCCTGCTTTGTCCCCACTGTGAGCAAAATAATGTGCTTCCTGTACTTATTGGGATTCTTCTTGGAACAGGATGAAATATTCAAATCTCATTTACCCAACCTTGCCAGATATTGCTTCTTCGCTGAAGGCTCGGTTTCTGGCTGTTTCCCCTACAGGTATATAGATAGTCAAGACTCTGGAGAACCTCTTCCGAATCTGCCTGGTTGGCTAGAGGTGTAGAGGAGCCAGGGGCACATTGTGACTCAGACCCTCACTCATTGGCACAAAGAAGCTACAGAATAGTTATATAAACAGAGGCAGTGCGCCAGCCTGGGAAAACTCCCAGCCTCCCTTTGGCCATAGAGTAAGCAAAACAAATGGCTTCACTGGCCCCATCTACCCACTTGACTTAGGTCAGTATTCAGCCTAAATGTTTTATTTCCTGAGAGGCTGGAATCTGTATTTGTGGTATCAATCAGTCAACTGAAATTTATTAAATGCCTGCTGTGAGCAAGGCCTAATGCTGAGGGATGTAAAGAAGAGTGAGAAGCTAGTCTGGTTGGGGTGATATGACATGGCAAATCATAGAATGAAGAAGCGTATTCCTTGTCATATGAAAGCTGCAGATTAGTGTGGTTCTAAGTAGAGGCCAGGGTCACTGGAGTCTAGGATTGCAGGGTTGGCTGGCTTCCCAGAGGCTAAGAATTTAATTTGGATCTTGAAGATCTGGTCCAATTCCAACAGGTGAGAGGCATAGGAAACATTTAAGGAAAAGGACATTCTGGGAGCTGAAGGGCAGAGGTCAGTGGATTTGGAGCTATATTAGTATTTTTTTAAAGTGTCTACATGGTACCAAATATCTGTAAATATATTGCCTGTTAGCCTACAACAACCTGTGTGGCTGGTGTTATCCTCATTTGAGGCCCAGAGGGATTAAGTAGCTTGCTTATGGCCATAATAGCTGATTTGAAGACTAATACTCTACCCTAAACAGAGAGTATCTCATTGGATTAGAGCAGATGAATCTGAAGAAGAAAATAAAGGGAGTTGATGTTGGATGGGTAGATTGAAGACAGATTACAGTTTGTTCTGGCTATTGAACCTTGCTCAAATTATTTAACTTCACTGAACCTCAGCTTTCAAGCCTGGAAAATTAAGATTATACCAACCTCATTGGGGTTATTATGAGGATTAAAATGTAGAATGTATATAAAGCACTTAGCACATGGACTGACGTATAGTAAGCATACTTAGTGAAATAGAAGCATTTTTTAAATTTCAAAACTGAGGAAGGTGGATTTTACCTTGGGGAAAAAAAATGAGAGGTATTTTAGGTTCTTCAACAGGAAAGTGCCATAATTAAAGTCACAGTTTAGGACAGTGAAGCTGACGGTGAGGGTATGAATAGGGGTAGAGGTAGTAAGAATGGAGAGGAAAGGGAAATTACTAAAAACAGGTAAAAGTTTTTTGAAGGGTAACTTTTCTCTCCCAGATTCTACCCCCTGCCCACACCCCCTCCACCCACACTCATACACTCTGTGGGCCGTGTTACTTCTGTTCATTAGACTTATAGGCATAGAGCTCATCAACAGGGTCTACATAGAGCTAGTCAGGAAGGTTTACAGGTTCAAGGGCAGCCTGGTGAGACCAGCAGCATCTCCCAGAGAGCCCATGCCCGTGCAGCGTCCTAATGAGCCGCTTTTGTCTAGCTTCCATTTGCTCTTCCCTCCCAACTGAATTTAATGTCTTTCCATCCTCTGCCTCTAGTTAAGTTGTAACTGCTGTTATTCCACTGCAGCCAGGCAGCTGCCAGGGCCTGTTGGCACTGAACCCAGAGCCCAACCCAACTGATGTTCTCACTGAGCTTCTTGTCAGATGCCAGGAAAGAGGAGGCACATCATATTCCTTTTCTTCCCCAATAGTAGCTGCTTCCAGTGTGATCATGATGAGAGGAAAAGGCTGTGGGGAGAGTTAATTTGATGCTTGCTTGTGCAATGAAATGGCAATCAGGCAGATGGCCTTACTCTATGCATAGATTCTTCTTTGAGGTTTCTTCTCAGGACCCGGACCTCAGAGCTGCTTAAGCAATAGAGAGAATGATGGATGGCCAAGGAATTGGGATCTCTGGGTCTTTTGGGAGGGATGGGGAATATTATCACAGAGTTACAGAATGCCATTGCTGAAGAGGGCCTTAGGGATTACATTTAGTCCAAGGATTTTCAGACTTTTCTCTAACAGAAGAATTCTTTCTTCAAACCAAACCTTACATAGAATCCCTAAATATTAAATAGAAAAAAGAGCAGGGTTGGCTTGGTTGAAGGAGGAATAGAAGACTCCAAGTCCTAGTAGTTGGGTTGTCCTTTTACTCACTTCTCAAGGGCAGCTTCAGTGCCAGCTCTGGTCTACTGCTTGAAAGCCACTAGCCTGGCCAAATCTGTTCATTTTACTATGGAAGAAACAGGTCCAGAGAAGGGGAGTGGCTTTTCCAAGGTTGCTTGATTCTGCGCCAGTGCTTTTTTTATACAGTTGCCTCTTTTTGCATTTTGTTGTAAAAAATCAGAATCCTTTACATGGCATGAATTTTTCCAGTAACACTTTTGCGTAGAGCTTTTTAGTCTTATAAATGCTATTTCTGTAGTGCAGGGGCATCTGTTGTCAGATGCCAGGAAGGAGGAGGCATGTCAGAAACCCTAGTCTGCAGCTAAGGCCTGTCCTAGGATGTTGGGCATTGGTGGGGATGATGACCCACAGAGTCAGCTCCCCATTCTCTCCTTCTCCCATCTAGAGTTGAGCTTGCATACATTAGCTGCTGTTGCAATACTCCTGCTTTCAGAACCCTGAAATGGCCTGGCTTGGTTGCTATATAGTGATTTAACCACAGTAACCCTCAGTGAGTGGCAGGTTGTATTTTTATTGTTGAATTTTGTTATAATGACAACACCAGATAAACCTGAAAACGAAAGAGGATTCTCTTTAACTCTCAATTCTTCTCATGTTTATGAAATAGCGCTTAATTAAATAATGTCATTTTATCCTTATGAGTCTTCTTCCTCCTAACCACCTCACAGCCCTGTAGGGTGTGTTTAACCGTTGAATTGGGAGTCAAGAACTGAGAACTCTCACCCAGACCTTGGAAGTCGGAATGTCAGCCGTCTTTCTACTGCACAGCCAAGCCTATTGATGTGGTCAGATCTGCCCTCTGGACCACCTTCCTTTTCTGCCAAGCCTTGGGGCTGTCCATGGTGTGCTCATGTGCCTTCTCCTTCCCACAGCAGTGTTGTGACTTAGGCTACCATGCAAGTCTGAACCGGGCTCTACGCACCTTCCTCTCTGCTGAGTTAAACCTGGAACAGTCGAAGCATGAGGGTCTGGATGCCATCGAGAATGCAGTAGAAAACCTGGATGCCACCAGTGACAAGCAGCGCCTCATGGAGATGTACAACAACGTCTTCTGCCCCCCTATGAAGTTTGAGTTTCAGCCCCACATGGGGGATATGGTGAGGCCCTTTCCCTATACCCCCACCCTCAAGGGGCTTGAGTGGACTTGTCTAGATTAATTACACAGAAGGCACATTATTCTGGGGTGGGAGAGGCCTGGGCCCGGCTTTTTGTCAGGTGGGTGAGGCACATTCCCCTTATTGAGCAAACAGTTAGTGAGTGCCTGCTGTCAGACACTCGGGCTTGGGTGCAGACATGGGGGATTAAAGCCCTCGGGGAGCTTACAGTCTGGGGAATAAGGTCGCTAAGGCTTGAGGAGGGTTCGAACTATGCATAGAGAGGGGTATCCAAAGGGGCCCAGCAGGATCAAAGAAGGTGAAAAACAGCAGGTATATTCTAAAAACTACCAACAGTTCAGGATGGTGAAAGGAAAGTGAGGGAGGGGGGCGCTCCCAGTGGTGAGGCTAGAAGAAATGAGAGCTGAGGTGGGGCCACATCCTAGAGGCTTTAGTGGGGAAGCGAGGGCTAGGCAGGGAATGCTGTGATCTTTTGGCATTTGGCAGAGTTCTGAATAATCTTATTCTCCTGAAGTTAGAAGACTGTGATGAAGTGTATAGTTTTGTTTGGGTATTGAATAAAAAAGAATGGGTACCTGCAGGAAGGAAAGGAGCTAAGATGCTATCCCAAAGGCCTGATGCTGGTTGTCCAGACAGGGGAGCATGAACATGGGGGCCTTGTTTTGGACTCTTAGCCTCCAGTGACTAGAATAAAAAGGGCCTAAAAAAGCTAAAGTGAGAGGCAGGAGAAGCTCCTGGGTTTTCATTGTTCTGAATCTTTTGGTTCCACTTGTGTGGTTGTGTGTACAAGTCAGAGTGAACCTCATTCCTGTGGATAAGAGCCACCATTTCTCCTACTGGTGAAATTAGAAGGAGGTTGTATAGGGCTTATGCGATAGAAAAGATCAAGATGGACCTTTGGGTATAGTTGGCTTTAGGAGGAGGAATTTTACCAAGACACTGTTTTGCTGTCTCTGTACTACTTCCTGTGTGTTAACTCCATTCTCAGACAGGCCATTCTCCCATGGAGGCAAGGTGACTGCATTTCCAGCCTTCCCTGGTAGGTTGAAATCTAGTGGAAAGAGTCTCTGCCTCCCTCCTCAAAGCCCCCATAAAGTTTGTGTGTCTCATTGGTTTTGATTGGGTAAAGTGCTTATGCCTGGGTCCATGCAAAGCACGTGGCCTGAGTTGTGGAGTGGGAGGTTCCCCTCACCGAGGGCAGTTAGACCAAAGCTACCAAAAAAAGGAGGAGTGGACGCCGGGGACCAAAAAACAGCAACATGTGTGCTCCTCAGGAATGATGCTTCCCTTAAGATTAGCATCCAGACTCTAGAAATCCCCACTCCAGAATGACAGCTGTGGCAGTGGAACCAGAGGATTTGCTGTCATCAGTTGGCCTCTATGGAGAGTGAGACGCTGTCCTGGAGATAGAAATGTGGAGTTGGTTTCCTTCCTTTCCTTCTTGGGGAAAATCAAACCATTTACAGTTCATTTCCATTGCTGTGGCTTAGGAAATGTCAGTGTCTGAACAGATGGAGAAGTGAGATGGCAGCATGTGCAATTAGAATTGGGGGAAGGGGTGTCACCAAGCCTCAGGAAGCCCCATTCCTCACCTGCCCTGGCTTCTGGTCAAACTTGCCTTCCAAGCACCTTCTCCAGCTGTCACTGAGGTTCCTTCCCAGGGATCAGTGGAACTTGGGGACCAGCTGAGTGGAGTGATACATTTTCTGGTGTTAGTGACTGAGTTGCCTTCTGAGCCAAACAGCTTGTCTCCATAAAGGAGGAATCCAGATGCTGGGTGCTCAAGCCCCCTCCTCCCCCTGTCAGAGCCTTATTTCCATACTCCGGAGTGCAGCTGAAGTGTATTACCTTGCACCCTGGTAGCGGACCACTGCCAAAGCATGCATCATCATCAGCTCTGCTACTTCTTAAAGGAACAGGCTTGGAGGTGGTTTTTCCCTCCATGATTCCTCTCTGCTAGGTCTGGGTTACTTTAAAAATCAATAGCTCACTCTTCTGCCAGGGCCCTCCCTTTATGTAATATAGCTGATCAGTGGCTGAGCCAGGCAGGGGCCAGGACCAGTCCTGGAGCTTGTGAAGGTTCCGCATTCTAGCCTAGCCTTCATATGAGTGAAAATAAAAAGAGATGAGAGGGTGGGTCATTCTTGGCCTCTGCAGCCAGTCTATCCCCATCAGTGTGGGTTGTCTGCAGATTGTGGAGGCAACAGGAGGGAGCTGCCTGGAAGTCGTTGAACTAGGGCCAAAGATTGGGTAGCATTTTGACCGGAAGCCTTAAAATTGGCCAAGGTCCCACACTAACTGGTGTTCTGGGGTGCACAGCACATGAATTGATGCCAAGTGCTCTCAGATGTACTAGGAGGAGGTGCTTGGCTCCATTTTTGGTGCCCTCAGAGGCTGTGGGACTCTGGATGCCTGACTGGTGACATCAGGCAGCCAGAGAATTTCACTCTTGGCGCTAACCGGTTCTGGCCACTGAGCTTTCTCCATTGTGTCTGCTTATCCAAGAGTTAGAGTGAAGTCAGCTCTCTGTGGATCTGAGAGTTGGCTCAGGCCAGCCTCTCAGCTGGGGGAAGAGGTCAAGTCAGTTGGGAGCTTAAAAGCCAATGGAGGAAAAGGTCAAGTCCCAGCCCCCTCCATTTGAAGAAAGGTTTTTTCTTTTCAAGCAAGGGAATGGTCCGTGGGCATGTGAATGTGCCCACTCTTTGCTGAGGAGGAAGGAGGCCATTTCTATCCAGATGTCTCTCTGCAGGCAAGAGGCTAAAGGACGAACGGTAACAAGGTGACAGGAGCTGTCTCCACATGGGTCCTGCCTCCCAACTCTCTCAGCCTTCTGCTCCTCATCTGTCATCCAGGGGACTGTGGATGACCTCATCCCATAACCACATCTCCAATGGGAGACAGTGGAACAGCCATTCCTTCACACAGGGGAAAGCTAATTGGCAATAATCCTTGCGGGAAGGTCAGACTCCTCTCTTACAGATCTAGGGAAGGCCTGGTAAAATGATGGCTCTTTGGAAAATGCCAAGCTCCTTCAGATTCCATACCCTCTCGGGCCCTCTAGCATAGGCAACGAACTTGTTCCTGGCTTCACGCTTTCTCATTGAATCAAAGCTCTCGTGCATGGCCTGGATTTGTAAACACATGCTGGCTGCCAGCAGTGGCAAGTTAGCCTCCTGACCCACTTCTCTCCTGCTTTCACTCTGGTGTATGAAGGGGGATGAGGGAGGGGCCAGAGAGGTGGCCACTTGGACCTTTGGCAGGAAATCTTCACTGTGCCAAAGCATTGTGTTTCTGGAGCCGGAGCTGCCTGAGGCACTCTTCTCCAGCCTCCTCAGCCTTCCATGGAGCTGCAGACCCTACCTAGACCTACCCCTGCCGGGCTCCAAACAGATCCCCCTACCCATTCCTTTCATGTACTGTTTGGTCCTGGAAGAGGCTCACACAAGTTGGCTTTGGGTTTTGCTTCAACATAGAAACCACGAGCCTTATACCTTGAATATGGGTAGTTTCATTGCCAGTAATGGGAACTCTGGAACTGCCAAAGGGACTGTATCCTCTTTCTGACCTGGTGTTGCTTTCTTTTGTTAGGCTTCCCAGCTCTGTGCCCAGCAGCCTGTCCAGAGTGAGCTGCTACAGAGATGCCAACAACTGCAGTCTCGCTTATCCACTCTAAAGATTGAAAACGAAGAGGTGAGTTTCTTCCTTAGGAGGCTCAAAGCCACACTCTTAGTTTCCCTGTTGAAACTTTTGCTGCTGCCCGTCTGGGAGCAGGTGGAAGGAGCATGCAGAGAATGTCCGGGCGGCCGCAAACATTTCCTAGCCAAATGTAGGCTTGGACTTTCCCCCTCTGCTACATCCTGCCCTTGAACTCCAGGAAGTTGCTCTTGCATTGCCAAAGGTTGTGCTCTATTTTGAGCTTTTGCGAAATGCTTTTTTTCCCCTCTACACATTTAATCAAAATGGCACTTGGCAGCTGTGTGAACAATATTGTGTCTCTGAAACCACCTCCTCATGCCTAGCTTTTTCCAGCATGTTCAAACAAACAGAGGCCTTTGACTTTGACACTTCAAACATCTCCATCCTCTTAGGAAAGGGTGAGTTTCTTCTGGGCTCAGTGTATTTGCTTTCAAAAAGCGGTTCAAAAGGGCGGGTGATCCAGCTTTCTGTTGAGCTCAGATGGCTTCTTACCTTGTGTCTCAGTAAGTCTTACTTTCTGCAGGAAGATCAGGAAGAAGTAGGGATAGGTCACTTAGTTTGCAAATGAGCAAACAAGTTCATCAGTTTGTTGAAGGTCATGAAACAGAACCTGGGGCTTTGCAGTACTAGGCCCATCACACATTTTAATTAGCTGTTTGTATGAGGGGGTTGGTTTAGATTTATTTTATTCTCTTTCCCTTAAAACTTCTATTATAATATTGTTATATAATATTATAATAATGCTAATATTAAATTTTAAAAGTAAACATTAAAAGATCTGGGTCAAGTACATAGCATGAAGGGTTGTAGTGGCTTTTAGGTTTTCATTGTAGAGAGTAGCATGCTGTAGCAGAGTCCATGTGATGTTTACCTCTCACTTAGCACTGTCCAGTGGGAAGCAGAGCTGCACACTCTGATGGCATCCTGTGGCCTTCCCCAGCCCACTCTCTTCAAGCTTCTCCATCACCTGCTGTTTAACAACCCACCCTTCATGCATCCTGTTGGCCCTTGTCGTGGCAGGTAAAGAAGACAATGGAGGCCACCCTGCAAACCATCCAGGACATTGTGACTGTCGAGGACTTCGATGTGTCTGACTGCTTCCAGTACAGCAACTCCATGGAGTCCGTCAAGTCCACGGTCTCTGAAACCTTCATGAGCAAGCCCAGCATTGCTAAGAGGAGAGCCAACCAGCAAGAGACAGAGCAGTTTTATTTCACAGTAAGGGAGTGCTATGGCTTTTAAAGAGCGTCAGCATGCACTGCAGCACTCAAGGGAGATTTGGAACTCAGAGTCCTTGTTAAGTGTCTGAAGGACAGGCGTTGAATATCTTAGATACGAATGTGGGCATACTCAGAGACCATCCCTACAGTTAAAGGTGCAAACATTAAAAGTTGTATATGTCTAACAGGGATCCGCCCAAGAGAAAGGATGCTCCCAAGTATACAACTAAGAAGATTTTCTTTTTTAAGAAATTTTTAACTAGCTAGTAGGCTTTCACTGGAAAGTTTCCTTCTCAGGCACAGGGGATCCTGAAAGGGGAACTTCATCTTTTAGTTCTTGGAGAGTACATACAAATATTCATAATAACACATATTTTGTTTATAAAAATCTATAATCTCTTCTAGGTGATATGATGACATTATTTTATAACTTTTATTGTTGGGAAACTATTTTTTCTAATTATTGCTAAAACTTAAAGGATGGGTAATATGCAGCATTACTATTTTGCACATAATTCCAAAACATCGTATTTTCTTATTCATGTATCTCTAGTCTTCTTTTAGACAGTTGGACCCTTTTTTCTTTTTCTTTTTTTTTTTTTTTTTTTTTTTTTTTTAAGTATTGTTAACAATCCTTTGGAAGTCACTACTGGTCTTTGTGTGCTGCTTTTTAATAATTGAGTTATTTTGAGCTTGCCAAGTAGGATCTATTGCCTGGACTAAAATTTATTTCCTAATCTTCTGATGACCAAGAAAGGAAAAATTAAGTTTGCAGATGTGAGATGAAATATAGCCAGTGAATATGCATACTGATTCTGAATGAAAGGAATTAACTTTTCAGTCAAGAAACAGTCTGCATGCAGTAAATTGAATTTTTCCTGCAACTGGAATGATTTGTTTAATTCTTCTTTGAACACTGCCCTTTCTCCAGTAAGAACACTAATGATTTGCTAATATTTTTTAAAGAAATCTGTTTTTTTAATTAGTTAAGCTCAGACTTCCTCTTATTTTTTATCCTAGAGAAAACTGCTAAAAGGGAATGATATATCAGTACTATTCTTCTAAAACAACTTTTTAAAAATGATTATACAAAGCCAAATATGCTCATTATATAAAATTTAGAAGCAAAAAGAAGGAAATAAAAATTTTCCATAATTCTACCAGCTAGAGATAATGGTGTTAGAATATATTCCTTTCTAATCTGTTTTCTATGCATGCACAAACACATATGTGAGCACATATTTATAATTTTATTCTAAAAAATAGGATACTGCTGTACATATTGTTTTACAATCTAAGTCATATAATTATAATATTCTTTAAGCATATTTATGAGTAAAATATTAAAACCTATACAAAAAAATAATAGAATGGCATTTTAGCTCATTCATTGATTTTTATAAAATATTTAACACACTCCCTGGTTTGTAGTTAGCGTTCAATAAATGCTAAAAATTTATCTTCACCATCATCATTAATTTATTTATTAATCATTATTAAATTATTCATTGATCATTTTTTGAGGATTTACTATTGCCAGACACTGTGCTACAAGCTGGGAATGCTGACAGTATAAGATAAAGAGGGAAATGATGGGGGATGGGTCATGTAAAGGGAGAACTTTCATTTTTACTTCATATATATCTAAGCAGTTATAATAGGTTGATTTTTGTAATTTAAAAAATGTAAAAATGCATACATGCACTAGTGCATGAATGGCAGCCAGGATGAGTGGAATTGGAGAAGCATCACACACACAGTGACTTTTGTGTTTGATCTTGAAGAATGAGCGAACCAGGCAGGGAGTCGGGGAGGAGAATCGCATTCCTTGAGGAAAGAGCAGCATGTGGGAAAACATAAATGCACGCAATAACCTGGCTCACATGTTAAGAGAACTTTCTGACTATAATGAGGGATGTGTTGCTGCCCCAAGCTTCATTATCTAAGGAGTTTGTTGAACACTCTCTAGAGGCTTTTAATAATAGGATTGTTTAGCTGGTCTGTCTGGACTGGTTAGATATAACACTATTTAAATGACCCAATCTCATTACATTGTGAAGATTTCCATTTTTTAGGTTACGTAAGAAATTTTGGACCTAAAAATCTTGCATTTTAAGACAGTCTTTGTCAGAATTACTTTTTGGCTCTAAATGAATTCTGTAACATTTGTATTCTAAATTGACCTTTAGTAAAAGCAGGAATGGCCATATTCAAACTGGTAACCTCGCAAATCCTGCCCACCCTTTCACTTTCTGTCTCAATACATTGATGTCCTCTAACCCATTTCCTGTCTTATGTGGCTTTAGTGCCACTTATCAAAATTGTGTGCAAATTTCCTTGGCTAACAGTAACAGTTTTTGTCTGGGCTTGTCTAGCAGTGGAATTCTGCCTGAGTTCATCATTTTTGTGACTGGTACTTGAAGTGCATCAGATGATTAATTTCATGATAAGAGGGCTTTTTGGGGTGGTGAAATAGACATTTATGGAAAATGGGATACCCACATTAAGCAGGGTGACTACCTGTTTACCATACAACCCACACAAAGCCAATACAACTATAGATGTGCTTTATTTAGTCTGTTGCCTCTGCAAACATTGCCCGTGTGTTTCTCTATGCCCTTCAAAAACATCAGAGCAGCACATCCTGGAAGATCCTATCTTTTGTAAGTTTAAGAAGCAGCCTCTTGTCACAGGTTGACTCCTAGGTAGTGTGCCTAGTGACCAAGAGGGCTGCTAAGAAAGCTTTCTGACCACTTGTGGCTGTCATTGGACTGATTTGCCCAGATGACATCAATTGGGAATTTGAGGCATGACCTATAAAGATCAGTTGCTTGCAAGAGTCTCAGGAAAATAATTGTGGAGTTAAGAAACTTGAAGCGATTTTTAAAAATTACCTAACCCAACCTTCTCATTTGAAAAATTAAAAAATAAATAGGCCAGATATGGCGGCTCATGCCTGTAATCCCAGCGCTGTGGGAGCCTGAGGCGGGTGGGTCTCTTGAGGCCAGGAGTTCAAGACCATCCTGGACAACATGGTGAAACCCTGTCTCTACTAAAAACACAAAAATTAGCTGAGTGTGGTGGCAGGCGCCTGTAATCCCAGCTACTCAGGAGGCTAAGGTGGGAGGATTACTTGAACCGGGGAGGCATAGGTTGTAGTGAGCCAAGATCGTGTCACTGCACTCCAGCCTGGGTGACAGAGTAAGACTCTGCCTAAAAAAAAGAAAGATTAAAAAATAAATAAATCTGCTGGGCGTGGTGGCTCACGCCTGTAATCCCAGCACTTTGGGAGGCCGAGGCGGGCGGATCACCTGAGGTCGGGAGTTTGAGACCAGCCTGATCAACATGGAGAAACCTCGTCTCTACTAAAAACACGAAAAAATTAGCTGGGCGTGGTGGCGCATGCCTCATTCACGTACATGGGAGAGTCTACAAAGTCACACGTATTCATAGGTTAAGCCACATGCTGACAAATGTCATAAGAAGACCCTACACTTTTACCTTGGCCGATCCCTCCCCTCAGTGCAAGCTCTGTGCAAGAGTGAACTTGAACTTCACTCAGTGCAAGAGTGAACACACACTTTGTGCCGGCTTTAAAGAACCCAGCACAAAGCCAGTCTGCATGGCCTACAGACATATTTTGCTGGACAATGATTACTTGCTTTTCTTTTTGTTTTTCTTGTATTTGCCTGTTTGATTGGCTCCTGACATACCAGAAAATCACTGTCAAAACATTAGCTTAACATTTGTTAAGGAAACAAAAAGACTTCGGTGACCACACCTTATAAACCAAACAGTTTTGTAAATCACTTTGGAAAATTTCACTAAAAAAAAAAATCCTTAACAATATAATAAGTAAAGAAAATTTAAAACCACAAAACATCACTGTGTTTGTAGGGGGAGGTCTGATTTACAGAGTAACCACATAGTAATTATAATTATTAGAATGTCCAGTTTTCAAAAAACGTTACAAGGCATACAAAGAATGGGAAAGTGTGGCTCATTCAAAGGAACAAAATAAAGTGACAGAAAATATCCCTAAAGAAACCCAGACATCAAACTTACCAGACAAAGACTTTAAAACAACTGTCTTCATTATACTCAAATGTCAAAAGGAAAACATAAACAAAGAAATAAAGGAATCAGAAAAAATATTAAAAAGTAGGAATATCAGCAAAGAGATAACAAATTCTGGAGTGGAAAACTACAATGATAAAAATTTAAAAATCACCAGAGGGATTTAAGAGTATATTTGCACACACAGAGGAAGCCATGAACTTGAAGAGAAGAAAATGGAAAATACTCTGAGAAACAGAAAGAATAAAAAATAAACAATGAGCAGAGACTAATGAATCTGTGGGACATCATCAAATAGACCAACATTCATATTCTAGAAGGATAAATTATGTTGTTAAAAAGTTTACCATTCTTTCTTTTCACCTTTCTTCCTTCTTCCTTCCCCCTCCTCCTCCTTTTTACTTTTCTTCCTCTTCCTTTCTCTTCTTCTTTCTCTCCTTCATTATCCCTTTCGCTGTCTCTCTTTCTCCCTTTCTCTTTTTTCTTTTCTTTCAATTTTCTCAATTACTAAGAGATGTTTAAGTACCCTTAGCATGTTAGTAGATACGGTTATTTCTCCCTTTAGTTCTCTTTTGAGATTTATAGTCACTCAAATAAAGAGATAACCCAAACATAAGCGTCACAAACAGGCTTTCATACCATTCTTAATTTGGTCCTGTAATTCTTCATTGCTGTATTAATTTTCTGATGCTTTTAAGGATGTTTTATAACAAATTGTGTAGCTTTTTCCAATGGAATGTTTATTCTGAATTATCTAATTCATATTGTAAGTATAGAGGGAGTTTAATATAAAATTATTAAACTAATATTTGTGAAAGAATGTATTTGTGCATTTAACAAATATGTTAATCCTCAGACTGTTATTGGGCAGCTGAGCATACAGGAATAAAAATAACACAATTTTTATGTGTACAATATTTATGGAATACGTTACTGGACCCAATAAATAATTTAGTTAATAACATGACAAAGAACAGAAATTGTATACACTATAGAGCATAGTAATGGAATAATGAATGATTAAAGTTATTAATATTAGGTAGAAAATGAAGGGTATCTTTGAGAGCAGAATTCAAGGAAGCAAGCAATTCGCCTTATCAGGAAAGAGTTACCTGTGGATAAAGGAGAAACTGAAAAATTTACAAGTCAAGACTTTTTGAGCAAAAACAAAAATATGACTATTAGTCACCAATTCAGTACAGTGAAAAAAATGTTGAAGAGATATCTTGGAAGTAAACCATGTTGTGGAAGAGCATGTAGGGTTTTGATAATCATGGGATGATTCTGAATTAATTTTAAATGCGATAGGAATATATGAGATAATTTCACCAGAGAATAATATGATTGTGTTTGCATTTCAAAGGGGTGTATCTGGTGCACTGTGTAGAATAAATAGGTTATGTGAGCAAATAAATTGGGAGGCTACTCTAATCCAGCGAAAAAAGGTAGTGACTTAGGTGAGAATGCTGTCAGCATGAGTGGTAGTAGTGGTGAGAAGTCGTTAGGCCATGGATGTATTTCATAGGACTGGCCAAGAGAACTGCAGCTAAATTGGAGTGTAGGGAGTGAAATAGAGAACTCAAAGATGACTCTCAGCAATGGAAGGTGACAGCTGTCACTGAAGCATGCTGATGCCTCTTATTAAGAGAGTTACTTGGGAATGGCAAGATCAAAACTTCTCACTTTCAAATTTATGGAAAATATTGTTTTCAGAACGAGTGACTTTGGGATCAGAAAGCCACCATTCTAATTGATGGTTCCACGACTACACGGGCTCACACTCGCAAGAGCAAAAGTAAATCATCACAAAGGTGCTTCTTGATAATTCTAGAGAATGGAGAATTACTGTAACATCTTTCTGATTTTAGGAGAGGTAGCAGTTCCCTTTTTAGCCTAAACGCTATTTCTTTTTAAAGCTCAGCCAAGAGACTCCATTATAATTTTCAAATGTGTGTAACTTAAATTCTCATATGAAATACCACTGTGCTTAAATTAGTCAAAACATTTTCCCCATCTACAACTCTATCTTGTCATTGTAATCATTTTCACAAAAGTGACTGCAGCTCTCAGACCCTAAAAAGAGAAAATCCAGGGTAGTTTATCTGATCTAGTTAGTTTCGAAGACAGGATCTAGAGATTATTTAATATGAAATGGGTCACCTGAAATGAAGTGTTTACTGAAAACAGCTTGGATCAGCCCAGTTTTCTACCACTGAACCATGCATTTGGTTTAAAAAACACAACAACTCTGCGGAATATCGGCTGCTTCCAACTGTGTTGAAGGTGTTAAAGAAAAGAGCATAAAATTAAAAATGATCATCTGAGGCCTTTATAGTCTCTGCTCAAGAGACTAGAGTTTTCCATTCTTAACGGAACACCCAAATATCTTAATAATTGGGCAAAATCTAAATATCAGAGATAATTTTATCTTGAAGATTGTTAAATTATAACGGTGATTCACTAGCTTGCCACGTCTCTGAGTCAAAAATTAGGTCTTTGTTTAGGAATCAATCATAATCTGCAATTTGGAAATAGGAAGATTTTAGAAGACTCAGACATTGACTTTCTTGTGTGCAAAAAAAAAGACGTATTGAGATAAGACAAGTCTTTCCTTGCAAGGATACCTCTAATGCTCATACACCACCTCCCCTAACATTAATAGAGCTTCCAGGTCACTAACCAGTGTCAGAGAGCAGCCCACGCAACCAGAAATTCAAAAGATGTCGAACATAGGGTCAAGCTTAGAATAAGACGTCTTAGCTAATTAAGTATGCTTTTTTCCCGAAATTCATATTAACAAAATCTTGGATATGTCAGAGAATGCATTCTAAGTTCACTCAACCTAGGAGGGAGAAACATAATTTTAAATTAAGAGCTGAAGCATTCTTGTCCTAACACAAAGCAAGGAAAACGAAATATCACACCACAGGAGGGATTTCACAAATTTGCGTCAACATCAAAACCTTAAAATAGGCAAGGAGAATGCAGATTCACAATGAACTCCTGTACTTGTTTTGTTCAGAGAAGAGATGGTTCTGAGAGAATGACAGTGAACCAACCCCAGCTGGTTTAGTTGGTGCTTTCAACTGCTGCTTCTGATCAACTCCTTTAGCTAGAATAAATTGATGAGGATTTTGGCATGTGGTATTAGAGATGGTTATTAATTTTTTCCTCTTATTTGCATTGTTCAATGTAGTAAATACTAGCTGCTACTTCAATTCAAATTAATTACAATGAAATATACTTAAATGTTGAATTTTTTAGTCACTGTTGGTTCATTATTGAATATCTTCAGCTAAGATTTCCCATCTAAATACACTAAGAGGTGGCTTAGTTAACTGGTCGTCCACAAATATTGAAGCTGTTGTTAACTCCTGATATATTCTCTGCAAAGAGAATATTCATGAGCCTCCTCCTGAAATCAGCAGCCCAGAGATAGTTTTATAAATTGGATACAAGTTGGAAATCTATATACTCTTTCAGTTTTTGAAATATTAGCTTCCCAGGGAAGAAAATCAAATTCATAAGATATGTTAGGACAATTTAACTCAAGATGTTCAAAACTGAAATGACATGTTCTACAATATGTGATAAAACCAACCCCTAACAAAGCAAAACAGGGATTGACCTTAAAGACCTGCCTTTTCCTCATGCCCCAGCCAATCAGTTTTCAAATCTTGCATTTTATTTTGAAAGGTCCTTATCCCCCGGTCTCTTGTTTCTAGACTTCGCACATATTTAAGTTTGTTACCTCTATCTACTGTCTTTTCTCTCTTCAAACAGTATCTATGCCTGCCAAATGTGAACATACAAAAAACAAATCAGAATATGCCATTCTGATTTAAACTGCTTATTAGTTAATACCCTCAAGATAACATCTGGGTTCTTAGCTGCAATGAGTCAAGCTTACTTACATCTTTTTTTCTCTTTGGCTGCACATTTCCTATCACATCACACTCCAGCAATACCAAACTGTGCCGTCCTTCTACCCCATCTCCACTATTTTGCCCCCCACCGCCGTGGCTTTTCGCCCCCCGCCGCGGCTTCCCCCCCCCACCCCCCACCCCGCCTCGGCTTTTTGACCGCCTGGGCTTTTTGCCCGCCGCGGCTTTTTACCCCCCGCCGCCGTGGCTTTTTGCCCCACTGCCGCCGCGGCTTTCTGCCCCCACCCCGCCTCGGCTTTTTGCCCCCACCCCGCCTCGGCTTTTTGCCCGCCGCGGCTTTGTTGTGACCCCCCTCGCCGCCGCGGCTTTTTGCCCGCCGCGGGCTTTTGCCCCCCGCCGCCGCGGCTTTTTCCCCACGGCGGTTTTTTGCACCCCCCCTCCCCCCCCGCCGCCTCGGGTTTATGCCCACCGCGGCTTTTTGCACCCCGCCGCCGCAGCTTTTTGTCCGCCGCGGCTTTTGCGCCCCCGCCGCCGCGGCTTTTTGTTGCCGCGGCTTTTTACCCGCTCCAGCTTTTTGCCCCACCGCCGCCGCGGGTTTTTGCCCGCCCCGGCTTTTTGCCCGCCCCCGGCTTTTTGCCCCCACGGCGCCTCGGGGTTTTGCCCGCCCCGGCTTTTTGCCCACCCCCGCCGCCGCGGCTTTTTGTTCCCCGCCACCACGGCTTTTTGCCGGTCACGGCTTTTTGCCCCCCCGCCACCGCAGCTTTTTGCCTCCCCCCGCCGCCGCGGCTTTTTGCCCTCCCCCCGCCACCGCGGCTTTTTGCCCCCCCCCCCCCCGCCACCGCGGCTTTTTGCTCCCCCCCCGCCACCGCGGCTTTTTGCCCGCCGCGGCTTTTTACCCCCTGCCGCCGCGGCTTTTTGCTTGACGCAGCTTTTTGCTCCTCCCACCGCTGCCGCTTTTTGCCCGCCCCGGCTTTTTGCCCCCCACCCGCCGCGGTGCCGCGGTTATTTGCCCGTCGCGGCTTTTTGCATCCCCGTCGCCGCGGCTTTTTGCCCCTTTTCCGCCGCGGCTTTTTCCCCGCCCCGGCTTTCTGCCCGCCTCGGCTTTCTGCCCCCCGCCCCCACGGCTTTCTGCCCGCCGCGGCTTTTTGCCTCCGCTGCTTTTTGCATCCCCGCCGCCGTGGCTTTTTGCCCGCCGCGGCTCTTTCCCCCCACCGCCGCGGCTTTTTGTCGCCGCGGCTTTTTGCCAGCCGAGGCTTTTTATCCTACGCCGCCGCGGCTTTTTGCCCGACCCGGCTTTTTGCTCCCCCGCCGCCGCGACTTTTTCACCCCCGCCGCCGTGGCTTTTTGCCGCCCCGGTGCCGCGGTTATTTGCCCGTCGCGGCTTTTTGCACCCCCGTCGCTGCGACTTTTTGTCCCCCTGCCGCCGCGGCTTTTTGTCCCCTGCCGCCGCGACTTTTTGCCTCCGCGGCTTTTTGCCCGACCCGGCTTTTTGCCCCGCCGCCGCGGCTTTTTGCATCCCCGCCGCCGCCGTGGTTTTTTGTCGCCGCGGCTTTTTGCCCCCCTCGCCGCCGTGGCTTTTCGCCCCCCACGGCTTTTGCCTCCTCGCTGCCACAGCTTTTTGCCCCCCGCCGCCGCGACTTTTTGCCCCCCTGCCCCCCCGGATTTTTCCCCCCTGCGGACGCGGCTTTTTGTCGCCCCTCCCCCACCCCTCCCCCCCCCCCCCCGCCGCCGCGGCTTTTTGCGTCTTTGTGCCCCCGCCGCCGTGGCTTTTTGCCCGCGCCACCACTGCTTTTTGCACCTTTTTGCCCCCGCCGCCGCGGCTATTTGCCCCCCGCCGCCGCGACGTTATATGGTTTTTTGCTCCCACTGCTTTTTGCCTCCGCCACCGCAGCTTTTTGCGCGTCTCGGCTTTTTGCCCCACCAGCGCCGCGGCTGTTTGCCCCCTGCCACCACGGCTTTTTCCCCGCCGCGGCTTTTTGCCCCCCCCGCCGCCTCGGGTTTATGCCCGCCGCGGCTTTTTGCCCCATGGCCATCCTCAGAAGTGTGAGTGGAACAGAGTGAAGGGAAAGCTGTTTTCTTCGAAAGCTCAAAAATCTTGAACTTTCAAATAGGGATAAGTGTTATTTTTGCTCCAAGCACACATTTGAGAAATCTTCCATTTAGCGGATCTGATGATAAACCCACATTTTTGTTTGTTTTAATCTGAAAATGTATTTGTATGGTTCTTGGAAATATTTTTTTCATATAAAATTATAGTGTATCAGCTTATTTCAAGTTTTATTTACCATTTGATAATTACTCCTAAAATGTCATTGATTAAAGAAAGAATCATCTATTGCTCCAACTGCCCTTTACTAAAGGTAATTTGTCTTTTTAACCTCATCAGGCTCCTTTTAAGCTCTCAAACTGACCTTTTTTTTTTTTTACAGATTCAATGCATTAAGTCAATTTATTACTTATGATGAATTTATTTATGTATTTATTTTCGCTATCACAAGTAGAAAAAGCCTATAAGTTGCTATGCCAAAAACCTGCCTCTAGATGGCAAACAAACCCCGCAATACACAAAAGAGAGCCAAATTCTTAGAAACCCTGGGAAAGGAAGAGGGCTACTGTCCCATTAACAACTTGGAGCCCTTAAGCCAAGAATGAGGTGGAACATCTGGGAGGAGACACAAGGGTGCGGAGTAGTGGGGAACCTGCTCTGTGCTCTGAGACTGAAAGCCCAGCCTTGCCTCTCACCGCTGCCTTGACTGTGTCCCCATCTGCTGTGAAGTGAATGGTGTCTTCTAAATTCGTGCTGAGCCCTAATTGCTGAAAACTGTAAGACATGCAATGGGGGGATTATGTGCATCTTCCCGACACCAACATGATGCTCAGGAAGGAGACTTCTTGTTTTCTCTTAGGATTCTTTTACTAACCAAGATTTTGCCTCTACTGCATATTTCCCTTTGCTGATTGTCCCTCCCTTTTGACAGAAGATGGCCCAGGGCATTCACTACTAAGTCTCAACCTCTTACCCAAAGCCCTCAGTCTAGTGTTGCTCTTTCCTTCGTGCTATTTTTGTTTCTTTCTTTTCTTGTAATCATCTTGGCAATAAAATAATCAGTTTTTTCTTTCTACCTATTAAAGATGTTACCTTAGTTAATTACAGGGGTTTCCTTCAGAATGATAAATGGTCTTTCAAAATGATGTAAAGAGATCTAAATCCGTGTGCTCCAGAACTTGAATGAAGCTCTGTCTAGCACGGGTGCCAGTGACTCTCCCAGAGTGCTCCATGCAGCTGGACCCACAGAGTCCCTCTGTGCTGTCATATCACCCACTGCCTTCTGTGAATGAGATATTCTGATTAGAATCCTGGTGGATGCTATTTGAGCCAGTGCCCCCACAACTCCTACGAAAGCCGAGGACCACAGGCCCCTGAAGACAATCACAGGTCTCTAGACTCACAGCTCATGACCGTCCTCTGCAGACACAGCTTCTCCCCGGATGGCTGAGGGTTGTCATTGGCTGTGTCCTTCCTTGTGCATGACAACAGGAGACATAGAAGGTCTGTAAGCAGCCCTGCAAGCCAGGTTCTGAGCAAGCCCTCCTGTGTGGGGCCCTCTTACCTGGACATAGGTGTGTAAACCAAAAATGAAACTCTAAGCTCCCTAACCAACTGAATGAACTCCTCCTCTCAGCCAAGCACACACCAAAATCAACCTGAAATACAATGCAGCCCATGATCGGAACGGATGATTGGATATGCCTTAACTTACCCTCTTCCCTTTAAAATTCAGGCACAACTGACCAGCTTTTAATATGAAGACAGAGACCTTGAGACTGACAAAGAAAACTCTTTATAGCAATAAGATACCAATGTGACAGATACCACGTCCTAAGAGAAATCAAAGTATTTTCCCCAAGATATTGTTATTTAATGTATTGAAAAATGCCTCTGCAAAGCTGGTTCTTGTGGGAAAAATCTACATTCTGTAGAGACTCCTTTTTAAGTCTCTTTCCTGACCCAGAGAGATTTAACTAAGAGTTTGGCACCTTTTAAGTCTACTAAGAAACAATTACAATCTATTCTCTCTGAAGCCTGCTACCTGGAGGCTCCATCTGCATGATGCAACCTTGGCTCCAAAACCCTTTTTCTAAACCCAGAAACTCCCTTGTGTTGATTACAGGTCATTAGATAAACTCTTTCAACCACCTATGAAATCTTTGAATCCACCTATAACCTGGAAGTCCCCAACATCCCCCCTCCTTCGGGCTGTCCTGCCTTTTCATGTCAAAGCAATGTACAGCTTACACGTATTGATTGATATCTTATGTCTCCCTAAAACGTGTAAAACCAACCTGTAGCCCGACGACCTTTGACACACGTTCTCAAGACCTCCTGAGGCTGTTTCACTGATATTTCTTTAACTTTGACCAAGTAAATTTCTAAACTGATTGAGACTTTTCTCAGATACTTATTTGTTTATAGGTATCACTGGATACACTTAAGGAATTGAAGAGATTTATGACATTGAGAAAAGGAGGAAGCCAGGGTGTGTGGACATAGAGAGAGAGAGAGAGAGAGAGAGAGAGAGAGAGAGAGAGAGATTGTGATGTATGTACAGGACTAACACTGAGACCTGGTTATGTAATGGTGTAGTACTGAGTATCATCCCCAAATAGTGAGGTTTCATTCCATGAAGACTATGCATGTATCTCATTTGGGAAAACAGCTTTTGCAGGTGTAAATTAAGGAGCTTGAAACAGGGAGATGGTCTTAGATTAATCAACTGGGACTTAAATGCAAACTCAAGTGTCCTAAAAAAAACAAGAGGTAGAGAGACATTTAGCATAGACTGAAGTGGAGAAGGCAGTGTGAACACAGAGACAGAGATTGCAGTGATGTGTCCACATCCCGGGAGAGAGAAGCCACCAGAAGCTGGAAGAGCTAAATCAGACTGCTCCCTAGAGCTTCAGAAGGAGCCAGAACTGATGACTCCAAGATCTTAGCCCAGTGAAACTGATCTGGACTTCTGAACTATGAGAGATTCCATTCCTGTTGTTTGAAGCTACCACATTTTTGAGAACTTGTTACAGTAGCCCGAGGACACTAACACAAATGGGCTCCAGGAAAATCCAGACTAAAGGTGTTGTGTTGGTTTGCAATCTCCTTGCTTAACTTTCTGATACTAGACGTAAATAGATTGGTGAAAAATTTTGTGATTGAAGAAATGTACATGAAACCTACAGTGTACAGAGAAGCATCTGTTAGTTATAAGATAAATACTGATAATTTTAGTTGAAAATGACATATGACTGTTAATATCTCACATAACATTCTGAGTTACTCAAGAATGCATAAAAGAGGCACTAGATACTCTTCTCATGTATGTGTGTGTGTCTGTCTATACATGGATGTACACTTCATGGTGCATCAGCTGGCGGAACCCTCAGGACACCCCTTCACATCCTCAGTGCCCCATTTCACACATGAGGAAACTGTTCATGACAGCACATGGCTGATTTGCATAAAAGTCACTTGGTCAGCAGTTGTCGAAGCTGAAATTGGAATCTAGGTCTGTCTGACCTTAACTTATGTTCCTTCCACAGAGCCACGTTCATTCCATAGAGGGACCCACCACCTATAAAACCAGAAAAGAGACAAAGCCAGAAGTGCAGGGTGGATTTCTTAACACAAGCTCACTACGACCTCTAGTCCTCATCACGCTGACACTAAGCTTAAACCCAGACCCTTCTACAGTTTTGTCTACAAAGCACAATTTGCCCAAAGCCTTTACAAACACCAACAGCCTTTCTTTCAGATATGGCAGCAGGGTCACATCTTACACGGCCCTGACCACATTTTGTCTCCTCTGCCATCCCCATCTCTCTGACTCAGTCCTCGCTTGCAGCCATGAAAAAGGATGAGTTCATGTCCTTTGTAGGGACATGGATGAAGCTGGAAACCATCATTCTCAGCAAACTATCGCAAGGACAAAAAACCAATCACTGCATGTTCTCACTCATAGGTGGGAATTGAACAATGAGAACACTTGGACACAGGAAGGGGAATATCACACACCGGGGACTGTTGTGGGGTGTGGGGAGGGGGGAGGGATAGCATTAGGAGATATACCTAATGTAAATGACGAGTTAATGGGTGCAGCGCACCAACATGGCACATGTATACATATGTAACAAACCTGCATGTTGTGCACATGTAACCTAGAACTTAACAATAATAATAATAATAAAAAGAATGGGTCTTGTACATCCAATTTGCCCTATGAATGTTAAAACAGCAAACCCGCATCCCCTTCCTCTTCTCATGTGCTGTGAGAGATGACCTCCAGGCTCTCAGATACCAAGATTGTACAAGACCTAACCCAGAGAATTACTCAAGACACTTTCTACGTAAGAAGAATTGTGGTACTAGCTCTCCTCATAGAAAAATGTTTTCTGTCTCTTGTTGAAATTGACAGCAAACACAAAAACACAGAACTACTTGGGAGAACAGAGGACAGTGATACACTAGGGAAGTAAAACACACCCCTTCCCCTTGCATTGGTTTCCTGTTGCTGCTGTAACAAATTACCACAACTTTACTGCTCCACATCACACAAGTGTATTATCTTACATTTCTGGAGGTCAGAAGTCTCAATGAAGTAAAATCAAGGAGTAATAGGGCTCTATTCATTCTAGGCTTCAAGAGAGAGAATCCAATGTCGAGCATTCCATCTTTCTGATGTTCCCACATTCCTAGCAGCATGGCCCCTTCCTCCATCACTCCAGTTTCCCTGTCCATTGTCCCAGGTCCTCTCTGGCTGTTACCTTCCTCCCTCCCTATTGTAAGGACCCTTGTGATTATGATGGTCTCACCCAGATAATTCAGGATATTCTCCTGACCTCAAAATTCTCAACCATGTCTGCCAAGTTATTTTTGACTTGTTCATAAGTAATGATCATAGATTCCAGATATTAGGACAATGATGTCTTTAGTGGGTGTATTATTCATTCCACAAACAACTCTCATCATCCACACAATGGCCTTCCCCTAAGGTAGAATAAAAATATCACAAGGCAGATTTATGAGGCGATCGACCTAGAAAAAACATGAGACTCTAGGACTGTCTGATGTGTGGATGTCAAATCCTGGGAGATTCTGAGCCTCTGCTCTATGTGGACTCTATATTGTGTAGCCATTTGTGGAAGGCTTCTGTGATTTTGTGACCTAGAGAAAACGAATCTCTGCTAAAATCAAATCTAAGAAAGATTGGCAAAGGGAATTTAAAGATTTCCTAAATTTTTGGAATTTCCCTAGGCATTAAAACATGAGAAGTGGCAATAATTCAAACCAACGATGCCCTCCAAGAATGAGGATTTTTCCAATGCATTAGGTTGGGTCCCCTCAGTGAGAAGGATGCCAAAGATTCGCATGCAGGCAGTATATTTACAAAGTGCGGGAAACAAGCAAGTGAGCAAGGGAGGGGAGGAGGGAAAGGGAAAGTGAAAAGTGCCTCAGAAGGAGCCACCTCTGAGGATGACGAGCGCTCAAGCCCACATAGAAACACAGGAAAAATGCCTCTGTTATTCCACCTGAGAGGTGAGGGAGCTGGGGGATGTGTACACCTCCCTTGTCATCACTGATTGACAACCGTCCTAGGGGATGCTAATTCCAGGCCATGAGGTCTGCCTCATTTGCAGCCTGAGCTGCTTCCCCAGGTTCAGATAGAGCAGTGAAGGGGAGAAAGGGCCATAGAGAGTCAGCTGAAGTATAATGTCTAGAATCCCCAAGGCATAGTAACAATGACTGCTAAAATTATGCACAAAGAAAAAGTGCATTTGAATCCAGAGATGTATCTCTCTGAATCTGGATATATGGATCCTGGCAGCCTGTTTGGTAGCCATTTCCCAGAAATCCAGTCCTCTGGAAAAGCAGGAGGAGGTTTGTGCATAGGCTGCACTACCTTGGTCTGGCCATGCGTAGTCGTGCATGAGAACTACTCCCTGGAGTATTTCTCAGTCCACTGACACTGATGTAATTGGCTCCACTTCCCCTGCTGTTGAGCCAGGCCGACACGCCCTGGGCAAAGGCATCTGTGTGAAGTATTGAGGTTCAAATCAGTGCTTAAGATATGTTTGGATGCAAAACACTTTTTCATCTACATGGGCAGTGTCTTGGCAGAGGATGGAGATTCTCTCTAAATGCATGTGAGACAGGGTGGCTGGCATCTGGGTCAGGATGATGCCCTGGTGCATGGCAAGAACATGCCTTGTGCAGCAGCTGCCCTCGCTAAGGAGAGAGGCTCACTGACCTGGCTTTTCCCCCTCACCTGCTCTCCAGAAAGCCAGACTCTAGGGCAGATGCTCCTGAGACCCCAGGAACAGGCTGGTGGGGAGCGCAGCTCAGAGCATTACTCAGGGGATGTGGCCTTTGTCATCCTACTTTGAAACAATTGACTATTTGGGCCTAGATTGATACAGGGCTTCAAGTTGATTTTAATCCAGGCTCCTATAGTCAGCGAGTGAAACAGAGATTTTAGTTGAAATAATGAGACCTGGTATTACTAGTCAGCTCTCCATGCTGGAGAACCATAAGAAATTATACCAAAGGCAGGAAAGGGGATAGAATATGGGGATCATCACACCAAGAATAAGGTGCAGCCCATTTAGCCCCTGGGTCTTAAAGAGACCCATAGCTCTGGATAATGGCAGATCTATGCGTGACACAGTTATCATCTTTGTGCATCTTCAGAGAATTGTTTTTCCTTTTACTCCTAGGGACAATGTCTTAAGTTTGTTAGTAAATTCTATTGAATTTATTAAAGATGCTTCTGATAAATTCTTTTTATATTCATTTCAAACAAGAAGCAATTTCACACTGACATTGTTATTATAGCACTAAATACTTTTACACTCATCAAATTCCTTTGAGACTAACTGAAATTTCTGACAGCCCCACATTCTACAACTTTATTGTAAATTTTCTGCCAAAAATGATGCTTTCCTATACACTCCTAATACAAGTATAAATATATTATTTAATCTAGTCTTAGGTTGATTTAAAATTTTGAAAATTCACTCCAAACATATGTTCTGTAACCATATGGCCACCAATGAGAAATGCATTCTTTCAAGGTAAATCTGTGCTGCCCTGGTTTGACCTGGGACTCTGGGGATACTGCGCCCCTGTGCTGAGTTACTGAGATGAGCCAGCCCTGCAGCTGTGCTCAGCCTGCCCCATCCCCTGCTGATTTGCCTGTTCCTAGAGCACAGCCCCCTGCCCTGAAGACTTTTTATAGGCTGGTCACACCCGGTGCAGGAGTCAGCCCCAGTCAGGACACAGCACAGACATGAGGGCCCCCACTCAGCTCCTGGGGCTCCTGGTGCTCTGGCTGCCAGGTAAGGAAGGAGAACACTAGGATTATACTCGGTCAGTGTGCTCAGTACTGTCTGGAACTTCAGGGAAGTCCTCTGATAACATGATTAATTGCGACAATATTTGTTTTTATGTTTCCAACTTCAGGTGCCAGATGTGACATCCAGATGACCCAGTCTCCATCCTCCCTGTCTGCATCTGTAGGAGACAGAGTCACCATCACTTGCCGGGCGAGTCAGGGCATTAGCAATAATTTAAATTGGTATCAGCAGAAACCAGGGAAAACTCCTAAGCTCCTGATCTATGCTGCATCCAGTCTGCAAAGTGGGATTCCCTCTCGGTTCAGTGACAGTGGATCTGGGGCAGACTACACTCTCACCATCCGCAGCCTGCAGCCTGAAGATTTTGCAACTTATTACTGTCAACAGAGTGACAGTACCCCTCCCACAGCGTTACAAGTCATAACATAATCCCCAAGGAAGCAGATGTGTGAGGCTGGGCTGCCCCAATGCTCCTTCCGGTGCCTCTATCTGCTGAGGGAAGTTCTCAAACTCAGTCAGGTTTGGAAAGTCATTGGGAGATTTTCCTAGAGGAGGCCAGGGAGGTTCCTCTGAACCCTAAGCCTCTTTCACCCTCATCCCCAGCAGAAAAGATGTGACAATGCCTGTCCTGACTGAATAAAGAAGAGAGATAAGTCCAACTGAGGAGTCTGTGTTATGGGATAATCGGAATTTGTACAGCAAAAGAGAAGCTATTCTCAGTATTTCAAGGAGAAATTATTCAAGTTGAATAAATTAGAGCCTAAACCACAGTCTTTCCGAAGCCTATGGAATGTTATTCATGAAGCAGGTACTAGACACAGGGGATTCTCAGGTGCTACTTCAGAAGCCAGGGTGCACCTGCCCCTGGTGGTATGTGCTGAACACCGTGTGATGATCCTCAGTCCTGTCTGGGAAGCCCAGGTCTTCCCAGACAGGAATGCTTTGATAAATCCACTGCTAGGTAGGTAATTCTTCTGTAACATTAATAATTCGGTTTTACTTTTGGATCCTAAAGTGGAACTACTTAGAAAATCTGCAAAAATCATGCAAAGAAAATCATGTAAAATCATGATCTTTACTTAGGCACTTACAGGTGAAATGACGAGGTATCTGGAATTGCATTAAAATAGATCAAGGTGAAAAAGACTGACAAAAACATTAACTGTTAAAACTTGGGGCTATATATCAAAGACATTAGTTTCTCTATGAGTATATTTCAAATTTTCCTCAATAAATTTTTTAAAAATTCAATTTAAAATTCAAGCCACAAATAAATGCTTTTTAAAAATTTCTTAGATTATACAAATAGTGCCATAACATCAAGAATAATCCCAAATCATTCCATATACTTCAAAAGATACAAAACCAGGCTGGGTGCGGTGGCTCACGTCTGTAATCCCAACACTTTGGGAGGCCGAGGTGGGCGGATCACCTGAGGTTGTGAGTTTGAAACCAGTCTGACCAACATGGAGAAACCCCGTCTCTACCAAAAATACAAAATTAGCTGGGTGTGGTGGTGCATGCCTGTAATCCCAGCTACTGGGGAGGCTGAGGCAGGAGAATCACTTGAACTCGGGAAGTGGAGGTTGCAGTGAGCCGAGATTGCGCCATTGCACTCCAGCCTGGGCGACAAGAGCAAAACTCCATCTCAAAAAAAAAAAAAAAAAAAAAAAAAAGACACAAAAGCAGGAACTCTTTTCCAGGAGCAATCCCATTTAGTTAAGAAAAAGAAGAAAAAAATATTCCCTAGATTCAGCCAGTTCCTTATCTCTACTGTCCTTCAGAGTCAAATTTCTTAAAAAAATAAGCAACTCTGCCAGGCGTGGTGTCTCACGTCTGTAATCCCAACACTTTGGGAGGCCAAGGAGGGCGGATCACAAGGTCAAGGGATCGAGACCATCCTGGCCAAGATGGTGACACCCCATCTCTACTAAAAATACAAAAATTAGCCCAGCGTGGTGGCACACGCCTGTAGTCCCAGCTACTCAGGAGACTGAGGCAGGAGAATGGCTTGAACCCAGGAGGCGGAGGTTGCAGTGAGCCGAGATCACGCCACTGCACTCCAGCCTGGTGACAGAGCAAGACTCTGTCTCAAAGAAAAAAATAATAATAATAAGCAACTCCATCTCTCCCCACTTCATCCTTCTCAGCCCTCGGTCCTCTGTGATCTGGCTCATGTTCCTGCTGCCTTACTGAGGCTGCTTTAGTAAGGGTACTAGTAAGCTTCCAACTGGCAACTCCAAATGACTATTTTCAGTATACAACTTACTTGGAGTCTACTTAGCATCTTCAGTTATTGAACTTCCTCCTTTAACTCACTTCCAAAATACTACTCTCTCCTCCTTCCTTCTCTATTTCTTTGTTGGCTCTTCTTCCTCTGCCTTCTCTTCAAATATTTCTACTTCCTCTCACTCCTTCTAGTTCTCTTTTCTGTTTCCACAATACTTGTTCTATCAACTACTCCTTTCACTTCATTCACAATAATACTGATGATTCCCAAGCATATATCTCTCATCATGCGTCCCCCTCACATATCTGCTCTTTAATTCTTCTTTTTAATTCATTTGATACCTTCTAAAAGTCTCTCACAATTCAGATAGTCCTTCAAGCCAGGAACATGGGAGTCATTCTCAAATTATCTTTCTCACTCACCCCCTGTCCCATCTCCAAATTTTTATATAAGCTTCAGATTTCATGGACTGTACTTAAAAATTTTTTATAGTTGATGTGTCTCTATTTCAGCAGCTACTGTGTTATCATTTCTCATCTTAGACTATTACAATCTTTCTGGCTGTGTTTACAGATCTTTCCAGTCCACCCCCACACTGAGGTCAGGAGATCTTTCTAAAATGTATTTCATACTCTATCTTGCTTAAAACTTTCAAGTGCTTAACAACTAAATGCAGTATATATTTCCAGATTGGATCCTGGACCAGGGGAAAAAAAAAAGCTATAAAGATCCTTTTTAGAACATCTGAATATAGACTATATCAGATAATAGAATATCAATGTTACATTTCTTTAACTTGGTAATGTACTATAATCACATAAGGAAATGTCCTTGCTCTTAGGAAATATACACAGAGGTAGTTAGGGACAAACTAGCAAATGATTTAGGGGAAAAAATGATACCTACAGAGAGAGCAAACACAATAAAGCAAATATAGCAAAACATTTTCAATTGGTGAATCTGGGTAAAGGGTATACAAGATTCTTGCAACTCCTCTATTAGTTTGAGATCATTTTAGATAAAATATTTTTGGCTGGGCATGGTGACTCACGCCTATAATCACGGCACTTTGAGAGGCTATAGCAGGAGGTCTGCTTGAGCCCAGGAGTTCCAGACCAGCCCTGGCAACAGGGTGAGACCCTGTCTCTCTAAAAAATTAAAAATTTGTCTGTGTGGACTGGAGTATATCTGTATTCCCAGCCACTTGGGAGGCTGAAGTGGGAGGATCACTTGTGCCCAGAAGGTTGGCACCACAATGAACAATGACTGTGCCACTGCACTACAGCCTGGGCAACAGAGCAAGACCCTGTCTCAAAAAAAAAAATTTAAACCTCCCACATTCCCTGTTACATGTAAGATAAAAGTTTGAACTCCTTGGTTAGGCTCTCTGTGATCTGACTCTTGCCCCCTCTACCATTATCGGTCATCAACTGAGAGGAGGACCACAACCAACATCCTACTCTCCACACACAAAGATTACAAATTTCTGAACACACCAAACTGCTTTGTTCCATGTCAAACATGTTCTCTCTACTTCCTGCACCTTGTCTGTCTGACAAGCACCTTCTTATTTGATGCTATTCAAGCCTCACCTCCTCTTACTCTGCACTCCTTTCTACTTTCCTCTTCCAGATGAAAATAACCACTCCAGGCCACGCATAGTGGTTCACGCCACCCAGCACTTTGGGAGGCTGAGGCAGACGGATCACAAAGTCAAGAGATTGAGACCATCCCAGCCAACATGGTGAAACCCCGTCTCTACTAAAAATACAAAAATTAGCTGGACATGGTGGCGAGTGCCTGTAATCCCAGCTACTCGGGAGGCTGAGGCAGGAGAACTGCTTGAACCCAGGAGGCAGAGGTTGCAGTGAGCCAAGATCGTGCCACTGCACTCCAGCCTGGCAACAGAGCAAAACTCCGTTTCAAAAAAAAAATCTCAAATACTCGGCCAGGTACATTGGCTCACCCCTGTAATCCCAGCACTTTGGGAGGCTGAGGTGGTGGATTACCTGAGGTCAGTAGTTCAAGACCAGTCTGACCAATATGGTGAAACCCTGTCTCTACTAAAAATGCAAAAAAATTAGCCGGGCATGGTGGCATGCGCCTGTAGTCCCAGCAACTCCGGAGGCTGAGACAGGAGAATTGCTTGAGCCCGGGAGGCGGAGGTTGCACTGAGCCGAGATCACACCACTGCACTCCAGCCTAGGCAACAAAGCAGGACTCCACCTCAAAAAAAAAAAAAAAAAAAAATCTCACTACTCCCAAATTATGTATTTTTAAAAATGTTTTTTATTTTTTATTTTTTTATTTTTTTTGAGATGGAGTCTTGCTCTGTCGCCCAGGCTGGAGTGCAGTGGTGCAATCTCGGCTCACTGCAAGCTCCGCCTCCTGGGTTCACACCATTCTCCTGCTTAGCCTCCCAAGTAGCTGGGACTACAGGTGCCCGCCACCATGCCTGGCTAATTTTTTTATATTTTTAGTAGAGACGGGGTTTCACCGTGTTAGCCAGTATGGTCTTGATCTGACCTTGTGATCTGCCCGCCTCAGCCTCCCAAAGTGCTGGGTTTACAGGCGTGAGCCACAACGCCCAGCCTAAAAATGTTTTTTTCTTTCCATGTCCCTGATACAGCTTTTCATCAACTTTCCCAAAGTATGAAAAGAAACACGTATTTTTCACTAAGAGGTCAACCTATTTTCAATCTCTTACACCATTCTATATGTTGATGAACGTAAGTTCTAATAAAATTTTATCTGTTTCTCATTACTCATAAATATCATCTATTTATCTAATTGCATCTAAATGCTATTTTATTGCAAATATCCCATTCACCAACTTCAAAAAGAGAAAAACAAAACAAGCATCATTAAAAACAAAGCAAGAAAGTAGCAAAATAGATAATTCCAATATCACCTATAAGTACTCAGTTATCTTAAACAAATGAACTCAGATTGTCGACAAAAAAATCCAAGGCCTATTCATTAAAGCAAATAAATAACTCATATAACATCTAAAAATCTCACTCATGACCTATTTTCCTTTACTTGTGACCCAAATTTAGTTACTGGAGTATCTTAGACACTAGCAAAATAGAAAGGTAAGACAAGCTTTTGGACAGATTGTAACGGCAGACAGCAAAGAAACAAAATACACAAAAAAAGTCTATAGGCTGGGCGCGGTGGCTCACGCCTGTAATCCCAGCACTTTGGGAGGCCAAGATTGGGGGATCATGAGGTCAGGAGATCGAGACCATCCTGGCTAACATGGTGAAACCCCATCTCTACTAAAAATACAAAAAATTAGCCAGGTGTGGTGGCGGGCACCTGTAGTCCCAGCTACTTGGGAGGCTGAGGCAGGAGAATGGCGTGAACCTGGGAGGTGGAGCTTGCAGTGAACCGAGATTGCACCACCTCACTCCAGCATGGGCAACAGAGCGAGACTCCGTTTCAAAAAAAAAAGTCTATATAGAATCTTAACATAGTCTGCTAGAACAATTTTTTTCTAAAGAAAATACATCAAATTGAATAATATTAAATGACAGGAAAAGGAGTAAACATTATAGAAACCTCCTTTAAAAATTAAAAACTATTTCAACTTTAAAATGAATGGGTATTAACAGCTCAGGGAGCACATCTGCTTCTTCAAAACAGGCAGAGTAGGAAAAAAATGTTGCTAATTTTTAAGAAATCATATAAATCAATTTTTTGATCATTATCAAACTATTCATAATAAAATTAACATATTACAACCATTCATACAAATGTTTACTACAGACACACCTGAACTCAAGCAGTATTAACATTTCAATTTATTTTAGGAATGATGAAAAAATTATTCTAACATTTAAGAGACCACCATTTTGGCCAGGCCCAGTGGCTCACACCTGTAATCCCAGCACTTTGGGAAGCCGAGGTGGGCAGATCACCTGAGGTCAGGAGTTCGAGACCAGCCTGACCAACATGGAGAAACCCCGTCTCTACTAAAAATACAAAATTAGCTGGGTGTGGTGGTGCATGCCTGTAATCCCAGCTACTGGGGAGGCTGAGGTGGGAGAATTGCTTGAACCGGGTGGTGGAGGTTGCGGTGAGCCAAGATCGCACCATTGCACCCCAGCCTGGGCAACAAGAATGAAACTCCATCTCAAAACAAACAAAAAAGAACACCACTTTTCATTTTACTGAATTACCTTTCCTGTTTAAGAGCATACTCCAACATTTTGATCCTCCTCACAAGATCCTTCTTCAAATTTTCTTGGCCCTTCCTTTCTCCCTGTAGGAAGGTAATCTGGGCCTGAGTAGGGGAAAGACAGACAAAATTCAGTTTAGACCAAAAAAAAAACAGTTTTTTTTAACTCAGTAAAGAACCTTTGGAAGTTAGAACAATTAGATGCAAAAATATTTCCTTTACACATTTCTCACAAAGCATGTAGAAATATAAAAATGCACTGACTGCAAGGGGGAAAAAGGATTTAAGTTAAAAAGGGCGGGGGGACATCTAAATGCATTGTACTTCAGGGTAGGGATTTTACAACACATAGTCCACATCAATTAAGAGTCTACAATATAAAACAACTAATACTGCCGGGTGCGGTGGCTCACACCTGTAATCCCAGCACTTTGGGAGGCTGAGGCGGGTGGATCACTTGAGGTCAAGAGTTCAAGACCAGCCTGACCAACATGGTGAAACCCTGTCTCTACTAAAAATACAAAAATTAGCCGGGCCTGATGGCACCTATAACCCCAGCTACTCGGGAGGCTGAGGCAGAAGAATTGCTTGAACCCAGGAGGCAGGGGTTGCAGTGAGCCGAGATTGCGCCACTGCACTCCATCCTGGGTAACAGAGTGAGACTCCATATTAAAAAATAAAACAACTAATATTAATACAAACAAATGCAAGGTGTACAGTACAGTTTGCTAAAGCGTTTGTCTTTTTGCCATCAACAAGATCTTTTTATAAAGCAGGAAGGGTTAAAGTAAAATCAGTTCTTATAATCCCCTTGCACAAGCTTCATCATATATTTAAATTTTATGACAGATTCCTTAAGTGACTTTATTTTGGACCTCCCCTACAAAAAATAAATTGCTCCCTTTTCTCAATCCCCACCATTTTTCTCACCCACCTTGACATGTAATCCATAGAAAAAAGAAAGTGAAAGTTGGGAAAAGGAAAATTAGAGACAATGGCCTTCTGCCCATTCCTGCCCCCCACCCCAAGGAATTACTAAAACCCTACATTTGAACATGAAACAAACTGTAAACAACTTTTAAAGTCAGTAAAACAGAGGGGCTAGGAAAGAGTAGCTCTCCAGAATATTAAAAGAACATTTACAACTGAAATACTATCTTTCACATAAGAAATTGAAACTATGTCACAAACACTAACTTGTTAAAGTGACTCATAATACCTCTTAAAAGTCACAAGGGCCTCAAAACTAGCTATAAATTTCACTATTCTCACATATACCACCACCCCCGTCTTTTATACTGACCCACTAAGACAGGTAACAATGTTATTTATGTATCTACAGTGCTTTCCATTAAGTGAGCAAGAACTTTACATTTAAGGATGACCTTGCCACATCCCTAAGGAATTGTGAGGATTGTGCAACCCAGGTTTAGCAAGTGAGCCATTAAACTTAATTCTCATTCAAACTTAGTTTGAATGACCTTTGTTTCTATTCGGTACCACAAGAAACATAAAATCCAACTTATCTAGTCTCTTATAACTTTCAAAATATAGGTAGTGTTGAGCTTTTCTTTTCATTTCAATATGCTCTTAAATTCTACATTACAATTAAAGGAAGGATTACATTTATCTTACTGAAATAAAAGTGGTCTGAAAACAATTCAATTGTTTTCAGAGGAAAAGGCATCAAATATCCACAAGACTCTTTTGAAATTATATATTCTGCAGTGGGATAATTATGTTACCTAACCAGAATAGTAATGACACATGCATTTAAAGCTGATAAAAATGAAAGTCTTGTCAAAAGGAAGTGACAGCCCAACTTGTCAGGCCAAACATGCTTTGGCATAGAACTTTATATGCTCTTTAAAATGATTTTAATAAAAATAATAAGCTAATCAATGCAATCAAACTTTGAAGGTAATAACAATATCAATTATCAATTTTGTCCTCTCGATACTCCTTGGCTAGTTTTGCATTTCTGCTAACATCATTGGTCCTGGATGATTCTGAAACTTCAGCCTACAATACCGTAAAGTCTTTACTGTATATGTTCAACTTCAAGCATAAGAGAAATTACAATTAAAAGTATAATCAGAGGCTGGGCACAGTGGCTCAGTCCTGTAATTACAGCACTTTGGGAGGCCGAGGTGGGAGGATAACTTGAGCTCAGGAGTTTGAGCCTAGCCTGTGCAACATAGCGAGACCACTTCCCTACAAATAATTAAAAAAATCAGCCAGGCATGGTGGCATGTGTCTGTGGTCCCAGCTACTTGGGAGGCTGAGGCAGGAGAATCACCTCAGCCCAGGAGGCCAAGGCTGCAGTGAGCAGTGATCACGCCACCACACTCTAACATGGGTGACAGAGTGAGACCTTGTCTCAAAAAAAAAAAGGGGGCGGGGGGGGGGGGTGGGGTGGTAATCAGGGCCAGGCATGGTAGCTAATGCCTGTAGTCCCAGAACTTTGGGAGACTGAGGTGAGAGGATTGCTTGAGGCTGGAGTTTGAGACCATCCTGGCCAACATGCCAAGAAGTCTCATAAAAATATTAAAAATATAAAAAATAAAGTACAATCAGATTTCTCCTTTTCCATCAGATGGATAAAGTTCAGTAATTTAATAATATGGTAGAAAACAGACATTTATATGTTAGCTGTGGTGATATAAACCAGTTTCACTTTATAGAGGACAACTGGTAATATCTGTCAAGTTTATAAATGCATATACCCTTTAACTCAGCAATTTTAGAATGTTATCCTTCAAATATTTATTTGTACATACATGAAATTATATAATACATTACTGATAAAACACAGACAAGAATATGTATACAACCCAAATGACCACCTAAAGGAGACTGGTTAAATAAATGAGTATAATTGAAAGAAAATTAGGACCTGAACTAAGACCTTTGAGAAAAGAGTAAAAGACTATGAGAATAATGTCAATCTTTTACCTTTTTTTCTCTAGAAAACTAAGACATTAGAAACAAAAAGTCTTAAAACACATTCCTACATAAAAAAAAGAATTCCTTCTGTAAAACGACCTCAGTCGAAAACATAATAATTGGTATAAATTCTTACTCTTTTAAAATAAAGATTAAATTCCAGCTAAAAATTCTCCAGATATGGCAGTATATTGCTCTTTGAATTGAACTGAGGAAGGGCGAGGGTGAGAGACATAAAAGATGAAAACAGTGAAAGGAAGAAATAAAGGGAAGGGAAAAAGTAAAAAGAAAAAGAGGAAAATAGGTCGGACACAGGGGCTCACACCTGTAATCCCAGAACTTTGGGAGGCTGAGGCGGGGGGATCACCTGAGGTCAGGAGTTCGAGACCAGCCTGGCCAACACAGTGAAACCCTGTCTCCACTAAACATACAAAAATCAGCCAGGCACTGTATTCGCAGCTACTCGGAAGGCTGAGACAGAAGAATTACTCAAACCCGGGAGACGGAGGTTGCAGTGTGCAGAGATCGCACCACTGCACTCCAGCCTGGGCGACACGGTGAGATTCCATCTTTAAAAAAAAAAAAAAAAGGCAGGGCGTGGTGGCTCGCCCCTGTAATCCTAGCACTTTGGGAGGCCGAGGCGGGTGGATCACGAGGTCAGGAGTTCAAGACCAGCCTGGCCAAACCCCATCTCTACTAAAAATACAAAAAAGAAAATTAGCCGGGCGTGGTGGCAGGTGCCTGTAATCCCAGCTACTTGAGAGGCTGAGGCAGAGAACTGCTTGAACCCAGGAGGTGGAGGTTGCAGTGAGCCGAGACCACACCACTGCACTCCAGCCTGGGCAACAGAGTGAGACTCCGTCTCAAAAAGAAAAAAAATAAGTGTTATGAATAAATATGTTTAAAAACTTACAAATCATCAACTGCCATTTATCAGTACAACTAAACTTAATGATAACAGGATATATTTCTGGAGAAGAAAACTTTGGAATTATTTTCAAGGAAAATGAATGTTGAACTTCCATGATACTTTGTGTATTTTTCACAGTATAGAAAATTAGATATTCACTTCCTAACCATCATAAACAAAAAAGATAAAAATAATAGAAGGAAGATATTTTACTATTTAAGTCTGCATGACAGAAAGAAAATTTATTTTTTTATTTAATTTTTTATTTTATATATTTATTTTTTTTGAGATGGAGTCTCACTCTGTTGCCCAGGCTGGAGTGCAGTGGCACCATCTCAGCTCACTGCAAGCTCCGCTTCCCGGGTTCACGCCATTCTCTTGCCTCAGCCTCCTGAGTAGCTGGGACTACAGGCGCCCGCCACTGCACCCGGCTAATTTTTTGTATTTTTAGTAGAGACGGGGTTTTACCATGGTCTCAATCTCCTGATCTCGTGATCCGCCCGCCCCGGCCTCCCAAAATGCTGGGATTACAGACGTGAGCCACCGTGCCCAGCTGAAAATTTATTTTTATATTATTTTCAATTCTAATTTGTCAAAAGGATATATGTAAATAGGAATACAAATCTTCTATATTTAAACAGGTTTATCTGCATACGTAATATCTAATAAACAATTAAAATATTTAAAATGTACCACTTAATTTATTAAAGCCCCCCCACCCTTTTTTTTTCTTTTGAGACAGAGTCTCACTCTGTCGCCCAGGCTGTAGTACAGTGGTGAGATTTCGGCTCACTGCAACTTCAGCCTCCCGGGGTCGAAGTAATTCTCCTACCTCAGCCTCCTGAGTAGCTGGGATTACAGGTGCGCACCACTACGCCCAGCTAATTTTTGTATTTTTAGTAGAGACAGGGTTTTACCACGTTGGTCAGGCTGTTCTCAAACTCCTGACCTCGTGATCCACCCACCTCGGTCTCCCTAAGCCCTGGGATTACAGGTGCGAGCCACCGCGCCCAGCCTTATTGAAGCCATTTTAAACTACTGTGTATTCTGAAATTTAAAAGGGCTAGGATTCAAAATTGAAATAACTGAGAAGTATATTCAAAATGAAAAATACACAAAATTCTTGGGTTGGACACTTTTCAGTAGCTTTTCAGTTACTTGCTATGGAATATAAAAAGCATTCACTTTTACAAAAATCTAAAATAAAATATTATAAAACTTGATTAATTTAAGGTTCTCATCTTTTGATTTGAACACAAACTTCAAAGTAAAAGAGGAAATATATAAGTAAAAGTCAATTATATGGTTACAGTGTACAGTGAAGTTTCAATAATCTGCTTTATGTCTTAATGCCTTCTATAAACTATATCTATTCCCTCTGAAAAGCTTTGGATTATATTATCCTCTTAAATCTAGGCTGCTAGTTTTCTCTGGCACATAATCACTGCCTCTAGCCCTCTCTCTTAAAGACAGTGTCTTTATCAGGCTAGGCACAGTGGTTCATGCCTGTAATCCCAGCACTTTGGGAGACCGAGACAGGTGGATCACCTGAGGTCAGGAGTTTGAGACCAGCCTGACCAGTATGATGAAACCCCATCTCTACTAAAAATACAAAAATTAGCCAGACATGGTGGCGTGTGCCTGTAGTCCCAGCTACTCAGGAGGCTGAGACAGGAGAATTGCTTGAACCTGGGAGGTGGAAGTTGCAGTAAACCAAGATCACGCCACTGCACTCCAGACTGGGCGACAGAGCAAGACTCCATCTCAATTTAAAAAAAAAGCATCATTATCATTTGGTGACATCAAACTTTACCAACAGAATCACCCAGATGACTTGTTAAAACACAATTTTTTAGGTTCTACCCTCAGAGTTGCTCATTCAGTAGGTCTGGAGTGGGGCCCAAGAATTTGCATTTCTAGTAAGTACCCAGGTGATAATGCTGCTGATCTGGGACCACCCTTGGAGAACCACTGACTTAAACCATTTGTAACACAGTTAGAAGGCCAAAAACAAAAAACAAAGCAAAGCAAAACAAAACAAAACAAAAAGCAGGAAATAGTCTGTTAAGGAGCAAGGAAAAGAACAGTCCCAGAGGCCGGGTGCAGTGGCTCACGCCTGTAATCCTAGCACTTTGGGAGGCCGAGACGGGCGGATCACTTGAGGTCAGGAGTTCTTAACCAGCCTGGCCATCATGGTAAAACCCCCATCTCTACTAAAAATATAAAAAAATTAGCCAGGTGTGGTCGCAAGCACCTGTAATCCCAGCTACTCAGGAGGCTCAGGCAGGAGAACTGCTTGAACCTGAGGTAGAGGTTGTGGTGAGTCGAATTCATGCCACTGCACTCCAGCCTGAATGACAGAGCAAAACTGTCTCAAAAAAAAAAAAAAAAAGAAGAAGAAGCAAAGAATAGTCCCAGAACCCTCTTTTTTTCCCCAAAGTGTTGGGATTACAGGTGTGAGCTACCGCGTCCAGCCCCAGAACCCTACCCTTTTTACTCCACAGAAGTATGGAGTCTTATACAGGCCTTCAAGCTGACAGATGAGTACATACTAGCTTTTTGATTCTCTTCCAAATTCCTTATTTATGACTATACTTTTGGCAGTCTCCTGATAAAATGAAATCTACCAATGTATTTCAGTTCAATCACGTGTTTGGGAAATACCTACTTCCCATCAGGTCTAAACTGCTGTAAAGGAGAATATAGGAAAAACAAATAAAACCAAGTTTCTACCCACAATGTACTTCCAATCTAGTTAGGGTAAAAAAGCAGCACACATATGTTCACAAAAACAGCTAAGAAAAGATAGTGCAGTACTAATAAATGAGGATTCAAGTGATAAAATCAAATATTTGTATTTCTTCATTTAACAATATTAGCTAAACACCTACTTTGTGCCTGGCACAGTTATTGGTACTGGGACTAAAGTAGTGACAAAACAAAACAGAGCTAACAATCCAGTGAATGAAATATATGTTGCCTAAGACGTATGTGTACCAGTAGCATACGTTATATTTACTTAGAACCAGAAACACAGTTGCAGGCAAAAGCAGTGAATATAAAAATAAACACAAAAAGCAACTGGATGCCTATTTAACTCTAGAGTCAAGTAGAGAACTGATGTTCAACTTAAAAATTGCTTGCTTGCTTATTCATTTATTTGTTTATTTCTTTGAGACAGGGTCTCACTCTGTTGCCCAGGCTGGAGTGCAATCATAGCTCACCGCAGCCTCGAACTCCTGAACTCAGGCAATCCACCTGCCTCAGCCTCCCAAAGTGCTGGAATTACAGGCTTGAGCCACCGCGCCGGGCCTATGTGTTTTTAAGGAGGCCGGCCTGAGTGTGGTTTTCCTTGTTGAAATGTGTCTCTAAGCAGGTTCCTGGCTCCTGGACTTTCTGGGGCAGGGTTTCCACCCTGTCCCTGGGCAGCCCAGGGGCTGACCCGGAAACCGTGAATTCAGCATGCTCAGCAAAGCCTACAAAGCCATCCTCTTCTGGACAAAGTTCAGACTTCAATTCCTCTGTTCTCAGATGTCAGGCATAGAGCAGAGCCTTGTTAACCACGGTCACACTGTTTCATACTGAATTGTTACAAATTAGTACTTATTCATCCTGCGTAACTGCAACTTTGTATTTTTAACCAATACCTCTTCATTTCCTCCTGCTGATGATCAAGGTATATCCATAGATAATCATCACATTGGCCTGGTGCGGTGGCTCACACGTGTAATCCCAGAACTTTGGGAGGCCGAGGCGGGCGGATCACGAGGTCAGGATACGAGACCATCCTGGCTAAAACGGTGAAACCCTGTCTCTACTAAAAATACAAAAAAATTAGGTGGACATGGTGGGTGGGTGCCTGTAGTCCGAGCTACTGGGGAGGCTGAGGCAGGAGAATGGTGTGAACCCGGGGGAGGCGGAGGTTGCAGTGAGTCGACATCGCACCACTGCACTCCAGCCTGGGCAACAGAGCGACAGAGCGAGACTCTGTCTCAAAAAAAAAGTCTACCAAGGAGTTTTGCTTCACCCATGAAAGGAAGAAAATGGTCCAGGTAAAACGGCCATCGGGATGTAACAAAAAATTGTCAACGATCACACTCTATAGAGGTGGCTGATTTGATACAACACCCAGTGAAATTTTTGACGACAAATATTGCAGACTGCAAGAGACGCTTCTTGTTCGTAGAAATAGAAATAAAGCATGGTGTCTGCGCCTGGCTTTCTGCTGTAAGCTGAAGTACTTCATGGCAGCAGGAATTGGGCAACCCACCGTTTACACTCCACCCTTTGAAACTGGGCTGAATGGGGTGGGGACCCGCCTTTGGGGAGAAAAGCAAATTTTATTTAAGCCCCTGAAAGATGAGAGGGTTGGCCAGGCTTGGTGGCTCACGCCTGTAATCCCAGCACTTTGGGAGGCTGAGGTGGGTGGAACACTTGAGGTCAGGAGTTCGAGACCAGCCTGGCCAGCACGATGAAACCCAGTCTCTACTGAAAATACAAAATGAACCAGGCGTGGTGGCACATGCCTGTAATCCCAGCTACTGGGGAGGCTGAGGCAGGAGAATCGCTTGAACCCTGGAGGCGGAGTTTGCAGTGAGCCAAGATCATTCCATTGCACTCCAGCCTGGGTGACAAGAGCGAAACTCTGTCTCAAAAAAAAAAAAAAAATGCGTATTCCCCAGCCACTGGAAAATGAGATTTCTGAGCAGCTGGATCTGATAATTACCATGAGGTGTCATTACATGATATACACGTGCTTGGAAACAGTATATTATATGTCATAAATGTGTACAATCGTTATGGAGTTTTTTTCTTGAGACAAGGTCTTGCTCTGTTGCCTAAGCTGGAGTGTGCAGTGATGCAATCATGGCTCAGTACAGCCTCAACCTCCTGGACTCAAACCATCCTTCCACCTCAGCCTCCCCAGTAGCTGGAAATACAGGTCTGCACCAGTAGGTCCAGCTAACTTTTGTACTTTTTTTTAAGAGATGAGATCTTGCTATGTTGCCCAGACTGGTCTTGAACTTCTGGCCTTGTGATTCTCCCACCTCAGCCTCCCAAAGCGCTGGGATTACAAGCGTGAGCCACTGCGCCTGATCCGAACGATGACTCTTAAAAATAAAATAAAACTTTAGAAAAGAAGAAAATCTAATGGTGGTTTTTGTCTTTTCATTGGCTCTGTGTTACTTTGTAGCTGCAATTTTTTTTTCCTTCATTAAGTCAGCTCCAAATTTGCAAACTCAAGTGAAAGGTGAGTGAGTTTTCTGTGTATCTTCTTGGCATGGGGTGGTGAGTGTGTGTACGTGTGAGTGTGTGTGTGTGAGTGTGCTGGCTGTCTTGGCTGGCTTCGCTGGCTGGCTGGCTTGGCTGCTTGGCTGGCTTGGCTGGCTTGGCTGGCTGGCAGGCTTGGCTGGCTTGCCTAGTTTGGCTGTCCAGGTAGCTTGGCTGACTTGGCTGGCCGTGGGACATGGCTGGCTTGGGTGGCTGAGTGGATTGGCTAGCTTGGTTGGCCGGCTGGCTTGGCAGGATGGATGACTTGGCTGGCTTGGCTGGCTTGGCTGGCTTGGCTGGCAGGCTGGTTTGGCTGGCTTGGCTGCCTTGGCTGTCTGGCCGGCTTGGCTGGCTGGCAGGCCGGCCGGCTTGGCTGGCTGGCTGGTTGTCTGGCTTGGCTAGCTGACTGGCTTTGCTGCTTGGCTGGCTGGCTGGTTGGCTTGCTTGGCTAGCTGACTCGCTGGGCTGGTTGGCTGGCTTGGCTATCTTCCTGGCTGGCTTGGCTGGCTTGGCTGGCTTGGCTGGCTGGATGGCCGGGTGGCTTAGCTGGCTTGGCTGGCTGGCTGGTTGCCTTGGCTGGCTTGGCTGGCTGGGAGGCTTGGCTGGCTTGGCTGGCTTGGCTGTCTGGGCTGGCTAGCTGGCTTGGCTGTCTTGGCTGGCTGGGTTGCTTGGATGGCTTGGCTGGCTGGCTGGCTTGGCAGGCTTGGGTGGCTATCAGGCTTGGCTGGCTTGGCTGGCTGTCTATCTTGGCTGGCTTGGCTGGCTGGCAGGCTTGGCTGGCTTGGCTGGCTGTCTGGCCGGGTGGCTTGGCTGGTTTGGCTGCCCAGGTGGCTTGGCTGGCTTGGCTGGCTGAGTGGCTTCACCGGCTTGGCTGGTCAAGTGGATTGGCTAGCTTGGCTGGCCAGCTGGCTTGGCAGGCTGGATGGCTTGGCTGGCTTGGCTGCCTTGGCTGGTTGGGTGGCTTGTCAGGCTTGGATGGCTGGGTGGCTTGGCTGGCATGGCTGGCTGGGTGGCTTGGCTGGCTTGGCCGGCTGGCTGGCTTGGCTGGCTGCCTGGCTTGGCTGGCTTGGCTGGCTTGGCTGGCTGGCAGGCTTGGCTGGCTTGGCTGGTGGCTGGCTTGACTGGCTTGGCTAGTTGGCTGGCTTGGCTGGCTGGCTGGGTGGCTTGGCTGGCTTGGCTGGCTGGCTGGCTGGGTGTCTTGGGTGGCTTGGCTGGCTGGGTGGCTTGGCTGGTTTGGCTGGCTGGCTTCGCTGGCTGGCTTGCTGGCTTGCTTGGCTGGCTTGGCTGGCTGGCTGGTTTGGCTGTCTGGGCTGGCTGCCTGGCTTGCATGGCTTGGCTGGCTGGGTGGCTGACCAGCCTGGCTGGCTGGGTGGCTGGCTGGCTTGGCTGGCTGGGTGGCTGGCTGGCCTGGCTGGCTGGGTGGCTGGCTGGCTTGGCTGGCTGGCTGGCTGGCTGGCTGGCTGGCTTGGCTGGCTTGGCTGGCTGGCTGGCTTGGCTGGCTGTGTGGCTTGACTGGCTTGGCTGGATGCCTGGCTTGGCTGGCTGGCTGGCTTGGCTGGCTGGGAGGCTTGGCTGGCTTGGCTGTCTGGGCTGGCTGGGTGGCTTGGCTGGCCGGGTGACTTGGCTGGCTTGAGTGGCTGAGTGGATTGGCTAGCTTGGCTGGCCAGCTGGCTTGGCAGGCTGGATGGCTTGGCTGGCTTTGCTGGCAGGCTGGTTTGGCTGGCTTGGCTGGCTTGGCTGGCTGGGTGGCTTGGCTGGCTTGGCTTGGTCAGTGGCTTGGCTGGCTTGGCTGCCTGGCCGGCTTGGCTGCCTTGGCTGTCTGGCCGGCTTGGTTGGCTGGCAGGCTGGCCGGCTTGACTGGCTGGCTGGTTGGCTGGCTTGGCTAGCTGACTGTCTTGGCTGGTTGGCTGGCTTGGCTGGTTGGCTGGCTGGCTTGGCCGGCCGGGTGGCTTGGCTGGCTTGGCTAGCTGACTGGCTTGACTGGTTGGCTGTCTTGGCTGGCTTGGCTGGCTTGGCTGGCTGGCTTGGCTGGCCGGGTGGCTTGGCTGGCTTGGCTAGCCGGCTGGCTTAGGTGGCTGGATGGATTGGCTGGCATGCCTGGCTTGGCTGGCTGGCTTGCTTGGCTGGCTTGGCTGCCTGTCTGGCTTGGCTGGCATGCCTGGCTTTGCTTGCTGGCTGGCTTGGCTGCCTGGCTGGCTTGGTTGGCATGCCTGTCTTGGCTGGCTGGCTGGCTTGGCTGGCTTGGCTGGCTTGGCTGCCTGGCTGGCTTGGCTGGCTTGGCTCACTGGCTGGGTGGCTGGCCTGGCTAGCTGGGCGGCTTGGCTGGCTTGGCTGGCTGGGCGGCTTGGCTGGGCAGCTTGGCTGGCTTGGCTGGCTTGGCTGGCTTGGCTGTCTGGGCTGGCTGGCTGGCTTGGCTGGCTTGGCTGGCCAGGTGACTTGGCTGGCTTGAGTGGCTGAGTGGATTGGCTAGCTTGGCTGGCCAGCTGGCTTGGCTGTCTTGGCTGGCTGGGTTGCCTGGATGGCTTGGCAGGCTGGCTGGCTTCTCTGGCTTGGCTGGCTGGCTGGCTTGGCTGGTTGGCTGGCTTGGCTGCCTTGGATGGCTATCAGGCTTGGCTGGCTTGGCTGGCTGTCTGTCTTGGCTGGCTTGGCTGGCTGGCAGGCTTGGCTGGCTTGGCTGGCTGGGTTGCCTGGATGGCTTGGCAGGCTGGCTGGCTTGGCTGGCTTGGCTGGCAGGCTGGTTTGGCAGGCTTGGCTGTGTTGGCTGGCTGGGTTGCCTGGATGGCCTGGCTGTCTGGGTGGCTGGCTGGCTTGGCTGTCTGGCTGGCTTGCTGGCTGGCTTGGCTGGCTGGGTGGCTTGGCTGGCTTGGCTGGCTGGGTGGCTTGGCTGGCTTGGCTGGCTGGGCTGGCTGGCTGGCTTGGCTGGCTTGGCTGGCCGGGTGACTTGGCTGGCTTGAGTGGGTGAGTGGATTGGCTAGCTTGGCTGGCCGGCTGGCTTGGCAGGCTGGATGGCTTGGCTGGCTTGGCTGGCAGGCTGGTTTGGCTGGCGTGGCTGTCTTGGCTGGCTGGGTGGCTTGGCTGGGTCGGTGGCTTGGCTGGCTTGGCTGCCTGGCCGGCTTGGCTGCCTTGGCTGCCTGGCCGGCTTGGTTGGCTGGCAGGCCGGCCGGCTTGGCTGGCTGGCTGGTTGGCTGGCTTGGCTAGCTGACTGGCTTGGCTGGTTGGCTGGCTTGGCTGTCTTGGCTGGCTGGCTTGGCTGGCCGTGTGACTTGGCTGGCTTGGGTAGCCGGCTGGCTTCGCTGACTGGATGGCTTGGCTGGCATGCCTGGCTTGGCTGGCTGGCTGGCTGGCTTGGCTCACTGGCTGGGTGGCTGGCCTGGCTAGTTGGGCGGCTTGGCTGGCTTGGCTGGCTGGGCGGCTTGGCTGGGCGCCTTGGCTGGCTTGGCTGGCTGGGTGGCTTGGCTGGCTTGGCTGGCTGGGAGGCTTGGCTGGCTTGGCTGTCTGGGCTGGCTGGGTGGCTTGGCTGGCCGGGTGACTTGGCTGGCTTGAGTGGCTGAGTGGATTGGCTAGCTTGGCTGGCCAGCTGGCTTGGCAGGCTGGATGGCTTGGCTGGCTTTGCTGGCAGGCTGGTTTGGCTGGCTTGGCTGGCTTGGCTGGCTGGGTGGCTTGGCTGGCTTGGCTTGGTCAGTGGCTTGGCTGGCTTGGCTGCCTGGCCGGCTTGGCTGCCTTGGCTGTCTGGCCGGCTTGGTTGGCTGGCAGGCTGGCCGGCTTGACTGGCTGGCTGGTTGGCTGGCTTGGCTAGCTGACTGTCTTGGCTGGTTGGCTGGCTTGGCTGGTTGGCTGGCTGGCTTGGCCGGCCGGGTGGCTTGGCTGGCTTGGCTAGCTGACTGGCTTGACTGGTTGGCTGTCTTGGCTGGCTTGGCTGGCTTGGCTGGCTGGCTTGGCTGGCCGGCTGGCTTGGCTTGCTTGGCTGTCTGGGTGGCTTGGGTGGCTGGCGTGGCTGGCTGGCTGTTTTGGCTGGCTTGGCTGGCTGACTGGCTTCGCTGGCTTGACTGGGTGGCTTGGCCATCTTGGCTGGCTGAGTGGCTTGGCCGGCTTGGCTGGCTGGCTGGCTTGGCTGGCTGAGTGTCTTGGCCAGCTTGGCTGGCTGGGTGGCTTGACCGGCTTGGCTGGCTGGGTGGTTTGGCTGGCTTGGCTGGCTGGGTGGCTTGGCAGGCTTGGCTGGCTGGCTGGCTGGCTGGCTTCGCTGGCTGGGTGTCTTGGCTAGCTTGGCTGGCTGGGTGTCTTGGCTGGCTTGGGTTGCTGGGTCTCTTGGCAGGCTTGTCTGGCTGGGTGGCTTGGCTTGCTTGGCTGGCTGGGTGTCTTCGCTGGCTTGGCTGGCTGGCTGGCTTGGCTGGCTTGACTGGCTGGCAGGCTTGGCTGGCTTTTCTGGCTGACTGGCTTGGCTGGCTTGGCTGGCTTGGCTGACTGGCTTGGGTGGCTTGGCTGGTTTGGCTGGCTGGCTGGCTTGACTGGCTTGGCTGGCTGGCTGGCTTGCATGGCTTGCTTGGCTGGCTGGCTTGGCCGGCTTGGCTGGCTGGCTGTCTTAGCTGGCTTGGCTGGCTGGGTTGGCTGGCTTGGCTGGCTCGCTGGCTTGCCTGGCTTGGCTGGCTTGGCTGTCTTGGCTGGCTGGCTGGCTTGGCTGGCTTGGCTGGCTGGCTTGCCTGGTTTTGCTGCCTGGGCTGGCTGTCTGGCTGGGCTGTCTGGCTGGTTGGCTGGCTTGGCTGGCTTGGCTGGGTGGCCGGCTTGGCTGGCTTGGCTGACTGGCTTGGCTGGGTTGGCCAGCTTCGCTGGCTGGCTTGGGTCTCTTGGTTTCCTGGGTTGGCTGTCTGGCTGGTTGGCTGGCTTGGCTGGCTTGGCTGGGTGGCTGGCTTGGCTGGCTTGGCTGACTGGCTTGGCTGGTTTGGCCAGCTTTGCTGGCTGGCTTGGGTCTCTTGGCTGGCTTGGCTGGGTGGCTGGCTGGCTTGGCTGGGTGGCTGGTTTGGCTGGCTGACTGGCTGGGCTGGCTGGGCTCGCTGTCTGGCTTGGCCGGCTCGGCTGGCTGGCTGGCTGGCTGGGCTGGCTTGGCTGGCTTGGCTGGCTTGGCTGGCTAGCTGGCTGGCTTGGCTGGCTTGGCTTGGCTCGCTTGGCCTGCTGGCTTGGCTGCCTTGTCTAGCTGGCTGGATTGGCTTGCTTGGCTGCCTGGCTGGCTTGGCTGGCTTGGCTGCCTTGGCTGGCTTGGCTGGCTGGCTGGCTTGGCTGGCTTGGCTGGCTGATTGGCTTGGCTGGCTTGGCCGGCCGGCTTTCCTTTCTTGGCTGGCTGGCTTGGCTGGCTTGGCTGGCTTGGCTGTTTGGGTTGGCTTGGCTGGCTGGGGCGGCTGGGCTGGCTGGCTGGCTTGGCTGGCTGCCTTGCTTGGCTGGCTTGGCTGGCTGGCAGGCTTGGCTGGCTTGCCTGGCTGGCTGGCTTGGCTGGCTTGGCTGGCTGGAGGCTTGGCTGGCTTGGGTGGCTTGGCTGGCTTGGCTGGCTTTCCTGGCTGTCTGGCTTGGCTGGCTTGGCTGGCTGACTGGCTTGGCTGGTTTGGCTGGCTTGGCTGGCTGGCTAGCTGGCTCACTTGGCTGGCTTGGCTGGGTGGGTGGCTTAGCCGGCTTGGCTGACTGGCTTGGCTGGCTTGGACATTAAATATAATAATATATTTGGTACATTAAATATAAATTGTATACGTTAAATATAAACATCTTTTATACATCAAACATAAACATTTTATACATTAAATGTAAACATATCTTATATGTTAAATATAAACATCTTTTATACATTAAATATAAGAATACATTTGGTACATTTAATGTATACAATACATTAAATATAGACATTTTAGACATTAAATATAAGCATATATTCAGCACATTAAATGTAAACATATTTTATACATTAAATATAAATACTGTATATGTTAAATATAAATATGTATTTTCTATATTAAATATAAATATGTATCCTGTACATTAAATATAAACATATTTTCTATATTAAATATAAACATGTATTTTGCATAGTAAATATAACTATACATTTTCTATATTAAACATCAACATGTATTATGTATATTAAACATAAACATATATTTCCCATATTAAATATAAACATATATTTTTATATGTTAAATATAAATATATATTTCCTGTATTAAATATACACATATATATTAAATATAAATATATTTTTCTGTATGAAATGTAAACATATTTTAAACATTAAATATAAATATTCGTCTTAGATATGGCCCGTGTTGGAATGTGTAGTAGATTGAGTATATAATGTCTACTCAATATAAAATTTATATTTATATATGCAGTAATGATTCAAGTTGATTGTAGTTAAGAAAAACAAGCTCCAAATTCGAAAGAAATATGTAAGAAGAGAGACAGGAAGAAAAAATAATGAGGCAGGTAAATGCAACAGACAATTCGAGACCCACAAATGCAGAGCAGGCTTCCCAGACCCGGGTAATGTCTCCTGGGCTGATAGGAAGCCCTCAACCCCCCAAGTCCTTCTCAGCCGTAAACCGCCTGAGCACAGAGCCACAGGGACCGTGTTGGGGCTGGGCCTCCCGACTTCAGTTCCTCTCATTCTGTGCAAAAGGAAAAACAATTCAGAATCTACAGAGTTTTAGAGGTGTGCAGATGTGGACAGAGAAGTCCGGGCACAGTGGTTTACTGCCCAAGAAGACAGTGAGTCCCCGGAGGAATAGAAGAATATACATCATGCTAATATATGTCATCCCAGTACTTTGGGAGGCCGAGGCAGGTGGATCACTTGAGGTCAAGAGTTCGAGACCAGCCTGGCCAACATGGTGAAACCCCGTCTCTACTAAAAATACAGAAATTAGTTGGCCGCGGGGGTGGATGACTGTGATCCCAGATACTCGGGAGACAGAGGCAGGATGAACTGCTTGAACCTGGGAGGAGGAGGTTGCAGTGAGCTGAGATCATGCCATTGCACTCCAGCCTGGGGAAAAGAGCAAGATCCCGTCTCAAAGAAAAAAGAAAAAAAGAAAGAAGTTGTGAGTGCTAAGTTCTCTCTGGATTTTCAGGAGGCCAGTTCTCCAGTCCACGGTGGCCTGGGAGGACAGGGGTTCCTGAGGGTGAACAGAGCCTGTGCCCGGTCAGGTAGGATCATATGTCCCTGAAGTTCAGAACCCAGGAGCATGGGGATGGTCCTGGGGGTTCCTGCTGCACGGAGGGAAGACCCTCTTTCCACAGGGGCCCCGGAGAGCGAGAGGAAGGAGGAGGGCAGGTCAGTGAGTGTGATGGGGTCACAGTGGAGAGGGAAGCAGAAAGAAGTGTTCCCACAGCAAGACACACACAGTGTCCACGCTGAAGCTACAGAGAGGACCTCTCCACCTGTGTCTGCCGCAAAGCAGTGGGGCGTCTTCTGGCAGCCCAGAGTCACCTCCAGATCCCACCTGCACCATGCTTCCTGCGGAGACTGCCTGTCTTCCTAATACACTGTCTTCTGACCAGTCTTCCAGACAAATCACTGGTTGCTATATATATATATTTTTTAATAGCTAATATCTTACACTGATATATTTATATTATATATAAATAATTTTGTGCTTTATGTTTATGCTATATATACAGATGTAGTTAGTTATTTATGTTATATATAATATAAACATGATGTATATTCTTATATTTCTCTGGGGACTCACTGTCTTCTTAATACACTGTCTTCTGACCAAATTCTTCCAGACAAATCAGCTGTTGCTATATATATATATATGCTATATATTTTATTGCATAGAATATATTATATATTATATATTAATTATAGAATATATTATATATTATATATTAATTATATAATATATGTTACACATTACATATTATATATAATATATTATGCTATATCTTATATATTATATATGTTATATATGTATATATATTATATGTACACATATACACATACATACACACATGTATACTTTAATAGCTAATATCTTACACTGGTATATTTATATTACATATGATTATATACAAATATTTTTGTACTTTATGTTTGTGCTCTATATACAGATGTAATTAGTTGTTTATGTTATATATAATATAAACATGATGTATATTCTTATTTTCCTGTGAGGACCCACTGTCTTCTTAATACACTGTCTTCTGACCAAAGTCTTCCACACAAATCAGCAGTTACTATATATATATATAATATTTATATACACATATACACATACATACACACATATGTATATTTTAATAGCTAATATCTTACACTGATATATTTATATTACATATAGTAATATACTAATATTTTTGTACTTTATGTTTATACTATACATACAGATGTCGTGAGGTATTTATATTATATATAATATATTAACATGATGCACATTCTTGTATTCTCCTGGGGACTCACTGTCTTCTTAATACACTGTCTTCTGACTAGAATATTCCAGACAAATCACCGGTTGCTCTCTCTCTCTCTCTCTATATATATATATATTTTTTAATAGCTAATATCTTACACTGATATATTTATATTACATATAGTTATATACAAATATTTTTGTACTTTTGTTTATACTATATACACAGATGTAGTTAGCTATTTATGTTATATATAATATATCAACATGATGTATATTCTTATATTCCTCTGGAGACTCACAGTCTTCTTAATACACTGTCTTCTGACCAAACTCTTCCAGACAAATCAGCTGTTGCAGTATATATATATATTTATTTTTTAATAGCTAGTATTTTACACTGTGGCTCATGCCTGTAATCCCAGCATTTTGGGAGGCCGAGGCGGGTGGATCACCTGAGGTCAGGAATTTGAGACCATCCTGGCTAACACAGTGAAACCCCATCTCTACTAAAAATACAAAAATTGATTGGGTGTGGTGGTGCATGCCTGTAATCCCAGCTACTCGGGAGGCTGAGGCAGGAGAATCGCTTGAACCCAGGAGGCAGAGGTTGCAGTGAGCCGAGATCGTGTTGCTGCACTCCAGCCTGGGCAACAGAGCGAGACTTCATCTCACACACACAAAACAGCTTACACTGATGTATTTATATTACGTGTAGCTGTATATAAATATTTTTGTACTTATATTCTATATATTATAAAATATTATATAAAATTATACATGTATAATAAAATGTTACATAAAAATTTTAATATAATACCATTTTATTACATATATTTCTAAATTTAATATAATGAAATTTTATATATAATAATGTATAACATTTCTAAATTTATTATAATACAATGATATATAATTATTTTCTCATATTATAATTATACATAAGGTAATTTATTATAAATAAAATTTTATATAATCTACATTTATTATAATAAAATTTTATTACATATAACACATTTCTAAATTTAATACAATAAAATACTATGTATAATAATTTATAACGTTTCAAAATTTATTATATAATTTTATTATACAATTATACATAATTATATATAGTATATAATTGTATTTATAGAAATATAATGATGCATATGCAATATGTAATTTTATTTTTACACAGTATATATGCATAATTATGTATTAACAAATATAATAATATCAATTTTATATACTTATTTACATTAAGTTATATATTATATAAATGATGTTATATGTTATATATGTTACATATATTTTTGCTTAATATATTAAATTTAATCTATAAAATTATGTATTAGAAATAGAAGTATTTTACATATACACTACATATAACTTTATTTATATAAAAATATAAAAGTCATATGGTTAAGTTAATAAAATAATTTGTATCAATCTATTCATATAAAATATACACAATGCATATTTATATAAATACAAAGTATATAAAACTTTTACCAGTAGGATGCAAAGAGTTGCTGACCGTCTGCAGAAATCCTGAACCTCTGGAAGCAGAATAAAATCTTACCTCCCAGTCTGCTTTGAAAGGAACAGTAAAGCAGTCCCGAACCCCAAACCCACCCTAAAGGGAGATGGGGGAGTTGGGATGGACGCGTTGACCAGTGAGGACTTTCCTTTGCTGGTTTTGAGGTGTCTTAGCCCAGAAGCTAAGATGGGAAGTGATTCTGGAGCAGGTGAGCTGATCACAAGCCTGAGCCAAGAATCCATGGAGCTCATAAATAGCAGAAGCCAGGACCCTGTGCAAATCCTTCTGAAATATTCTCCATTTACTGGGCTCCTAGGGGTGGGGAAGAAAAATTCCCTGACATTTCGGCCTCAGGGAAAGAGAGAGACACCCCACTGGCCGGAAGCCTCTGCTATTTTTCAGAAGACAGCTGGGGCATCACCCTTTCCCAAATGACGGTGATTTTCAGAGTGGTTCACTTTTTGGAGAGACATTTCTGCCCTGGAGATCCATACATATTGAACCCAAATGAATATTTTTTAATAAAAAAAATTAAACTTTAGAAAGTTCAATATTGAGGCAGCTACGAGTATGAATTCCTCATTTTTCCTAAATGCATGTTGTCAAAATTTGTATTGCATTTAGTAACTACTTATGTTTCTAATGTATATAAGGTTACACAATGTTTTCTTCTTTTTCTGCTCCTCAGGGTCAGAATTTGAAATAAAAGTTTTGGAAAGAAAAAACACTCTTGTCTGTTTGTGCAAAAATAAAATAACCCATATTTTAAGAATATTTTAAAATAAATACAAATTTTGTGTGGGGGGGTTGCTTATAAGAATTCTTCATATCCTAAATCAAAGATAGATCTTGTTATTAACCAGAAAACAAAATGTGTGTGTATAAATGTACAACACTCTTACACTCACACAAACACAGGCACACATGCACACACACACATTCATGCACTCACTGATGTACTCACACAAACACAGGCATTCATGTATAAATACACACATAAGCGTGTATTTATAGAAATATAATTATGCACATACAATATATAATTTTATTTTTACATAGTATATATACATAATTACGTATTAACAAATATAATAAGATCAATTTTATTATATACTTATTTACATAAAGATATATTATATAAATGATGTTATATGGCATGTATATATCACATATAACTTTGCTTAGTATATAAAATTTAATCTATAAAATTATGTATCACAAATAAAAGTATATTTTACATATACACTATATATAACTTTATTTATATGAACTATAAAAATCATGTTTATATTAATAAAATATATTTATTTATATCAATATATTAATATAAAGTATGCACAATGTATATTTATATAAAAATTTTTAATTAAAAAATATTCATTTGGGTTCAATATGTATGGATCGCCAGGGCAGAAACGTCTCTTCAAAAGGTGAACCGTTCTTAAAATCACCGTCATTTGGGAAAGAGTGATACCCCACCTGTTTTCTGAGAAACAGCAGAGGCGTATGGCCAGCGGGGTATCTCTCTCTTTCCCTGAGGCCGAAAAGTCAGGGAATTTTTCTTCCCCACCCCTAGGAGCTCTGTAAACCGGGGATATTTCAGAAGGATTTGCACAGGGTCCCGGCTTCTGTTGTAAATGAGCTCCATGGATTCTCGGCTCAGACTTGTGATCAGCTCACCTGCTCCAGAATCACTGACACAAATGCAACCACACACTTACACAAACACACATCAACACAAAGAATCACAAAACACACTCATAGAAACACATGGACACACGAAGACATGCACACTCACACAAATGCAGGGACACACAAACACAATTACAAAAATGTGTGGGTTTTTTGCACACGTGGGTGCACATGCACATTGACATTCTCACAAAGCACACAAACACGTATACATACAAAGTCACTCATAAACAGAAACATGCAAACACTCTCATATAAACACGTGGATGGCTACTCACCCACATAGACACTCATATATGTCATACACACTCATACACACACTCAGAATCACACAAGCACACACAAACACATAAATACAGTCACACACTCATGGAAACACAGTCACAAAAAGACTCACATAATCATGTGGACACACAAACATAAAAATTCACACACTGGGGCCGGGCAAGGTGGCTCACGCCTGTACTCCCAGAACTTTGGGAGGCCGAGGCGGGCAGATAACTTGAGGTCGGGAGTTCCAGACCAGCCTGGCCAACATGGTGAAACCCCGTCTCTACTCAAAAATACAAAAATTAGCCAGATGTAGTGGCTTATGCCTGTAATCCCAGCTACTCAGGAGGCTGAGGCAGGAGAATCATTTGAACCCGGGAGGCAGAGGTTGCAGTGAGCCAAGATCATGCCACTGCACTCCAGCCTGGGCGACAGAACGAGACTCCGTATCAAAAAAGAAAAATTAGCCAGATGTGGCGGTGGGTGCCTGTAATCCCAGGTACTCAGGAGGCTGAGGCAGAAGAATTGCTTGAACCCGGGAGGCGGAGGTTGCTGTGAGCTGAGATTGTACCTTTGCACTCCAGTATGGGTGACAGAGCGAGACTCCATCTCAAAAAAAAAAAAAAGAATTTATACATTGCCATACAGATTCACACACATACACTCATATTCACAAACAGACAAATACGATAAACGCAGGGGCACACAAAAACACCATCACAAAAACACACTTCCATAAAACACAGGAATGCACGCTCACACAGAAACACGCATGGAAACACACATTGTCTTACAGACTCACAGACACACTCATCATCACATAAACAGGCACACACACACACAGCCACACAAGCACACACCCACACCCACATCAACACACACACTCCCACACGGCACACATGCGCTCACGCACACAGGTAGAACAGGCCTGCATTACCTGATAACGCAGTTAAATCAGACGTGATGCTGCCTGCTGAGGAGACCTGGAGGCTTCCCATGAATGGGCTTTCAGAAGAGAGGTCTCTGGGTGCATTTGGTGACACCCCAGGCAGTGGGGGAGACGTCCAGGCTGGAAGGCCAGACACAGCCAGCTCTGCCCAAGGATGCCACGTCCATTTGCTTCAGTAGGATATGTACCCTGGAAACCCAGCTTCCTGCCTCTCCAGGAAACCCCACTGAGGTCAGCACATCCCCCCAGGTTTAGAAGGGGTCTCTGGGTGCATCTGGTGACACCCCAGGTGGGGGGGAGACATCCAGGCTGGAAGGCCAGCCACAGCCAGCTCTGCCCGCGGATGCCACGTCCATTTGCTTCAGTAGGATCTGCATCCTGTAAACCCTGGTTCCTGCTTCTCCAGGACACCCCACTGAGGTCAGCACTCTCCCCAGGTTTAGAAGGGGTCTCTCAGTGAAATGTGGTGACACCCCAGGCAGAAGGGGGGATGCCACAGCCAGCTCTGCCCGCGGATGCCACGTCCATTTGCTTCAGTCGGATCTGCACCGTGGATACCCAGGTTCCTGCCTCTCCAGGACACCCCACTGATGTTAGCACACCCTCCAGGTTTACAAGCGGTCTCTGGGTACATTTGGTGACACCGTAGGCAGAGGGGGGACACCACAGCCAGCTCTGCCCGCGGATGCCACGTCCATTTGCTTCAGTAGGATCTGCACCCTGTAAACCCTGGTTCCTGCCTCTTCAGGACACCCCACTGAGGTCAGCACCCCCCACCCCCCACCCCCAGGTTTGTGCAGCTTCACTGTCTGGGGAGGGACACAGAAAGACCACATTCGGTGGAATTCTGGCTATAACCTTTTGTGGCCGGCAAGAAGGATCACCAAGCTGTCCTGTTACCTTGCTGGAGTGATCACTGGCTTCACGCTTGGCCCCCGTGCAGTGAGTGCCTGGGCCAGGCTCGATTCTTGGAGCTCCAGTGAAATTTGGGCTTGGAGCTCACGCCTGCACCATCCAGAAAGCAGAAGGCAGCTGGCCCGGGCTGTACGGTTCGTAGAATCAGAGAGAACACTGCTTGCCTTCATGTCTGTACCACAATAAATCTGCCAACTGTGGTCAAAGTCTCTGGATTCCTGCCCCCTCATTTTATTTTGTCTATTATGGAGTGGAAGGAGTGAGAAAGATTTTGCTTCCTATTTTGTTTTGCAAGGCGTTTCTAAGAAAAACAACCCGTGTTCTGCAAACGAGATTCTGAGTGTCCCCTGGGCGTGATGAAAACAAACTTTGGGAATCCAAGGGCCTGAGAGGCAGAGTGAATGTCATTCACATTTCCCTGCGAATGACAAAGTCACTTTTTATTATTATTATTATTATTATTATTATTATTATTATTATTATAATTATAGATTCAGGGGATCCATGGGCAGCTTTGTGTCCTGGGGATATTGTACAATGCTGAGGTTTGGGGTATGAATAATCCCGTCACCCAGGCACTGAGCATTGTACATTCCTGAGGTATATAATGTGTACTAAAAATAAAATGTATATTTATATATGCACTAATGATTCAACTTGATTCCTTGTAATTAAGAAAAACAAACCCCAAATTCGAGAGGAGTTCTAGAAATATATAAGAAGAGGGCCAGGCGCAGTGGCTCATGCCTGTAATCCCAGCACTTTGGGAGGCCAAGGCAGGCAGATTACCTGAGGTCAGGAGTTCGAGACCAGCCTGGCCAACATGGTGAAACCCCGTCTCTGCTAAAAATACAAAAATTAGCCAGGTGTGGTGGCAGGTGCCTGTAGTCCCAGCTACTTGGGAGGCTGAAGTAGAAGAATTGCTTGAATCCAGGAGGCAGAAGTTGCAGGGAGCCAAGATTGCACCACTGCACTCCAGCCTGGGTCACAGAGTGAGACTCCATCTCAAAAAAAAAAAAAAAGAGAGAGAGAGAGAGAGAAAACAAACAAGCAAGAAAATGCAACAGAAAAATCCGTGACCCAAAGATCTCTCCAGTTGCTGCCTTCTGCCTGAAATTCAAAGAATCTCAGGGTAGTTTTTCAACTCTTGTACCCCCGCCCCTGCTTCCTACTCTATTAGTCCTGAGGGTCTGTGGTGCTCCTTCATTGTGTCCAGGTGCAGGCAATGTTTAGCTCCCACCTATAAGCAAAAACATGTGGTATTTTATTTTCTGTTCCTGGCGTTAATTCACTAAGCATAGTGCCCTTCAGCTTCATCCATGTGACTGCAAAGGGCATGATTTTATTCTTGTTCATGGCTGTGTAGTATTCCATGATGCGGAAGGATCACATTTACTTTATCTAATTGAGCACATGTGGTATTTGATTTTCTGTTTCTGGCATTAATTCACTAAGCATAATTCCCTTCAGCTTCATCCACGTTGCTGCAAAGGGCATGATTTTATTCTTGTTCATGGCTGTGTAGTATTCCATGATGCAGAAGGACCACATTTGCTTTATCTAGTGCAGAACATGTGGTATTTGATTTTCTGTTCCTCATATTGATTCACTAAGCATAATGCCCTCTGGCTGCATCCATGTGGCTGCAAAGACATGATTTTATTTTTTTCATCACTGTGTAGTATTCCGTGGTGTAGAAGGGCCACATTTGCTTTATCCAGTTGAGAACATGTAGTATTTCATTTTCTGTTCCTGGCATTAATTCACTAAGCATAATGTCCTTCAGCTGTGTCCATGTGGCTGCAAAGGACATGACATTATTCTTTTTCATGGCTGTGTAGTATTCCATGACGTAGAAAGACCACATTTGCTTTATCTAGTGGAGAACATGTGGTATTCCATTTTCTTTTCCTGGCGTTAATTCACTAAGCATAATTCCCTTCAGCTGTGTCCATGTGGCTGCAAAAACATGATTTTATTCTTTTTCATGGCAGTGCAGTATTCCATGGTGTAGAAGGGCCACAATTGCTTTATCCAGTCAAGAACATGTGGTATTTGATTTTCTGTTCTTGTGTTAATTCATTAAGCATAATGCCCTCCAGCTACATCCATGTGGCTGCAAAGGACATGATTTTATTCTTTTTCATGGCTGTGTAGTATTCGATGCTGTAGAAGAACCACTTTTGCTTTATCCGGTACCCCACTGATGGGCAACTAGGTTGATTCCATGACTTTCCTATTGTAAGTCGTGCTGTGATGAACCTTACAGGGCCAGGCACTGTAATCCCAGCACTCTGGAGGGCCAAGGTGGGCAGATCACCTGAGGTCAGGAGTTCGAGACCAGCCTGGTCAATATGGTGAAACCCTGTCTCTACTAAAAATACAAAAATTAGCCAGGCATGGTGGTGCATGCCTGTAATCCCAGCTGCTCAGGAGGCTGAGGCAGGAGAATCACTTGAACCCTGGAGACAGAGGTTGCAGTGAGCCGAGATTGCTACTGCACTCCAGCATGGGAAATAGAGCGAGACTCCATCTCAAAAAACAAACAAAAAAGGAACTTTACCATGCGTGTGTCTTTTTGGTAGAATGACTTCTTTTCCTTTGGGTAGATGCCCAGTCTTGGAATTGCTGGTGCAAATGGTGGAGCAGTTTGGATTCGGGAGGTACATGTACAGGTTTCTTACATGGGTACAATGTGTGATGCTGAGGTCTGGGGTATGAGTGATCCCATCACCCAGGTAGTGAGCATAATACCCCACAGTTGGTTTTTTCAACTCTTGTCCTTCTACCTTCCTCTCTCCCCCTAACTAGACCCCAATATCTGTTCCCTTCTCTGTGTCTACATATACGCAACATTTAGCTCCCACTTATAAGTGAGAACACGCAGCATTCTGTTAATTTACTTAAGATAATGGCCTCCACACTGTTCACAATAGCAAAGATGTGGAACCAACCCAAATGCTCATCAGTGATAGACTGGATAAAGAAAATGTAGCACATAGACACTGTGGAATACTATGCAGCCATGAAAAAGATGAGTTCATGTCCTTTGCAGGGACATGGATGAAGCTGGAAACCCTCATGTTCAGCAAAGTGACACAGGAGCAGAAAACCAAACAGTGCATGTTCTCACTCATAAGTGGGAAGTGAACAATGAGAACACATCGACCCAGAGAGGGGAACATCACACACTGGGGCCTATTGCAGGGGTGGGGGACTGGGGGAGGGACAGCATTATGAGAAATATCTAATGTAGATGATGGGTTGATGGGTGCAGCAAACCGCTATGGCACATGTATATCTATGTAACAATCCTGCACATTCTGCACATATACCCCAGAACTTAAAGTAGAATAGAAAAAATAATAATAAAAATAATTAAAAAAAATAATGGCCTCCAGCTACATCCATGTTGCTGCAAAAAAAAAAAAAAACAAAAAAAAAAAACCATGATTTTGTTCCTTTTCAGGGTTGCGTAGTAGTCCATGGTGTAGATGTACCGCATTTTCTTTGAGGGTGGAGGGTGGGAGGAGGGAGAAGATCAGCAAAAATAACCTGTGGCTGGGTATGGCAGCTCACACCTGTATTCTCAGCAGTTTGGGAGGCTGAGGTGGGTGGATCACCTGAGGTCAGGAGTTTGAGATCAGCCTGGCCAACATGGCAAAACCCTATCTCTACTAAAAGTACAAAAATTAGCCGGGCATGGTGGTGCATGCCTGTAATCCCGGCTCCTCTGTAGGTTGAGGCAGGAGAATCTCTTGAACCCAGGAGGCAGACATTGCAGTGAGCTGAGATCGTGCCACTGCCCTCCAGCCTGGGCCACAGAGTGGGACTCCATCTCAAAAAATAATCATAAAAATAATAATAACAACCTGCTAGGCTTAGGACCTAGGTTGATTCCATTACAAAAAAAAAAAAAAAAAAAAAAAAAAAAAAAAAACCCTAACTTTTTTTTTTTTTTTTTTTTTTTTTTTGAGACGGAGTCTCACTCTGTCGCCCAGGCTGGAGTGCAGTGGCGCGATCTCGGCTCACTGCAAGCTCCGCCTCCCGGGTTCACGCCATTCTCCTGCCTCAGCCTCCCGAGTAGCTGGGACTACAGGCGCCCGCCACCACGCCCGGCTAATTTTTTGTATTTTTAGTAGAGACGGGGTTTCACCGTGTTAGCCAGGATGGTCTCGATCTCCTGACCTCGTGATCCGCCCGCCTCGGCCTCCCAAAGTGCTGGGATTACAGGCGTGAGCCACCGCGCCCGGCCAAAACCCTAACTTTTTAAAAGAAGGATCTCTCTGTTCAAAAACAAAACCAATGCCCTGTCAGGAAAGATGTTCTGTGTTTCTGGTAAAGCTGGAAGGAACCTACAGGAAGGAGTCACCCCATAAAACTAGTGGAGCAGCATTGCCTTTTGGGGTGAGGGCTGCTTCTGTTAGGCCACCAGGATGAGTGCCTTCCTGGGGAGTGTGGTTCATCCTATACCATCCAGGAAGCAATTCCTGCCCCCAAATCACCTGCCAGCTTCTGCCCTGTAAGTAAAATCCCCAGCAAGCGGGCAGCAAGGAGCTGCTTGCCTTGGAAGGCAGCTGAAGTCTCTGCTCACCACCCAGACTGTGTCCTCTGGGCAAGGCCAGGGCTTCCAGTTGGATGGTTTTCACATTAGCGGCTGCTGTTTAGAATCATCAACATTGGCCAGGCGCGGTGGCTCACGCCTGTCATCTCAGCACTTTGGGAAGCCGAGGCGGGTGGATCACAAGGTCAGGGACCAGCCTGGCCAACATGGTGAAACCCTGTCTCAACTAAAAAAAGAAATACAAAAATTAGCTTGGTGTGGCTGGGCATGGTGGCTCATCCCTGTAATCCCAGCACTTTGGGAGGCCGAGGTGGGCAGATCATGAGGTCAGGAGATCAAGACCATCCTGGCTAACATGGTGAAATGAAACCCCGTCTCTACTGAAAATACAAAAAATTAGCCAGGCACGGTGGCAGGCACCTGTAGTCCCAGCTACTCGTGAGGCTGAGGCGGAAGAATGGCATGAACCTGAGAGGTGGGGTTTGCAGTGAGCCCAGATTGCACCACTGCACTCCAGCCTGGGCGATATAGAGTGAGACTCTGTCTCAAAAAAAACAAAAAAATAAAAAATTAGCCTGGTGTGGTGGTGGGCACCTGTAATCCCAGCTACTCAGGAGGCTGAGGCAGGAGAATTGCTTGGACCCCGGAGGCAGAGGTTGCAGTGAGCCGAGATCGCACCATTGCACTCCAGCCTAGACAACAGAACAAGACTCTGTTGTAAAAAAAAAAAAAAAAAAAAAAAAAAAAAAAAAGAATCATCAACATTGCCTTGGCCCAATCTCTTCCCAGACTTGTCAAATCTTTACCACTGGACCTCCATGTTCTAGTTTCAAAGCTCTGCTGGCCACAGTGGCTCATGTCTGTAATCCCAGCACTTTGGGAGGCTGAGGTAGGAGGACTGCTTGAACCCAGGAGCATGAATCCATCCTAGGCAACATAGTGATAATAGTGTCAAATGAGAGCCAGTGTCCAGTAATTCCCCAAATATCTGAGAATTTTCTTTTCTTTAAGTCACAGTCATCCTGGCAGAAGGCTGTAGGTCCCTTTGGGGAAGACTGGGAAAAAGATTAACAATGTAAATTTTTGGCAATGTAGCAGCGTACTTCCCCAAGATCACCCAGCCTCCCCTTCACTTAAGGGGTTGTGGGCCTGTGAACTGGCTCAAGTCTGGGAATTGATTGAGGGTTTTAGATCTGTGTTTCATTAATTTGAGTTAGTCTTTTATTCAGTTGACCTAGAATTCTTCATTTTTTAAAGAACAACTAAGACTTTGGTACAGCCCATTAGCTCTCCCTGTGGATACCGTGGACTACACAATGCCGTGGGTGTCTGTGAGTCAAGCCATTCTGACTGCTGCTTTGACACTGCTTTCCACTGTGGTGACCACACCCACCTCATCTTTGGTGATTAAGGACAGCCCATGTTCCCTGCCACCCCAGGATTCAATTATCCTCATTTTACTTAAAGATCCCAGTCCAGTGGCTGCAGTTCCTGCTGTAACATTTTGCCTACTGAGAGCACAAGCTCAAAGCTCTTCCAGGATACTGGGCTCCTCTCACAATATTCTTTCTCATGATCGTTGTGAGGAGTATGTTCCGTAGACCCTCCAGTGTGAGTGAGCAGGTCTGACATAATAAATCCAGTCTCCCTGAGTTTTTGCATACCTTTCTGTACACATAAACCAAGGAAGTTGTGGCATCTCAACTTTATGTACCTTAGGTAAACTCTGATTCTGTTTCAGCCAACCAACCAAGTCACCAAACAAATAAGCAAACAGCCAACCAATCAACCAACAAGCAAGCAAGCAACAAACCAACCAAACAACCAAGCAAGGAAGCAAGCACCAACCAACCAAGCAAGCAACCAACCAAGTAACCGATCAAACCAACCCTTGGAGCCCTTTCTAAAGCTTTGACCTACAACCCTGAGTCCAGAATCTCTGTTTAGTGGGCCAACATTAATAAATTTAGCCTAATCCAACTTTATGTTACTTCCACCATGGTGCCACACACTTAATATCCATTCCCACATATATTCTCCAGATTTCCTTCTGTATAAATTGCGTGTGTGTGTGTGTGTAGAAAGAGAGCATCAACTGAAAAATCACACAATTTTATAAATTTAGAAAGGAGAGCTTTATTTCTTATATAGGTTTGCAGTCTGCAAGGTGGCCATTATGACAGGCTGGGAAGTGTGGCCTACAGCCAAGGCCAGAGGCAGGCATTTCCAGGGAGGGAAGGAGAGGACAGGAATTTGAGCCAAATGAGTTGGCTACATATACATACTCAATAGGATATCAGAGGAGCTATATCATTTTATGAGAATACTCATAAAAGAGGTCCTAATGCATGCACATTCAATAAACATGCATGTTCATTCTGGGGTGGAGACTTGACATTTAAATGTATTATAATTAGGCCCTACACATCAAAAAGTGAAGCAGGGACATGAAGGTACTCAGCCTCTGTAAAGGCACTGCCTCCAAAACTGGCCAGAACGAGTCCATGGAGGATGGTCTCTTATCAGGAGAAAGTTACTGAAATCAGTCCCTTGTCCAGAGAAAGCTGTCATTAAGGTTAGTGGGGCAGGAGATCAGTTACTCAGCGTCTGTGAACTGGGTGAGTTGTAATTGTTTTAATCTTGCTTCTCTCACAGCCAGTGCTTGCTTGGTTGCTAGAGAAAAATAAAACCCATGTGGTAGTTAGAATCTAGTTAATTCTTTAAGAGTAGGGTACAAGACTTAACGCTCGCCTGGCATGGCCCTAGGTCCTGTTTATAATTTGAGGTCTTATTGCCACAAAGAGTCTGTTCTGTCAGTCTCATGATCTCTATTTTAACATTAATGCTGTTCAGTTGTTGGGTCTAAACCATAAGAGGGAGGGAGGTACAGGGAGGTATGTCTGACCTCCTGTCCTGTCATGGCCAAGAACTGAATTTTAAGATTTATTTGAGGTTCCGTTGGCCAACAGGGGGTCTGTTAAGTCGGGTGGGGGGCTTAGGATTTTATTTTTAGTTTTCAAGGGAGATAAAATAATTTAATCAATTGGCCCCCGTGACTGTGGGATTAACATGGCTATGATCTGTCGGACAGACTTCACGCTGGCACCCAGGCAAAATTCTATGCTGTAGTAAATGCATCATGCACATTTGTAACAACACGTACATAACAATGTCACAAAATACTTTCACGGTGACACCTAGATTAGTATTTTATTGAATAGCTGATGATATAAACTGGCTCATTTGATGCCAAGACTGACCATCACCACCATACCAAGGTCATCACTGATCAGAGGCCTAACCCAAGGAGGGGGTCATGTGCAGACCCAGCAGTGGGGAGGAAAGATGCTGCAGAGGAGACGGATGCCCACAGAGGCCCCTGAGCAGACACAATGCTCACTAAGTGGTAAGTATAGACTCAACGTAGGCTGTAAGGTCTCCCCCTGTGCAAATGGGACCCCGTCCACTTGAGAGTCAAGGGTCTGTTTGGGTGGCAGGGATAGCCACTTCTGAAGGTAGAAAGGAAAATAAGCCACCAATTTGGTAGCTTTCTGTGAAATGGACATCGTGCTTAGAATCTCCATTTTCCCCACAACCTGGAGGAATAAGTACTGTCATCTGCATTTTGTAGCTGAAGAATCTGACTCAACAAAATTAAATTACTCGCCTAAGCAATTAGCAATTAACCAAGTCTTTCTGACTCAGAAACCCAGCTGTTGCCTGTTCATATCCAGCCCCTGTATTGGGGTCAAGATCTGGCCTGTTCTCAATGCAGCAAGATCCAGGCAGATCACACTGGACTCCCAGCACTGAATCTGGCTCGAGGGGACATCAAATTTGACTGGGTCATGGGGCTCAGGAGCATCACTCTCAAAAATAGCAGTACAGGAAGAGGCGATGGCCCTAAACAGCATTTGCAGGCAGATCCCATGTTAATCGTAAGGGTCAGGACTCTCACTTTTCTGTCTCTCTCTCTGTCTCTCCTCTAGGGCTGACCCCACATTGGACACCACTACATCCATGTCCATCACACACCACAGCTGCCTTTTCTTCTGCCTGCTTATGGGAAAGTCCCCTCCTCTCCTCCATTTTCTTCTCTTCCTGCCCTATCACACCGTGCACTTCTCCCTTTCCTTAAAGAACCACCATCAACTTTAGGAGGAGGGAAAGGGGTGGCTCTGGCAGGAAAAGCCAGAATCCCCTCTAGCCAGCAGAGAGAGAGGAATGGCTGCCTGTTTTCTCCCCCAGTCCAAGGCACTAGGTTTTGGCTAGGTTGCAGGTTCCAAGCTGCTCTCCTGCTGTGTCGGTGAGTTCTGGTCAACCTGCAACCTCCTGATGTGGCCACTGCAGTTCATCGAGTCTTCAGGGACTCCCCATGGCCTGGAGTACTTTGCCTTGCTTACACGGGAGAGGAGAATGGATTTATAGGGAACATCATCTAAATCCAACTTGACCATTGTGTGGCCACACTTGCTAGATTGCTATAGTCTAAATCTAGCATTGTAGAAAGACGGGGGAGCTTGGAGCTGCACAAACCCAGGTCTGGAACTGGCTCCTTACCTTGAAAGGTGAATGATCCTGGCAGGACTCTTAGCCTCCCTGGGCCTCAGTTTCTTTATCTGTTTCTTGCTGGTTGGTTGGGTGATGTGGGGGCTGTGTGAAAACAGCTTGTCAATACAAGCCGAAATAGGAATATTTCTCCACAGAGTATGAAGGTCAAATGAGAGAATACATTTAAATTAAATGGAAAATTAAAATGGCAGAAAAGGCAAAGTTGTATTGAAAGTTCCGAGCTTCTCTATAAGGAGCTTTTTGACTATGTAAGAATCCGGTACTCGTTCCCCCTAAATATAAAAAAAAAAGTTGAAGGAGGAAGAAGGGAGAGTGATGCATGATGGGCGAGGACTTCACCTGCTGTTGCTGGCTTTGAGGATGGAGGAAGGAGGCCACAAACCTAGAAGCTGGAGCCCCTAGAAGCTAGAAAAGGCAGGGACCCGATTCATCCCTTGAGCCTCCAGAAGGGACATAGCCCCGCCAGCACCTTGACTTTAGCCCAGTGAGATCCTCTTAGGACTTTTGGCAACCAGAACTATAAGACAGAAATGGAAGCCACTGAGTCTGTAGCTGTTTGTTGCAGCAGCAATAGAAAACTAATGCAGAGCCCAAGAAATCACTGGTGATGAGATGGGGAAGTGGGCTCAGGAGGTCTGGATCTGTGATGAGATGGGGAAAGTGGGCTCAGGAGGTCTGGATCTGTGATGAGATGGGGGAAGTGGGCTCAGGAGGTCTGGATCTGAGTTGGGGATCTGGAGTGGAAGGGGAATTCATTTGTTCATTGTCTATCCTTTTGCATTGATTGAGTTTTTTTCTATATATACATACATACATACATATATATATATATATATATATGTGAATTTTCACAATAAAAGTTTTTTCCAAAATAAAATAAACAAAAGGGGCTTTTTGCAACCCAATTCCTATCTATGTCTGAGTCCACTTGTATTGAATGAGTCTTTCTGCTAACGTCCTTATATTTGGGTGACAATCTGAATGTCAGTGACCAATCAGAGCAGAGGCAGACCTTGGAGTGGGCAGGGCACCCTGAGGGCCCTGATTCCCGCCATGAGGCATAACCCTTTAGGTGCCAGACCACGGGGAGGTCCAGGGGTTGCAGGGGAGGGCTGTGCATCTGCAATGACTCTCAGGGGGCTCCCGGTGGTGGCAATTGGTGAATCTGCACGGTGGTGTTTCAATATTGTCACAATCCTGCTGTCTCTCATGCTCTTAAAAAGCATTTCTCTTACCTGTGACAGACTTCCTATACCTAACAGCTTGCAAAAATTTTCCAGGTTAATGAGAATAATCTCTCGGAGCCATACCTCCCTGCTTGGGGTCTCAGTTTCCCCAACTGTCTCCAGACAAGTTAGGCTGGAAGGCCCCTGAGCCTCAGCCCCTCTATACCCCTCCTGTCACCCAGACCTGATCTGGGTCTTGCACCCTGGGTGCAGCAAGACAGGGGTGGGCAGGGGCTGGCTCTGGGCCAGAGGACCCTTTCTGATGGACTTCAGCTGTTGGCCTTCCAGGGGAGACTGATCAACCTCACAAGAGTCATACGGTGAGTAGCAGTGGGCAGATCCATCCCCCTCGTCTTAGATTTATGGGGAGACAGAGAGAAAGAGGAGACACTCCAGGAAGACCTGCAGGTGGGAGTACCAGGTTGAAACCAAGGACACATTCCTGGAGGAGCTGCTGTTTGAGCCAGCTCTGAGAACAGGTGGGGACAGGACTGGAGAGGAGGAGGGGGTCCCCTATGAGCAAAGACTGGCCACCACCCCATCTAACACCCCCACAGGGCCCCTGTGGCATCCCTGTCCAGTCCCTGTCACCACCCAGTTTTTCCCTCTGGACCCAGGAATTCAAAGTAAGCAAGGAGGTCCACTGCTCCAGTTGACTGCAAATAATTACAACCTTGAGCCCAAGCAGCACTTTGGGTCCTGGTTTGGGACCATGAAGCGGCTCGGTGAGACTGAGAGGTAAGGCCAGGACAGGAATTGGGATAGTAGGATTGAACTCTCCCTGGGGGCCAGCCTCAGAAAGCCTGTGGCCATGGCCTCTTGGCCAACATCAGATCCTGTGGTCTGGCAATGCCTGGGGTACCCAGACCTCACTCTGGACAGGCCCTGGGAGGGGGCCCTGGTGAGATTCCTGGCAGCCTCACAGCCACTCTTCTGTCCATAGCTACAACATGTCATGCCAGCTGGAGGCTCCATCCCAGTTGGCTGGGAGCACAAAGGCCAGGAAGATAGACATCACCCACCACTGGGGCCAGTCGGGGCCTGAACCAGGGCGGGCAGAGGTTGGCTGCCTTGGGATATGGGTGGGCTCAGGGAGTCAGACAGCAAGGGACTAGCTTCCCATCCTACTGCTGACCAGCTCTGTGACTGGGGAGAGTCACCTTACTTCTCTGGGCCGAGTTTCCCCCTCTGTGGAGTGACACTAAATGCTCTCTCTGGAGACTGGGATCAATAGGGCACTGGTGATTGACCAGGCACTCAGCACATGCCTGGAGCACACAGTGCAGGGCTGTGGTGGGGAGGTGGCCTGAGTTCCTGGGGAGTCACCCATGTGTGCCTGCCCTTCTGACCAGCCACCAGGCCCTCAGGGCAGAGCCTACTACCAGCAGCAGCTCACACCCCGACACCAGCTCAGAGGCAGCCCCTACCTCAGCAGCAGGGACATCACGGACACTTTGAGCTGCTACTAGGGTGGCTTCCCCAGCTCCCACGTGGAGAGGGGTCCCAGCTGAGTCCCACTCACGTGGAGTCTCATGCCCATGAAAGTGCCATTCACCACTGGTCAGGCTCATGAGGCCGCATGAGAGGGGGGGTCACTGGGGAGGAGATATCGGGGTAACAGAGAGGGTGGTTGAATTTTTGTATAATAGGCAGTGCAAGTGTTTACCGTTTGGGAGGGGAAAGGTTTGTTATTATTAGCAATGCTACACTTGAATATTATACTAAAATCCACTTTCTCTATAACCTGGGAGTTGCTCTTTTGTTCTTTCTTTTCCCATCTTAATTAAAATGAGATGCAGACTCTCACGGTCCACAGTCGATTAAGAAATCTTGCACGGCCATCAGGTTATGTCTTGGAGAGCAGAGTTTCAGTACCATCAGCCTGGCAAGGAGCCGGGCCTGCTCCTCAGAGCTCCCGGGACTGTGAGAATTGGCATGTTCACAGGGCACTGTCACAGCCTCTGAAACACGCTGTCTTTAAAGACGTTTGCAGGCTGGACGCGGTGGCTCACTCCTGTAATCCCAGCACTTTGGGAGGCAGAAGCGGGTGGCTCACTTGAGGTCAGGAGTTCGAGACCAACATGGCCAACATGGCAAAACCCCATCTCTACTAAAAATACAAAAAATTAGCCAGGTGTGGTGGCAGGTGCCTGTAATTCCAGCTACTCGGGAGGCTGAGGTAGGAGAACTGCTTGAACCCAGGAGGCGGAGGTTGCAATGAGCAGAGATCACACCACTGCACTCCAGTCTGGGCAACAAGAGCAAAACTTCATCTCAAAAAAAAAAAAAAAAAGAACACAAAGACATTTGCAAGGACCATGTCCTCACCCAGAATGGTGCCTGCCTTTCTACAGTTTTTCAGGAAGAGGAAACATTTTCTGCTTCTCTCGCTGAGGTTTTTTTTAACCACCCATTAGGAACGTACAGATTTCAGGATCGAACACTGGGATTCCCTCAGCACTAAAGGAGGAAAATTGCAAACAGAGCTGAAAGTGCAATGTGCAAAGGTCAGGCTGAGGAAGGTTCTTAGCCAGTAGACCAAGGGCAGGAAGGACACTGCCTCCTCAGTCTCCCACTTTGTGATTCTTGTCCCCTGACCTCAGAATTCCTTGTCATGTTTTGTCTCCAAGGGAAGGGTTTGAATTACAGAATTTAAGGCTAGAGTGGGCCTCGTGCAGTTAACATTAACCCTCTCTCTCCTTTGCTGGCCGAGGTGAAGTCCAGAAACATGTAGTTCTGATGTCCACTCTCTCGGGGGATCACCAGTTCACCCATCTCACCCGGCAAGCTGGGCCCTAGTTTGGTGACAGGCATCTTCCACCCACCTGGGAGGCAGGGTTCAATACTCTGCCTCTGACCTTGTTTCCTTCTTCTGCCATCTGCTTAGGCAGCCAGAAGGGGTTGTCCAGCCAGCACCTGGGCTTTGGCCCTCCTCAAGAAGGTGGAGGAAGTTTCAGGCACCTGGCTCCTCAGGTGTCTGCCATCCAGGTGCTCTTCAGGCCTGCCCAGAAGAGCTCTCTTGATCCAGCTAGAACTGGCCAGAACTGACTCACTCAGGAATGTGTAGACTTTGACATCAGGGGCTGCTTTAATTTGCACAATTTCCAAATACCTCTTTTTTCTTCTTTTTCTGATGAGTCATCTCCCTAGACTTGCATTTTAAAGAGATAGATAGTTATCAGATTCCAGAGAAGACATGGTAGAACATTTATATGTCAAAGACACAGAGCTGAGACTTTAGTTTTAGATACTATAATTTGCCTAAACCAAAAAGGAAGGTGTAGGTAAAGTTCTAGTCAAGACAGGATGGCCAGGAAAAACACCTTAAACCAAGGGACGGCTTGCTTTGCTGATTTAAGCCAATGGCTTCTTTATCATAAGACTTCCCAGTGATTTAGTCCTCCCTCTCTTCCAGTGCACAGAGACATACCCCTCCTTACAAATAAAAATGTTCTTTATAGATGGAAATTTATTTTACAAAAATGTTTCAAAATAACCAGATGAAAATCATCCTTATGCCAGAAAGACTTGGTTTTTTTTTTTTCATTACTAGAAATGAAACAGTAAGTATTTGTTGTATTGACATACTTAGGCTTAGAACTATGTTTAACAAGAAAGCCTAATAATAGCACTGTGGTTAGACTGCAGCCTATTTTTCCAAACCATCATTTTATTATTAAGGAAACGAAGGATCAAATACCTTTCATTCATCTGATATGATCCTTTAAAACACATTCCACTAATAAGTCCCATTTGGAACAGCTGAAAATCTTTTAATAAAACTTTTTAAAGATGAGCTCATGGCTTAGTGTAAATTTCACAAGCTTAATTAGGTCAAATGGAAGGAACTCAGATGAGTAGTTGCCCAATCAGAGCCCATTATTTGTAAGTCATCAGACCCCTCCGTGACCTTAAAACTCCACTCTGACCTAATTATTGCAAACCTATATACAACAAAGTGAAAGGATTAATTTTCATTCATCAACCTCTCAATCCCAGATTTTCAAAGAAAAGACCTATGTAAGGAATACTTGCCAAAACCAGACAGGAGAATTAGAGCCTGCATACTTAAGAGTCAAATTTGTTCCACTACAGCCAGGTGGCATACAATTACATCATTTGGTTCTTCATACACTCTAGAACTGACTAGGACAGAGTTTAGCATAGAAAAACTGTAAGAAATAGGTTCTGAAACATAGAAATTGCGAAGTTCAAAAGGCTATGAAAAAAACTAATGCAAATGAGAGACTCCCCTCCCTTTGTTTTAAAGAAATAGACCCATCAGAGAAATGCAAATCAAAACCACAATGAGATACCATCTCACACCAGTTAGAATGGCGATCATTAAAAAGTCAGGAAACAACAGGTGCTGGAGAGGATGTGGAGAAATAGGAACACTTTCGCACTGTTGGTGGGACTGTAAACTAGTTCAACCATTGTGGAAGACAGTGTGGCCATTCCTCAGGGATCTAGAACTAGAGATACCATTTGACCCAGCCATCCCACTACTGAGTATATACCCAAAGGATTATAAATCGTGCTGCTATAAAGACACATGCACACGTATGTTTATTGCAGCACTATTCACAATAGCAAAGACTTGGAACCAACCCAAATGTCCAACAATGATAGACTGGATGAAGAACATGTGGCACATATACACCATGGAATACTAGGCATCCATAAAAAATGATGAGTTCATGTCCTTTGTAGGGACACGGATGAAGCTGGAAACCATCATTCTCAGCAAACTATCGCAAGGACAAAAAGCCAAACACCACATGTTCTCACTCATAGGTGGGAATTGAACAATGAGAACACTTGGACACAGGAAGGGGAACATCACACACCAGGGCCTGTTGTGGGGTGGGGGGAGGGGGGAGGGATAGCATTAGGAGATATGCCTAATATAAATGATGAGTTAATGGGTGCAGCACACCAACATGGCACATGTATACATATGCAACAAACCTGCACACTGTGCATGTGTACCCTAGAATTTAAAGTATAATAAATAAATATAAAAAAATAAAAAAAGAAATAGATGTTCTGTAAAAATATACACAATTTTTACAAATACATTTATAAGTTGTTTTTATCTTAAAAATTGGGGATATTTCATATTTATAACTAATTATTGAACCTTAAGTTTTCTTGGCCATTTCTAGGCTAATAAACTACGAATCATGTAAACTAAGCCAAAGTAGAATAGACATAAAAAGTCCTCAACACTTCAACTTCCTATCCTTCAAGAAGTATACCTCGCAAAGCTCATTTGAGAGAGGAAGAGCTTTCCTCCACCCTCTGTTTTACAGCGCTGAGGCTTCTCATCACATTTCTATGACTTGTAGCTTAAATCCATGTTACATGGTAACTGGCATTGTTAGTGCTTCTCTTTTAACACAGTAGGAATTAATCAATTTTGTGGTGTATTTAATTAATTCTATCACTAGAGGATTGTAAAATTACATATATGAATACCTCACTTTAGAGGCCACTTAATTTTTTTCCAAGGGGATATTTGACTACATTTCACTTGTGTCTTATTTAATGATTTTATAATTTAAACCCTAAATTATAAATCTAGAATTTAGAAAGTATATTTCCCCACTGGATTACATTTTTGGAAATATTATTTTATATGTGCACAAATATTACAAAATCACTGTAGACACCTGAAAACTATATTATCTTTTAAAGGCAATATTTACATTAAACTGGTATAACAAAATTGTTTGGTGCATTTTTTTCCAGTACATTTTGTATATATTACATGTTTAACCTTTTTTATTCAGCAAATAATTTTTGAGTATCTACTAAGTGCTAGGTTCTGCATTACTAACTGAATTTAAAGAGTGAAATAACAGACATGGTCTCAGACAATAAAAATTAACATTAGGTCACCTATTTATATATTTTAAAATGGTAATTATGAAAACTTTTTGAGATTTTTAACTAGATAACATTATAATAATACACTTGATGTTGTTAATATTTGCCAGTGAGCAAAAAAGAAAATAAAAAGATGGTTTTATTCAATATACACTTTAAAATTGCAGAAAATAGTCAAGTTTCTCTGCTTTGCAGTTGAATGTCTATGTGGTTTTCTCCGCAACTTGCCTTTTGTGGAGTGAAACAATTATTCTTCCAGCCCAATAAAGGCAGAAGAGTAACAATAAATCTAATATTTTAAGTGCTTCTCAAAAGATAGTAAACATATTACTTCAGAATACTGAGTTCAATAAGTTGACCTACAAAAAAAGCCAAACTGACAGTATTACTGAATAAGGAAAGGCCCAAAGAGACAAAATAATTTTTATTTTGTAACCTCGGTATGACACAACTTACCCTAACTATAAAGACCCTAAATTACCAAGATGGGTGCTTATAATAAGGAGAGTAAAAAAAGTCATTTGACTTTTAGCTTTTTTATTTCTCTCAGAATAAAAAGTGTAAAAGGAGTTTATAAGGAAGTTGATACTATAAGTTAGTACTACAATGACAGCACTTTTCAAGAAAAGACTTTTTTCTCTCTTACAAATATCATGTTAGCAGTACTTGTTTTCTCCAGAAATAATGAGGAAATAAAAACATAAGTATGTGGGTAATTAGTGTAGTTTCTTAAAGAAATGAGTTAGGCAACAGGCTAATAATGTATACTTAGCTGGCTTTTGAATGCCAACAATCATATTCTTTACAAGGCACAGAGAAGATTTTTCTGAAGAATAAGTATGTGAACCTGAGAAGTAATCACCACTTGGTAGTGACAATATGGATAGGGTGAAGGGTGTCATCAAGAAGCAATGAAAAGATACATTTGCAGTTCAATTTGAAAACCATGATGTTTAATACATATAGTAATAAAGAATACTTTCTCCTATTTCAAAATTATTTTAGAATTTAAGATAGAAGCTAAAATACCTAGGGATAATGATATGACTATCAAAAATTAAAAATTAAAGGACATTCTGAGTATTATAAGAATGAGAACTTATTACCCAATGAACAGGGGTTAATTCATTATGCTCCATATCCATTGAATTAAAAGACAGGCCCATTACCTGGATAATTTGAAAGTTTAATTTTATTTAAAAGTCTTGTTTCATTCATCAAGCTAAAGGATTAGCTCCCAGAAATATTCTAGGATTGCATATCCCCAACTCTGTAGGAAGTATAGAAAGAATGTTATAAGGGCCACCATCTAAACATTATTATGTAAATAATTTAGTACCATTCCATTTGCCCTTGTAGATTTAAAAATGTAAATGGCTTTCTCATATTAGGAAACATCACTTTTCAAAACTCAGATAAACATAGTACATTGCAAGAGAATAATTATTTTCTTTATTAAAAAAGAAATACTGGATGCTAAGTCCAAAAGACATAAATTATTTTATACTAATAACTACTAATATTTTATTCATTAAAATATAAAGGTCAAAGATTTCAAAATGATCTTTAAATGATTAATAACATGTTGATCTTTTTCTTCTTTCTGTAAACCTTTTTGAGTCTTAAAAATACTAAACTATACAAGCAATATTAAATAGTATATAAACTTGGATTAAAATATTCAAATTTACTAGAATGTGGACATTGGAAAGAATGAAAATAAACAGAAGCATAAAGCAGCAGATATAAAATTAAGAAAGCAACTAAGAGTGTTTAAAGTACATATTCATCTGTAGTCTAATGTCTACCATAAACAATGACTCTTCTCAGTAAAACACAAATTGTTCATGAAGGGAAAAAGCATGTTGTATTAGAGAATATTCAACATAATTTTTTTAGTACTAACTTGTGCCTGGAGTATTATTGGTTTTTCTATTATGAACTTATGCACTTGTTAATTTTTTTCATAAAAATTATATGTACAACTCCATTCAAAAGCAGTTTTTGGTGGGTTTTTTTTTTTTGAGACAGAGTTTTGCTCTTTTCACCCAGGCTGGAGGGCAATGCTGCGAATTTGGCTCACAGCAACCTAGCAACTTTTGCCTCCCAGGTTCAGGTGATTCTCTTGCCTCAGCCTCTCGAGTGGTTAGGACTACAAGCATGCACCACCATGCCTGGCTAATTTTGTGTTTTTAGTAGAGACATGGTTTTGCCATGTTGACCAGGCTGGTCTTGAACTCCTGACCTGAGGTAATCCACCCATCTTGGCCTCCCAAAGTGCTGGGTATGGGCAAGAGCCACCATACCTGGCCTCAGAAGCAGTTTTTAAAAGCAAACACAGTATAACACTAAAGTTGAAAAATCTATGCTCACCCAAGGATGCCAGGTTTAATAAATTATTTATAGAATACTGCATCAAAAATAAGATAATAACCCAAAATATACCATTAAAGATGTATCCACTCCTACAACTAGAGATAATTAATCTATCTAGTAGCAAATGATACTTCAATCAGTTTCAGCATGTCTGAAATCTTTAAGGACAAAAGTGATAAAACATGACTTCATTCTTCATTAGACTCTTAGAACACCTGAAGGAAAATAATTTCTGAAGCACAAAGAAGTAAAGAGGTGTAATCTTTCAAAAAGATATTCAGTGTTCAAAATCCAAGAGTGCAATATCAGGCTGGGTGCGGTGGCTTATGCCCGTAATCCCAGCACTTTGGGAGGCCATGGTGGGTGGATCACCTGAGGTCAGGAGTTCGAGACCAGCCTGGACAACAAGGTGAAACTCTTGACTGTACTAAAAATACAAAAATTAGCCAGGCATCGTGGTATGCACCTGTAGTCCTAGCTACTTGGGAGGCTGAGACAGGAGAATCACTTGAACCTGGGAGGTGGAGGTTGCAGTGAACCGAGATCATGCCACCTCACTCCAGCATCAGTAACAGAATGAGATGCCATCTCAAAAAAAGAAAAGAGTCTAATATCGGTATACACAGATAATATACTGAATGAAACAAATAGAATAATTTGAAGAGGTATCTTGATGAACAAGGAGTCATTAGAAAGGTTGTATTCATGTCTTTGAAGGAAATTGCAATGTGAGAAATTAATACTTTGACTACTATACTAAAAGTTTATTGCTAACATGTATTGAGTTATTAACGTGTGTTAGGCAGAGTACCATATAATTTACAAGTGTTATCTCATTTATTGTAGGTAAAATGTAATTTTGAACTCTGGGAGTATAAATGAATTAGATAGAATAAAATTCTATTTAAATGGCCATCAGTAAATCGGTATCTAGGAACAGGGTGATACGGTGCCCAAGTTTTCTATTCTTACTAAATGTTGTGTTTCATTTTCAATGTTTTCTTGGATATTGCTCTTTTTTGGTGATTTTGATTTTTTTTATTTTAGAAAACTAATAAATTGACTCTTCTTGGTACTGACTCGGGTTTTATAGAAGAAAAAGTAATTAAATTATGTATATTTACCTTTGTCTCATTTTTTCTCTTTTAAATTTACTTTAATTGACATATAATAAATGTACATGTTATGGGGTACAGAGTGATATTTTGATATATTTATGCAATGCGTAAAGATCAAGTCAGAGTCATTATCATATCCATTACCTTAAATCATGTATTATTTCTTTGCAGTGAGAATATTCAAAATCTTTTATTTTAGTTATTTGAAAACACACAATAAATTCCCGTTAACTACAGTCACCCAACAGTGCTGTAGAGAACTAGAACTTCTTCCTTCTCTCCAGCTGTAATTTTGTATGTATTAACCACATTTTTCTTATACTCTTCTTTCTCCTACTCTTTCCAGGATATGGTAACCAAAACTCTACTATCTACTTCTACGAGATTAAACATTTTAGCTTCCATACATAAGTGAGAACACGTAGTTATGTGGTGTTTATGTTTCTATGCCAGGCTTATTTCACCTAACATAATGCCCTCCACTTGCATTCTTGTTGCCACAAATAACAGGATTTTGTTCTTTATTATGACTAAATAGTATTCCATTATATATGTATGTCACATTTCTTTATCCATTCATCTGTTGATGGACACTTTTGTTGATTCCACATCTTGGCTATTGTGAATAGTGCTGTAATAAACATGGGGGTGCAGGTAAGTCTTTGATATACTGATTTTCTTTCCTTTGGATATATACTGAAAACCATATGATTAAATTAATAAACACAATAAAAGCGTTTGGCAAAATTAAATATTCTTACATGACAAAAAACCTCTCAACAATTTAGTATAGAAAATATATGCCTTAAAACAGAAGGACATAAAGGACAAACCTACAACTAAGATCATACTGAGTGTGGAAAAGGTGAAAGATTTTACTGTGAACAAGAAAAAGATTTTACTGGAACAAGAAAAGGATGCCTATTCTCACCAATCATATTTCACATAGTGAAAGTCTTAGCCAGGACAATTAGGTGAGAAAAAGAAATAAAGGACATCTGAATTGGAAAGGAGACAGTCAAATTGTCCCTGTTTAAAGACAATGTGATCTTATACACGGAAAAAAATAAGACTCTACCAAAAGCTTCTTAGGGTGATACATGAAATTAATAAAGTTGCAGGATATAAATCAACATACAAAAATCAGTAGCATTTCTATATATTGATAGTAAACTAGCTGAAACAAGAAATTAAGAAAGCAATTCCTTTTACAATAGCTACAAAAATGTACTTAGAAATAAATTTAACCAAGGAAGTAAAAGATTTCGACAACAAAAATGACAAATATTAATGAAAGAAATTAAAGAAAACACAAAAAAGGAAAGACATCCACGTTTATAGATTGAAATAACTAATATTCTTAAAATGACCCACTATCCTATGTGATTTACAAATTTGGTACAATCACTAGCTTGTATTTTTAAAAGCACCTTTGTTGCATATTCTTAAGATATTCAATGACAATGCCTGGATTTAAGTTTGAGGTATTATTATATCTATTTTATACTGGGCACAATATAATGTTATCAGAGGTAACGGTTTTGATTGGTCCTAGGTCATACAGTAATATATACATTGTGATTTATAGACATGCTATCTTTTAATACTCAGGCATTTAGAAAGTTCATTTAGACAAAGTTATAAAAACTTGCTGTCCTTTCTGCCTATATCACCTAAAAATCCTAATTTAAGAGGTAATAACATTTTTTATTTGATATACAATTTATCAACACAATAAAAATCTAACAATTATCATGTGCAGAGTGTGAAAATCTCATCAGATTAAGGAACACAAAGACATCTTTTTCATATTTCGAATGTAAAACTGTTTTGGAAACTGTTATTTTTAGAAACAGTTAAAAACATTTTTTCATTAGTTTTTCATGTAAAATTGTGACAACCAGCATGAAATAACTGTCATCACAGAAGCATGGTATATTCGATTCCAAAACATATTCTTTGTAAGTTTTAATATATTTATGTATTATTTATACTTAGATTGTAACCCATAATGTACAGATATTATTTTTCCTTCAACTCTTAAGAATATTCTTAAATAATAAAATTAAAATTAATGAATTATAATTTTTGTTGCTTGGGAAAAAGAATAGACACACACGTGACAGTGCATCACTTCACCCCATCATTTCATCTCATCATTTCATCATTTCATCTCATCATTTTATCTCATTTCATCTCATCCCATCTCATCTCATCATTTCATATCATCTCATCATTTCATCAAATCTCATCTCATTTCCATTTCATTTTCATTATTTCATTTCATCATTTCATTTCACTATTTCATTTCATTTCATCTAATTTCATTTAATTCATTATGTCATTTCATATAATCTCATTTCATTTCATCTCATATTTTTGATATCATTTTTCATCTCATTTCATCTCAATTCATCTCATCATTTCATCTCCTCATCTCATCATTTCCTCCTTTCATTACAACATTTCATCTCATTTCTTCTCATCTCATTTCAATTTCATTATTTCATCTCATTTCATTATTTCACCTAATTTCATTATTTCATCTCATCTCATCTCAGTTCATCTGATCTCATTTCATCTCAGCATTTCATCTCATCATTTTTCATCTCATCATTTTTCATCTCATCATTTAATCTCATTTCATTTCATTTGATCTCATCATTTCAGCTCATTTCAAGTCACATCTATTCATTTCATCATTTCATTTCAACATTTCATCATTTCATCGCATCATTTCATCTCATCTTTCACTTTCATTTCAATATCATTTCATCATTTCATTTCATCTCATTTCATTATTTCATTATTTCATTTCATTTCATCTCATCATTTCATCTCATCATTTTTCATCTCATCATTTTTCATCTCATCATTTTTCATCTCATCATCTCATCTCATCATTTCATCTCATTTCTTCTCATCTCATTTCAATTTCATTATTTCATTTCATTTCACTTCATTTCATTTCATCTCATTTTATCTCATCTCATTTCATCTCATTTCATCTCATCTCATTTCATCTCATTTCTTCTCGTCTCATCTCATCATTTCACCATTTCATCTCGTTTCATCTCATTTCATCTCATCTCACCTCATATCATCATTTCATCTCATCCTTTCATTTCATCATTTAATTTCATCATCTCATTTAATTTCACCTCATTTCATTATTTCATTTTTTCATTTCATTATGTCATTTCATTTCATCTCATTTCATCTCATTTCATTTCATCTCATCTTTTCATCTCATCATTTCATCTTATCATCTCATCAACTCTTTTCATCTTATCATTTCATCATTTCATCACTTCATTTCATCTTGTATCTTCTCATCTCATTTCAATTTCATTTCATTATTTCATTTCATTATTTCATGTCATCTCATCTCATCATTTCATCTCATCACATCTCATCATTTTATCATTTTATTTCATCATCTCATCATTTCATCTCATCTCATTTCAATTTTATTTATTTATTTCAATTTCATTTCATCTCATCAGTTCATCTCATCATTTCATCTCATCATCTCATCTCATCTCATCATTTCATCTCATCATTCATCTCATTTCATATCATTTTATCTCATCTCATTTCATCTCATTTCATCATTACATTTCATCTCATTTTATGTCATCATTTCATGTCATCATTTCATCACATCTCATCTCATCATTTCATCTCATCATTTCATCATTTCATCTCATTTCAACTCATTGCATCTCATCTCATTTCCATTTCATTATTCCATTTCATCATTTCATTTCATTATGTCATTTCACCTCATCATATTTCATCTCATTTCATCTCATCTCATCATTTCATTTCATCTCATCATTTCATCTCATTTTATCTCATCTCATCTCATCATTTCTTCTCATCTCATCATTTCCATTTCATTTTCATTTCATTATTTCATCATTTCATTATTTCATCTCATTTCATTATTTCATTTCATTATGTCATTTCATTTCATCTCATTACATTTCATCTCATTTCATCTCATCATTTCATCCATCATTTCATTTCATTTCATCATTTCATCTCATGATTTCATCTCATCTCATCATCTCATTTCATCTCATTATTTCATCTCATTTCATCTCATCTCATTTCATCATTTCATTTCATCATTACATCTCATCATTTTATCTCATTTCATCTCATCCCATCTCATCTCATCATTTCATATCATCTCATCATTTCATCTCATCATTTCATCAAATCTCATCTCAATCATTTCACCTCATCATTTCTTATTTCATCTCATTTTATCTCATTTCATCTCATATATCAATTCAATTTCCTTTCATTATTTCATCTCATTCATCTCATTTCATTACATCTCATCATTTCCTCTCATCATTACATCTCATCTCATCATTTCATCATTTCATCTCATCATTGCATCTCATCATTTCATCTCATTTCGTCTCATCATTCATCTCGTCATTTCATCTCATCTCATCATTTCCATTTCATTATTTCATTTCATCATTTAATTTCATCATCTCATTTAATTTCACCTCATTTCATTATTTCATTTTTTCATTTCATTATGTCATTTCATTTCATCTCATTTCATTTCATCATTTCATTTCATCTCATCTTTTCATCTCATCATTTCATCTTATCATCTCATCAACTCTTTTCATCTTATCATTTCATCATTTCATCTTATCACTTCATTTCATCTCGTATCTTCTCATCTCATTTCAATTTCATTTCATTATTTCATTTCATTATTTCATGTCATCTCATCATTTCATCTCATCACATCTCATCATTTTATCATTTTATTTCATCATCTCATTTCATCTCATGTCATTTCAATTTTATTTATTTATTTCAATTTCATTTCATCTCATCAGTTCATCTCATCATTTCATCTCATCATCTCATCTCATCTCATCATTTCATCTCATCATTCATCTCATTTCATATCATTTTATCTCATCTCATCTCATCATTACATTTCATTTTATGTCATCATTTCATGTCATCATTTCATCACATCTCATCTCATCATTTCATCTCATCATTTCATCATTTCATCTCATTTCAACTCATTGCATCTCATCTCTTTTCCATTTCATTATTCCATTTCATCATTTCATTTCATTATGTCATTTCACCTCATCATATTTCATCTCATTTCATCTCATCTCATCATTTCATTTCATCTCATCATTTCATCTCATTTTATCTCATCTCATCTCATCATTTCCATTTCATTTTCATTTCATTATTTCATCATTTCATTATTTCATCTCATTTCATTATTTCATTTCATTATGTCATTTCATTTCATCTCATTACATTTCACTTCATTTCATTTCATCTCATTTTATCTCATCTCATTTCATCTCATCATTTCTTCTCGTCTCATCTCATCATTTCACCATTTCATCTCGTTTCATCTCATTTCATCTCATCTCACCTCATATCATCATTTCATCTCATCCTTTCATTTCATCTCATCGTTTCATCTCCTCATTTCATCTCATCTCACCTCAGCATTTCATCATTTCACCTCATCATTTCTTATTTCATCTCATTTTATCTCATTTCATCTCATATATCAATTCAATTTCCTTTCATTATTTCATCTCATTCATTTCATCTCATTTCATTACATCTCATCATTTCCTCTCATCATTACATCTCATCTCATCTCATCATTTCATCATTGCATCTCATCATTGCATCTCATCATTTCATCTCATTTCGTCTCATCATTCATCTCGTCATTTCATCTCATCTCATCATTTCCATTTCATTATTTCATTTCATCATTTAATTTCATCATCTCATTTAATTTCACCTCATTTCATTATTTCATTTTTTCATTTCATTATGTCATTTCATTTCATCTCATTTCATTTCATCATTTCATTTCATCTCATCTTTTCATCTCATCATTTCATCTTATCATCTCATCAACTCTTTTCATCTTATCATTTCATCATTTCATCTTATCACTTCATTTCATCTCGTATCTTCTCATCTCATTTCAATTTCATTTCATTATTTCATTTCATTATTTCATGTCATCTCATCATTTCATCTCATCACATCTCATCATTTTATCATTTTATTTCATCATCTCATTTCATCTCATGTCATTTCAATTTTATTTATTTATTTCAATTTCATTTCATCTCATCAGTTCATCTCATCATTTCATCTCATCATCTCATCTCATCTCATCATTTCATCTCATCATTCATCTCATTTCATATCATTTTATCTCATCTCATTTCATCTCATTTCATCATTACATTTCATCTCATTTTATGTCATCATTTCATGTCATCATTTCATCACATCTCATCTCATCATTTCATCTCATCATTTCATCATTTCATCTCATTTCAACTCATTGCATCTCATCTCTTTTCCATTTCATTATTCCATTTCATCATTTCATTTCATTATGTCATTTCACCTCATCATATTTCATCTCATTTCATCTCATCTCATCATTTCATTTCATCTCATCATTTCATCTCATTTTATCTCATCTCATCTCATCATTTCTTCTCATCTCATCATTTCCATTTCATTTTCATTTCATTATTTCATCATTTCATTATTTCATCTCATTTCATTATTTCATTTCATTATGTCATTTCATTTCATCTCATTACATTTCATCTCATTTCATCTCATCATTTCATCCATCATTTCATTTCATTTCATCATTTCATCTCATGATTTCATCTCATCTCATCATCTCATTTCATCTCATTATTTCATCTCATTTCATCTCATCTCATTTCATCATTTCATTTCATCATTACATCTCATCATTTCAACTCATCTCATTTCAATTTCATTTCAATTTCATTACATTTCATAATTTCCTTTCATTATTTCATTTCATTTCATCTCATTTCATTATTTCATTTCATTATTTCATTTCATCTCATTTTTCATCTCATCATTTTTCATCTCATTTCATCTCATCATGTCATCTCATCGTTCATCTCATTTCATCTCATTTTATCTCATTATTTCATCTCATCTCATCTCATTTCAATTTCATTATTTCATATCATTTCATTATTTCATTTCATTTCATCTCATCATTTCATCTCGTTTCATCTCATCATTTCATCATCTCATCATTTCATCTCATTTCATCTCATCTCATCTCCTTTCAATTTCTTTTCAACTTTGTCATTTCATCTCATCATTTAATCTCATCATTTCCACTCTCCATTTCATCTCAAAATTTCATCTCATCATCTCATCTCATCTCATCATTTTGTTATTTCATCTCATCATTTCATCTCATCTCAAGTCATCTTATCATTTCATCTAAGTGAAATGACATAATGGAATCATGAAATGAAATGGATAGGATGCCCTCAGTGATGTTAAATTTAAAAATTGTTTCTTTTCATGCATGCATTTTTATATTTATATGTATTTATATTTATATTTACTAATATTTCTTTTTACTTATTTTTATTTATATTTTTACTTATTTCTTTATTCATAGACAAGGTCCTGTTCTGTGGCCTAGGCTGGAATGCAGTGGTGCATTCACAGTTCGCTGCAGCCTCGAGAAAACCTCCCACATTAGCCTCCCAGGTAGCTGGGACCCCAGGTGTGCACCACCACACCTGGTTAATATTTTATTATTTGTAGAGATGGAGTCTTGCTATTCTGCCCAGGCTGGTCTCAAACTCCTGGGCTCAAGCAATCCTCCTGCACTGGCAACCCAAAATGCTGGGATGACAGATATGAGCCACAGTGCCCAACCTATTTATTTATTTATTTAATAAGGACAAGGTCTCACTATGTTGCCCAGGCTGGTCAACTCCTGGACTCAAATGATTCTCCAAACTTGGCCTCTCAAAATGTTGGGATTACAGGTATGAGCCACCATGCCTGGCCTAAAAATAGTATTATATTTTTGTATCATATAATTTTCAATTAGGTAATATGAATATTCTGTACAGGAAATACGCCCTTAATTACATAGGAATAAACGTTTGTTACACTGAGAAAAATCTAATAGAGCTAAAAATAAATATTAATTTGGAAAGGTCATTAGATACTGATACATTCTTACGTTTATACATTCTTTCATATATTCATATATTCTTTTAACAGTATCAATGGTTTGGAGTTATGTGTACAAAACCATGACCTATATGTAATACAACTAATAACAGGCATTTACAATTCAAGGCATATTATATACAAAGCTTTAACTTCTTATCAAAATATTTTGTTTTTTTTCTTTCTGTTTTGGCAGATACTATGAACACTACATTCAACTCACAGACACCATGGAGCCCTTACTAAGCATAAAGTACTGTGAAAGGCCAGGGCTAGGACAGAACTGAGACAGGGCCAGGGATAGGACAGAACAGGGGCAGGGTCATGGCCAGAGAAAAACCAGGGGCAGGGTCACGGCCAGGGACATGAGAGGACCAAGGCCAGGGCCAGAAGCAGGGCAGAACCAGGGCCAGGGCAGGGACATGGCAGGGCCAGGGCCATGGCAGGATCAGGGTCAGCAGAAGGCCAGGGCAGGGCTAGGGTAGTGCAGGGCCAAGGCAGGGCAGGGTCAGTGTAGAGCAAGGAACGGGCCAGGGTATGGCAGGGCAGGGACAGGGAGGTCCAGGGCCAGAGTCAGGTCCAGGACATGGACAGGACAGGGCCAGAAATATGGCAGGACCAGAAAGGGGACAGGGCAAGGGCAAGGCCAGAGAAGGACCATGGAAAAAACACGGCCAGGGAGGGTCCAGGGCAAGGGCAAGGCCAGGGCAGAACCAGAGCCAGAGCAGGCCAAAGGCAGGGCCAGGGCAGGGCAAGGCCAGGGTAGGGCGGGGCCAGTGTAGGGTGAGGGTAGGGCCAGGGTGAGTTCAGGGCCAGGGCAGGACTAAGATAGCACAGGGCCAAGGCAGGGCCAGGGCAGGGCCAAAAGGAGGGGCCAGGGCCAAGCATGGCCAGTGTCAGACCTGGGGATTGTCAGGGCCAGGGTCAGGGTCAAGGCTGGGCCAGGGACAGGGCCAGAGCAAGGGCAGGGCCAGGGAGAAAGCAGAACCAGAGAGGATCCAGAGCAAGGCCAGGGTCAGGGCAGAACCAGGACCAGGATAAGGCAAAGCCAAGGCCAGGGCAGGGCAAGGCCAGGGCAAGGCAAGACCAGGGAAGGGCAAGGCCAGAGTAGAAAAGGCCAGTGTAGGGCCAGGCCAGGGTAGGAGAAGGCCATGGTAGGGCCAAGGCCAAGGCAGGGCAGGGCTAGGGTAGCACAGGGCATGGCCAAAAACAGGGCAGGGCCATAACAGTGGCAGGACTAGCAACAGGGCCAGGGCAAGCGCTGGACCAGAGCATGGTGGGGACAATACAGGGCCAGGACAGACGATGGCAAGGCAGGTCCAGGGCCATTTCATGGACTCGGTAGGCCTGGGGTCAGGCCAGGGCAGGGCAAAGGCAAGACCAGGGAGAAGGCAGGGCCGGGGCCAAGGCAGTGCCAGGGCAGGGCAGGACCAGTGCAGGGCCAATGCAGGGTGAGAGCAAGGCCAGGGCATGGAAAGGCAGGGCAGGACCAAGGAAGGGCCAGGAGAGGGCCACGGCAGGGTCACGGCCAGAACAAGGGTATGGCTGGGGTCAGGAATATGGTAGGACGAGGGCTGGGCCCAGGCTGGGACACGCAGGGCAGAGCATGATCTGTGCAAGGCACGGCCAGAGCCAGGCCATAGAGATGGGAGGGCAACACCAAGGCAGAGTCAGGGTAGATCCAGGGCTGAGCAGAGTCAGGGCAGGTCCAGAGTCGAGGCAGAGCTAGGGCCCAAGCAGGGCCATGGTAGCACCAGGGCAGAGGAGGGCAGGGCAATGCAGGACTGGGCCATGGCAGTGCCTGGTCAACTCCCGGGCAGGGCCAGAAGCAGGACAGGGCCAGGGCCAATGCTCAGGCCAGGGACAGGGCATGACAGGAAGTGCCAGAGCAGGGCTGGACCAACGTTGGGGCAGGGCAAATCAGACCAGGACATCTCCAAGTCCATCTCTGGCCCTGCCTTGGCCCTGGCCCCTTCCTGGCCTGACCTTGTCCCTGGCCCTGCCCTATCCATGCCCTGTGTGTTTGACCAGTGTTTTATAACCAGAATCCTACAAGAAACTTAAATTAGTTCTTTTTGTGCATTTTTAGTAGAGATGGGGTTTCACAATGTTGCCCAGGCTGGTTCCAAACTCCTGAGCTCAAGCCATCTGCCTGCCTTGGCCTCCCAAAGTGCTGGGATTACAGGAGTAATCTGGCCAAGTATTTAACTTCTTTATACCTGTTTCCTATATTTGGAAAATGGGGATGCTTTAAGTACCTAGCACATAGAATTATTGTGAGAATCAATGCCTCACATATTAACATATTGATAAAATTATACTCATAGAACACTACTGGAAGCAAAGATAGTATTAGTTAAAATTTAGTGATTACTGCAAATATTATTACTATTACAAACAATATAGTATAGACATTACTACTACTATAGTTATCTTAAAAATCTAAAATAAAAATTTTATGTAATAGCCCAATGTAATCTCTCCTGCTCTGTCCTGGCTCAGCCCTAGTGCCGGCTCTGCCCCTAGTCCTACTACATCCCTGGCCCTGACCCTTCCCTGGTCCAGCCGCTGCCCTGGCCCTTCCCATCTTCAGGCCTTACCATGGCCCTACCCTGGTCCTGACCCTGCCCTGGTCTGGTCCTGACCCTGGCCCTACCCCAGAGAAGGGGTATGGCAGAGCCAGGGAAGGGCCAGGGCAAATAAGGGACAGGACACATCCAAATCCAGGAAAGGGCCAGGGCCATGACAGAGCCAGGGCGAGTCCTTGGCAGGGCCAGGTTCCAGGCCAGGGCCAGGAAAGGGTCATGGCAGGGTCACTGTATGGCCAAGGTCCAGGCCAAAGCCAAGGCAGTGGCAGGGTCAGGTCTGCATAAGGGCAGGACCAGAGCCAGTGATACGGCAGGGCCAGGGCCAGGGCCAGGGCTGTGCCAGGACAGAACAAGAGCAGAGCAGGGCAGGACCAGAGCCAGGCCATAGAGAGAGTAGGGCAAATGCCAAGGCAAGGCCAGGGTAGTGCCAGGGCTGAGGCAAGATCAGGGAAGGTCCAGGGCTCAGTCAAGGCTAGAACCAAGACAGGGGCAAAGGCCGGGGCAGATCTAGGGCACAAGCAGGGCAGGCTAGGGCAGGGCAATGGCAAGACCAGGCCATGGCAGGGCCAGCCCAGGATAGAACAGGGCACAGGCAGGGCAGGGCCAGGGCCACGGCTGGGGCAGGACAAGGACCAGGACTGGGGTCCAGGCCAGGGCAAGGGTATGGCCAGGGCAGAGGTAGGGCCAGAGCCAGGGTCTGGGCAGGACCAAGGCAGGTCTATTGCAGGGCCAGGGTTCAGACCAGGGCCAGAGCAGGGCTGGGACAGGGCCAGGGCCAGAACCAGGAAAGGGCAATGTCAGGACAAGGGCCGTGGCAGGACCAGCAATGGGGCTGGGGCCAGGACAGGGACAGGGACAGGGTCAGGGCTAGGGCCAGAATAGCATGCCAGGGTAGAGCCAGGCCAAATTAGGGCCAGGACAGGGTCAGGACCAGGGCTGGGCCAGGGTATGGCCTTAAGTAGCGAAGGGTCAGGGCCAGGGTCCATGCCAGTGCCAGTGCTGGTCCAGGGAAGATGCAGGGCCATGGCCAGATCTAGGACAAGGCTGGGGCAGGACCAAGGTCTGGGTCAGGGTCAGCAGAAGGCCAGGACAGAGCCAGGGGAGGGACAGGGCCATGGTAAGACCAGGTTACATCAGGGACAAGACACCTGCAAATCCACTTCAGGGCCAGGGTCAGGGCAGGGCCAGTTCAGGGCCAGGGCCAAGACAGGGCCAGGGTCAGGGCTGCCAGGGTCATTGGCAGGGCCAGGGCCATGGCAGGACCGGGGTCAGGAGCAGGGGTCAATGCCAGGCCTAGGCCACACATAGGACCAGGTCTGTGCTAGGGCCAGTGTGAGGGCCAAGGCAGGGTCAGGGCAGGGCCAAAGGGAGGGCAGGGCCAGGGCAGGGTGGAGCAGGCCCAGGGTAGCACAGGGTTAAGGTAGGGCACGACCAACCAGGGCAGGTCTATGGTTGGGGCCGGGGCAGGGCCAGAGCCAGGGCACAGCCAAGACAGTGGCAGCTCCTGGGCAGGGCCAGGGTTAGGACCATGGACATGTCCAAGGCCAGTGCCAGGGCAACAGCAAGGGCAGGAGCAGGGCCAGGTTCATCTAAGAACCAGGGACAAAGCCAGGCCCAGAGCTGGGCCAGGACAGGTACCTGGCAGGGCTAGGGTCTGAGACAGGGCCACAGCAGGACCAGGGCCACAACCAGGTCTGTGCTATGGCCAGGTCCAACACAGTGCCCAGGTAAGGCTAGGGTGAAGGCCAAGGTAGGGCCAGGGCAGGGTCAAAGCCAGGCTAGGGCCAAGGCAGGGCCAGGGCCGGCAAGGCAGGGCCAGGAAAGCATAGGGCCAGGGCAGGGCAGGGCCAGGGCAGGGCGGGGCCAGGACAGTGCCAAGACCTGGGCAGGGCCAGGGCCAGGGCCATGGCCACGGCCTGGGGAAGACCAGGTTCAGGGCAGGAGCAAAACAATGGCAAGGACAGTGCAGGTTCTTGGCACAGCCAGGGTCCAGGACAGTGTCAGGGCAGGGCCAAGGCAGGGTCTGGGCCATGGTAAGACCAGCAACAGGGCTGGGGCTAGGCCAGTGACAGGACCAGAGTCAGGGCAAGGGCCAGAGCAGTGCAAGGCCAGGGTAGGGCCAGGCATTTCAGGGTCAGGGCCAGGGGAGAACCAGGGCAAGGTCTCAAGCAGGGAAGGGCCAGGGCCAGGACAGGTCCAGGGCAGGGCCATGACAGGGCCAGGGGCTGCGTTAGGGCAAGGGCAGGGCCACAGCAAGGTAAGGGTCAGGGCCAAGGCCAGGGTAGGGACAGGGCAAGAAATATGGCATGACCAGGGGCAATGCCAAGGCCAAGGTTGGGCCAGGGCTGACCCGGGACTGAGTCAGGGCAGGGCAGGGCAGGGCATGGTATGGCCAGTGCAGGACAGGACAAGAGCCGGTCCACAGAGAGAGCAGAGCTGATGCCAAGAAAGAGCCAGGCTAGTGCCGAGGCTGAGGCAGTGTCAGAGCATGTCCAGGGCAGGGCCAGGGCCAGGGCCAGAACCGAGCCAGGGCACAGCCAAGGCAGGGTAGGGAAGGGAAATAGCATGGCCGGGTCAGTACTGGGACAGGACAGAGCAGGGCAAGGAGATGGTAGCGGCAGGGCAGGGACAGGCCAATGCAGAGCCATGTTATGCCGGGGCCAGGACACCTCCAAGTCCACTTCAGGGCCAGGGCTATGGCAGGACAAAGACCACGGCCAGGATCAGGGCCAGGTCTGTGCTAGGGTCAGCTCCAGAGCAGGGTCTAGCGCAGGCTAGGGTGAGGGCCAAGGTAAGGCCAGGGCAGGGTCAAAGGCAGAGTAGGGCCAGGGCAGGGTGATGACACATCCAGAGCGCAGCAGGGCAGGGTGATGGCAAGACCAGGGGCAGACCATTGCCAGCTCAGGGCCAGGGAAAGTCCAGTGCAGAGCCAGGAAAGGGTCTGGGTCTGGGTCAGGGCCAGGAACAAGGCAGAGCAGGGCCAGGGCCATGGCAGAGTCAGGGCAGGTTCTTGACAGGACCAGGTTCCAGGCCAGGGCCAGGGCAGCAGCAGGGGCAGGGCCTGGATAAGGGCAGGGCCAGGGATATGGCAGGACCAGGGCTAGGGCCAGGGCCAGGCCATAGTGAGGGCAGGGCAAAAGCCAAGGGCAGGGTCAGGGCAGGTCCAGGGCAGGTCCAGGGAGTGGCCAGCACCAAGCGGGGCCAAGTCACAACCAGCGCAGGGTAAGGCAGGGCAATGGCACCACTGGGCCATGACAGGGCAAGGTCAGTGCCAGGAGAGGGCAGAACAGGCAGGCCCATGGTGGAGCCAGGGCAGGGATGGGCCAAAGCAGGGCCAGGACATGTCCAAGGCCAGGTCAGGGCCAGAACAGGAGCAGGACCATGACCATTGGCAGGGCCAGTGCCATGACACGACCAGGGTCAGGACAAGAGGCAGGGCCAGAGCCAGGGCCAGAGCCAAGGTCAGGCCAGTGCAGGTTCAGGGCAGGGCCAGTGCCAGGGCAAGACCAGGGCAGGGACAGGGTAGCACAGGGCCAAGACAGGGTCAGGATGGGACCAGAGCAGGACAGGGCCGAGAGTCCAAGTAACAGTAGGGCAGGTACAGGGCAAGGCAGGGCAGTACAGGGCCAGATCCACGGCAGGCGCAGGGCAAAGCCAGGCCCATTGCCAAGGCACCAGCCCTCCCTACAAGGCTCCTACCACCTGGCCACTGCTGCAGCCCGTCCATCGCTCTAAGCCTGACCCCCAACCCTGGCTGCAGCCGCCTGCCCTCCTAGCGCAGCCGCTCTCCTACCACTCTGGCGCACCGCAGTCTCTGTCACTGCCGCCCACCCGCAGCGAGGCGAGCCATGGTGTCGCAGGCTCTAGGTGTCTCCTCCTCCTCCTGGCACAGAGCAGCTGGGCGGGCAAAGCCAGAAAAGCCTAGGGAAAGATGTGAGGGGTGGAAGGGTTAGAGCCTCAACTTGTCATGCCGGCCACTGGGTGGCAGGGGCCAGTTTCAGCAAAGGCACTCACACCCACCCTACAAAGTCCAGCCTCTCCTTTTGGCCCAAGCTGGGCAGGAACTGGGGTCTGGGGTGGGTGCTGGAGACACCACAGCATCCAGCTCCCCACTCCACAGGAACCATTGGGCCCACTGGGGCTGCACTCCTCGGGGAGCAGGAGAAGCAGAAAAATTCAGACCCAGCCAGCCCTCCACACCCAGGTGCCAATTCCTGTTCCGGACACCTCCACGCACAGGGCCCTGTCCCCCGTGGTGTCCCCAGGGGTGCCTGGCAGCCTCTGAGGCACAGACCCACAGTACACAGGCCCAGGAACCACGGTGGGTGTGGGGGCTCTGCCATGCTCAGGATTCCCACGCAAACGCTGTGTGCCCTGCTGCACTCCAGTATGACCAAGAGTGGGTCGCCCTCTGGAGTGTGGAGTCAGGGAGAGGAGAACCACTCCTTCCTTGGATGCCAACTCTGTTGACCGACACCAGCAGTGCAGCCCCTGATAGCACCGAACTCGCCCCCGCTCCATGGCTAGCCCTGCCCTCAATAGCGCCCCCCACCTCCGTCCCCCAATGCCGCCAGTAGCGTATAACTGATAGTGCCCTAACCTGTCCTCCTCCATGGGCATTGCAGCCCCAGAGAGCACCCATAACCCACCCTCCCTGCCGTGGGCAGTGCAGCCCTGTACAGTGCTACCAACCAGTACCCCTAATGCAGGCAATGACACCCTGGATAGCGCCCTCAACCCACCCCACACTGCGAAAGGTGCAGCCCTGGATAGCCCCTGTCCTACCACTCTGGTCGTCCTGCAGTCTCTGTCACCACCACCACCAACCACAGTGAGGCAAGCCAGTGGGCCACAGGCTCTAGGACCCAGCAGCCAGGCATGGAGCAGCTCTCGCTGATGGCCGGCTCCTACCACTCTGACCACGCTGCTGTCTGTCTCCGTGGCCATCTTCTTTCACTACAAAGGAATAAAACTAGGTATCAATAAGAAAAGCAATTTTGGAAACAATACAATCACATGGAAGTTAAACACTACCCTCCTGAATAAATGACTAGTGGGTCAATGAAGATACTAAGACAGAAATTCAAAAATTTCATGAAACAAAGGGTAATGAAAACACAGTATACCAAAACTTGTTATGCAGAAAGCAGTACAAAGGCAGAGATTTACAGCTATAAGTGCCTACCATCCAAACAAAAGAAAACCTTCAAATAAACAATACATCTTAAAGAACTAGTAAAGAACAAACTAAACTGAAAATAAGAAAATAAATAAGATCATAGCACAAACAAAATTGAAATAAAAAACAGACAAGATTAAACGAAAAGTTGGTTTTCTGGAAAGCTAAACAAAATTGACAAACTTTTAACCAGGCTAAGAAAAGAGACAAGATTCAAATAAATAAAATCAACAGATTAAAAAAAGGAGACATTACAACTAATACTTCAGAAATTCAAAGGATCATAACTGGCTACTATATGCCAATAAATTGGAAAGCCTAGTAGAAATTGGCAAATTCCTAGATGCATACAACCTACTTAGGTTAAACAATGAAAACATCCAAGACCAGAACAGATTGGTAACAAGTAATGAGATTGAAGCCATCAGAAAAAGTCTCCCAGTAAAGAAAAGCCCAGGAACTGATGTCTTCACTGCTGATGGCTTCACACCAAACAATTTAAAGACCTAGTACGAATCCTGCTCAAACTATTTTGAAAAACAGGAGGGAATACTTCCAAACTTATTCTATGAGACCATTATTACTGTGATACCAAAATCAGACAAAAGCATCAAAGAAGGAAACTACAGGCCAGGATCTCTAATATTGATGCAAAAATCCTCAACAAAATACCAGTGAATCAAATTCAGTAATACATTAAAAAGATAATTCATCATGATCAAGTGGGATGTATCCCTGGGACCCAAGGGTCACTCAACATACAATGTGATACATCATATCAACCAAATAAACGACAAAAACAGTATCATCACGTCAACTGAAACTGAAAAAGCATTTGATGAAATTCAACATCCCTTCATGCTATAAATCCTCAAAGAAACGGGCACAGAAGAAACATACCGCAACGTAATAAAAACTACAGGAAAGACACCCACAGCTAGAATCATATGGAATGGGGAAAAATGGAAAGCTTTTCCTCTAAGATCTGGAACATAAGGATGCCCCCTGTCACCACTGTTGTTTAACATAGTACCAGAAATCCTAGCTAAAGCCATCAGTGCAGCCCCTGATATGGCCCCCAACCCACCCTGCCCCCTACCACCAGCAGTGTCACCCCCCCAATAGCACACCCAACATACCCAAACTGCCCCGCCTCCCCACACCATGGGCATTACAGCACCCCATAGCGCCCTCAACCCGAAACCGCCACCCCCCCGACAGCCGCACAGTGCAGCCCCGGATAGCACACTTAGCCCACCTCACTGTTGCCAGCAATACAGTCTGGGATAGTGCCCCCAACCGGCTCCCCACCAAAGGCAGTGCAGCCCCGGTTTGGCCCCCAAACCACCCCCCCCCCGCCCGGTGCAGGCAGCACAGCCCCAGATAGCACACCCAACCGGCCACCCAAGACGGGCAGTGACGCCTGAGATAGGGCTCCCAACCCGTCCCAGGCCACCCACAGTGCAGCCTGGATAGTGCACTTACCCCGACGCCTTTCTACGCTCTGGCTGGCTGCAGTGTCCATCGCTGCCACCAACCACAAACAGGGCTGCAAACAGGAAGGATTTTATTCACTGTCCATGCGGCCCTGAGTTGTCCCAAAGCGAGGCAGTGCCCCCAAGGTCTGTGCAGAGCAGAACGCAGCTCCGCCCTCGCGGTGCCACCGGCCCGCCCGCCCGGGTCTCTGCTGAGGAGAACATTGCTCTGCCTTCGCTGTATCTCCGAAGTCTGCAGAGGAGAACTCAGCTCCGCCCTCGCAATGCTCTCCGGGTCTGTGCTGAGGAGACCGCAGCTCCGCCCTCGCAAAGGCACACAGCGCTGGCGCCGGCGTGGCGGAGAGGGGGCCAGTGGCGGAGAGGCGGCCAGCGGCGGCGCGGCGGAGAGACGGACAGCGGCGGAGAGGCGGCCAGCGGCGGCGCGGCGGAGAGACGGACAGCGGCGGCGCGGCGGAGAGGCGGACAGCGGCGGAGAGGCGGCCAGCGGCGGCGCGGCGGAGAGGCGGACGGCGGCGGAGAGGCGGCCAGCGGCGGCGCGGCGGAGAGGCGGATGGTGGCGCCTGGGCGGACGGCGGCGGCGCGGCGGAGAGGCGGACGGCGGCGGAGAGGCGGACAGCGGCGGCGCGGCGGAGAGGCGGACAGCGGCGGAGAGGCGGACAGCGGCGGCGCGGCGGAGAGACGGACAGCGGCGGAGAGGCGGACAGTGGCCGGGAGGCGGACAGCGGCGGCGCGGCGGAGAGACGGACAGCGGCGGAGAGGCGGACAGCGGCGGAGAGGCGGACAGCGGCGGCGCGGCGGAGAGACGGACAGCGGCGGAGAGGCGGACAGCGGCGGAGAGGCGGATAGCGGCGGCGCGGCGGAGAGGCGGACAGCGGCGGAGAGGCGGACAGCGGCGGCGCGGCGGAGAGACGGACAGCGGCGGAGAGGCGGACAGAGGCGGAGAGGCGGACAGCGGCGGCGCGGCGGAGAGGCGGACAGCGGCGGAGAGGCGGACAGCGGCGGCGCGGCGGAGAGACGGACAGCGGCGGAGAGGCGGACAGCGGCGGAGAGGCGGACAGCGGCGGCGCGGCGGAGAGACGGACAGCGGCGGAGAGGCGGACAGCGGCGGCGAGGCGCGCAGCGGCGGCGCAGGCGCGGAGAGGCGCTGGCGCCGGCTCTGGCGCGGAGAGGCGCAGGCCCAGGCTCCACTCCCCAGCTGTGAAAGGGTAAGAACCGAGGGTGGCTGAGACTCGGGGTTGTTCAGGGCGGGGTGGGCTCTGGACCCAGCAGGCCCGGCACCCAGGTCAGGGCTCCAGGGGAGGCCGGGTGGGCGAAGGCCAAGAAGGGGCTGGGGCTGGTCAGGAAGGGCTCCTGGTGACCGGAGCACTTTGCGTGAGCCAGCGTGGGAGGAAGGTGGGCTGGATGAGCCAGGGAGGCGCCGGGAGGGGCCTTGGCAGAGGCGACCCCCTCCGTCACCCCCAGGCCACTGAACCCTGGGTAGCGGAGAACCGACAGGGGAGGCTGCAGACAGAGGAGTGGAGGCTCCCCGGCTTTGGGGGCTCTGAGTAGAAGCATCTAGGGTGTCCCTCAAGAGGCCCCCAAACGCTTCCCCATGGTGAGAAAAGAAGGTGCAGAGAGGGGCACGGCGCTGGTGCAGAGGGGCACACAGCGAGATTTGCTGTGAGTTCTTTTATTGCCCCAAGTGTACCTCATCTTGGTAGATTTCTATTGGCTTTAAAAATGTGTGTGTTTTGCTGTTGGGGAGTGGGGTATTATACGGATGTCAGATTTTGCTGGTTGACTGTTCAGATCTTTTGTAAATCCTTGCTCCTTTTGTGCCTAGTTTCACTCTGTCACTTACACTAGAGTGCGGTGGCACGAACATGACTCACTGCAGCCTTGACTTCCTAGGGTCAAGTACTTCCCCTGGCTTAACCTCCTGAGTAGCTGGTACTATAGGTGTGTGCCGCCACACCTGGCTAAATTTAAAATTTTTTGGAGAGATGAGGCCTTGCTATGTTGCCCAGGCTCGAACTCCTGGCCTCAAGCTATCCTTTGTTTTTGCCTCCCAGAGTTCTGGGATTACAGGCATGAGCCACTGTGCCCGGCCTCTGCCTAGTTTTAACAGTTGCTAAGAGGAGGATGTTGAAGTAGATGTCTTCTTGGTGGGTTAATCCTTTTGTCATTAAGCAGTTGTTATGGTCACTTCCTCTTTTCACCCCATTGGTGAAGGAGGGGTCCCTGCCCTAAAGTGTAGGAGATGGCTGAACACGACACCTGGCGTGGATGGATGCGATTGACAGCAGTGTTTTAGTCACATATACCCACAGCTCAGAGGAGGACACTGCATGCCACACAGGGTCAGATGGGCACCGCACTCTGTAGTGGAGTGAGGGCTGCGGGCTGAGGAAGCAGGCGGGCTTGGTAGTAACAAGAGCACACGATGACCAATGGTTCCCGAGGGGGAATGCAATTGGCTTGTTTGAATAAATTCATGGGCTGGCAGACAGGTGAAGTGAAACTTCTTAGGCTGAGGTGCAACTGTTCTGGCTGATAAAAGAACTAGCCAGGTGGGGAGCCTTTCCTGTTGGGTGGCGGGGTAGGGGGTGTCTGGTAGAAACAGGAAAACCCACGGCTAGGTCTTTGGGGCCCTGTGAGGCTCAAACATGTCAAGGCAGCATAGGAAATTTTAGATCTTAAAATTCAGCGAAGACCCTCTCCAGCTCTGGTAAATTATTTTGCTTGAAGTCTACTTCATGAGATATTAATATATTCACTCCTGCTTCCTTAAAAAATTAATGATTTCACAGGATATCTTTCTCCATTCTTTTACTTTCAACCTACTTAGGTCCTTAAGTGAGTTTGAAGTTTCTTATGAACAGTATTTAGTTGGGCCATGTGTTTATTATAGGCTCTCCATCAATCTGTCTTTTGGTTTATTTAGACCATTTACATTTAAGGTGCTTATTGTTACATAATTGCTTATGTCTGATGTTTTTATTATTTGCTTTTTTGTTTCCTTTTTCTTTCCCTCCATCTTGATCTATTTCTGTATAATGTTGTTGCGTGTATCTCTTTGTATAGTCTTAAAGTGTTTGCTCTGGATGTTACAATATGTGTATTGTAATATAGTAGTCTACTGGTACCAGTATTTACCACTTCAAAGTGTGGAAACCTGCCTTGCATTTATGTCTCTTTACCTTTTCCACTTGTATAAATCACTGGCTTGAGTATTAGGTGGTGGTATAGTTTTTGTTTCAGTCGTCAAATGTGATTTTAAGAACTGTGGATTGTCTCGCATATGTATCCACATTTCTCGTCTTTCCTTTGTCCCTCCTCCCATAGTCCCATATTCATCCCTTCTGCATAAGAACTTTCTATAGCCATTTTTTTATTTTGATTTTTTTGTTTTAATTTTTTATATTGTGGAAATGACAGAACATATTTCTGTAGCCACTTTTTAGCATTTCTAAATTGACCAGTGACAAATTCCTATATTCTCTTCCTCTGAGAATGTCTTTATTTCTCTCTTCATTTCTGAAGGGTAGTTTCATGGGATATAGAATTTGCCTTTCATGTATTCAGAGGTTTTCAGTATTCGTATAATCAAACCTGATAGTTTTCCTTTTGGTTTTGAGGTTGTGTCTTGTTTGGGTGAGTCTCCTACCCATTTGACTACAGAAATGCCCTTTCATTTTAAATATCCTCCTATTATGAAACACATTTCCACATTTTCTAAATTTTTAATTTTTAGCTGAGAAATAAATTAGTAATTATTTAAGTATTAATTACTTTTATCTTGCTATTATTGGTTTTATTTATTTACATGTAGTTGGCTTACATTTAGTTTAGTTTAACTTAATTACTTTAAAGTAATGTATAACTATCTGCAGTTTGTACCTCATGTTCTCACTCATAAATGGGAGCTGAACAATGAGAACACGTAGACACAGGGAGGGGAACATCACACACCAGGTTCTATCCAGGGGTTGGAGGCAAGGGAAAGGAGAGCATTATGACAAATACCTAATGCATGCAGGGCTTAAAACCTAGATGACAAATTGATAGGTGCAGCAAACCACCATGGCACATGTATACCTATGTAATAAACCTACATGTTCTGAACATGTATCCCAGAACTTAAAGTAAAATTAAAAAAAAAATAATTAATTAAAAATATATATCTTCAGTTTGTAAACGTCCCGACAACACAGGAACAGAGTTAAAAGAGTGTGTGTCGTCCTTAGCTGCTCCCACCCCATCGTCTCCTCCCTAGCCAACCCAGCCGCCAGTCTGGCGTGCGCCTTCAAGGTTTCTTCCTAGACACTGGCAAACATAGATCACTATTTTCTGCCACATGGTATCTTTTAAACACACACGATTGTTTTGTGCAGAAACTTTCTATTTTTACCTCTCATAAGTGTCCTGTGGATTCTTTCCATGTCACTGTGGTGTGTGTGCGTGTGTGAGATTCAAGTTCAGCTTGCTAATCTTGTAGAAAGAATTACACTCCACTTCCCCTGTGCTCTGGCCCTCCCTAACACAGCAGCCCATCCCTGGAGGCTGATGGAGCCCCTCGAGCACCTGCTTACCATTTCTGTTTGTTCTGTTTATTCAGGTTTTCTGCCTCCTGCTAAGCCAATTTATACATTCCAAGAAAATCTTCCATTTCATCCAGGTGAAACAGAACCTACTGGAATGAAGCTGGCCTCCCATGGAATGAAGCTGGCCTCCCGTCTCCTTGATTTGAAGCAGCTTCTCCACGTTGGTTATTATGTCATTTTTCTAAATCTAACATTTTAAAATTTGTGCCTTTTCTTTCTCTTTTGCTTGACTTCTCAGAGGTTTTTTTAATGGTCTTTTCAAAGAAGTGGTTTTGGGTTTTATTTATCAAGTCTACTTTTATTATGGCTGTTTTAAAATTAAATACATTTATTTCTTGTTTCCCTTAAAAAAGCTTCTTGTATGTTTACTTAGTTTATATAATTTTATATGTCTTCTGTTGAAGCATATTAACAAACACTTCCAGCTATAACGTTTCCCCTGAGAACTGCTTTGGACACATCCAGAGATTTTGATAGGTCACACACTTATTGTAGTTTGTTTCTGAAAAGTTTTTCATTTTAGTTTTTATTTTCTCTTTTACTCAAATTATCATCAGCTTTCTCCTTTTATCCTGTTTCTGACAAATTAATCTGAGGATATAAATTTCTCCCTAAATGTCAATTTTGTTGAGTTTCATAATTTTAATATGTAATACCCTATTGCTATTGAGTTCCAGGCATTTTATAATTTTCATTGTGAAAACTAACTTTGTTTCCAAAACACACTTTTTCTTCTTTTTTGAGACAGAGTTTCACTCTGTCGCTCAGGCTGGAGTGCAGTAGCACAATCTCATCTCACTGCAACCTCTGCCTCCTAAGTTTAGGTGATTTTGTTGCCTCAGCCTCCCTAGTAGCCGGGTTTACAGGCTTTTGCCACTATGCCTGGCTAATTTTTTGTATTTTTAGTAGAGACAGGGTTTCGTCATGTTGCCCAGGCTGGTCTCGATCTCCTGACCTGGGGTGATCCACCCGCTTCAGCCTCTCAAAGTGCTGCGATTACAGGCATGAGCCACCATGCCCGGCCCCAAAATGCACTTTTAACATGGTCTTTGTTATTGCATGTTTCTAATTTTGTTGCACCCTGGTGAGAGAATGTGATTTGTGTAACAGCAATTCTTGGGAAAGGGGCTGAGGCTTCCTGCTCCTTTAGCACAGCTAAATTTTCCCAAACGCCATCCATGAGCTTGGAAAGAGCATTGTACTCTGTTGGGATGGGCTCAAATCTCTCTGTAAAAATGAGTGTTCTTCTGTTGTTGTTGTTCTGTTTTTTGTTTGTTTTGTTTTGTTTGTTTTTTGTCTCAGTCGTTTTGTTTGCTCAGATCTTTTGATGATCCAGATGATCTTTTAATTTATGCAGGATGTTTCTCTGCTTGTGCAGGCTGGTGGGATTGGGGACTGGAGAGAGGATAAGTGTCTGCTTGCCCAGGACTGGCAAACTGTCACTTGCCCTGGTTGTGCCTTGCCAGGAGCTCCCGTGCCTGTCTCTGAGAGTGTCATGAGCGCAGCGGTGGTAGTTGTGTGGTGGATGCATTTCCCCTGGGTTGGGGGGTGGGTGGCTGGTCCTAGCTCTGTTTGTTGTTGCCGATGAGACACAGCACACTTCTGCTTCCTGATGGATCTTGTCGGTCATTTGACTTCTTCCTGGTCTGGGCTCCTGAGCTGGCCCTCCGCAGGCCAAGCAGGAATGGAGCTGGCTGCTACAAGAGTTCCTTCACTAGAGGGCATCTCTCCTCTCTCCTCCCACACATGGGAACACAAGGGTGGGCTTTCCTCCGCCCACTGTGATCCGCAGCCCGGCTTTCCCCTCCTCACCCTCTGCTCTCAGACAGACTTGGTTTTCGCTGGTGTCTGTGAGAGGTGATTCTTCATGGTGCCAAGAATGTGGATTTTTTTGAGAGCAGGCACTCTCACAGATATTTGCACACCCATGTTCAAAGCAGCGTGATTCACAAGAGTCAAAAGGTAGAAGCATTCTGAGGGTCTATGGGTGAGTGGATGGGCAAGCGAAATGTGGTTATGCATACAGTAGACTGTTACTGAACCTTTACCAGGAAGGAGATTCTTTTTTTTCTTTCTTTTTGTGGAAAATGCAGTCTCGCTATATTGCCCAGGCAGGTCTCGAACTCCTGGGTTCAAGCTATCTTCCTACCTCTGCCTCCCTAACAGCTAGGATAATAGGCGTGAGCCTATAATATCACCCAGCCAGGAGGGAAATTCTGAGAGGTGTGCCAACACACATGAACCTTGAGGACATTGTGCTAGATGGAATAAGCCAGCCACAAAAGGACAAATACATTGCGATTTCACTTACATGAGGGGCCCAGAATGGGCAAATTCAAATACAGAAAGAGCAATGGTTAACAAAAGGAGGGAGTTGGTGTTCAATGGGTCTGGTTTCCTTTTGGGAAGATGAAGACGTTCTGGAGATGGACGGTGGTAGGGGATATGCGACAATGTGAGTGCACTTAATGCCAGTTATAACACGGGGAGCGCGTGTGCACACGGCTCTGGGAGTTCTCGTGCAGCACTCAGAGCTCAGCGTGGGCGAGGGCGTCACCCCTCTGGGGGCGTCCATGGGGCCTTGGAGAAGGGAGGCTTCAGGGCACCAGAGCAGTCTACCGGGAGAGGCCGGGCCGAGCGCTTGTTCACCCCCAGCCCTCTTAGGGAACTTTCACATGCTTCTCCCACTAGGCCTAGGCACCCCTCCCTACTCTCCCTACCCTCCTGGTTCCCTGACCCTCAGTGACTGTGTCCTTCAAGACTGAACTCCAGAGTCCCCACCCGAGGACCCGCAGTGCCCAGCCCCCGCGAGCTCGCGGGGTGTATGCCCACCCCGAGGCTCCACCGCGCCTGTGTGCTGGGAAGCCTGGCTCCATGGGACCCTCGGGCTCTGGGCGCGCTGTCGCTGCAGCTGCCAGCAGCTCCTGAGGAAGTGGCTCGAGGCCCTGGGGCGGGCCAGGCGTGCGGTGGGCCCGCAGCCCTCACACCGGCCCCGGCCGCACACAGGAGGCACAATCAGCAGAGACGTTGGACAGGGTTGGACACTGGCTGTCTCTTTCGGGCCTCAGTTTTCACGTCTGAAATAAAAGCGAGCATCCTGGCCCTGGCGCCATGCCTCTGCCGCGGTAGAGGTTTCCACCCCTATGAGCCCAGTGCGCCTTCCAGGCTCGAGGGAGAGGGAGTGTGCGTGCGTGTGAACGCGTCACACTCTTGTGTGAACGCGTCATACGCTTGTGAAAGACTGTGCGTGTGCACACGCGTGTACGTGCATGTGAACGCATCAGGGTGCCCGAGGATGCACACATGCACGTGTGAGTGTGCGCGAGTGCGTGCTCAGAGGACAGCTCTCAGCAGGCTGGGGACCTCCTTCCTCTCACCCCTGAGGGTTTTGGGGGACCAGCCCCCGTCTCCGGGTGCTATGGGATGCCCTGGGGCGAGCTCCCACCGCTGTGCTCGGGCTCCGGCTTTGTGGGGACCCGGCCTTCCCCGCCCTCACCACGGGGAGTTCCACGCAGCACCCACGAGGTGGCGCCGCAGACTCGCTATCGCGGAGCGTGGCGGCTCCCAGCAGCCTTGCCTACAGCTGTGGCCAGGGCGATCCCTCTCAGGCCCAGGCCGCTGCTGCCAGGAAGAGCAGGAACAATAGCCAGTCACGCCTGGTGATGCCCTGAAGTGCTTATGCTCCCAGGCATGGGCTGTCCACAACGTGCATTCTCTCCTTTTATGCCCCTACTATTTGGAACGCTGTATTTTTTCATTTTTATTTTTATTTTTTGTTGTAAATCTGCCACTTAAAAATACCCAGGGTGGAGCTAAAAGTACAGACACTGCTCAACTTACCCCTGGCTGCGGCCCAATAAGGCCGCTGCGAGTGGAAAATGACTGAGTCCACCTGACTACCGAATAGCACAGCGTGGGGGGGCCCACCTTGGCCTGCTGAGAACACTGCCCTGAGCCTGCGGTGGGCAGAAGCATCAACACGAAGCCTGTTTTGTAGTCAAGTGTCGGATACCTCATGTAATCATTGACTGCTGTACTGAAAGTGAAAAACTGGCCGTGTGGGACTCACACGAGGGTTTCTGCTGACTGTGGATGGCTTTTGCATCACTATAAAGTTGAAAACTGTTAAGTGGAACTGCGGTAAGTCGGGGCTGTGTGCGCTAGAGACCTGAGTTCTGCCGCTCCATAGCTGTGTGACTTTGGACACATATTTGAGCCTGAGTGTCTTCTACACAAAATGGATTTCTTAGCATAACCTACACATGTGTACGTGCCCGTGAGCGTGCACGTGTGTGTTTGCATGAACACATCTGTGTATGCACGAATGTGTGCACATTTGTGTGTGTCTGTGTAAGTCCGTATGTACATTTGTGTGCATGTCTGTGTGTGCATATGTTTGTATGTGTGTGTGCTATGCATGTGTGTGTTAAGGCCCTGGGGTGGAGCTGAGGAGTTGAGGGGAGATGCTGGGAGGGCAGCCAGCACCAGGCGTTTGTTGGCCAGGAGAGAAGCTGCCATCCAGGTGCACTCTGGAGCTCGTGCTTCAGTGGCACAATGCTTTGGGAGTGAGGAAGCTGGGGGCTGGGGCAGGGCAGTCCTGCACCTCAGGGGAGGTGCAGAGTGAGGCCAGGAGGATGGAAAGAGTGCCAGAGAATGGGGGAAATCTGAGGCATCAGGAAAGGAAGACACAGGCCATGGAGAGGGCAGCTGGGCCCTGGGTGAGGCCGGCCCTCAGGAAGGAGGTGCCACAGGCAGGGGAGTGCCCAGATGGAGAGCCCAGGGGTATGGACCCACGGGTGTATGACAGTGGGGGTACTCCTGAAACAGAGCAGTGTTATCCAACAAGCAGGGTTGGGACAACTAGTTATTTCATTTAAAAAAACAGGTCAATGTCAGTCCTCATACTGTGCTTTAAAATAAGCTCCAGATGGACTCATGTTTTACATGTAAAGAAAAGAAGGCAAAAAGAAAATAAAGAAAAGGCTTGTAAGCAGGTAGTTAATTGGAGGCAATCCCAGGATGCAGGAGAGAGGGGATGGAGCCACAGCAGGTCTGGGGAAGGGAGAGAAGCCGGCCCCGAGACCGCAGCCCGAGGACCCATTCAGGCCAGCAGTGCCTTCTGTGCACTTCCACAAGGTCACACGTTCTTCCAAAGTTGCCATCATGGAGAGATAGGCTTCCACGTAGTCTTGACTCCACTGGATTTCAGTCCTTAGGTGACTTTTCCTGTGATCACACTCAGCCCTGATACAGTCATTGCTGGGGCCTCCCCTGGCTGGACGTTCCGCTTTTGGTTCACATTCTTTCCTCCTGCCCCGAGACTGGCCATGGGCCTCCCAAAGGCTAGCTGGGAGGACCTCCCTTCCACGGCTGTGCTCTTGCTCTGCCCATGCTGTCGCCTCCATCTCCACCTCCCTCTCCATCCTCACCACCAGCCCTCGAGTCAGTGGGGAGCTTTCCACTCACCAAGCCCAGGCAAGTGCATCGCGTGAATTTCTCTTGCGCCTCCCACTAGAGGTAGAGGCGCTGTTGTCACCCTATCTGCTGAGGATATGCTGGGGCTGGCAGGGGCCACCCAAGACCAAGGGTGTCACTGTCTCCATCCTGTGCCCACCCAGTCCTGCCCCCTGGGCTCCCTTCAAATCTTTTTTTTTTTTTTTTTTTGAGACAGAGTCCTGCTCTGTCTCCCAGGCTGCAGTGCAGTGGTACAATCTCAGCTCACTGCAATCTCTGCCTCCTGGGTTCAAGCGATTCTCCTGCCTCAGCCTCCCAAACTGCTGGGACTACAGGCACCCACCACCACACCCGGCTAATTTTTTATTTTTATTTTTGTATTTTTAGTAGAGATGAGGTTTCACTATGTTGGCCAGGCTGGTCTTGAACTCCTGACCTCGTGATCCCCCTGCTGCAGCCTCCCAAAGTGCTAGGATTACAGGCGTGAGCCACCACACCTGGCCCCCTTCAAATCTTAACAGAGAAGCCACCAAAGTCTCCTTGGGTCCATCACATGGATGGGCCTCCTGGGCCCCTCAGACCCTGGGCTTCCCTTGAGGTCCTGGAGCTATGTGGGCTCCAGCTCTGGGAAGGTGGACCCCCATGCATGTGTCCTGCCGTCACTGTCTCTATGGAGTCTGGCTCACACTAAGTGAGCCATAAGGCCTTCTTCAAGGTCATCTGTCCCACTGATTTCAGACTCAGGGCGGAGTGTGAAATCATCTGTCCCCCACAGTGCACTCAGAACCCTGTCTGGACTAGGGCACACACACATGCATGCGCATATGAACACACATATGCATATGCACGCACACATGCAAGGCTGCAAGTCTCATGCACACACACATGCACACACATGCACATGCATGTTCACATGCAGAGGCACTCAGGCACCTAGAGCCTTCTCATCCTGCACTTTGAGTCCCCCCTCCCCTTGCCCATCCTTGCCCATCCTTCAAGGCCTCAGTCAAAAGCCATCTTTTACAAATTGTCTCTGGTTGACTTTCCTTTTTTTCCCTCTTAGAAGAAGCGATGCTGTCCTCAGTCATCAAGCGTTCACTAGACGCTTGGTGTGTGCCAGGCCCCGATGTGGGTCTTGGGCATGTTCCAGTTCTCACGTCCTCAGGGCTCCTTGGTGAGTCGAGGGTGAGGAGGACACAGAGGCACAGGAGGCCATGGGGCAGGTCTGGGTGCACTCAGGCTCCAGAGCTCAGCCCTCCCTGCTGAGTCAGGGCGAGCAGGATAGACGCCTGCTCCTGGAACTCAGTGGGTGAGGTGGACACGCATGCAGGGAGGTACCAGCCTCAGGGGCTGTGGAACAGAGAAAGGGAGCTTCCAGGACATCAAACAATTCCTGGAGTGCCAGGGCAAGAGGGGAATCTGGGTGGAGGAAAGTGTGAACAGGGCAGAGGTTGGAGGTGGTTGTGGCCCCCGAGCATGTCGGAGGCGACTGAGCTGCTCCTTGACTTTGGGCATCTTTGTTCGTCTCTGCATTTGCACATTTGTTGAACAAACCTACTGAGACACTTGTTTTCTTTCCATGGTCCATACATTAGGAATATAGAGTTAGCTTCCTGGGGAACATTTTAAGACGTATTCTTAGAGAAGAAACCAGGAAGGCATCCTTGTGGGACGTTGGTCCAGGATCTTGGGTGTGTCCTTTGGTCTTTTGTGGGTCAGGTTAGCAGGAATTGTGTCCTGAGGTGTTGGAACTGCAAAGTGCAGGTTCCCTCCTGCCCGCACTGATGCCTTCAGGGAATGGCCTGTCCGCTTTTCTAAGAAGAACACTTAACTCAGCCTTGGCTGACTTCAGCTACCTGTGCTTTCTCCAGCCAGGCTCTGTGTTTTGTGCTTTTACTCTCAAAACAACCCTATTATTATCCGTGTCCCACAGATGAGGATGCTGAGCCCCTGAGAGGCTCAGTAGGTGCCTGAAGGCATTCCAGCCAAGAGGTGGCAGAGCCAGGGCCAGCCTGGCCTGAGGACTCTGAAGCTCCCACAGGCACAGCTCCTTCATGCCAGCTCTGTGTCAGGATTTTCTGTGGTCATCACAGCCATCTTCCTGGTCGGCTAAGTTACAGACAGGGTGGAACTAGGATGGCCAAGCTGGAAGCAGAGCTCATTCCTGAGCAGGGCACCCGGGCCCTGCCTACGGTGCTGGGCAGGCTTCTGGTGTGGAGGGTGGGCTCAGATCCTGCTGTCCCTGTGGCTGTGGGAGGCTTTTCTAGGCACCCTCCTGACTGCTAACACCAGGAGGGCCTATGATATGGGACCGCTGCCCCATGACGTGTGCCAGGTTTCTGCACGCGACTGCTGGGAAAGGCTGGCCCTGGGCTGGGTGGACCCGCACTGCCTGCTGGCCCCTGCACCCAGATGGTGCAGCCCACACCCCTCTGATGTCCACCCATGCTCGGCTCTGGGACTTCCCTCCTTCCACCGTGTCTGACCCTGGTTGCCCTTGTTCTGCCACTGGCTTGTAGCAGCCCTTCCTGAAGCCACGTCCTCCAGGGAGATTTGATTATGTCCTGGTGTTGCAACCTCGCTAATGCAATCAGGAAGTTTTCTCAAGACTTCAGCTGCTTTGTTGGCAGCCAGGCCTGACTCTCAGCAGCTCTGCAGGCTGGAAGGGCCCAAGAGACCCCTCACCCACCTGGTGTCTCCAGCAGTGGGGAGGGCTCCGGGGCATAGCCTATTGCTGCTCTGCTCTCCTCCTTTCTTTGGGTAAGCTCCTTTGCTCTGATTTTATCTGGAATCATCGAGAGCCTCTATCTGTCTAGAAAAAGCACTTAGCAATGAGGAATCAGCACTGCGGAGAGTACTCCAGAAAGCAGCCATTTTCCATCAAGATTAGGCTCTTAATTGAAAATTTTAAGAGGAGAGGAAATTAGGGGAGAATCCAGATATTCTCTCCATTATGGTAATTGGCTGTAATCAGAGCCCAAGAGCTGTGTTCAATCCTGGGGGTTCTTCCAGGATTACCAGAGCTGTCATAGTCACCTTCACTGACCTGCACTGGAGTCAGTGGGAGGGGCTGGCGGGGTCCGGGGCTGCTCTGGCAAGTGGATCCAGGAGGGCTGGGCTGGATCCAGGGGGCTGAGTTCAGAGGGGACTCTGCTTAGCAAGTGTGAAACACACGACAGGGCCTTCCAGGCAGAGGGAAGATTGAGAACTGCGGCCGAGCGAGTGCGTCCAGGGGCCCGAGTTTAGTTGAGGGCCTAAGTTTTCCCAGCAGGGCAAGGTTGAGGGTGAGGATGCTGCAGGCCAGTTTTGTATGGCCTCAGAATGAGGACAAGAAGGGGGAGATGGGCCACAGGGATGAGGGTGCCTGCTCCCTGCAGCAGTGTGCACACCACGGCTGTGCAGAGGCAGCAGGTGGCAGGTATTGGGAAGAAGCCCTTCCCTTGTGTGTCCTAGGGGCTGGGCACAGCCTGATGGGCCCCCTTTGCTCACAGTTGCAGAAGCCCATCCATGTAGGGTCCTGCTGAACTGGCTTCCATGGGGCTGGGAAGGACTGGCCTGGCCTCTTTGCTCACTTCACCTTATGGGCAGTGTCCTGCAGGTTTCTGTGAGCAGAGCAGACAGAAAGGAGATGCCCAGTGACGTCAGCTGTCCCCCACAGAGCTTCCTGGAGCCTGGGCTCCAGGCTGAGGGTCCTTGGACAGACGTCATCTCCCTGGCTTCAGCAGAATCACCCACAAACCCACCCTGTGCCCACCCTCCCATCACAGAGAGCAGCTGCTGGAGAAGGCAGCATGAGACTTTGAAGACCTCGAGGAGCAGGAGACACAGGAGACAATGGCCAGGATGGTCATGGTGGCGCGGCTATGCCATCACTGATTTCTGCCTACCTGCCCCCTAAGTCTCACTTGCTACTACTCTCAATTTCCTACTTAATGCTTCAGAGAGCACCAGTCCTGAGATGAGAGGCGGGATGTTCACTCTCTGGGAGTTGAGATGGAACCCAGGCAGTTAGAAAAAAGTGCCACAGCCACGTGCCGAGCCTACTACTTGTCAGGAGCTCAGTGAGTCATCCAATTCCTAAAACAACTGTGCTGCATGTGCTCCACCGCGCCTGGGCGACTCGGGGAAATGGGCTGCGGGAGGCTTAGTGACCTGCCCTGGGTGACACGGATGGCATGGATGCCCTGTCCATGCACGGGGCTGTGCTAGGAGAGGACAGGATCATCCCCAGAAGCTGGTCCTGTGTCCACTGCTCACGGTGGCAGCTGCTTGGGCTGACAACGCCCCCCACCTCCTGATCAGATAGTGATATACTTGGTCCAAACTTCGAAAGTAAAAAAGTTAAAACAGAAAAATAGTCTCCTGGTCATTCATGCTCTCTGGTTCCCTTTTCATTAGTATCTCTTTCTCCTTCTATTTATGGATCTAGTTATTTAAAGCACAGATGGTGACATTCTGTACATATTCTGCATTTTGCTTTTTAAGTCTATTTTATTATGACGTACAATACATATAGAAAAGTGGAAAAAACTGAAATGAATGAATTTTCATGAAGTGAGCATTGGTGTAAACTGAGCCAGTACATTGGGAACCCCCTTCATTCTCCCTCCCAGTTACTGCACCATCCCTCCTGCCACCGGTAAATACTGCCCTGACCTTCATGGTAACTACTTGCTTTGCTTCCATTAGATATTCTATTTTTGTTTCAGCTGTGCTTTTGAACTTTATAGAAATGGATTCATACAGGGTGTATTCCTTCACATTGAGCTGGCTGTGTGCAGCATTGTGTGCAGTTGTTTCATATTGTAGCCGGGAACAGTGACTCATCTTCATTGCTCTTTAGCATTCCATTGTTTAATTGAATCCCAGTTTTCTTTTCCACTGTTGGTTGTGTTTAGATTTTTTTCAGTTTGGGGTTACTATGAAGGATGCTATAAAGAGCATTCTTGTACATGGCTCTTGTAGCACAGTGAACACATTTCTGTTGGGTGTAGAGATGTACGTATATGTGTGTGTGTGTGTGTGTGTGTGTGTGTATATATATATACACCCCAAGGGGTAAAATTGTTGGATGTACATACCTTTGACTTCAGTAAATCATGCCAAACTGCTTTCCAAAGTGGTTGTTCATCTTTTTTTCCTTTTGTTTTTCAGTGGATCCTTATAGTTTGGGATTCTTCCATAATGGTACATATAGATGTGTCTCATTTTTTTAAACAGTTGCATAGTTTTCACAGCATGGACATAACATGATTTATTTAACCTGTCTTCTGTTGTTGGACTTCGTTATATTTATACTCAAACAATGCCACAATGAATAACCTTCTTCATAAGTTAATTAAATACTCGATGAAAAATACAGGTTTTTTTTCAGTTTATAAAAGTAATACTTGCTCACTGAGGAAAAAAAAATCTGTAAATTACAGAAAAACACAAAGGAAATATATCCTCTGATCCAACCAGAAAGAAAACTACTTTTCCTATGTTGTGCGTAGCTCTCTAGTTTTTTCTTTCTTTATATCAATTGGATTTTTTTTTTTTTTTTTTTTTTTTTTGGAGACAGGGTCTCACTGTGTCACCCAGGCCGGAGTGCAGTGGCATGATCACAGCTCACTGAAGCCTCGACTTCCCAGGCTTAAGTGATCCTCCTACCTCACTCAGCCTCCCGAGTAGTTGGGACCACAGGCATGTGCCACCACATCTGGCTATTTTTAATATTTTTTGTATAGATGGGGTTTCGCCATGCTGCTCAGGCAGGTCTCAAACTCCTGGCCTCAAGCCATCTGCTTGTGTTGGCCTCCCAAAGTGCTGGATTACAGGCATGCACCACCACCCCCGGCCTAATTGAATTTTTATTTTGGAAGAACCATATACCTTTATACATATTCTTTCTATGACTTATTTTCTGTAGTTGAAGTTCAAGGGTGTTTGACAGTGTGATGTGGTTATTGTTAACCTGTATGTGGGGGCATACAGATATGTTTTTTTACTTTTTCCCATAAGGCTAAGATCATCTCCAGAAATATTAATTTTTTAGACAGTGTGATTATAGTTATTTAATACTCATACTTATCAAAATATTATATGTTAAAACCAATAACCATCTGAACTTATTTGAATATAGTTTTTCCTATTCTGTTCTTAGAAATTTCAGTCACTAACAATCTTTACACTTAGAAAGTGTTTTAATTTTACTTTGATGACAGGAATAGTGTTCTTCTCAATGAAATATAGAATAGCAGCTTATAAGTGATAACTGTTTTCATTCTGTTTTTAAGAGAAAATACTTTGGTCTTTTTTACCATGATAGTTTAGTGTGTGATGTCATAAAAATGGGCTGTAGCCATTTAAATTCTTGTTCAAGTGCAGAAACTAAGAGACTGCAGTTTCTATTAAGCCATGTCAACTCCTATTAGGAGACCTTTAGTGGTTCCAGTTCCAGGGCCTTCTTGAAGAAATTGTGATACTTGTGTAAGTATATCTAGAGTTTTCTTTCCAGCATTGGCTAAGTCACATAGCTGAGAAATATGATACATGGAGAAGGTTGCTGACTGGATGAACTTTTCTACATTGAATACTTTAAATCTGGATTCTAGAATAAAATATATTGATGCATATTTGAGTTGTCAACTGTTTATGTCTTGTTCTTTTCAGCTTCAACATTGCTTTATGGCATGTGTGGTCGTTTTTCACTCCATTGTTGTTGTTTACCCAGTTTATGGGGGTTGTAATGTTTATCACACTCCTTGGATGATTTCCGAAGGTAAGATATCTGGAATGGTTTTTCTAAAAATGAACTCATTTGAAAAATGTCTTTTATGACAATTTTCAGTGGATGGAGCTGTAACAGACTATTTGTGAATTATTTTCAGTCATGTTTACACCAGAGTTGTCCACACTAGAATTATCCATTCGTTGAACTCTGAGATAGACTCCTTTTTTTTGAGACAGTGTCTCACTCTGTTGTCCAGGCTGGAGTACAGTGGCATGATCACCGCTCACTGCAGCCTTGACCACCTGGGGGCTCAAGCGATCCTCCCACCTTAGCTTCCCAAGGAGCTGGTATTACAAACATGTGCTACCACGCTTGGCTAATTTTTAAAATTTTTTTTGTAGAAACAGAGTCTCCTTATTTTGCCCAGGCTGGCAGGGGTTGGGGGCTGAGACTCTTTCTTTTGTAAAAGTTGGTTCTAAGTGACTACTTTTTAGAGAAGGTACCCTGCCTTTCAAAGACCTCATAAAGACAGGATTTGTACCTTCCAATATAGTTAAATTCACACATTAGACCATTTTATGTTGAAATTATATTAATTTGTGTCAGCTTATATTCAATGACTGTTGGCTAGATCATTCTTAAGAAATGGGAATACAGGAAGAATGGACAATTTTACCCAACTGGGAAAAAAAATTCTACCATCTTCTAATTATTCTGACTTCCTCATAAAAATGTGTTGGATGACACAATCAGCTTTTGTTTGGTGTTATTTATAGAATTTCTGCCTCCCTACAGATCACCCCATCCTGAGATCTGCTGCCTTACACAGTGGAGGCTGTTTTCTGAGTGTCGGATAACTCTGTTATTAAATAAGTGCATATTGAGAATACTCACTCCAGATGCTTAGAGGCAAGTTGAGAAGGACAAAGATAGTGCCTCCTGTCAGGTCACTTACATCAGAACTTGCAGGAAACCTGCTTTATACAGCAGTTGACAGGTGTGGAAATTGAAGCTCATGGAAATGAAAGTTAATACGCTAAATTTTCAAGGAGTTAATGAAAACTGACATTTCTGCTAAAAACAGCATGTTCTCCCTGTGGGATTTTAAAGGAAGGTCAATGGTAACTGTACAAAGAAGAAATGGACACAGTCTCATTGTTAGCAGTCTGAAAATAGTTGCTAGCACCTCCATGCCCACGCCAATGTCTCCAGCCTCTTTCAGGCACCTTGCTGTGTCTTGGAACCACTGGGAGCCCTCACAGGAGGCCCTTCGTTCCTGTATGCATGTGGTGCCACAAGCTGCTTTGGGCCCGGAGGAATCCTACACATCTCAGAACACTTCCTCACCTGACCCTGTCACCCATCTCTCCCCTTCTCATGTGCTCAGCCCCTTCTTTGACTCTTGAATTTTGAGTTTTTACAGATGTTTGGGAGCTCTTACCCTGACATGAATTTACAATTGTAATGGAGACTCAGACAACGTTGTAGATCACAGAGTGAACTATGCTTTTTAGTGTTAAATGCAATAGCTTAAGATAGAATGTTTTACTTGTTACATAAATGCTGGTTTTCTTTCAGATTTAAGGATATATACTTTTTTTTTTTTTAAGAGATAGGGTCTTCTATGTTGCCCAGGCTGGCTTTGAACTCCTGGGATCAAGTGATCCTCCTGCCTCAGCCTTCAAAGTAGTTGGGACTACAGGCCCACGCCACCGTGCATGGCTGGACACGTAAATTTGAAGTGAATGGTTAAACATCCAGCTAGCTGAAAGCATGACAGACCCTAACAGAAAAGCTACAGTGTGTTTTTGCAGCTATGAAGTGAATGGTTTCCTGGGGAAAATTGTGACTTTGTATAACTATTTTTGAAACCAGAATAAATTATATTTCACTTGCATATTCTTAAATTATTAAAATTTTCAGAAGTCAGTGATACAGAAATACTATTTTGCAATGTTAATCTGTTTGAGTCTTTGGAGAAAGTGGTTTCATTATAGGTACATGATGCACTCTTAATATTTTAAACAAATAGTTCACTCTTCCATTTAAGGGATAGCAGTTCCTTGTATAAAATGACTGGATATGTATAAAGGAATTACGTTGTCATGTGCCTTTAACCAGCTTTAGTAATTACTATAATCTCATATTTATGATCGTTTTGTTAGGTGACAGGACCAAATGAAAATATTTTATGTTTTCCCGTCACTTTAGATTTTATCATTGTGTAAATTACTGGGTTTTTAGCATTTCCTAATGTGAAGTTTTAATCATTTTTAAGTATACATATTTTTTTCTGTACCATTTAAATAAAATATTTTTATAACTTTCTTGTGAGTTTTGTTCATGCAAACTTTGGAATGACTTCTGGTTTTTAGCTATTAGCACTTTGAATTAACCATAGAAATAACAAGGGCTAACTCTGTTCTTCAAAGACTTTATAAAGACAGTATTTGCACTTTCAAATGCAAATATATCTACATTAAATCTAAACAGCATAAGCATTGTGACAGAATGTACCTCATGTTGATTGTTTTCTCTGTAAGGTGACTTCTAGTAATGATTTGACTTAATCACCACTTGTGTCTGGTTCAGATCATACCCTGCCATTTACTAGCTGCAAGACCTTCAGTAGTACAGGTTTAGTATCCCTAATTTCAAAATCTGAAACTTTTTGATTGCTGATATGGCACTCAAAGGAAATGCTCATTGGAGCATTTCGGGTTTTGGAATACAATGCAAGTATTCCAAAATCCAAAACACTTCTGGTCCCAAGCATTTCAGAGAAGGGGTAGTCAGCCTGTAATCTTTTTTCAGCTGTGAAGTGGGAACAATATCTGTCTTGTAGGGTTGTGGGTAATAGTAATAATGTTTGTAAAACACCAATTACAGTGCCTGACACAGTAGGTGTCCACTCAATAAATGGTAATGGAGAGGGAAAGAAAGGGAAAGCAGAATCTAGGATCAGGAATATCACATCCCGTCATGATGTTTGCAAAGGGGAAAGTCAGGCATGATGAGTAGACAGAAGTAAACCCAGTTTGTTGTCATGGGTATGTGAAGGTGTGGCGAGAGTGTCATTTAAAATAGGGAGCAAGGCCAGGCAAAGGCCACAATCAGGCAGCCGAATCAGGCAGTGATGAATCAGGCAGTGATGTGAGGGTCCGGCACAACCGAGGCAGCAGCCCGGGAAGGGAGGGCATTTGGATCACACTCCCTGGAGGGAGCTTGGGTGGAGAGTGCCCCAGTGTCAGCCTTCACACATTTTATATCTTTTTTTTTTTTCTTGAAGAGTATGTTTACAACATGGATAGAAATCTAAGGCTGGCATGTGTTTAAAACAATTAGTTAAAACCCAGTTTCCCAAGAGCTAATAACTGGCCAATTAGGATGGTATGAAGATTGTCCTATTACTTAAAAAAAGACTTTTTGAGACAGAGTCTTTAACTTGTCATAACATGTCTGAACAGGATCTAGTTTGAGACACTAAGAAGGATAAGACATCAGTTTGAAAAGAGACCACATCAGTGCAACATTAATTCTGCTAAAATCGAAGCAAGAACAAACATCAATTTATTATGAAGCTTGGGTGAAAAATGGTAAAATCACTAATGCTTCATGAAAAGTTTATGGGAACAATGCCCCAAAGAAATCAACAGCTTACAAATGAATAACTTGTTTTAAGAAGGTATGAGATGATGTTGAAGAGGAAGCCCTCAGTAAGAGACCCTACACACGAATCTTTGAGGAAAAAATTCATCTTGTTTATGCCCTAATCAAAGAGGACTGATGATTAATAGCAGTTAACAATAGCAGAAACAATAGACAGTGTCATAGACGTCAAATTGGTTCAGGTTACACAATTCTGACTGAAAGCCAACTTTGCACTTGATGGGTGCCAAAACTGTTGTGCCCAGATCAGTTGCAAACAACAGCAGAGCTTTCAATGGAAATTTAAACAGTGGGATCAAGATCCTGAAGCATTTGTTCGAAAAGTTGCAACAAGTTATGAAACATGGATTTCGTAGTACTATCCTGAAGACAAAGCACAATCAAAGCAATGGCTACCAAGAAGTGGAAGTGGGTCAGTCAAAGCAAAAGCAGACCAGTCAAGAGCACAACTCATAGCAACAGTATTTTGGGGCTCAAGGCACTTCCCTTGTTGACTTTCAGGAGGACCAAAGAATGGTAACATCTGCTTATTATGAGAGGGTTTTGAGAAAGTTACCCAAAGCTTTAGCAGAAAATTCTTGGGAAAATTTCAGCAGAGTCCTCCTCCACCATGACAATGCTTCTGGTTATTCCTGTCATCAAGGGCAATTTTGGGAGAATTTTGATGGGAAATCATTACAGTCCTGATTTGGCTCCTCCTAACTTCTTTTTGTTTCGTAATCTTAATCTGTAAAGGATACCCTTTTCAGTTAATGTGTAAAAGACTGCATTGATATGGTTAAATTCTCAGGACCTTCAGTTCCTTAAGGATGGGCTAAATGGCTGTAGCATGACTTATACAAGTGTCTTGAACTTGATGGAGCTTATGTTGAGACATAAAGTTTATATTTTCAATTCATTTTTTCCAAGTTTTGAAGTCCAAGGGTACATGTGGAATGGCTAGATGGAGTTCATTAATATATGCATTACTTTGCATACTTATTTTTTGTGGTGAGATTTCTTAAAATCTACTCTTCACAATTTTTAAAATGCTATAAATTGTTATTAACTATAATTACTAAGCTGTACAATAGATCTCTTGAACTTACTCTTCTTACTTAAATGAAATTTTGTACCCTTTGACCAACATCTCCCAACCCACAAATTCCACCTGCTGCCCAGCCCCTGGTAGCCACTCTTCTACTCTCTACCTATATGACCTCAGCTTTTTTAGATCTACATATAAATGAGATCATGTGACATTTGTCTTTCTGTGCTTGGCTTATGTCACTTAACATAGTATCTTCCAGGTTCATATCCATACTGTTACAAATGTCAGGATTTCCTTTTTTTTCTTTTTTGAGACAGGGTCTGGCTCTGTCACCAAGGCTGGAGTGCAGTGGCACAATCTCAGCTCACTGAAACCTGGACCTCCCAGGCTCAAATGATCCTCCTACCTCAGCCTCCCAAGTAGCTGGGACTACAGGTGCACACCACTGGGTTTAGCTGATTTTTTTTTTTTTTTGAGAGAGAGTTTCACTCTTGTTGCCCAGGCTGGAGTGCAATGGTGTGATCTTGTCTCACCCACAACCTCTGCCTCCTGGGTTCAAGTGATTATCCTGCCTCAGCCTCCTGAGTAGTTGAGATTACAGGCATTTTTAGTAGAGAAGGGGTTTCTCCATGTTGGTCAGGCTGGTCTCAAATTCCTGACCTCAGGTGATCCAACTGCCTCAGCCTCCCAAAGTGCTGGGATTACAGGCATGAGCCACCACACTCAGCCTTTTTATTTTTATTTTTTTGTAGAGTTGAGGTTTTGCCATGTTGCCCAGTTGGTCTTGAACTCCTGGGCACAAGCAGTCCACCCACCATGGCCTCCCAAAGTGTTGGGTTTACAAGCGTGAGCCATTGTGCCCGGCCATTTCCTTCTTTTTAAGGTTGAATAATATTCTGTTGTGTATGTATACAATGTGTATACATACACACATTTTCTTTGTCCATTCATTCATCCATTGATGGATGCACAGGTTAATTCCATATCTTGACTATCATTTGTGTGTTATAGATTAAATTTTTGCTCACCAGAAGATCTGTTGAAATCTTAACCCCTGGTTCCTCTGATTGTGGCCCTATTTGGAAATGGAGTCTTTGTAGATTTAATTAAGATGTAAATTACAATGAAGTCATACTGGAGTAGGTTGGGCCCTTAACCCATTATGACTGGTGTCTTTATAAGAAGAGGAAAAGAGACACAGATACAAAGGAAAGATGGTCAAGTCACAACAGAGGCAAAGATTGGAGTGATACAGCCACAAGCCAAGGAATGCTAGGGGTTGCCAGCAACCAGCAGAAACTGGAAGAGGCTGGCGATGACCCCCCATTGGAGCCTTCAGAGGGAACTTGGCTCTTCTGACGTCTAGATTTTGGACTTCTGGCCTCCCAAACTGTGAGAGAATAAATTTTCATTGTTTTGAAGCCACCCCGTCAGTGGCACTTTGTTAGACCCACCCACTTGGCTGTGCACAGTGACTCATGCCTGTAATCCCAGCACTTTGGGAGGCCGAGGTGGGTGGATCATGAGGTCAGGAGCTCAAGACCAACCTGGCCAACATGGTGAAATCCCATCTCTACTAACAATACAAAAAATTATCCAGGCATGGTGGTGTGTGCCTGTAATCCCAGCTACTCGGGAGACTGAATCAGGAGAATCACTGGAACCCAGGAGACAGAGGTTGCAGTGAGCCAAGATCACACCACTGCACTCCCGCCTGGGTGATAAGAGTAAGATTCTGTCTCAAAAAAAAAAAAAAAAAAAAAAAAAAAAAAGAAGTGAATACACTGTCTAACTCTTTTGTTCTTAAAAATACTGGGATTACATAGCTACCACCAAAGGTGACTGGGGGCAAAATGTGCTAATTGCCCCTTGGGACCTTCTATTATCTCTGGTAGTTGAGAGTGCCAGTGGGCCTCTGGCCTTGTGAAATCCTGTCAACTTCACTGGAAGAAGGGAGCTCATGTGATCATTAAAAAGGAAACAACAGGTGCTGGAGAAGATGTGGAGAAATAGGAATGCTTTTACACTGTTGGTGGGAGTGTAAACTAGTTCAACCATTGTCGAAAACCGTGTGGTGATTCCTCAAGGATCTAGAACTAGAAATACCATTTGACCCAGCGATCCCATTACTGGGTATATGCCCAAAGGACTATAAATAATTCTACTATAAAGACACATACACATGTATGATTATGGCGGCACTATTCACAATAGCAAAGACTTGGAACCAACCCAAATGTCCATCAATGATAGACTGGATTAAGAAAATATGGCACATGTACACCATGGAATACTATGCAGCCATAAAAAGGATGAGTTCATGTCGTTTGTAGGGACATGGATGAAACTGGAAACCATAATTCTGAGCAAACTGTCGCAAGGACAGAAAACCAAACACTGCATGTTCTCACTCATAGGTGGGAATTGAACAATGAGAACACTTGGACACAGGATGGGGAACATCACACACCGGGGCCTGTCATGGGGTGGGGGGAAGGGGGAGGGATAGCATTAAAAGAAATACCTAATGTAGATGACGAATTAATGGGTGCAGCACACCACCATGGCACATATATACATATGTAACAAACCTGCATGTTGTGCACATGTACCCTAGAACTTAAAATATTAAAAAAAAAAAAAGAAAAAAAGGAAGGGAGCCCATGCCCGAGGGCACCATGCCTCCCTGTCCATCTGCGTGGTACTGAATCATCACTGGGAAGCAGCTGCCTGGTCAGGACGTTTCCAGCTTTTACACTGATTGAGCCATGCCACACAGTTCTCAGGACACAGTGTGGGCAGGGGTAACATGCACCAAATGTGGTGAAAACAGCAGGCCTGGGCACCACCAGAGCACCATTTCTGACCCCTTGTATCTTCCCATCATGGAGCAGGGGTCAGTCGTAAGAAATTGGGGGCCCCGTGTGGCTCAGACTTTTGAAAAAAATCTCACTGGTGGAAGGCAGAACACAGTGTGGGTAAATCTCTCAGTTTTATTTATGTATTTATTGAGATGGAGTCTCTGTCATCCAGGTTGGAGTCCGGTGGCACAATCTTGGCTCACTGCAACCTCTGCCTCCTGGGTTCAAGAGATTCTCCTGCCTCAGCCTCCCAAGTAGCTGGGATTACAGGTGTGCACCACCACACCAGCTATTTTTTGTATTTTTAGTAGAGACGGGGTTTCACCATGTTGGCCAGGCTAGTCTCGAACTCCTGACCTCAAGTGATCTGCCTCGACCTCCCAAAGTGCTGGGATTACAGGCTCTCAGTGAGTTTTAACATTGTCTTGAGATTACAATAAAGGGGGCTGACTTTAGCCTCCAGAAACTTTCATTTCATTGCTTCTTAAAAAAATGCAGGCCAGGTGTGGTGGCTCATGCCTGTAATCCCAGCACTTTGGGAGGCCAAGGGGTGGATCACCAGGTCAGGAGTTGAGACCAGCCTAACCAACATGGTGAAACCACATCTCTACTAAAAATACAGAAATTAGCCGGGCATGGTGGCAGGCGCCTGTAATCCCAGCTACTCGGGAGGCTGAGGCAGGAGAATCGCTTGAACTCAGGAGGCAGAGGTTACAGTGAGCTGAGATGATTGTGCCACTGCACTCCAGCCTGGGTAACAGAGTGAGACTGCATCTCAAAAACAAACAAACAAACAAACAAACAAACAAACAAACAAACAAACAAACAAAAGTGCAGGTAGCCCAGAGACAGGCATTCCACTTGATTTTCAGATAGTGACTGAGTGTTATTTATCTTTGTACTCAATGGGTTAAGGTACTGCTAGCTGCTGTAACATTTCAGACTTTGGTGGCTTAGCACAATGGAAGTTTATTTCTCACTGATGTAAGGTCCAGCTTCGGGAGGAAAAGCCACCTCACTAGTCACTGGGGAGACACGCAGACAGGCTCTTCCATCTTCAGCTCAGCCTCCCAGGTTGCTCTGGCTGTTGGTAGGAAGAGGAGGGGAGAAGGTGGAGGATTCCCAGTAGGTTTGCTGGATCCTCTCTCTGGACTGCCTTTCCAGACCCCTGCTCCCTTCCACCTGGCCATCCACTCCTAAGCCTAAAGAATGTGCAGGAGGCTGGACGTGGTAGCTGGAGCCTGTAATCCCAGTGCTTTGGGAGGCTGAGGTAGGAGGATGGCTTGAGCCCAGGAGTTTGAGATCAACCTGAGAAACACAGCGAGACCCCTGTCTCTACAAAAAACAATTTTAAAAAACTGAGCCAGGCGTGGTAGCACACACCTGTAGTCCCAGCTATTTGGGAGGCTGAGGTGGGAGGAGCACTTGAGCCCCAGAGTTCGAGGCTGTAGTGAGCTATTATCACACCACTTCATTCCAGCCTGGGAGACATAGGGAGGCCCTGTCCTTATTAAAAGATAAAAATAAAATAAAGAAAGAAAGAAGACTGTGCAGGTGTTGCCTCCTCCCTGAACCTCGCAGCCTTCCTGCAGACCTGGGCTCCTCCCAGGCCCCTGGTGGTAGCCCTGCTCAAGGGTGCTGTGCTGCTTACTCTGTCCCCACCCCCAAGCTCTTAGAAGTTGAGGGCTAAGTCTCACAGGTCACGCTCCCCAGCTTCCCAGTCAAGGCTCATTAGCTGTTTGTTTATTGCTGTTTCTCTACCTGAACATCAGCTCCACCTGAACAGAGCCTTTCATAGCTGAAACCCCAGCGCCTACAACAGAGACCAGCAAATGATTCATAGGTCAACACATACATGTGTGTTGATCAAATGAATGAATGCATGAATTGGAAGAATGATGGCGGCAAGGCAAGGTCCCCCAGGTTGACTTCTTGCCGGCCCAGGACTCCCCACCCCTCCTTTACTAGTCAGGACCTGCTATTGCAATTTGCTGCGCTTAGCGCAAAACAAAAACCTGGGCCCTCTTGTTCAAAAATTAAGAATTTCAAGACTGCAAGAGCCTTAAACCAAGAGGGAGAGGGTGTCTTCCGGGGCCCAGCCCCGGGCTGCTGCATGGTGGGATGGGGGCTCGCCCCAGGCTCGCTCCCAACTCCCCTCTCCAACCTGCAGCTGGGGGGCTGGGGTCCACCGCCTCCTGTCAGCCACGCCCGACCGGTAGAACGCTCTTCTGCAGAAACTTCCCAGACCTCCACTTAATGGCACCCGAGCAGGGCGCCCTGGCAGACGCAGTCTCCTTCCGGGAGCAGGCAGGTGCAAGGCAGGCACCGGGGCTTTGGAAGGGGCTGGTGGAGATGCTTGGGCGCCGGTTGCCCCAGGGCAGACCCTGGGGCCTCCCTCATTCCAGCTCCTCTGCGTCCAGAATGGCTGCCGCTCCTTTGGGGGAGGGTGCGGGATGGTCTCTTTTCTTAGAAAGTGGCTCAGGTCTTATTCTGCGCCTGGGCGTCTCGCAGCCGACACACAGGCACACCAGATGGACAAACAGAAAAACCCACAGAAGGCGGCCCCTCCCCCAATTCAGAGAGCCAGTGACTGGCGCTCCTCCACCCCTAACCAGACACACCCGAAAACAGACGGCCAGACACAGAGTGACCGGCACAGAGAAGACAATACAGAAATACGCAGGGACAAGGACAGACCATCGGACGCTCGGACACGGACCCAGGCAGGATCACCTGGACCTCTGGGTTCCCCAACGGAGACCCTCGGGGAAGGCCCGGAGCATAGCACGCCCCTGTGGAGCCCCGTGCGCCCCACTTGGCAGCAGCCACGCCCCCCGCGCACACCCCACTTCGGGCTGGCTCTGGAAGACCCCCTCTCCCCAGCCCCGCAACCCCGGGACTCTGGGAGGCATCTCTCGTCACCCAGCGTTTCTGAGGCGCCGGGACAGGGGCTGGGTGGGTGGGCGTCGGCGCAGGAGTGAGGGCTGCAGACGGTGGGCGGGGGCCGGGCGCGCGGGCGGAGGTGCGGGAGGACGCGCTAGTGTCGGGGCAGGGCTGGCCAGTGTCCCAGGGATCAGGAGCCGGGAGCGGTCCGCGTGGGTCCCGGAGGGGACAGATGGCTGCCCCGGGCGTTGCCCAGTGAGGGGCAGTGGGCAAGGGAGCTCGTAGAATCCCGGGTCAGCGGGGTGGGGCGCTGGGTAAGTGGACAGGGTGGTACCTTGACTGAGGACGAAGGGGCAGAAGAGGGGAGGGCGGGCGTCGGGAAGTGACAGGAGACGGGGCAGGTTGTTGGGGGCGTGGGGTAGGAATCGGAGGGGAGTTGAAAAGGGGGGTGCTGGTTGGCAGAGGCGTCGGGGCAAGGACAGGAGCCAGGAGCGCAGGCGGGGCCCGACGGCAGCCACCCCCGGGGCCAGACTTGGCGCGGGTGTCTTGAAGATGCTTGAGGGCCTGGGGTCGCCCGCCTGGCCCCGGGCAGCTGCGAGCGCCTCAGTCGCGAGGTCATCGGGGCCCGCGGCCTGCCCGCCTCCCTCGCCGTCGGCCCCGAGGTGCCCGGAGTCCCCGGCCCCCCGGAGGGGCGGTGTGCGCGCCAGCGTCCCACAGAGGCTGGCCGAGATGCTGAGCAGCCAGTATGGGCTGATCGTGTTCGTGGCGGGGCTGCTGCTGCTGCTGGCCTGGGCCGTGCACGCCGCGGGCGTGAGCAAGAGCGACCTGCTGTGCTTCCTGACGGCGCTCATGCTGCTGCAGATGCTGTGGTACGTGGGCCGCAGCTCCGCGAACCGCCGCCTCTTCCGCCTCAAGGACACGCACGCCGGCGCCGGCTGGCTGCACCGGCTGGTGAGTCCAGGCACCGGGCAAGCGGGTCTCTGCCTCCTCGCCCGCTGGCTGCATCCTGAGACGGCTCTGCCCCCTTCCTACCACTGCCGTCTTCCCTTCAGCCTTTTCTGCCTTGGTCTCTCTGTGCATCTTTCCTAGCTTTCCTATCTGCCCTTCCTTCTTTCCTCTCTCTCTCTCTCTCTGAAGCCTGGGTCGTCGCAGGAGCCTCCTCTCCGCCTCCAGACGCTTCCATCATTACAGCCACAGTTACAGAAACCTCTCCTGTCCTTCCCTGGCTTAAAGCCATACAGTGGCCCTACTGACCCCATGAGGGAGGTCACGCTCCCTCTCCTGACACTCAGAGCCTTCTAGCACCCGGCCACCGAGGGCCCGTTTCCTTTGATCCCCTTCTTTGTTCTCATCCTATGCTGGGGTCATTCTCGAGGACTTTCTCTCCTGTCGCAGGATCTCTGCCTCTGCACATTCAGCACCTTTGGTTCCCTCCTCCAGGAATGTCTTTTCCACTCTCCCACCTGCCCCTCTGCTTTCCGAGACAGGCCTCAGGCCTCACCCCATTCTCCCCGCGAAGCTTCTCCGACCCCCTTCTCTTCCCCGCTTTGCAGGTCTGACCGCACGCTCCCAGCCCGCACTGGGTTCCAGTGTTCTTGTCGACATGTCTGTACCCTCCACTCCACTGGGGAGCTCTGTGATCCCTGTCTCTCGGTCCTAGAGCCACCTCAGGGCCTGGCACAAGTGGGTGTTGAGAAAATGAGGGGGGATGAATGATGTAATGAATGCGTGGATGCAGGGTGGGGCAGAGAGGGATAGAGGCTCCTGCTGGTACTCACGGGCATTGGCTGAAATCGTCAAGATAGGAGCTCTTCCTTTCTCAAGGGGCTGCCACATCTTTTTTTTTTTTTTTTTTTTTTTTTTTTTTTTTTTTTTTGAGACAATGTTGCTCTATCTCCCAGGCTGGAGTGCAGTGGCACAGTCACAGCTCACTACAGCCTCTTCCTCCTGGTCTCAAGCAATCCTCCCACTTCAGCCTCCTGAATAGCTGGAACTATAGGTACACATGGCCTTGCCTGGCTAAGTTTTGTTATATTTTGTACAGATAGAGCCTCGTTGTGTTGTCTCCTGTTCTCAAACTCCTGGCCTCAAGGGATCCTCCTGCCTTGGCCTCCCAAAATGATAGGATCACAGGCATGAGCCACTGTGCCTGGCTGGGGTTGCCAGTCTTGAATGGGAGACAGACATGGTGCAGGTGAAAGGGAGGAGGCCGTGGGGAGCATGCTTGTGAAGAAAGCTTCTGTCTGAGTAACCTTCCCAGGAGAAGCCGACTGCATTTCACACCACGTGGTCCAGACACATCACACATTGCCACTTGGATTCTCATATTAGACCTGAATTTAAATCTCCATTAGAGTGGGGCTTCCGTGTTCCTTGCATGCATGACCTCGGGCAAGTTGCTTGATTGCCTTCCTTACCCTGAACCCTGGTGTCGGCATCTGTAGAATGGGGATCTCACACTGGATAGGATCCAGTGATTGATGAGGTGGCTGCCCAGCACACACTAGGCCTCCTTTCTGCACTTCTTTCAAAGGTCCTGGCCAGATGCCACCTTCTTCACAAATGCCTGGCAGGAATTACTCCTCACTTCCATGGGCCACCATGGCCCTCCTTCTGTAAAGCTCTTTTGGTCCTTGTCTGTTTCTGCCTTGTATTATGACTGTTGAATATTAGCCTTATCATCCAGAAGAGATTTTAGACTTCTTAGGCTCAGGGACTGGATCTAGTTCATCTTGCTTTTGGGGAAATTTGACACCATTGCAGGGTGGCCCAAATTCCTGTTCTGAAATTGGTTGTTTTAGGGAAGTTAATGGTTTTGTGACTCTGTGAATGACAGTGAATCTGGTGCTATTTAAAACAAGGCACAAAGTGTTATTTTAGGATATTGACTTACACAGGCTAAAAAGTATTATACACATGAGCCTTTACCTGTGTTTTCCTACAGTCAAAGCCCCCTTGTTTGTTCCTCACTTCTTTTTCTCCTCCATCCTTTTTTCTCCCTTCTTCCTTCCCTCTTTCTCCTTTCCTTTCTTCCTCTTCCCTCCCTCCCTATTCCCTCCCCTTCCCTTTTCTCTCCCTTTTCTTCCTTTTTATCTTTTTTTTGAGATGGAGTCTTGCCCTGTCACCCAGGCTGGAGTGCAATGGTGCGATCTCGGCTCACTGCAACCTCCGCCTCCCGGGTTCAAACGATTCTCCTGACTCAGCCTCCCAAGTAGCTGGGATTATAGGCGCTTGCAACCATGCCCAGCTATTTTTTGTATTTTTAGTAGAGACGGGGTTTCATCATGTTGGCCAGGCTGGTCTCGAACTCCTGACCTCGTGATCTGCCTGCCTCAGCCTCCCAAAGTGATGGGATTACCAGTGTGAGTCACCATGCCCAGCCTCCCTTTCCTTATTTTTTTCCTCATTTTCTTTCTCTCTTCTCCTCCTTCATTCTTCCTTCCTCTCTTCCTTCCTCTAGCCTTCCCTCCACTATCCCTCTTCCCTCTCTCCTCTCTTTCTCTTCCTTCCTCTCTTCCTCTCTCCTCTGCTGTTTTTGTTTTTGTTTTTGAGATGGAATCTCACTCTGTTGCCAAGGCTGGAGTGCAGTGGCTAGATCATGGGTCACTGCAACCTCCATTTCCTGGGTTCAAGTGATTCTCCTGCCTCAGCCTCCTGATTAGCTGGGACTACAGGTGCACATGCCACCACACCTGGCTAATTTTTGTATTTTTTAGTAGAGACAGTGTTTCACCATGTTGGCCCAGTTGGTCTCAAACTCCTGAGCTCAGGTTATCTGCCTGCCTTTGCCTCCCAAAGTGCTGGGATTACAGGCATGAGACACCACGCCCAGCCTGGTGCATTTAGAATGTGTCTCCTTCTCCTTCTCCTCTCCTTCTCCCCCTCTCCCTCCCCCTCCCTTCCCCCTTCCCACCCTCCCCTTCCCCCTCCTCCTCCTCCTCCTTCTTCTTCTTCTTCTTCTTCTTCTTCTTCTTCTTCTTCTTCTTCTTCTTCCTCTTTCTTCTTTTTTCTACTCAGTCTATCCTTATCCAAGGAATGCTCTTCTTTATATTGAAGTGCAGTTAACTTCCCAGAACCATCATCCTCTTCCCTGGAGCTTCTATCATCATTCACTTATTTATCCACCATGCATCCATCCACCCATCCACACTTATTCATCATCCATCCATCCATCTATCCTTCCATCCATCCATCCATCTGTCCATCCATCCATCTGTGTTTTTTTGTTCTTCCTCTCTCTCTGCCTCCTTTCAGGTTGACTCCGAGCATTGGCGCCTGAGTCTATGGGTGAATGGTTGCACCATTTCCCAAGATTGGGAAGCCAAAGGGAAGAGCAGGGTGGGGACACAAAACCAATGACATGTTACAGTTCTCTTATGGACATGCTACATTTGAGGTGTCTTTGGGACACTAAGTAGAGAGGGAATAAATGGGCAAGGTAGAGAGAGCACGTGATAGGTGTTCAGTAGGTGGTAGCTCTTTAGACATTCAGTGAGTTGCCCCATAATAATGTAATTCAAGTGAGGTGTGTGTATCATGGAAATGGTGTTGGCTCTGGAGGGCTTGGCTTGAGGTCTCAGCTCTGTCACCTTCACCTTTCTGAGTTCTGCTTTCCTCATCAGTAAGATAAGAATCCCAGTCGACTCTCTGGGAGGAGCTGGGGGATGTTGAGAGAAGCAGTTTGCAAAGCCCTGGCCATTCCTGTGGGTTCCTCAAAGAAGCAAGACGCTAATTATTAGTGTCGAGAGGCCCCGACGCCAAAAGGAAGCACCTTCAGCCCCAACAGGGACTGGGGTTTCCTCTGGAATTCTAGCTGGAAAGACAGGTTTGACCCGGGAACTCAGCTCTGCCCTGGTGTTGGTGACAATCTTAGATCAATAGGCAGAGGGCAAGTCCCTCAGGAAAAAGACCAGTGATCCTCAAGATCCATTCTGGGGCCACTATGAGGGTCTTGCTTAACTGCATGCATTTTCTTACTTATTTCTTTTCTTAGATGATATTTCTGGTCCAATGGAAAATATAGACATAGTGTCACGATTTCAACACAAACGAGCGAATGTGGCTGCCAAAAAATCAGATGCAGGCTTGGCTTTCATTGGAAAGGAAATCAGACTGTGTGTGGAGGGTCTCATCCTCCTTGAGCATTTCACAGGCCCTTGGAAAGAGTGGCGGCAGGAGGAGCAAAAGGAGGTTCAGTCCAGAAGAGAGAAGGATGCGGAGGTCACAGGGTAGAAAGTGCTGCTGCCTTGCACCTGTCAGCTCCAGGCCATCCTCTGTCTTTCAGCAAGTAAGAGTCATTTCCTCTGGGAAGCCCCTCCCGATAGTTTCAGACCAGGGGAAGCCCCCATGTTGTATGGTCTCATAGCACTCTTCATTTTCTTTCTAGCACTAATCAAGCAGGATATTGTATTATTCAGTGACTGTTGGGGTAGCCAGACTGAGCCCCTAAAGGCAGAGACCCTGTCTGAATGTGCTTACCATTGTATCCCGAGCTCCTGGCACAGTGCCTAACATGTAGTAAATGCCAATTCCTAGCTACTGAATAATTGGATGATTGAATGATTGGGTGGATGGATGGATGACTAGATGGGTGGATGAATAAGTGAATGATGATAGAAGCTCCAGGGAAGAAGATGATAGTTCTGGGAAGTCAACTGCACTTCAATATAAAGAAAAACATTCTGAAGTAAGCACCAGGCCATGCGTGGTGGCTCACGCCTGTAATCCCAGCACTTTGGGAGGCTGAGGTGGGCAGATCACCTGAGGTCAGGAGTTTGAGACCAGCCTGGCCAACATGGTGAAACCCCGTCTCCACTAAAAATACAAAAAGCTGGGCATGGTGGGACACAGCAAATTATGAATCATTTGCTGATCTCTGTTCTAGGTGCTGGGGTTTCAGCTATGAAAGGCTCTGCTCAGGTGGAGCTGATGTTCAGGTAGAGAAACAGCAATAAACAAACAGCTAATGAGCCCTCACTGGGAAGTTGGGGAGCGTGACCTGTGAGACTTAGCCCTCAACTTCTAGGAGCTTGGGGGTGGGGACAGAGTAAGCAGCACAGCACCCTTGAGCAGGGCTACCACCAGGGGCCTGGGAGGAGCCCAAGTCTGCAGGAAGGCTGCGAGGTTCAGGGAGGAGGCAACACCTGCACAATCTTCTTTCTTTCTTTATTTTATTTTTATCTTTTAATAAGGACAGGGTCTCCCTATGTCTCCCAGGCTGGAATGAAGTGGTGTGATAATAGCTCACTACAGCCTCGAACTCTGGGGCTCAAGTGCTCCTCCCGCCTCAGCCTCCCAAATAGCTGGGACTACAGGTGTGTGCTACCACGCCTGGCTCATTTTTTAAAAATTGATTTTTGTAGAGACAGGGGTCTCGCTATGTGGAGTGCCTGTAATCCCAGCTACTCGGGAGGCTGAGGCAGGAGAATTGCTTGAAACCAGGAGGCAGAGTTTGCAGTGAGCCAAGATCATGCCACTGCACTCCAGCCTGAACAACAGAGTGAGACTCCATCTCAATAAAATAAAATAAAATAAATTAAAATAAAATAAAAATAAAACACAAAGTAAGTACCAGCTGGTGATGGAAGGGTGCGCTTTGAGAGATGTTGAGCCTCCCAGCCCTGGGCTTGTCCAAGTAGAGATCAGATGGCTTCCGGTCATGATGCATTGGAAAGCATTCTTGCATGGGATAGAATGCAGACTAACTCTGTGGGACTTTCCGCCTCTAAGAGGGGGGTTCAAGATTCTAGACTCCTAGGAGGGATTTGGGTGCCTAACAAAGAGGAGGGGGTTCCCTCTGCCATCACTAGATGGGTACCCTATGTAGTCTTTGGATTATTCTCAAGTATTGTAGCTGGTAAACTTTCTAATTGGTTCTAATGCATCAACATTTTCTTGGCGATTGAGTGATGATAATAACATCCCGCTTATAGAACTTTCTAGGTAAGGAACACTGTTCTAGGTGACTTCCATGTAAAGACTCACTTAATCTCCTCAGCACCCCTATGAGATAAGTGTTATTACTGTCATTACATCTTAGAGATGGGGAAACTGAGGCAAAGGTAAGTTAAGTAATTGCAAAATTATATATGTATATATATTTATACATGCATAAATATATATGTATATGTGTATATATACTTATCTATGTATATGTGTATATATATACTTGTATATATATATTTATACATATATATGTGTTTATATAAATCAAAATCTGTTTCATTTGGGCACATGTGTGGCTGTTATAGCTTCCTCATACAGTCGTTGTGTTTTTTGTTTTTTGTTTTTTTTTGGGACAGAGTCTCGCTCTGTCGCCCAGGCTGGAGTGCAGTGGCGCGATCTTGGCTCACTGCGAGCTCTGCCTCCTGGATTCATGCCATTCTCCTGCTTCAGCCTACCAAGTAGCTGGGACTACAGGCACCCCCCACCACGCCCGGCTAATTTTTTGTATTTTTGGTAGAGACGGGGTTTCATCATGTTAGCCAGGATGGTCTCGATCTCCTGACCTTGTGATTCGCCCACCTCGGCCTCCCAAAGTGCTGGGATTACAGGCGTGAGCCACCACACTGGACAGTCTGTCTTTTATTATATGTAGTGATAAAAGAGGAAGGATTCTTTATCCTACTTAATACATTAAATCCCGTATGGTCTGATATTAATATTGCCATTCCAACTTTCTTTTTGTTTGCATTGCCTGATTCCTCTTTGTCCACTACTTTATTTTAAACCTTTATTACTTTGTTAAAGGTGCAATTTGTGTAAAGATCATGTAACTAGGTTTTGTTTTTAATTCAATTTTCCTATTCTTGCTGACTACTTAGTGGGAGGATTTAGATCATTCTAATTTATAGAAATAATTTATGTAGTTGACTTTTTTGTTTCCATTTTTCTTTTCGATGTTTATGATGATATATTTTACATTCCTATTTCTTCCTTTTCCTCTTCCACATTTGTCTTTTTTGAGCATTTGAAAATTTATTCTGATTTTTTATTCCATTCATGGCCATTTTTTTCTTCCCTCACTCTCATAATCTGATGCATATTACTTCATTCTTTTTTTTTGAGCCGGAGTCTCACTTTGTTGCCCAGGCTGGAGCGCAGTGGCATGATCTCGGCTCACTGCAACCTCCGCCTCCCAGGTTCAAGCGATTCTCCTGCCTCAGCCTCCTAAGTAGCTGGGACTACAGGTGCCCATCACCACACTGGGCTAATTTCTTGTGTTTTTGGTAGAGACAGGGTTTCACCATCATGGCCTGGCTGGTCTTGAACTCCTGACCTTAAGTGTTCCGCCCATCTTGGCCTCCCAAAGTGCTGGGATTATAGGTGTGAGACACCGCGCCCAGCTGCCTATTACTTCATTCTTATTTGAAAACAAAATATTGAACATTTCCCTCAGCAAGCCACACTGTGTCCCACTCCAAGATGTTCACTGCTCCCACTTCCTCTCTACCTAATGGGATGAGATCTTTAGGATACGTTTGCCTCCCTATTCCTTTCCCTTCTTCCCTCTCCTTCTTTTCCATTTATTTACCTTGAGGGCTTTCAAAGGTTTTTCTTTGTTCCCTATCCAGTCCTTTTCCAACTTAGGTTTTTTGTTGTTGTTGTTGTTGTTTTGTTTTGTTTTGTGTTGTTTTGTTTCAGATGGAGTCTCGCTCTGTCACCCATGCTGGAGTGCAATGGTGCAATCTCAGTTGACTGCAACCTCTGCCTCTTGGGTTCACACCATTCTCCTGCCCCAGCCTCCCAAGTAGCTGGGACTACAGATGCTTGCCACCACGCCAGACTAATTTTTGTATTTTTAGTAAAGACGGGGTTTCAGCATGTTGGCCAGGCTCATCTCGAACTCCTGACCAAAGGTGATCCATCTGCCTCGGCCTCCCAAAGCGCTGGGATTACAGGTGTGAGCCACTGTGCTTGGCCGAACTTATGGGTTTTGTAGAGATAGTTAATAGAATTTCGCCTCAAAATGTCTATTCTGTATGACAAGTCTTTATAGGGTATGTAAATTACACATCTCAGGCAGTTTATCCATTTGAATTTAAGTTCTTCTTTTCTCTCCTATTAATCTAATTATCTATCTCCATCTGTCTCTCCATCCATTATACCTCCACCCTCCTCTAGCCTTCCACAGAGTTGATTGGTCACTATAATTTGCTCTCCTCCTCATCTTCCCCTCTTTTGGGGACTCTCTTCCAGTTCACAAGCTCCTTGGTTAAAGTCCTTTGTCAGACAAGTTATGTGGATGACAGTTTTCTCTGTTCTCTGTTCAACAATCACCTCCTTTCCTGCCCATGTACCTTCAACCTCAGTCCCCTTTTCTGCTTTACTTTTCTTCATGCACTTAGCACTTCCTGACATTCTTTATGTGTTTACTATTTACCGGTTTATTTTTTGCCTTCCCCACTAGATGTGAAACTCCTCAAGGGCAGATACTCTATTTTATTGACCTTTATATCTTCAGTGCCTGGGACAATGCCTGGCCCATGGTTGCTGCTCAATAAATAGCTGTTGAAAAAATTACATTTTGTATACTTCAAACATCATTCTGCCTTTTGCCCTGACACATGGGCGACATCTTAGCTGAGAATAAGGTTTTTGAGGTGCAGTCCTTTCCTTGTGGCACATATGTCCACTGTCTTCTGGTTTCCCAGGCTGCACAGAGGAAGTCTGTTGCCAGCTCATCTCTCTGATATTTTGTGCACACCCTAATTTATGCAATATTATACTCGTATATTTTTGTTTCTACAGCAATCTCCTATGTCTGTCTTTGAGCCCTTGGCACAATGTCTCATGCATAGTAGGAGTCCCCAAGGTGTTTGTTGTATAAACAACTGGCTGAATGAATCCATGGATGAATGGATGAACACAGGAAGAAAGGGAGGACTGAAAGAGTATATTATTGAACACTTGGCATGTCAACCACAGAGATGGTCTAGACCAGTAGTTTTCAAAGCGGGGCCTAGATCAACAGTGGCAGCCCCACTTGAAAACTTGTTAGAGATGAAAATTTTGGGGCACCACCCAGACCTACTAAATCAGAAACTCTGGAGGTGGAGCCCAGGAATTTGTGTTTTAACAAGCCCTGCAGGTGATTCTGATGCAGTTTCCAGTTTGAGAACCACTGCTGTAGACCATCCGCATTTTCTGTATGGGAATCCTGAGGTTGGGAGCAGGAAGTGACTCATGTATTCTGTGAGTGTCCAGGTCTCCGTACTTTCAGGCCTGTACTCTTGCCACTCAACCACGCTGCCTCACCTGATCTTGCTATGTTTTTTGTAATTAAAACCAACCACGTATTTGTCAAAACATTTCAAAGCACTGGGATTGAATCTCCACTCTTACAACGTTTCCGATTTCATTGGGGTGTTTCCAGGATTAAAAATGTGAGTTAGAGTTGTTTCTATAAGGCTTTGAGCAGTGGAAAAGTGCCAGGCGATTGCATTACTTTTCAGAGGAGGCTTCTCAGGCTGGGGCTGTAACGTTATAGCCCAATGTTATGGCTCATGCCCTCCTCTCTGCTCAGTGCCTTAATGCATGTCATACATGATCCAGTTTCCTCCTGTTGGCAGGAGCAAATGTGTAAATGGCAGTCATTGCTAGCCCAGGAGGGAGATGAGGAACTCTGACTTGATCAAGCACTCATGATCATTGCCTTTTTCTCACTAATTTCTTCATTTGTCACCAAGTGTCTTTTTAATGTATTTTGTACATTCCTTTCCAGTCTTTTTTATATGCAAATTTTTTATTAGTTTGTCTTTATGTTTTGGGCAAAGCCATGCTCATTATACTATCAAAGATTGCTTCCTTTCCTCAGTACACCTAGCACAGGCCCTTCCTCAGCTACTACTATAGAGCCCTTACCCATCTATTTTTTTTTTCTAATATACTTTCAGCCGGGCTCAGTGACTCATGCCTGTAATCCCAGCACTTTGGGAGGCTGAGACAGGCGGAGCACTTGAGGCCAGGAGTTTAAGACCAGCCTGGCCAGCACACCTGTAATCCCAGGTACTTGGGATTGAGGTTGAGGCACAAGATCACTTGAACCTGGGAGGTGGAGGTTGCAGTGAGCCAAGATCGTGCCACTGCACTCCAGCCTGGGTGACAGAACAAGACCCTGTCTCAAATAAATAAATAAATAAACTTTCCATTTTAGAAAAGCTTTAGATTTATGGAAAAGTTGCAAAGACAGTTCAGAGAATTCCTGTATACCTGTATGACCTGCACACTCTGCACTCTTATTTCTTATTATTTCTTATTAATATATATATATTTTGAGACAGAGTTTCACTCTTGTTGCCCTGGCTGGAATGCAATCATGCAATCTCGGCTCACTGCAACCTCCACCTCCCGGGTTCAAGTGATTCTCCTGCCTCAGCCTCCGGTGTAGCAGGATTACAGGCATGCACCACCACACCCGCTACTTTTGTATTTTTTAGTAGAGATGGGGTTTCTCCATGTTGGTCAGGCTGGTCTCGAACTCCCAACCTCAGGTGATCCACCCACCTCGGCCTTCCAAAGTGCTGGGATTACAGATGTGAGCCACTGCACCCAGCCAGCTGCACTCTTATTCTTTAGAGAACAGGATTTTAGGATTAGAGAACTGAGATTTTTGAGTAGAGCAGTGACATTCTTAGATTTCTCCTTTTTGAAAAAGCTTCTGGGAGCATTCTGTTGACTGGACCAGGCTTCGTTGATTGTGTATCATTTGTCAGACTCTGGGCTATGGGGTGGGTACAATGATGAACGGGACACAACACCTGCCTTCTAGTTTTACCTTCGCAGCTCAACAGTAGAATTTGTTTATTTATTTAGAAATAATTATTATGTTATCTTTGGGTAGAGATGGGGTTGCTTAGGCTCTTGGCCTCAAGTGATCCTCCCGCCTTGGCCTCCCAAAGTGCTGGAATTACAGGCATGAGCCACCATGCCTGGGCTAGAATTTATTTTATTAATATATTTTTAATTATGGTAAAACATGCATTTATATACATAAAATTTACCAACTTAGCAGTTTTCAAGTGCACAGCTCAGTGGTGTTAAGCACATATGCACTGTTGTGCAACCAACCTCCAGAACTTTTTCATCTCGCAAAACTGAAACTCTGTCCTCATTAAACACTAACTCTTCATTCTTCCCTCCCTCTAGCACCTGGCAACCACCATTCTATTTCTGTCTATGAATTTGCTTACGTTTGATACCTCATATAATGAAATCCTACAGTATTGTCCTTTGGTGGTTGAGTTTATTTTACTTAGCATAATGTCCTCATGGCTCATCCATACTGTATCGTGTGTCAGAATTTCCTTCCTTTTTAAGCTGAATAATATTCTGTTGTATGTCTATACCTCATTGTGTTTATCCATCCATCTGTTGATGGATGCTGGGTTGCTTCCACCTTTTGGATACTGAAAATAATGCTGCTATGAACAGGAGAATACAGATATCCCCTCGGGTCCCTGCTTTCAATTCTTTTGGGTATATACTCAGAAGTGAAAATGCCAGATCATGCCATAATGGTATTTTCAATTTTTTGAAGGCCCTCCCTACTGTTTTCAGTAGTAGCTGTACCAATTTACATTCCTACCAACAGAGCACTATTTCTCTATATCCTCACCAATGCTGGTTATTTTCTATTATTTTCTTTTTTTTTTTTTTTGATAGTAGCCATCCTGATAGTGTGAAAGTATTTTGTAGTTTTGATTTGCATCTCTCTAATAATTAGTGATGGTGAACATCTTTTCATGTACTTGCTGGCCATCTTTATGTCTTCTTTGGAGATATGTTTATTCAAGTCCTTTGCCAATTTTTAAATTGGCTTTTGTCATTGTTGATTGATCGATTTTTGGAGACAGAGTTTCGCTCTTGTTGCCCAGGAGTGCCATGGCATGATCTCGGCTCACTGCAACCTCTGCCTCCCTGGTTCAAGGGATTCTCCTGCCTCAGCATCCCAAGTAGCTGGGAATATAGGCATGCACCACCATACCAGGCTAATTTTTGTATTATTAGTAGAGACAGGTTTCACCACGTTGGCCGGACTGGTCTCCAACTTCTGACCTCAAGTTATTCACCCTCCTCGGCCTCCCAAAGTGCTGGGATTACAGGTGCGAGCCACTGTGCCCAGCCCATTGCTGTCAATGTATAAGAATTCTCTATAAATTCTCTCATAGCAGCATTATTTTCAGTATCCAAAAGGTGGAAGCGACCCAGCATCCATCAACAGATAGATGGATAAACACAGTGAGGTATAGACATACAACAAAATATTATTCGGCTTAAAAAGGAAGGAAATTCTGACACACGATACAGTATGGATGAGCCATAAGGACATTATGCTAAGTAAAATAAACTCAACCACCAAAGGACAGTACTGTACGATTTCATTATATGAGGTATTTAATGTAAACAAATCTGTATATTGTGGATATTAATGACTTATTAGGTATATAATTTGCTAATGTTTTCTCCGGTTCTGTGGGCTGTCTTTCCACTTCGTTGGTAGCATCCTGTGATGTGCAAAAATTTTTCATTTTCATGTAGTTCATCTTATTTATTTTAATTTTTGTTGCTTGCATTTTTGGTGTCCTAGCCAAGAAATTATTGCCAAAGCCAATGTCATGAAGCTTTCTCCCATGTCTTCTTTTACAAGGTTTATACTTTTATGTTTAGATCTTTTATCTGTTTTGAGTTAATTTTTGTATATGCTGTAAGGTGAGGGTTCAAATTCATTCGTTTGCATGTGGACATCCAGTTTTCCCACATTTGTTGAAAAGACTGCCCTTTTCCCATTGAATGGTCTCAGCACCCTTGTGAAAAAATCATTTGACCATATACATAAGGGTTTAATATGTAATATAATTTATTTTGAAATGACATCAATGTATATTAATGGAATGTGTGTGTTTCCACTTCCCCCTTTATCCCACATTTAGGTAGTATCACATTGTTTGCAGTCATTACCATCATCCTGGGATGCCTTAAAATTAGATACTTCATTGGATTTTCAGAATGTTTATCAGCCACTGAAGGAGTTTTCCCTGTCACCCATTCAGTGCATACTTTGTTGCAGGTAAACCACTGATGTTTATTCATGTTGTCTCATTCCTGTGAAGTGTATCCCAGGTTGTGTAGAAACTTGTAACATCAAGACATGTGGCAAGTGGAGACAGTGTGCACAGCTGTGAACTGCAATGAACTGAGGTGAACTGAAGTCTATCTTTGAGGCTTAATTCTTCAGCTGCCTCCATTGCAAAATAAAACTCTGTGTCCCCATGGCCATTTTTGCAGGGATCCTATGAGGCAGAACTTCTAATGATGAAGAGTCAGGAAATTCTGCCAAGCCAGGGTCTACAGTAAAAGCTTGAGGGAGTTTTATTTTCTGGGTATGTAACAGGTTTATTGAGAGAATTCACATGGCATATAATTCACCCATTTAACATGTGGAATTCAACGGTTTAGTCTGTTCATAGAGTTATGCAACCATTGCCAAAATCAATTTTATTTTTTAAAAAAATTTAATATTCTTCCTACATAGAAACCTTGTGCCATTGCAATGCCTCCTCTGGGTCATGGAAGCGCTTTTGTTTTCTCGTTTGGGGATTAAAGTCTTAGAAATGTATAAGGATTTTTTCCCACAGCATTGGTAAACTTGGTATGGCTCAGAAGGAAGGATTTGATAAATATAATTTAAATACATAGCTTAGGGTCAGAAAAATCTCATGGTTGAAAAGAATGTTAGATGGGCTTTCAGGGTAGTGTTCGCCCTTGGCAGAAATCCGTGGTAATGTTATCAGAGTCAGGATCTGAATTGTTGAATTATCAGTCTCATTTTTTTTTGTTTTTTGTTGTATATGTTTAAGGTATACAACATGATTATTTGATATTCCTATCCATAGTGAAGTGATTACTACAGTCAAGCATATTTATGTCTGTCATCTCACATAGTTGCCTTTCTTTTTTTGGATGTGGTAAGAGCACCTAAAATCTATTCTCTTAGCAAATTTCCAGTATACAATACAATAGTATTAACTACAGTCTTCACGTTGTCCATTACATCTCTAGAATTATTCATCTTACGTATTTGCAACTTTGTACCCTTTGACCAAAATCTTCTAATTTTTCCCCTCCAACTACCATTCTACTCTTTATGTTATTTTGTTTTTATTTATTAATTTAATTCAATTTTAGAGACAGGGTCTTGCTCTGTTGCCCAGGGTAGAGTGCAGTGGTGCCATCACGGATTACTGCAGCCTTGAATTCAGCTCAAGTGATCCTCCCGCCTCAGTCTCCCTAGTAGCTAGGACTACAGGCCCACATCACCATGCCCAGCTTCTACCATCTGTTTTTATGCATTGGATTAAAAACGTTTTTCTAGATACTACATATAAGTGAGATTATGCAGTATTTTTCTTTCTGTGTCTGCCTCATTTCACTGAGCACAATGTCCTCCAGATTTGCCCATGTTGTTGCAAATGGCAGGCTCTGCTCTCATTTTTTTCTAACGAAGAAGTTGGAGCTCAGAGAAGACAAGTGACTTGCTCAAAGTCACTGTGGAGACACAATGATTATTTTCTTCCTGACAAGTCACCCTGGAAGACCATGAACTTGTTCTGGTGATACTGCCATTGCTGGAAATATTTTTGGATTTCCAGTTTGAGAAGGTTCTTTGGAAAGTTTTCTACCTCTAGAAAACCAGGGATGACATGTTTAAAACTTCATCTTTTATCCAAAGTGACCGTCAGCTTGTACCCCCAGCTGACTTACCAGACAGCACTGGATGACCTTAGAGTGTTTCTCTAGATCAAACACATTCTCAAACAGTGAAGCTAACAGACAGAACGTGCCCAGTGAGCCTGGAAACAGTTTAGCTCCATGGTGGCATGGTGGGATCACTGGGGAGCTTGCTGAGGGGCTCATTTGGAGGGGCTGCCTTGCACTTGAAAGCTGTTATGAACTGAGTCATATCCCCTGTGAAATTCATATGCCGAAACCCTCATTCTCAGTACCTGAGCATGTGACTGTATTTGGAGATAGGGTCGTTTAGAGGAGATTGAGGTTAAATAAGATCATTAGGCTGGCCCAAATTCAATATGCCTAGTGTCTTTATTTTTTATGTTTTTGAGACGGAATTTTGCTTGTTGCCCAGGCTGCAGTGCAATGGCATAATCTCGGCTCACTGCAACTTCCGTCTCCTGGGTTCAAGCAATTCTCCTGCCTCAGTCTCCCAAGTAGCTCGGGTTACAGGCACCTGCCACCATGCCCAGCTAACTTTTGTATTTTTAGTAGAGATGAGGTTTCACCATGTTGGCCAGGCTGGTCTCGAACTCCTGACCTCAGGCAATCCACCTGCCTCGGCCTCCCAAAGTATTGGGATTACAGGCGTGAGGCACCGCGCCTGGCCCTGGTGTCTTTATAACAAGAGGAGAGAAGGACACAGACACACACAGAGAGACAGCCATGTAAAGACACTGGAGGAAATTGACCATCTACAAGCCAAAGAGAGAGGCCTCAAAAGGAACCAACCCTGCCCATACCTTGATCTTGGATTTCTAACCCCAGGACCCTGAGAAGAGAAATTCCTGTTATTGAAGTTGATGATCTGTGGTCCTTTGTTATGGCAGCCCAAGCTGATCAAAGATAACTGGCTGCTCATTCCAGGGGAGCCAAATCCCGTGAAGACAGAGCCTTATAGTGATACAGTGACAATGTGGAAAGCTTTCGTGAGGCCAGAACGAACTGCATTCGTTCATTCATTTTTCTTGTAGTTCATCTTTAAATACTGGACGAACATTGTTCTCAGCATGGGGAATACAAGGCTGTAAAGTCTGTGTCACACACCATGGGGGTGTCAGTTAGGTGAGAGGCAGTCCCCAAAACAGTGACAACGCTGGGCTCAGTGCTTTGACCAGAGTGTCCCAGAGCAATGAGGGAGCACAAAGGAGGGCATTTTGGCAGCTTGGAGTGACAGTCAATTTCTGCCAGGGAAGGTCCCAGAACCGTTTGTGAGAGAGGGAGGAGCACAGGGTTAGTGGGTCAGAGGCCACTGGAAGAGGGTGTCTTTGGGACATGCAGTCTTTCCTCACAGTGGGGTAGCGGGAGGATGTGTGGGCACAGGCTGGATCCCTGTTTGGTGTAGGGCTTGTAAGCTTGCACTCTGGTCAGATTGCATGACTCTGGCTCTGACCACAGCTGTGTGACTTCAGGCAAATTACTTAACTTCTCTGGGCCTCATGGGTCTTACTTGCAAGCTGAGGACAATCACAGTACCTACTTCATGGGCTCGTTGTAGAGATTAAAGGCACATGTGTATGAAAAGCACTTGGCACAGGGCTAGGTGTGCAGCAAATTCTTGGTCAAGGCTGACCGCCACCTAGGGGCTTGGGCTTCACCTCGAGGGCAGTGGGGAGCCACTGAAGGCTTTAGGCAGAAGAATGACTGGGACAGATATGAATTTTCAAAATATCCCTCTTAGTTGGTGGGTTGGAGATCCTAGCTTTCTAATTTAAGGCATTTTATTGGCCAGGCAAGTCAATGAATTAATCATTCTATACCTGTTGGACACTTACCATGTGCTTTTGCTACATTAGATGACTGGCGAATGGAAAAAAGTATATATAACAATTAGGCGCTGTTCTAAAAAACAGAGCATTTATTTTAAAATTGTGGCAAATACTGAAAAACCTGTAGATATCAGGATGAAATCGCTTTTGTCAGACCCAGGCAAAATAGGCCTGGGAAGGCGCTAAGGAGAGGGCACTTCTGTCTACGTGTCTGAGATACAAAGTGTTTCCAAAGACTTTCTAAAAACCCTTCATGCATCTCCTGCTTTGAAGAGGTTGGACATTACTAGACATTCTTTAGGACTGCAGTAAAGCAGATAAGATGCTCTTGGAAGAACACTTGTCCAGCACTGGCATCTCCACCAATGAACTGATGACAACTCTGGCTTTGAGCCTCTAGAACCGATGAACTCTTTTTCTCTGTGGATTATGTAAATCTCTCTTTGCTAATAACAGCTCCTCCTTACCCTTCCCTCACCGAATGCGCTGGTGGCTTGCCATTCCATGCATTCTGGACTGTAATTCCTATTTCCAAGTAAATCCAACATATTTAGTGATAATTTTCTCTAGTGTCTTTTTTTTTCAGGTTGACAATCACATAACATTTACCATCTTAGTCATTTTAAGCGTATGGTTCATTAATGTTAAGTACATTCACTTGTTGTACAACCAATCTGCAAACGTTTTTCATCTTGCAAAACTGAAACTCTGAGCCCACTACACAACTCTCTATTTCCTCCTCCTCTGGCTTTTGGCAAACTCTGTTCTACTTTCTGTCTTTATGAGTTTGAATATTCTAGATGCCTCGTATGAATTGAACCATACAGTATTGGTCTTCTTGTGTCTGGCTTATTTCTCACAGCATAACGTTCTCAAGGGTCATCCATGATGTAGCCAGAATCATGGCTGAGAAGGAGCCGTGTATTTGTGTGCACATGTCTGTCTCACCCTATGGTGCCTGAGGCTCTCCCAGGGCTGCTTGAGAACTGAGTCCTTGTGTTTTTCAGGTTTGGGGTGATCCACTTGGTGTTCACCAACCTGCTTCTGTGGGCCAACGGCGTCCTCAATGAGTCAAAGCACCAATGAGCACAAGGAATGGCTCATCACTCTGGGCTTTGGGAACATAACAACAGGTGAGTGCTGAGAGAGGTGAGTGGCCCCTCTGCCATGTTGGAATGTCTTGGAAACCTGCAGAGTCCACAGTGTTCAGAGATGGAGTGCAGGTTCCAAAGAACTTCAGGCCCACCAAAGTCAGCATCAGCCAGACAGCCCCCTGTTGTTGAAAATCTTCCAAAACCTGAATCTCTCATAAGTGATGTGTACTGAGCATAATTAAAGGTTTCTTCCATGACTCAGGGACTTGTAAGACCCACGGTGATCATTCTGATGGCCATTTCTCATGGTCCAGTTTGCCGCAGAAATAAATGTCTTTGTTTTCAACTACAGAAGATTGATGGTTGCCTCTGCTTGTGTTTTTAATTAAACCTCTACTACCAGTTCTTTCTAGTAAAAGTATGGCTTTTAAAAATTCATAAAAGTCTAATGGTAGGTTGTGGTTAATAGGCTGTGGTTCATTTAAAGTTTTAATTTAACTGTAGTTGGCTTATAATTCTAGCTCATGTCTGTTCTACCTTGTTCCTATTTGAGAGCCTGTTGGGTTAATCTTTATATTTTCATCTAAAATCCTTTAGCATTTACAATATGTCACTTCTATATGAGAACATTCAGGCTGAGGGGAATGTGGGGCAGGGAACTGGGTGTCTCAGGTTTGTTCCCATCATGTACAAGCTGTGTGATCTTTAGAAGACATTTAATCTCTCTGAGCCTCCCTTTTCTCATTTGTAAAGTGAGGGTATCCAAATCATGCACTTGCAAAGATCCCTTCCAGCTTTAACATGCAGCAAGTCTGTGACAGCTGTGTGAACCCAAGCTGTCCTGGAGAGCCACTTTGAACCTGTTTTGTCATCAGTGGGGTGGAGACAACGAAGTCACCACCCCCAACCAGCAGGCACTCGGTGTTTGGGCCTCATGTCCTCCTTGGTATCAATATTAGTAGCAGCAATGACCACAATAACAAAAGTAAATTTTTATTAAGCATTTGCTGAGTGCCAGCCACTGTTGTTGGAAATTTACACATGTCATTTAATTTGTACCCCCACACTCTCTGGTAGGCTATATATGTGTGTATGTGTGTGTGTATGTATATATATATATATATATATATATATATATATATATATATATATATAGTTGTTTGTTTTGAGACAGAGTCTCACTCTGTCGCCTAAGCTGGAGTACAGTAGCGTGATCTCGGCTCACTGCAACCTCTGCCTCCCATGTTCAAGTGATTCTCCTGCCTCAGCTTCCTGAGTAGCTGGGACTACAGGTGCATGCCACCATACCTGGCTAATTTTTGTATTTTTAATAGAGACGGGGTTTCACTATGTTGGCCAGGCTGGTCTCGAACTCCTGGCCTTGTGATCCGCCAGCCTTGGCCTCCCAAACTGTTGGGATTACAGGCGTGAGCCACTGCGCCTGGCCTCAGGTAGACAATATTAACCTCATTATATGGATGAAGGCATCAAGCCACGGAGAAGTTAGCCCAGGGTAACACAGTGAACATGTGATACAGCCATGATTTGAATCCTAACAATCTGGCTTCAAGGCCCTCTGTGAAAGATGAGGTTGGATTAATTTTCTAAAAAAGGACTCTGTCAGCTGTAACATTCTGTTACTCTGAACTTTTCCTCCTGATTTCTTCCCTTGTCTTCTGCATAACACCGTATTGAATTGTAAGTGCTAGGGAAGCCCTGTGTGAATTGAAGATTATTACTGGGGCAGTGACTCACACCTGTAATCTGAGCACTTTGTAATCCTAAGGCAGGAGCATTGCTTTAGCCTAGGAATTTGAGACCAGCCTGGGCAACAAAGGGAGACCCCAGCTCTGGAAAAAAAAAAAAAAAAAAGCCAGGCATGGTGGCATGGGCTCGTGGTCCCAGCTATAGCTACATGGGAGACTGACGCAGGAGGATCACTTGAGCCCAGGAAGTCAAGGCTGCAGTGAGCTGTGTTTGTGCCACTGCACTCCAGCCTGGGCAACAGAGGGAGACCCTATATAAAAAAGAATAAAAAAAGAAAAAGAAAATTTCATAGTGTTCTGTGAAAGTAAAATTAATGCTACGATATAGTTTTTCTCAGATTTTTTTTTTTTAGACGGAGTCTTGCTTGTCGCCCAGGCTGGAGTGCAGTGGCATGGTCTCGGATCATTGCAAGCTCTGCCTCCCGGGGGTCACACTATTCTCCTGCCTCAGCCTCCTGAGTAGCTGGGACTACAGGCGCCCACCACCACGCCTGGCTAATTTTTTGTATTTTTAGTAGAGACAGGGTTTCACCGTGTTAGCCAGGATGGTCTCAATCTCCTGACCTTGTGATCTACCTGCCTCGGCCCTCCAAAGTGCTGGGATTACAGGCATGAGCCACCACGCCCAGCTGCTTTTCTCAGATTTTATAAGTAATATATACATATCATAAACTAAAACAATGACAAAGTGTGAAGCAAAAAAATCCACAACACTTACCCAGAAATGCAGTAAATGCTGTGAATGTTTGGTTATTTTTTTGTAGTGTGCCATTTATTTATAGTTGATTTTATACTATATATTTGATCTTTTTTTATTGCAAACTTCAATAAGAGACAGATTTTACACTGTAATCCAAACACGCACATACTTATGTGTGTATGCTTGATGAAATAATACTTAATTTTACTGTATCAGAGATGCTTCCAAATTTTATCGGAGTTGATTCCACTCCATTCTATCCTATTCTAGTCCACTGAAAATTATTTCTGCTACAAAAAAGTTGGTTGCTACCTGATTTTACAGCCTTGTACTGGGTTGTGACTTGCATTAAAGAAATATACAGTTTGTTCTTACTTTTTTCCATTTTCCTTGAAACGAGATTACTTTCTTAATATTAAAACACATCCTGGCTGGGTGCAGTGGCTCATGCCTTTAATCCCAGAACTTCGGGAGGCTGAGGCGGGCAGATCGCATGAGCTCAGGAGTTCAAGACCAGCCTAGCCAACATGGCGGAACGTTGTCTCTACAAAAAATATAAAAATTAGCCGGGAGTGGTGGCATGGGCCTGTGGTCCCAGCTACTCAGCAGGCTGAAGTAGGAGGATGCTTGAGCACAGAAGGCTGATGTTGCAGTGAGCCAAGATTGTGCCACAGCACTCCAGCCTGGGCAACAGAAGGAGGCTCTGTCTCAAAACAAACAAAAAACAAAACAACCCCCCCCATACCCAAAACCATAAAGCACATCTTAATTATAACGTGCAGTGGCTGTCTACTATCTCATTGTTGGGATATACTAAAATTTACTTAACAATTTCTAAGTTGTTGGACCTTGAGCTGTTCCTCTCTCTCTCTCTCTCTCTCTCACACACACACACACACACACACACACACACACACACACACAATTTTACCTGACTTTTTTTTAAATTATTTTTTGAGACTGAGTCTCGCTCTGTCACCTAGGCCGGAGTGCAGTGGTGCGATCTCAGCTGACTGCAACTTCTGCCTCCCAGGTTCAAGCGATTCTTCTGCCTCAGCCTCCCCAGTAGCTGGTATTACAGGCTTGCCACCACACCTGGCTAATTTTTGTAGTTTTAATAGAGATGAGGTTTCGCCATGTTGGCCAGGCTGGTCTCGAACTCCCGACCTCAAGTGATCCACCTGCCTTGGCCTCCCAAAGTGCTGGGATTACAGGGCTGAGTCACCACTCCTGGCCTTACCTGACTCTTTGATTACATTTTTTTATTTGTCCCTTTGAGTAGAAGGGTAGAATGGAAAGAATGGAATTATGGGTCAGAGACTGCATCGCCTTCAGGGCTTTGGTGACCTGTTTCGTCATTTACTTGCAGCATCTGCCTTCCTGTGATGAGAGGGCCCTCCATATGACAGCCAGCTTCTCTTCCAGAAGGTGGTGCCCGTTTACTTTCCCCGCACTGATATCGGAGAGCACCTGTCTCCTGCATGCTTGCTAGCACTGGAGTCTTAAGAGGCATATCTTTTGCTAATTAAAAGGGGTATTTTCTCCAGAAAGTATTTTTTAAAAATAATCTTAAAAAATCACACATGTAAATCATCTTCACAGAGAAAATTTAGAAAATACAGGGAAGCAAAATCTAGAAGAGATTAAAAATCATCTGTCATTTTTCCACCCAGAGATAACAATTGTTGACATTTTAGTTTGTGTCCTTCCAGGTTTTTTCCATCTGTCTGTGTGTGTGTGTATCCATCTATCTATCTATCATCTACATATCTATTTTTTACAACAATAGAGTCATCTTCTCTATCCTCTTTGGCAACTCACCAAATAAATGTGATTTAGGTAATGAATATGCTTTGGGGATACTCAGGGCTATCAAATTAGCCATGATATTAAACGTGATAATAAGCCATGACATGAAAAAGCTTGTAATCCAGTGGGAAGACCCAAGCCTGAATCCACAGTGGAAACAGTTTTCTGTGCTTTTCTGCTTCCCCTTGCACCTGCTAATAGCCCCCCTGTGTGATCAACCTGTCTCCCCTAGTTTTAGATGACCACACACCGCAATGTAACTGCACGCCCCCAACTCTCTGCACCACCATCTCCCACGGGATCTACTATATCTACTACCTCTACCCCTTCAACATAGAGTATCAGATCCTGGCCTCCACAGTGCTCTACGTCCTATGGAAGAACATCGGGCGCAAAGTTGACAGCCATCAGCACCAGAAGATGCAGTTCAAGCCTGATGGGGTCACAGTGGGCACAGTCCTGGGCCTGACCGCGCTGGCCGCCACCATTGCCGTGGTGGTGGGTGGTGTACCTGATTCATATTGGGTGCTCCAAGACCAAGAGCAAGTCAGCACTCATCACGTTCTACCTGTATGTCATCACCCTGATGAAGCTTATGGGGGCTGCGGGGCTGGCTGGAATCCGGATTTACAGGACAGATGAGAAGTCACTGGATGAGTCCAAAAATCCGCCCCGCAAACTGGACTCGGACCTCTTGGTGGGCACTGCCTCAGGCTCCTGGCTTATCTCCTGGGGCTCAATCTTGGCCATCCTTTGTGCCGAGGACCACCCCCACTACACCTGGTACAACCTGCCCTACTCCATCGTGGTGATCGTGGAGAAGTACATCCAGAACCTCTTCATCTTTGAATCCATTCACCGAGAGCCTAAAAAACTCTCTGAGGACATCCAAACCCTTCGGATGGTCACAGTCTGCAATGGCAACACCATGCCCCTTGCTTCCTCCTGCCTCAAGAGTGGAGGTGTGGCCGGAGACGTGGCTCCCTGGGGCAGGGACATGCCACCAGCAGCCAATGGAAATGTGTGCCTGAGAGAAAGCTGTGACAAGGAGGAGAAGCACGAGGAGAGCAGCTGGGGAGGGAACCCAAGCCCAGTCCACCTTCCTCGTTTCTTACAGGGCAACGCCAAGAGAAAAGTCCTGAGGAATATTGCAGCCTTCTTGTTCCTCTGCAATACTTTGGTAATCTGCACCAAGTTATTCTTATTCTTTTAATTTTGCTGTAAACTTTCATTTTAGGTTCAAGGGGTACGCATGCAGATTTGTTACATGGGTAAATTGCGTGTCGCTGAGGTTTGGTGCACAAATGATCCCGTCACCCAGGTAATGAGCATAGTACCCGATAGGTAGTTTTTCACCCTGCACCCCACTTCCGACCTCTCCCCCAGTAGTCCCTAGTAGTGTCTATTGTTCATATATTTGTGTTCATGACTACCCAATGTTTAGCTCCCACTTATAAGAGAGGACATGAGGTATTTGGTTTTCTGTTCCTGTGTTAATTCACTTAGGATAAGGACTCCATTTCTATCCAGGTTGCTGCAAATAATGTGATTTCATTCTTTTTTTAAGGCTGCATAATATTCCATGGTGTAGAGCTACCACATTTTCTATTTATTTTTTTTTTGAGAGAGGGTCACGCCCCATTGCCCAGGCTGGAGTGCAGTGGCATGATCACAGCTCACTGCAGCTTCGACCTCCTGTGCTCAAGCAATCCTCCCATCTCAGCCTCCTGAGTACCTGGGACCACAGGCATGTGCCACCACACCTGGTTAATTTTAAAAACTTTTTTTGTTTTTGAGAGAGAGTTTCACTCTTGTTGCCTAGGCTACAGTGCGATGGTGCTCACTGCAACCTCTGCCTCCCGAGTTGAAGTGATTCTCTTGCCTCAGCCTCCAGAATAGCTGGGATTACAGGCACCTGCCACCACAGTTGGCTAATTTTTGAAAATATTTTTAGTAGAGATGGGGGTTTCACCATGTTGGCCAGGCTGGTTTCGGACTCCTGACCTCAAGTGATCCACCTACCTTGACCTCCCAAAATGCTAGGATTACAGGTGTGAGCCACCATGCCTGGCCAAAACTTTTTTTTTTTTTTTTTTTTTTGTAGAGATAGGTTCTCACTGTGCTGCCCAGGCTTGTCTTGAACTCCTGCGCTCAAACAATCCTCCTGCCTCAGCTTCCTAAAGTGCTAGTATTACAGATGTGAACCACTGTACCCGGCCATAATACATTTTCTTTATCCAGTCCATTATTGATGGACATCTAGGTTTCTCTTGCCTTTTTAAAATAAGGAATGGAGGCAGCTTGTAATAAAAATACTGTAAGTATAAAATTACAATATAAGGCTGGAAAATAGACCTATATTCTACAAATCTACCTACTAAAGACTTGCTGTGTGCTAGGGGCTGGGCTAGGTACTAAAGATTAAAGTGGAAAGACTCAGTCTCTTTCCTCTAAAAGGTCTCAGTATAATGGGGGAGGGAGACAATGAGCAAATCTAATATAGTGAACAGGACAAGTGCTGAGATGGGCTTGTGCAAGGTGTACTAGGAGCAGGGATCCAGAAGGACTTCAGTGAGTAGTGGGTGCTTGAGGTGAGGCCCAGTGTCAATCAGGAGTGCTTTTAGTTGCAAGTGACAGGCAATTTGATTCACAGTGTCTTCAGTCTTAACAATGTTTAATTATCTCATGAGAATTCCGGAGGTTGGCTGCTTGGGGTTGGCCTGGCAGCTGAACCATGTCATCAGGCATCCAGGCACTGTTCATCTTGTCACTTGGGTGGTGTGGTGTTTGTTGTGACATGGTCATGAGATGGCTGCAGCTGCACCAGGCATCACATCTGGGTTCAAGACAGAAAGCAGTGGGGAAGGGCTGGTGCCAGACAATGTCTCTCATGTGGGCACCCCTCACTGCAAGGGAGGCTGGGGAAGTAGAGGGTTTGCTTCCCAGCCTCTCTGATGGAAGGTAGCAAGGGAGAGGAAGGTGTACAGTCACTCACCCATCTGTCTGCATCAGCAAGGAATGACTGGAAGTTCACCAGGTTATCAAGGCGGGGAAAAGCATTTCAGGCAGAGACACACAATATGTGAAGACACAGAGGCAAAAGACACCATGGCATGTTTTGAGAGCACCAAGTAGTTTGGCATAAATTCCATGTGTGTTAAGCAGAGTAGCAGAATGGGAATTAGGAGAGAGGGCCCAGGTAGGTGGACTCTGGCTTGAGCAGGGCTTCCTAGGCCTGGCTGGAGTCTAGTCTTTATGCTGAGGGCAAGGGAAGACTCTCTCAGATTTGTGTTTTGGAATGATCCTCCCAGTAGCTGTGTGTAGCAAGGATGGAGACAGATAGGGCCAGAAGCAGAAAGACTGGGAGAGAAAGCCCTGCAACAGCCCAGGCAGGAAGGGGAGGAGCTTGAACTAGGGCAGTGATGGAGGGATGGAGAGAAGAAAAAGGAATAAGAAGCATTGTGTGCTGTTGGGATTTTTTTAAAGACACATAAAGGAAGGATGGTGGGGGTCAGTAAGAAGGAGGGGGAAGCAGCCTTTGCCACCGCATGAGTCTCTGCAGTGATGGTGACTGGTGGCTGGAGGGGAGTGCCCCAGTCCACAGAGGTGCCTGCCCATCACTCTGGGTGAAGTCAGCTCTGTGCTACTAGCCTCTGTTATCAAGCCTGCTCCCTGTTGCCCCAGCAGCTCAGAGGCTTTTGAGCTTCCTCCCCTGAATTTCAGATGGTGCATACGGGGTCTGCAGCTTTTGATATCACCCTAAGAACACAAAGTTGGGAAAGTAAGTCCCTTCTAAAGTCAGAATGGCTGTGTGTCTGCCAAGCAAACCTGATCCACCCTAGCCTTGGATCACCCAGGTTCCTTCAGTTTGCTAGGCAGTGAGGAGGGGCTCTGAAGGTGGAAGGCCCAGAAGAGTTTGGCTGCAGGGAGACCATCTTCTCCATCTAACAGACATTTGCCAGGCACCTGCTGTATGCCAGGGACTATGTCAGGGGCACAGCAGTGAGTCAAAAATTGAAAGAGTTAACAAGAGAGATAGATACTGTAAGCTGCATTTTTTTGAGGTGCTTATTCCAAAATGCAAATTCTTATAAAGTCAGAGCTAGTTCTAGAATCTTCCTCAAGTATATGCTTTTTGTACATATCCTGTGATTAATATTAATATACATATATTTTGAGATGGAGTCCTGCTGTGTTGCCCAGGCTGTAGTGCAATGGTGCGATCTCGGCTCACTGCAACCTCCGCCTCTTGGGTTTAAGTGATTCTCCTGCCTCAGCCTCCCGAGGAGGTGGGACTACAGGCATGCAACAACCATGCCCAGCTAATTTTTCTACTTTTAGTAGAGACAGGGTTTCACTAGGTTGGTCAGGGTGGTCTCGAACTCCTGACCTCAGGTGATCTGCCTGCCTAGGCCTCCTAAAATGCTGGGATTACAGGCGCGAGCCACTGCTTCTGACCTAATATTTCTTTTTAAAACTAAGTTCTGAAAAGTTGTCTTTCCCTGGTTGCCTTTTTGGTTGACCACTGGGTGAAATACTTGGCTTGCATTTTTGGACCCACTTGAAGAAAGATAGCACTGTCCGAAATACCAGAATCAAGTGGCAATTCATGGTCTGTCAGGACCCGAAAGCCAGACCCAGGGCCCAGTCCAAGGAGAAGGGTGGGCTCCGTCTCTTCCTCCCTGTGCTTGGCCCATGATGCCCCCAGGCACTGGTTGGGTTCTGGGGGGTTGAACCAGAGGATGGAAATCATCGCAGGGTGGAGTCTTAGGATACCCGTGCTGGCTCATGGGTGGCACTTTGAAACCTTGTGGTTGACCCCAGGTGGTGCCAAAGGCATCTGGCAGAGAGCAAGAGCTGTCTTCTCCAGCATCGGGAGCCAGTCCAGAGGCCCCAGCTGCAGGTGCTGATGTGCATGTCCAGGTGGAGTGGGCTCCACTCCAGAGACGGACATGGAAATGTTAGTTGAATTTCCAGGAGCCGTGGCACTGGAGACAACAGAGGGTGGTTGTGGTGACCGGGAAGGGCAGGGTGCTGTGGGAGATGGGTCAGGGAAGGCCTCTTCTAAGGAAGGGTGTGGATGGGGCTGGGATGAGAGACTATCAGGGCAGAGCTGCAGGTGTGGGGAAGGGACGGATGCAAGGCAAGGCAGGGCTCACTGGACATGACCTGGGAGCACAGAGCAGAGGGCAGAGGGGAGACCACACAGGGCCTGCGAGCCAAGACTCAATCCTAAATGCAACAGAAAACCATGGAAAGGTCTACACTGAGAGTGACGGGATCTGACTCATGCTTATTTTGTTATATTTTTAATTGTGGTAAAAAACTCATCAAATAAACTTTCCCATTGCACCCACTTTCAAGTGTATAGTGGAGTAAAGTACGTTCACATTGTGCAAACATCACACCATCCATTTCCAGGTTATTCTCGTCTGGCAAAACTGAAACTCTGCCCCCATTAAATATGAACTCCCCATTCTCCCCAGCCCCTGACAACCACCGTTCTTTCAGTCTCTAGGAATTTGACTCCTAGACTCCTCATATAAGTGAATTTGTGGAGTATTAGTCCTTTTGTGATTAGGTTATTTCACTCATCATAACATCCTCCAGGGTCTCCAGGTTGCAACTCGCAAAGGGTGACAGACGCCAAACATGACCCCTGCCTTCACACTTGAGTTCCTGGGGAGATGGTGATACTATGTTGGAGATGGAGGAGGACTCTGGAGGAGGGGCAACCTTGGGAGCAGTGGGTGGAGGTCAGTGTGGAAGGAAGAACCAGAGTTAAGTAATGAACGTGTTCTGTTTCAGGTGCCTCTGTGGCATCCAAATGGACGAACCCAGTAGACAGATATTTTGGTTTTCTATTGCCGTGCAATGAACTACCACTAATGTATGACAAAAGCAACATGCATGACTGTTTTTGTCCCATAGCATTTATTGTGACTCGTGGCTTTGTGGGTTAGAAATTCTGGCAGGGCTTGGATGGGCAGTTCTGTTCCTCACAGCATCAAGTGAAGTTGGTGAAGCCTTGGCCAGAAGCTCCGTGGTCTGGTGCCCTGGGTGGGGGTGGCTGGGAGGCTGGGCTCAGCCAGGACTCTTGACTGGGGCATCCACAGGTGGGTCTCCAGCATGACGTCTCAGGGTGGTTGGACTCCATGCGTGATGGCTGAGGGCCCCAGAGCTGACCCTCCAAAAGACTGAACTGGAAGCTGCCTGTCTCCTAAGGCCTGGGCTTGGAAACTGCATGGTGTCATTTCTGCCATATTTTATTAGTCATGTAGTCACAGAGTCCATCTAGATTCAAAGAAAGAGGTCATAGGCCACTTCTCAATAGGATAAGTAACAAGAATTTCCAGCCAACTAAACAGCACATATAAAGATGTGGATTTCAGAAAAGAGGTCCCATTTTCCTGCCTTCCTTTCTTCTCCCTTTTCCTCCCTGTCTCCCTTGCCCTTCCTCTCACCCTTCCTTTAAAAGGTGTCCCTTAAGTACCTACAGAGGTACAGGGACTGCTATGAATGGTGAGGGTACAGCAATGACCAAGATCTCTGGTCTTCCTCTTATGGGGCTTACAAACCAGGCAACAGCAGGTGAAACCATCAACTGAGCAAGAAAGACACCTTATAGTGTACCCGTGTTAAGCAGAGAAGTGGAAAAGGAGGGTGTGGGAAATAGCTCTTGGGCTGCCATTGTAGATCAGATGGACCAGCTTAGCGGGAAGGCCTCGCTGAAGGGTGACACGAGACAGGAAGGGGTTGGCCACGCATGTTCAGGGCAGAGGGAACAATGGCTGGTATAAAACCCCCAGTGGGAGTGAGCGGGTCTGGTTTGAGAAACAGGAAGAAGGGTTGCCTGCAATGTGGGTGGGGTGAGTGGAGAGAAGCGTGGGTGGTTAGAAATCAGCTAACAGAGCACTTTATCACTCCGTGCGGGAGTGTAGAATTTATTTTAAATATTTTGGGAAGACTTTAGGGGTTTAATCAAGGTAGGGACAGGATCTGATTTCCATATAATGTAAATCTGGTGGCCGAGTGGAACCCTAGTTCGAGCTGGGAGACCAGGCACGGGGCCACCGCCATGGTCCAGGTGAGAGAGGCCAGCTGGACAGGTGGAGAGAGAGAGCCACAGGTGGGCTGAAGATACTGCTTTGGAGGTGCACAGTGGAGATGCGCTGAGGGACTGGATGGGAGGGGGCATGGTTATGAGAGTAGGAGGGAGATAAGGTTGACACCTGGAGCCTCGATGGACCACCTGGGAGGACGATGTAGCTGAGCAGATGGAGAAATGGGGAAGGTGGGTTGAGTTTGAGATGTGTTTTAGACACCCAAGTTGCCACCGGAAACTATGAGTCTGGGGTTCTTGGAAGTGGTCCAGGCTGGAGATTGAGACTGGGAAGTCATAGGCCTATAGCTGGTATTTACAACCAGGGACTGGGAGAGAGCCCCAGGGTTCATGTGTAGAGAGAATAGAAAGGGACCCAGGAATGAGCCCTGGACGCTGGCTAACATTAAGAGGCAGAGCAAAGGATGAAACAGCAAAGGAGACTGGGAGGGACCCGCCGAACAAGTAGGAGAGCTCCTAAGAGTCACAGCAGCCAGTAAGCAAAGCAGAAGAGAGGGGTCTTGGTTCCAGGGCCCCCGTGGTGTATACCAAATGCACAGATGCTCAAGTCCTATACTTGCATGTAACCTACCCATCCTCCCGTACACTTTAAGACATCTCTAAATTACTTAGAATACCTAATACAATTTAAATGCTATGTAAATAGTTGTTACATTGTATTGTTTAGAGAATAATGACAAGAAGAAAGTTTGTACCTATTCAGTACAGACACAACAAACCATTTTATTTTTTTAATTAATTTATTTTTATTTTTTGAGACCGAGCTTCACTGTTGCCCAGGCTGGAGTGCAGTGGCATGATCTTGGCTTACTGCAAGCTTCGCCTCCTGGGTTCAAGGGATTCTCCTGCCTCAGCCCCCTGAGTAGCTGGGATTACAGGCACATGCCACTACACTTTGCTAATTTTTTGTATTTTTAGTAGAGATGGGGTTTCACCATGTTGGCCAGGCTGGCCTTGAACTCCTGACCTCAGGTGATCCACCTGCCTCGGCCTCCCAAAGTTCTGGGATTATAGGTGTGAACCACTGTGCCCAGCCTACTTTTTGAATATTTTTGATCTGTGGTTGGTTCAATCCACAGACACAGGTCCCTGGATACAGAGGTCGGCTGTATATACCAGGGAGTGTTCTGTATGGAGATACAAATGAAGGCTATGTGTCTCAGTTACCTATTGCTATGGAAGAGACCACCCCAATACTCAGCAACTTAAAACAATGTACATTTATGATTTCATAGTTTCTCTGACTTATGACTCCAACTACAGTTTTAGCTGAGTATCTCTGCACAGGGCCATTCCCAGGCTGAAACTGTTGGCTGGGGCTGCATTCATTTCAAGGCTTGACTTTCCGAGAGGTGGCAGAGGATTTGTTTCCAAATCTACTCATGTGACTGTTGGCAGGATTCAGCTGTGGCTTGTTGGGCTGAGGGTCTGAGTTCCTTGCTGGCTGTTGACAGGGGTACTCCCTGGGCCCCTTGCCGCATAGGGTGCTTCGCAGCATGGCAGCTCTGCCACCTGTCTTTCAGGAGAAGATGAGCAAGAGGGATAGCAGGTCCTTTTGCAACCTAATTTCAGAGGTGACTTCCTGTGTCTTTTGCCATATTTTGTGAGTTGGAAGTGAGTCATTAGGTGCATCCCACACTAAAGGGGTGGGGACTCCACAAGAGGGTGACTGCAGGAGCTGGGGATCATTGAGGGTCATCCTAGAGGCTGCCTGCCACAGCCAGGGAGTGGAGGAAGCTGAAGAAGGGTGCAGCCTGAAGCGGGAGTGAGGAGCCTGACAACTCAAGGGGTGGCAGAAAGGGAGAGAACTGGGACAGAGAAGAGCCTGAGAAGCAGGGAACAGTGTGTAGGTTCTGTGAGCAACACAAACAAAAGTCACTGCTTTCAGTTTTGCAAACTTAATTCTCATCTAAGCCCTCTCAGACACGTGTTAGAATTCCCATCTTTCAAATGAGGAAACTGAGGCTGGGCGAGGGCTGTAGAGATGGAGAGAGTTGGATGGGTTCAAAGAGCACTCATTAGGGATGGATTGCAGGGAAGGGTGGGTGAGGAAGTGAGCAGGATCATGGCAGACATGGATTTGGTGGTTTCTGTGGAGATGGGAAATGCCACGAGGTCTCCTTATTGTTCTGTCAGGGGTGACTCAGTCCCCGTGCATCAGGGTCAGCTCCCATGAGGCCTGGGACTTGAGTGGGGCCTCCGTGGTGGCTTGGAAGCTGCTCCCCACCACAGGCCATTTTCTCTTCTCTTGCAGCTTTGGATACCTCCCGCTTTTGGCTGTCGACCTGAGTATGACAATGGATTGGAGGAGATTGTCTTTGGCTTTGAACCCTGGATAATTGTGGTCAACCTGGCCATGGCTTTTTCTATTTTCTATGCAATGCACGCAGCTGCCTCCCTCTTTGAGGTCTATTGTAAGATATAGTCTGGGTCCACAAGAGACTAACAAGTGACTAACAAGAGTGAGCTAACAAGAGTTCATTGGAGCCAACTGGGAATGGCCAGGTTGGACAAATATTGCCTGACAAACATGAGAAGGGCCACCTTTTGTCTGCAAAGATTGTGCTTCCTGTGGGCTGGAACTGCCCATCACCCCTGATGAATGTAAACAAGTTAGATCAAAATCCATAAGGTGGCTGGAATCTGTCCTTGGTTAGTTAAATGCTAATCAAGCCCAAATTATTTTATTGCCTTCTAAATGATTTAGAAGAATGTGATTCTGGCTTGGGAAACAATCTATCCAGTTTGTTTTTCATAAAAAGCATTTTCTTTGTGTCATTTATCATGTGACTCCATACAACCTTTTCCTGACCACCTGCATAGTAATTTATACTTTAAAAATTTATCCTTCTCAAAGCCTATGAATTTAGACACAATCACTATTGTTTCTGAATAGGTTTAATTTCTTGAAGTTATTTTTATCAGCTGGATAGAAATTTGTATACAGACCCATATAAAAACACATTTCTTACCTGAAATGTTGGCACATTTTTGTGATCATTTTCAAGTATTTTTAAAAAGAAATTTCACTGTTCTCTCTTTCACTGTAAATACACACATGTTTATTGTAAAAAATTTGGATATTTCAGAAAAGTAGAGAGAAAAAGTCACCTACGATGCCATTGTTCAATTAACAATTACTTTTAATATCTTGGTGTATTTCTTCCGACCATGTTGATGAGATTCTTTTTATTGTCATTATTATACCTTTGAATGGTGATGTAACATATTTGATTTTGTATTCAGTTATTTTCCTACTTAACAATATGGCATAAACCTTGCCCCCATATTGTTATAAGTTCTTTATAAATATCATTTTAATGCTGTATGATAGTCTATCAAGTGAATGTACCTTAATTAACATAGTTTCCTATGGTTGGTTTTACAGTGTTTATAACTTTTTGCTTTTATAGGTAACTCTGCAAAAATCAACCATATTTGTGAAGCATTTCCTATATTTAGAATTGTTTCTTTAAGATATGGAATTACAATTAGGATGCCTAGTCCAAAGATTAAGTTTAGAAATATTTCAAAGGTGCCTAAGGAATATTGACATTTGGGAGGCCTTTGTATAGTTTTTCCACAGCTATTTTAAAATAATAATAAAATTAATTTTCTTAATGTAAGTATTAATGTATCTTTTCATTTGAGTGTATTTTTTTTCAGACAGTGCAGGCAATGGGACAGTAATAAATACAAAGTTTTTTTTTAACATGACTAAAGTACACTTATTTTAGAAAAAACTAAAAAATAGGCATATATACTAAAAAACAAAGGAAAGCATCATCTATACATGTCCCATCTAGAGAATCGGTTCTCCAACTGGGGACCTTGTTCCTTGAGGGGACATTTAGCAATATCTGAAGACATTTTTTAATATTTATTTTTTATTAAAATTAAAATAAATCTAAATTATACATAATATTTATACATACTTACAGGGTACATGTGATATTTTGATATAAACATATAATAAATAATAATCAAATCAGGGTGACAGATATTCATACCCTCAGGTATGTATCTTTTTTGTGTGTTAGGAACATTCTAATTTCACTATGTTAGTTACTCTAAAATATACAATAAATTGTTGTTAACTATAGTTGTACTTTTGTGCTACCAAACACATTTTTGATTGTTACACTACTGCACCCAGGGATACTGCTAACACCCTACAACACACAGGACAGCCCCACCACAAAGTCTTTGGGCTGATTGTCAATGGTGCTGAGGTAATCTAGAGGTAATTGCTGTTAAGTATTGTTATCTAGGTAGCTATTAGTACACACACACAGGCTGGACATGGTGGCTCACGCCTGTAATCCCAACACTTTGGGAGGCCACAGAAGGATCGCTTGAGGCCAAGAGTTTAAGACCAGCCAGGGAACACAAACATAGTGAGACCCTGTCTGTACAAAACACAAAACAAAAAACCCAGGTGCGGTGGAGTATGCCTGTAGTCCCAGCTACTCATGAGGCTGAGTGGAGAGGATCACTTGAGCCCAGGAGTTTGAGATTGGGTAGTGAGACAAGATTGTGCCACTGCATTCTAGCTTGGGTGGCACAGCAAGACCCTGTCTCTAAAAAATAAAAATTAAAAAAATTATATATATATATATATATATATATATATATATATATTTTTTTTTTTTTTTTTTTTATTTTTTTGAGACAGACTTTCACTCTTGTCACCCAGGCTGGAGTGCAATGGCATGATCTTGGCTCACTGCAACTGCCGCCTCCTGGGGTCAAGCGATTCTCCTGCCTCAGCCTCTGGAGTAACTGGGATTACAGATGCCTGCCACCACGCCCAGCTAATTTTTGTATTTTTAGTACAGACAGGGTTTCATCATATTGGCCAGGCTGGCCTTGAACCCCTGACCTCAGGTGATCCACCCACCTTGGCCTCCCAAAGTGCTGGGATTACAGACGTGGGCCACCGCACCCAGCCGATAATTTTTTTTTTCAAAAGTACGCATACATCGACACCCACACCCACATGAAGGCGGTGTTTTTATGTATACTGCGTTTGTATGTAACTTGCTTTTTTCCTCTTGATACACCAGAGTGCTTCTTCCCTATTTTGGGTCCCAGGCATCGATGCTCTGGCTTTAGTGTGCCTGAGACTCATCTGGGGAACTTGTTAGGATTCCTGCCCTCCAAGCTGGAAGTGCAGATTCAGTCTGGAGGGGGGCCCGGAAGTCTGCACTTTCATGAGCATCTCAGGGGGTGCCAACTCCCTTTGATAAGCATCTCCTTGGACGTCCATGGACCCCAAGCTAGGACTCCTGAGTAAGTTTCCTTGACATTGCATATCCATATGCAGTATGATTTTGGGTGGATTTAAGGTACATTCCATGGAAGGATGTACCATTCTTTATTTTTTCAAACGGTGATGTTGGACATTTAGAGATATTTAGGTGGTTCCTTTTTTTGGTGCTACTGTAAACAATGCTATGGTGATCATCTTTGTAACTCAGTCTTTGAGGTCAGAAACTATCCTCTGGAGTGATTTATGCTGACTAAGCAGTGACTGAGCAGGAATACAGGTTTCCCCATTTTGGTTGGCATTACCTTTACCCCTGTTCTAAGCACATTAGAAAAGCCCTGAGGCCTCAGCTGTGGGTTTTGGGCTCTTCCAAGGAGACAAAGGAGCTATCATAATGCTGGGAATGATGGATCCAGGCTGTGGGGATGCTATTGTGGACACAGGGCAGCATCAGAGCTTGGAAAAGCCTGCATGGCTGGCCAGGCTCAGCGTTTCCAAGAAAGGATCTAAAGATGGATGAAGCATCTCCTATCCTCAACAGGCAGCCTCAGGGATGGCTATTTCAGCCAGGTGCTTTTTACCTCCAAGTAATTAAGCATCCTGACTCAACCAGCGTAGGTGGCAAGGAAAATTTACTATCTTAATGCCAAGGCAATTTGCCAAAGAGGAACCAGAATGTGCAATACACAAGTGTTAAGGTCTCAGGGAATACAAATTGAAATAATAATGAGTTACCACTTCCCATTCATTAGATTGGCAAGAGTTGGCAAGAAGTGAAAGAAAGACTCATATATACTGCTAGTGGGAGCGTAAATGAATAAAATCAGATAGGACAGCAATTGGCAATATTGACTAAGGCTGGAGGTACACATTCCTTACGACCTAAGAATTCTGTTCCCTGGCATGTGCTCCAGAGACAGCCTCACACCTGTGTTCAGGAATGTTCACTCAGCATAATTGTAATTAGGAAAATGGAAAACAGCCTAAATGCCTGTCAATTAGGAGTGCAGATAGACACACTAGGGACAATTTCCATAATGGACTATTTCACAAGAGGAAAAAATGAACACAACAGAATTCATGTATCAACATGGATAGTCCCCCAAAACAATGTTGAATGAAACATTAAGTAGTGTAGGGGTATAATTGGTATGATACCATTTATATGATGTCTAGGAACAAGCAAAACAATCCCTGATATTGCTGGGGGATATGTCCATATGTAGTAAGATTACAAACACACCTGAAGAAAGAATGCATGCCAAGTTCAGTGTAGTGAGAAGGGGAGGGGCTTGGAACCAGCAACTGAGTTCATGCTGTGTCCGAAATATTTTTTCCTAAGCAAAGATGTATTCATTATGTTTTCATCTGCACTCTTAAAATGTACTCTTTAAATGTACTTTTAATGTATTTTAAAGAAATTTTAAATGAGATATTTAATAATACAAGTATTTGAGAGCAATAAAAAAAGAAAGTCCATACAAGGAAGATGAACTTAGAGAGAGCTACCAGAGCAGGTAAATTTCCAGCATTCTTCCATCATTGTTGAGAGATGGGTGTCAAAGCCAGTGGTGTTCTGTTCTCCTTGGCAGGTAGATCCCCAAGGTGGGGTAGCTCAATGCAATTAGCTGGTAAGATCACCGGACTCACTCTTCCAGGGATGACTCCGTGCACATTAGGAAACCTGACATTGGTTTGCCTTCCAATGTCGCTCTTTGCTGTGGGGGCAATGCCCTGGGCACACATATTATCAGAACAATCTGCAATGGACTGGATGTTTGTTTCCCCCTTAAATTCATATGTTGAAGCTTAATGCCAATGTGGTGGTATTTGGAGGTGGGGTCTTTGGGAGGTAATGAGGTCATGATGGTAGGACCGTTGTGAATGGGATTAGCGCCTGTAAGAGGGGGCCAGAGAGCTTGTGCACTTCTTTTCTGTCATGTGAGGATGCAATGAGAAGACAGCTGTCTGTGACCTGGAAGAGGGCCCTCACCAGAACCCAACCATGCCAGCACTGGCACCCTGATCTTGGGCTTCCAGCCTCCAGACCTGTGAGAAATAAATGCCTGTTGTTGATTAGCCACCCAGCTTGTGCTATTTTGTTACAGCAGCTTGCACTGAGTAAGTTACTCCCTTACCTGCTGTAACCGTATACAGGAGGGGCCTGTGCATTTGGTAGCTTGGGTTCCTCCCTGAGCCTGTGAAACTCAGATTTGAACTCATGTATTTTGGGTGCCATGACTCTTGTCGAGGCAGAGTGAAAGGGCAAGGGCATGGAGCTAGATATCCAGGGTGACAACAGGCTCCCATGGTGCCTGAGTGTGCATTAAAAAAAGCACCCCTTCCACAAGACATTCTCCAAACTGTCGAACCAAACCCACCAGCATCTTCCTACCTGCCCATGTGCCGGGGTGGGGGGAAAATTAGACATGTTTGTCTCCCCACTACAGATGTCGGCCAAAAGATCCAACTGGAAAATGCTTGCTACTACCTTCCAGTTTCACGACCCTCTCAGCTAAGGAAGCCCTTCCTGCATCCATGTCTCTCTATGCCTGTCTGTGAAGTCCCAGCTCACAGCTGACCTGGTTAGGTAAGCACTGTTATTTTGTTTCAACGGAGGGAACCTTTGGATTACATGTACATAGCTAGTCAGTGGCAGCATTTGGTTCATCACGCTGGTTTTAAAAACTCCATTGCCTTTTCTCTTCATTAGTCCTACCATCTTATGAAGAAAGTCAACTCAGTAAAAATATCCGTCAAACAATGGCTTAGGGATATGCGTACAGAACAATCAAATCAGCTGACAGAATATCTGGCTTTTCACCCAGTTATAAAATGTTGTGCTTTGCTTAACATGGTGAAGAACGAAAGCTGCTAACAGCTGATTTCTTTCTCCCAAAATGTGAGCCCTGCTATGGGAGAGCGCAACCAGCAGGGGGTGCTGGCGTCTTTCCCTGAACTTCAGGGCACGCTTGAGAGAGGGTACCTGGCGGGTGGGCAGTGGCCTCAAGTTACCAAACGAAGGGGTGGGCGCAAGGTGTGCTGATTGGACTCCATTGGCTGCGCTGGGTTCCCGTAGCGTATGTGAGAGATACCTGTCACCACTTCCCGGCTAAGACCCAGCCAGTTTCAGCAAGGACGTTCCCTCCACTGGACCCACCAGGACCCACTCCCTGCAGGGCACCATGGTCCCTCTCAAGAGGCTTTGGAGGAACTTGGGAGTTACAGGGTGTTCCCCTGATGGGAGAGTCCCTGGCATGCCGCGTGTGAATGGGACTGAGTTGGGTGGGGGAGGCTGGGAGGGCACTTGTGCTGGGTGTGATGGGGGAATGTAGTCCATGTTAGTTCCTCCTAAGAGCAGCCACTAAGAGGACTCTGGGGAGGGACAGATGGGTGCAGTGTTTTAACCCACAAATGGGAGGGTAATTCTGGCATGATGGTGGTTTTAGCAATGTTAGTAATGCACGGACCACCATAACCATGATAGTGAAGCTACATGTCTAAAAAATGTAAATCAAATCAGGCCACCTGCTAAAAACGATTCAATGGTTTCCCATTGCCCCCCCTCCCTTTTTTTGAGGCGGAGTTTCGCTCTTGTCACCCAGGCTGGAGTGCAATGGCATGATCTCAGCTCACTGCAACCTCCGCCTCCTGGGTTCAAGCGATTCTCCTGCCTCAGCCTCCTGAGTAGCTGGGATTACAGGCGCGCGCCATAACACTTGTCTAATTTTTGTATTTTTAGTAAAGATGGGGTTTCACCATGTTGGTCAGGCTGTTCTCGAACTCCTGACCTCAGGTGATCCACCCGCCTCGGCCTCCCAAAGTGCTGGAATTATAGGCTTGAGCTACCGCGCCCCGCCCTCCCATTGCTTTTAGTAGAAAATACAAACTCCTACCCGTGGACTATTGGGGCTATCACGATCTGGGCTCTGCATCTCCATCTTCTCATGCCAGTCCCATCCTCTGCCTCCCCAACCCCATCGCCCTTCCTCCTGCATGGCTGCAGCCACACCTGGCTTCTTCTCTTTAATATTCCTACCATGCCTGCCCCACAGGACCTCCGCAGGAGCTGCTCTCTCTGGGGTGTGCACTTCTGGCTCAGGGCAAGGATCCATCTTTCTCACCCTTCAGGCTGTGTGTAGATAGATGTCCCTCTGTAGTGAGGTCCTCACTATCCAGCTCATTACGCTTCACTTCGGCACCCTGTCCAGACCCTTCACAGTCAGCTGCCAGCTGTGTTTTCTTATTTATTGGTGCTCATCCAGTCCAGTCCTGGATGGGACTGCCTGCCTCATGAGGGCATGAGCTTTGCCTTCTCCTCTCCCAGAACCTCCCTGATGTGGTTGCTTGGACACGTGGGCCACCCTCCCAACACCAGACTATCGCAGGGTGCGGGAAGGGCTGGGGCCGCCGCGGGCCTTGAGGATCGCCATGTTTCCTTCTCTAGTTTTTGAGACATTGGTGAAGATCCTCTGCCTGCTTCTAGCACACACATCCTGATCTCCTTCTGCCTTCAAGACACAAGATGGCGCTTTAAGCCTGGTTGTTAAGAAAGAGGACTACAAACGCTTGAGTTTCTTCCCTCTGCTCGCTCTCAGACGTGGCTTGCGAGGGGATTTGTGGGGTCCACCTCTCCACAGCTTGGTGGGTGGGTTCCGTCCTCCTCCTCGGACAGGGCAGGACCAGCAGCCAATCACTCCTTCCTGCCAGAGAAGGAAGTGGCGCTCAAACTGTTTTTCTGACATCAGTAATATCTGCCTACACTCCTCCAGCAGGCATCTCTGAAACATCAGTTTTGGGTGATTGGTCTAAGCCAAGCACCTTTGATAGCAAGGGTAAGCTCGCTATCCTTTGCTGGAGATGGGCACGGAGAGGGCATGTGAAGAGTGCCAGACCAGGCGTTGACAAACTATGGCTCATGAGAAGAATGGAGTGTACATTTTTAAAGGGTCATCTCTCTCTCTCTCTCACACACACACACACACACACACACACACACACACACACACACACACACAGAATATGCTGCAGAGATCATATGTGACCTGACAAGCCTAAAATACTCACTATCTGGTCCTTTATAGGAAATGCTTACTGACCTCTGGTCTAAACACTGAGAGGTAAGGGACCTCTGCTGCACCGCCCTGGAGGGATTTTTGATCCCTAAATAAGAAGAGGTGAGGAGGAAGCCTGCCCTTCCTCCTGGCCTGAATGTGCTTCTGAGAGGCAGTCAAGCCTGGAACTGTGGCAGCCGGCTTGTGACCATGAAGAAACCAGCCCAAGAAGAAAGGCCAACCTGCCAAGGAGGGAACAGGAGCCTGGGGCCTCGAGGACTTTGCTGAGCCTTCGTGTGACCCTGGAGCCACCTTCCTCTGGAGTTCTTGTGATGGCAGATAATTCAATGTTGTCATTGTTCAAGCCAGGGGTGGGCAAACTTTTTCCATAAAGGGCCACATGGAAAACATTTTAGGCTCTGTGTGGGCCATGAGATCTCTGTTGGCACTACAACCCTAAAAACAACCATAGACAATGTGTAAATGAATGGGTACACCTATGTTCCAATAAAACTTTATTTATAAAAATAGATGGTGGGCTGAATTTGGCCCTGAGGGCCAGAGTTTGCTGCGTATTTTGTTTGTTTGTTTGTTACTTGCAGCTGACCTATCCTAACTAGTACTCCCTGAAGTCTGCCTCAGCTCAGAAGCGTCCTTGGGTTCCAAGCCACAGGGGCTAAGCTTGAGTGTGGGTGGGGTCTGCAGCAGGGTGGTGGGAGGGATAAGCACATAAAGGCCCACACATTGATCTGCCCTTTCTATGGTCCAGGTCGTGCTTTCCTGCAATATCTTCTCATCATGGGCCTAGCAATCATGATGGGAAGGCCTCACTTTAAGAGAATGCTTTCAGCATTTCCAGGCAGTCCCTGCTTGCCCTCAACACTACATGTAGGCCTCAGCCTCCACACCTAGCATGTTTGTTAAGCAAGACTAAGCCACATGAAGCAACAGGGCAAGGGGAGGGCCCTTGTGTTCTCAGGGTCCCACGGCAGAAGTGTGGTTCCGGGAGAAATGGGGGAGTGTGCCCTTCCCTGAACAAGCATATTCCCTCAGTGTGGAGGAGCCCCTCCAAAATTTACAAGTGCTGTGATGACACGATGCTCATTCAGACCATCAGCTGCAGACAGATTGCAGAAATATGTAAGGGCTCTGTCCTTGGAGGTAGGATCTGGTTGCTCCTTGTTCCCTAAGCTTGGCCCTGAAGGGAGGGCAGGATTCCAGCCAGAGTGAATGAAGAGTGAGGCTTTGGGGAAGGGCTCGGATTGCCTCTCGTGCTTGTGTTCAGATTCCTGCTGATTGGTTGTTCCCCAGGGAGACGAGGCTTCGAGGCCAGGTCTCTGCTCTGAGTTAACTTCACCACCCTGCACCTTGGTGGCAGTAAGAGAGCGACCTCAAAGGGCCGCTGAGAGAATTGAGGTGGATGCCTGTACAGCTCTAGTTATGGCACCCATTCCGGCCCCTGGCAAGCTCTTACTACGGTTGCAGGTGTAATTTCCAGTCTCTGCCTCCAGGGATTGCTGCTGAGCACAGACACGTTTCTCTGCTCACAGAGTGAGGCCGCCAAGATGATTCTCAGATCTCTGGTTCTGTATACAGCCCAGATAGCCTGTGAAAGGGGGAATGATAACCCCCAAAGATGTCCACGTCCTAACCTCCAGAACTAGTGAATGGGATGTTGGCAGAAGAGACTCTGTGGATGAGATTACTTCAAAGATTTGCGACGGGGAGACTATCGTGGGTTATCTGTGTGGATACGCAATGTAATCACAAAGTGTCCTTATAGATGAAGAGGGAGGCAGAGGAGATTCGACTACAGAAGAGAAGGTGATGCTACCGTGGAGGCAGAGATTGGAGTGATGTGCCCACAATTCACAATGCCAGCAGCCACCAAAGAGGCAAGGAATGGATTCTCCTCTAGGGCTTTTACCAAGGGTCCTGGCAACACCTCAGTTTTAGTCCAGGAAGACTCGTTTTGGATTTGTGACCTCCAGAACTATGAGAGAATACATCTGTGTTGTTTGAAGCTGCCAGGTTTGCAGTAGTGTGTTAGAGCAGCGTGGAAAATCCATTGAGTCCCATTGCCCTGCTTTTTATGCCTTGATGCCTTGTACAAAAGCAGAAAATGGTATGGATGGAATGGGAGGTCATTATGTTAAGTGAAACAAGCCAGGCACAGAAAGACACACATTGCGTGTTCTCACTGATTTGTGGGATCTAAAAATCAAAACAGTTCAACTCATGGAGCTAGAGAGCAGAAAGGTGGTTACCAGAGGCTGGGAAGAGGAGTGGGGGGCTGAGGGCAGGTGGGGATGATGTTAGAAAGAATGAATAAGATATACTGTTTGATCACACAGCAGGATGACTGTAGTCATTAATAATTGTACATTTACAAATAACTAAAAGACTGTAATTAGATTGTTGGTATTAGAAAGGATAAATGTGCCGGGTGCAGTGGCTCAGGCCTGTAATCCCAGCACTTTGGGAGGCCGAAGTGGGCGGATCATGAGGTCAGGAGATCGAGAGCATCCCCGTGAACACTGTGAAACCCCATCTCTACTAAAAATACAAAAAAAATTAGCCTGGCATGGTGGCGGGCACCTGTAGTCCCAGCTGCTCAAGAGGCTGAGGCAGGAGAATGGCATGAACCTGGGGGGCGGAGCTTGCAGTGAGCAGAGATCACGCCATTGCACTCCAGCCTGGGTAACAGAGCTGGACTCCATCTCAAAAAAAAAAAAAAAGAAAGAAAGAAAGGATAAATGCTTCAGGGATGGACACCTCATTCTCCATGATGTGCTTATTTCACAGTGCATGTCTGTATCAAAACATCTCATGTACCTCACATATATATGCACCTAATGTGTACCCAGAAAAAAATGAAAAAGAGCATAAAAGAAAAAAAAAAAAAAAAACAAAAGCAGAAAAGAGGGCAAATGAGAGTCGGGGACTGTGATCTCATTTTGCCCAGGATGAAGCTGGGTGACCCGGGTACAGAGCAAGCCCCTTGGCTTCTTGAGCTCCCATGTGCAGAGTGAGGGGCGGATGCAGGGGCAGGGTGTGACTTTGATGAACATTCCCTCCAGGTGGCTCTGCCCTCGGCCCCCTCTCAGGATTGTTTGTAGCTCTTTGCCTCTTCTTGGCCATTTGGAGTTTTCAGGGGCCCTACTAGGTCCTCTTGACTTCTCACTTTGCTCTCCTTGGTGGTCTAATTCATGGCCAAGGGCCCACCTGCCGTCCAGACACTGCTTTTCAACCTGACCTCTCAGCTCCAGGCTGGTTATTTCCAACAGCCTACTTGGGTGTCTCAAAGGCACTTTACACTCAATGTGTCCAACACTGAACTCAAGGCTCCCGGCATCGCCATTCAGTTATCCCTCCACATTTCCAACCCTATGGATTGCACTAGCGTCTGTCCATTATGCAGGCCAGGCTGCAAAGGCTGTCTCAACGCTGCCCTTATGCTGTCGGGGCTTAGAACATGACACCCCAAAGCGTGGTGCCTCAGCCTGAGTATTTTGAACTGAAGGACATTGGAAGGAACTCAGAAGCAAGGTCTTTCCAACCTCCTCAGACCCTCTCTTCTGCTTGCCTTCATCCTCCAAAGTGAGTCACAGAAACCAGAATTTATCTTCCTCAAGATGGGTCATAGAACCTAGAAACCCTCCTGCTAAAGCAAACCATAAAACCTAGAAAGGTCACTCTCTATCTTCTCCTTCTCCTTTGAAAACTCTCATTTCAGAAAGGGTCCCGCCCCATACCCAGGAGGAATGGAGGCTACACAGAGAGGCTGAGAAGAATCTGAGCAGACAGTTTTGCTGGGTCCCCTTTCAGTCTGTTCCCAGTAGGTCATACCCGTTTGTCCAATCACATTTCTATCTGGCTGTCCATTCTTCATCTAATCTAAGCATAAAAATTAACAGTTTTCCCTGGGCCTTTGGGTTGTCATTTCTGAAGCCTCCCATGTCACATAAAACTTGGATTAAATAAATTTGCTCTGTTTTTCTCTTGTTAATGTGTCTTTTGTTATAGGAGTGTTGGCCGTGACCCTTAAGATGGATAAGTAAAGGACTCACACCTTCACAGCTCTACAGCCCCATCTCCAATAAGTAGCCACACCTGCCACTTCTACCCACAAATACCTGGATTCCGCTCATCTCTTCCCATTGTCATTCCTACCACTCAATTCCCTGTCACCATCATCTCCTGATGGGTCTTCTGGAGCAGCTTCCTCACTCATCTCTCCAGTTCATCCCTTGCTTCTACCAGTCTATCCTTGCTACGGTAAAACGGGCATTTGAGAAAGGCAATTACACGGTTACCCCTCCCCTGCTCAGCACTCTCCAATTTGATGGACACCAAAATCCTTGCCTTGGTCCCCTTGGTCCTGCGTGCCCTCCTCTCTGGCCTCATCTCAAGCCACTGCCCTCGTGCTGCACTCTTCCTCTGTAATCCACACTGCTGGCTTCTTTTCCTTGAATGTGCTATGCTCTCTCCTGCTGCAGGAGGGCCTTGCACTTGCTGCTTCCTCTTCTTTCTTCTAGTGAATTCCTATTCCTCCTTCAGCTCTCCATTCAAGCCAGTGCCTCAGGGAAGTCTTCCCTCACCTCTAGACCAGGTCTGGTGTCCCTGCCATGAAGCCTCACAACACCATCCAGCTTTCCTTCCTTGCATCTGTCATAGCTTTTGATCATACAATGATGTGTGGGACTTTCTGAATAGTGGTCCCTCTTTACCAATTAACTGTGAGCCTCAAGAGAAAGGAATAATGTCTGTTTGCTCCTCCTCTGTATCCCTAGTGGTGGTAGAAGAGGAGATCAATAATTATCCTCAAATGAACTAAAATGAATGGATGCTTAGATTTTTTTTTTTTTTTTTTTTGAGACAGGGTCTTGCTCTGTTGCCCAGATGTGATGATCATGGTTCACTGCAGCCTCAACCCCTGGGGCTCAAGTGATCCTCCCACCTCAGCCTCCCAGGTAGCTGGAACTACATGCATCCACCTCTATGCCTGGCTAATTTTTGTATTTTATTTTATTTTATTTTTTTAGAGATGGGCTATTTTTACGTTGCCCAGACTCGTCTCGAACACCTGGGCTAAAGCAATCTGCCCACCTCAGCCTCCCAAAGTACTGGGATTACAGGCAGGAGCCACTGTGTCTGGCCCAATGCTTAAGATCTTTTGAGACAAAAAGGAGGAAGTGGGAGATAGTTTCAATACCACAGGAAGCTCAGAAAAAAAAACACCCCCCAACCCCCCCAAAAAACACACATGTATTTATTTGATATTTGGCTGTGCAGGTTAAAAAGTTATTTATTTATTTATTTGCTTTTGGAAAAACTCGAGTCAGCTTGATGAGGTCACTTTTTCCTGCTACTCCTTCTTATTTGGGGAGTAAAGGGACTTCCATGATCTGGATGGATGATTGTGATGAGGAGGTTACCGGGATTGCCCTGAGAGAATGGACTGTGAGCTTTCAGGGATGGAAGCTGCATCTTCATCTCTATAATCCCTTGTTTGGCACAGTGTCAGCCTGAGAAGATGCTTGGCGACAAATATGAATTATGGCACACACTGTTAATTTCTTACCCATGAGCAGTTCCTTTGCTTGCTAACAGAAAATCCTGATTTTGCTTGGATAAACAAAGTGTCCAGTGTCAGGTGATGACTCAAGGTTGGTTTAAGCCAGGCTGGGGCCTTTTGTTCCTTTTTGCCTGATACTTGAAAGAGTTTACAGTAGGGACTGTCCTGTGGTCCACTTCTGCATAATGAGACATAAGGAGAAGTCTGCTGTGTCCTTCTAAGAAGATTTTCTTCACTGGTTAAAGGCGAGAGACACATCAAGAAAAGCCCCCCTTGACATAGCTTCCTCCATCTTGTTCCTGGAGTCTGAACTTGGTCATGATGGCTGGAGCTATAACAGCCATCCTGTGATCATGAAGCTCCAAGGGTATAAAGCAGTAATATTCAGGAAGGTGGAGCCTTTGGACAAAATGATAAAAGGAATCTGGGGCCTCAGCTACATCACTGAGCCTTTTCAAGTCCTTGCCTTCTTCCTCTTAAATCCTGTTATGTTACATAACTAAATGTCTTTATTGCAAAAGCCACAAGTAGTCAGGCTTTCTGTTATTCACAGCTGAAAGCATTTCTCTTATTTTCAAATAATTTCAGACTTATAGAAGAATTAATTGTAAGGCAAAGAACTTTCATGACCTTCACCCACCTTCACCAATTGTTATTTGCCACATTTACTTTCTCCATCTATATAGTCTATTCTACTCTATTATCTTTCCCTGAACCATTTGAAATTCAGTTGCAGGCATCCTTCTCCTCTCCCTTAAACATTCCAGAACATATTCCATCAGAACAAGAAGACTCTAGTGCTCAAGTTCGGGGAATTTGAGGTTGATGCCATACAATCGTGTAGTCCTTGATAATTGTCTAATATACAGTTCACTTAAAATTTCGCCAACAGTCCCAATAATGCCCTTTAAGGCACGTTTCCCCTGATCCAGCTGTCATACCTTTTTAGTCTCCCTTAATCTGGAACAGTTCCTCTGCCTCTTTTTGTCTATCATGGGGTTGACGCCGAAGAACAGTTCAGGTCAGTCCTTGAAGGTCCCTCCATCTGTGTTTGTCTGATGTTTCCTCCAGGGACCGGAATGCTACAGAAGCAATGCTGTGTTCTCAGTGTATCACATCAAGAAACACTTGGCACCCATTTGTCCTATTCCTGGTGTTGTTAACTTTGTTCAGCTCATTAAGGGAGGACCTGCTGGGTTTCTCTACTGTTAAGTTACCACTTTTTCTCTTTGCAATTAATAAACCATATGAGTGGAAGTGCTATGAGACAATGAAAACATACTTTACCTTCCTAAATTTTCACTCAGTGATGATTCTTCCTTGAATAAACTATTATGATCATGTTTGCAAATGGAGTTTTCTATTATTCCCTCTGTATTTATTCATTGGCATTCTACTGTAAGAAAGTCTTCTTCCTTCTTCCCTCCCTCCGTCCCTCCCTCCCTCTCTCCCTCCCTCCCTCTCTTCTTCTTTCTTTTCTTCCTTCCCTTTTCTTTCTTTCTATAGCTATAGGTTCCCATTTTATTCAATAGACTATAATCTACCATTATCATTATTAATTTGGATGCTCACATCATCCTAGATTTGGCCAGTGGAAGCCCCTTGAAGTTGATTGATGTGTCCTTTGACATGTCCCTGTCATTTTTTAAATGCTTCCTTGCTTTCTGGCACCACACAGCACTCTGGGCTCACCTTGTACTTCCCTACCCCAGCCTTAGCATCAGCCATTTCTACAAGGAGCTCTGAGTCCTTTTAGTGAAGGGTGGTATTTATAAACCACAATCTGGATGGTTTGTGGATATTGCACAGCATTCAGTCAGAAGCCATGGGAAATGAAGCGACATTTATTGAAACTTGTATTAGTCAAGCAACTTAATGCTAGGCTAAGTTGCAGTGAGTAATAATCCCTAACCCCAGTGACAGTGCAGAAAAAGAAGGGTTTCATATGTGGAGTGTGATGCATGTCAATGGGAGTTTCCTCCACCTGGTGACTCAGGTATCCAGGCACATTCATCTCTGCGGGTCTGCCATCTTGACACGAGGTCATTGCAGAAGGAGAGAGGGTGTAGAGTCATGCCAGTTCTTAGGTGCTCCTGACAAGGAGATCTGCAGCACTCTGCTCACATTCCTGTTTTCCAGAACTCAGCCAGTACCCAGTGCAACTGCCAAAGAGTCTGGGAAGCATAGAGAGTACACGGATAGCTGGAGATCCCTCATCACTACTGTCATGATATGTTCATTTATGCAATACATATCAATGGGTTCACCCCAGTCAGGCTGACTCCAAGAGGCTAAGATGACTTCACCTTGGGTGGTTTGCAGCTGGGAAAGAAAGGCAAGTCGGCACCGATCGAACAGATCATTCACTTCAGTGGGCTGTCGAGCTGTGCTAGAGGCAGGTGCAGTGTGCTGCAGAAATACAGATGGTGACTACTACCCTGGAGTCTTGGGGAGATCCTGGTGTGCATTGGTGTGGGGTTGGAAAGGTGAGTTGGCACTCACCCCCTTCAAGAAGAAGTGGGAAGGACATTTCAGACAGGGGCAAGTGCAAACGCACAGGGCCTGAAAGAACTAGGCTGGGAGAAGAGGATGGCATTGGAATGGGTGGGAGAGGGGTCTGCTGGGGAAAGCTGGGGAGGCAAGAGACGAGGCTGGACAAGCAGATTGTGAAGGGCCACACTGAGGAGCTGGGGATTAGTACATTAATTTTTATTAATTGGATTAATGATTAATAATGTGGGTGGCAGGGAATCATAGGGAGTGTGAAGAACACTGTGGTTGTGTTTTAGGAGGATTGCCTTGGTGGTAGAGCGTTGGATGGAGGAGATAGGAGTGGGGGTGAACACATCAACACAGAGACCTGCCCAAAGGCTCTGGCAGCCATGCAAGCAAAAAGCGTCGAGGACCTCAATTAGGAGGTAGCACTGGGGATGGATAGAAGGGGTTGGCTGGTGGAGCCATTTTGAGATAATGAATCAATAATAGCTTCCATCTATTGTGGATTGTCAAGATGTATTATTGGCTCACAATCCTTCCTGGCCTTTCCACATTCCTGCGACTTCCCTGTGGACAGGACAGAGCAGATTTCTTGCTGTGCACATGACCAGCTTTGGCTAGAGATGCATGAGCAGAGTTAGTGCATGCCTGGTCTGACTGGAGGCTCTAACTGAATGTGGTGTTGGGTGGCAGCACTGACCCTACCCCTGCACAATGAGAAGAGCAAGCTCCGGGGAACCACTGGCCTGTGAATGAGACACACAGAAGCAAACAGAGCCTGGCCCCCAGTCCGAGGCAAGGCTTCCCAGCTCACTGCAAATTATTAGCAAGAAATAAACACTTGTTTTGAGCTGCTGAGCCCCTGGGGCTGTGTGTTATGCAGCAATGCTGTAAAAACACTTGACCAATACAGGGACTTGCCCTTTCGTAAGTACAGCATCTCATTTACCCATGATATCTCTTCATAGTAAGGATTAGGGATGCCATTTTAAAGATGAGGCAACTGAGGCTTAGAGAGGTTACGTCACTTGCTTAAGGTTCCAGAGCTGGTAAGTCAGAGAAGGATTTGAAGCCAGGACTGTCTCGTAAGCCCATCCTTCTGCCTCTGTCTACACAGTGCTGCCTTTCAAAGGTGGCAAGCTCTTGAGTTAGCCATTTTAACCTGCCAGAAACCTCCTTGCTCCTGAACTGGGGAGAGGGACTGAGCTTTGGATTTCAAGAGGAGGATCTAGGGCCACCATCAGGGGTCCTGTGCTTGAGGTGATGTGGCTGGCTCATCACCTGAGCCTTTCCACCTGCCCCTCCCCATCCCCTCCCCTGTACCCTGCTCCCTGCCCTGTGCCAAGCTGAGCACATTGGCAGGGCTGGTGGCTGGGAGCTCAGCATGTATCCTGTAGCCACAGAACAGAGCTTTTCTTGCTATAATACAGAGTTCAGTCTTGATATCAGCAGTGGGTGCAGCAAAATCCCACCGATTTTCTTATCAAGTTTTCCATTTGTGTCAGTGAAGCAAATCCAATTTAAAATACATCTTCAGAAAAAGGAGGGTCAGTGAGTTCAAACAGAAGAATATTTGCTAACTGGATCAGGAAACCTCGCTCTGTGCTAAACTGTTTGAGGAAAATCCTCTTAGCACAATTTTGCAGGAGCCAGGCATGTGAAAGGATCATTTCCTCACTATCAACCCCTGAGATCAGGGCTCTGGCTGGATGAAACGAGGCAGCTGCTTAGCTGATTAGAGCCTGTGCTGATGAGGCTGAGCTCTGAAAGTCAACATCAGGGAGAGATCTTGGTTTCCAGTAGTTTTTAATTCTTCCCAACTCTTTGTGGGAAAGAGCCTGGGTAAGACAGGACACCAACTACTTGCTCAAAACCACCATCCCCACCAGACAAGCAGCTCATGGAACCCTCCCTGGGAAAGACTGAAGGCTGTGGAGACCTAGCTGCATATTATATTATATTTTGCATTATAAGGTCTTATCGATACAGAGAAAACTCTCAATTTCAAAAAATGATGAGAAACTCAGTCTTTTTTTTTTTTTAGATAGTCTTGCTCTGTCTCATCTCCCAGGCTGGAGTGCAGTGGCACGATCTCAGCTCACTGTAACCTCTGACTCCTGGTTCAAGTTATTCTTCTCCCTCAGCCTCCCGAGTAGCTGGGATTACAGGTGTCTGCCACCTCACCCAGCTAATTTTTGTATTTTTAGTAGAGATGGGGTTTTGCCATGTTGGTCAGGCTGGTTTGAGCTCCTGACCTCAGGTGATCTACCCACCTCAGCCCTGAAAGTGCTGGGATTAAAGGCGTGAGCCACCACACCTGGCCAAAAAATGAAGAGAAACTCAGTGTTTTGGATAACAGGGAGAATGTTTAGTGTTCTAAAAATGTATCCTTTCACATGTAAAGCTTCTTGCCTCTGAGCCTTTGCCAGTGCTGTTCCGTCTGCTAGGGTCGTACTTCCACCCTGCATGCTGGTGAATTCCACTTTGCCCTCCAGCCCAAGCATCATATTTTCCAGACAGTCATTTGCCATGCTGCCCACCAAACAGGCTGTCCCTTGTTCTCATGCCACTGCTGAACATTGTTTATTCCTTGTGCTAGGCAGGGCTCTGTCAGTTGTAACAACTGAAACTCCACTTAGACATGTTTCAGCTGAAGGGTGACTTATTGATTTTTATAACTGCAAAGACCATGGTATGCCTGAATTTGAAGGTTCAAGTAAGTTATTTTCTCTCTCTCTCTCCTCTTCCTCTCCTCCTTCTCATTTTCCTTCTCTTTTTCTTTCCTCTCCTCCTTCCCTCCGTTCTTCTTTTCCTTCTTTTTCTCTTTCTCCCTCTCTCCTTACTTTTTTCTCTTTCTCTCCTTTTAATTTGCTCTATTCTCTATATGGGTCTCGTTCCTTCTACTGCAAATAAGGAAAATGACCACCTGGAAACCCAAAAGGCCCACCACATCCCAGCAGAGCCACCCCAGCTGAAAGAAACCCAGCTTCTCTCTCCAGCTTCTACACATCAATCCAGGCCAGAACTCCATCTGACCCTTGTGAGACATGCTTCCACACCTCAGTGGACCACTGAGGCTCGGGAATTCAGCATAATGATGGGCACTTCTGGGGTCATGGGCCTTCCCTGTAGCTAAGGTGACAAAAGGACAGACTGGTCTGGAATGTCCATGCCAGCTGGCTTACATGCCCAGCCATTGATGCTGGCTGCTTTCTGGGAGCTCAGTTGTGCTCTAGACCAGAAAACCTCCATGTGGCCTCTCCACATGACCCTCATTTCTCAGCATGGTGGCTGCGGCCCAACGGGGAGACTCTCATGAGCAAAGTTTCCAAAAGACCAAAGTGGCAGCTGCGAGCCTCCTCATGGCTGAGCCTCAGCCCCCATGCAGCATCAGAGCCACTGCAGTCTTGGCTTCCCAGGAGGCCAGCCCAGAAGCAGCAAGAAAGGGGACCTGGAAACCAGGAGGTTTGGTTCGAGGGAAGGCCCTCTGATATAATTTGGATATTTATCTCCACCCAGATTTCAAGTTAAATTGCAGTCTCCAGTGCTGGAGTTGGGGCATGGTGGGAGTTGTTTTGACCATGGGGGTAGATCCCTCATGGCTTGCTGCTGTCTTTGAGATAGTGAGTTCTTGTGAGATCTGGTTATTTAAAAGTGTGTGGCATGTCCCTCCCCACACCCACCGACTCTCTCTTCCTTGTTCCTGCTTTGGCCACATGATGTGCCTGCTCATGATTGTAAACTTCCTAGGCCTCCTTAGAAGCCAAGCAGATGCCAGCACCATGCTTCTTGTGAAGCCCGCAGAACAATGAGCCAATACAAACTCTTTTCTTTATAAATTAACTTATCTCAGATATTTCTTTATAGCAACGCAAGAATGGCCTGATACGCCATCTTTGGAGACTAGCTAGCACATGGGCCTTCTCCATCTGTAGCTACACTTCTAGAACAGACATGGCTTCCAAGGCCACTGCAGCAGCTGGAGGAAGAGCTCAGGGTCCTGTGGGATGTTCCTCAGGCTCAGATCTGTGGTTCCGCCCACATTCTATTGGCCATAATCTCGCTCCCTAGCCTCCACTTGACAGCAAGGAACCTAAGGGAAGGGATCTGCTGAGGGCAATCTCTGCCACAAGGAGCAAGTGAAAGCAAGTAGAGAGGAAGCCAAGACTGATGCCCAAGTGGGAGAGGTGCTGAGGAGAGAGGTCTTTTTTTTTTTTTTGACAGAGTTCTGAATGTTTCAGAGTAGTCCAAGTGCACCCAAAAGCACAATAATTAAATGAGGGGCAGGAGAGTGGTTTAGAAGAAGATTGTTTTTCTGGATTCAGCTCCAACAAAGTTTGTCCTGCAGGTCTTGGTGCGGTGCCATGGTCCTTCTCGCCAATAATATTCAGCCTGGATACCCCGCTGTGGCTCTACCAGGGAGGAAAATATTTTCCTGCCACTGCCCTGAGCCTCCTGACTGACCCCAGCTGCCTTAGACATCCCAGCTTTTGGGACTACCCCAGACCTCCCTATAACCAGCAATCAGAGGCTGGCACAGCAAGGGTGCTTTGGAACCCTGCCTGGTGCTCCAGGGTGACAGGCAGCACCTGCTGTCATTGGTCAGTGTCTGTGCAGTATTTGCTAGAGTTTTGTGGATCTCAGCCTTGAAATCTGTGTCTTTCTATAGTCAAAGGATCTGAGTTGGGAGAAGGCACCTAGATATGCTCCACCATAGCGTTCTGGTGTTTCCTGTCATCTCTGAAGCCTCTGAGCTCTTATAACAGGGGCTTAAAGATGGTAGCATTGAGATATGAAGGCTTGTAGTTGTTGTCCAGTTCAGGGGACTTTAACTCCAGGTATCTGGAACTTAGAATAAATCCTCATGCCCTCACCATGGCAACAGGGCTCACCTCCTCTGTCTCATACCTCTCCCTCCCTTGGCCACTATTGCTACAGATATCCTGACCCTTTTACCTCTTTATCAAATAAGCCCACTCTGCCCCAGGGCCTTTGCATGGGCTTACTTTCCTCCAAGAATAATTTACTCCTGATATTTGCCTGACTAAATCCTTCTCACCTTTCTGATTGCAAAGAGGCTTCCTTGACAACTCATTCTGAAGCAGCTTTTCCCTCCAGTCTAGCTACTTTCTCTTTCGTTATTCTGTTTGATTTTATTTATAGCACTTAGCACTGTATGACATTGTTTATTTTGAAATTGTTTATTTCTCTCTCCTCAATAATATAAGCCCAAAAAAGACAAGGAATATGTTTTTGATTCTGTTTCTATCCCCGGGCCCTAGAATAGGGTCTGGGAGATAGTTGCAGCAGAATCCCTAGCTGAAATGGCAATCTTGTGCTAACTGGAAAAAAAGAGCTCCCTTGCCCCCATCCCTGTTTTTTTTTTTTTTTTTTTTTTTTTTTTTTTTAGATGGAATCTCCCTCTGTTACCCAGGCTGGAGTGCAGTGGTGTGATTTCGAAGAGAGCCCTTTCTTGATATACTTTGTCATCTTCTGCTAGAAGTTTTTTATACTCATTATACAAACCCACCCTATCTGTTACTTACACACCCTGTATGGCCCTGCTTCCACCCCAGCAAAAATGCTTGTGGAATGAATGAATGGGTTGGTGGAAGTCAGGGGGACTGGAACATCTGAAAACAAATGTCAGTGTGTGTGGCCAGCGTCTGTGCACCTTTCTTGATTGATTGAATCTTCTGTGCATTGATTTCATGGTATTGGGCACAGAATCCCCTTTTTTGCTCATTACCAACAAAGATTTGTCAAGCACCCACTCACTGTGTTCACTTGGGGAATTCAGACATGAACAAGACACAATTTCTTGATTTAAGAAGCTGAGATTCTAGAAGGCCAGGCAGTGATGTGAAAGATGGTGCATTCCAGGGTCATAATGGCTACACTAGGAGCCAGCCCAGGGCTCTCCTGGAGCACAGGACACCTGTTCAGTGCAGAGGACTCAGTAAGTCTTTCTGGAGAAGTGATTGAGCTGGCTCTGCAGGATGGAGAGGTTTGAAAATTGCTAAGTGCTTTGTACAACTTATAAAAATCCACGTTGCCCAGTTTCCAAGCAGTCTCATGTTCAGTAGACAAAAGGCAATTTTCAAACTGAAATTCTTTACTTGCATTTCTATTTCTATTTTCCTTCCTTCCTTTCTTCCTTCCTTCCTTCCTTCTTTCCTTCCCCCACCCCACCCCCTGAGTCTTGTTCTGTTGTCCAGCAGACTGGAGTGCAGTGGTGTGATCTCGGCTCACTGCAACCTCCAACTCCTGGGTTTGAGTAATTCTCCTGCCTCAGCCACCTCTCTATCTTTCTGTAGCTGGGATTACAGACACATGCCACCATGCCTGGCTAACCCAGATGCGGTTTCACCATGTTGGCCAGGCTCTTCTTGAACTCCTGACTTCAAGTGATCCACCTGCCTCTGCCTCCCAAAGTACTGGGATTACAGGTGTGGGCCACCGCGCCCGGCCCTTTACTTGCATTTCTTAAGTTGTGTGAAGTCAGTAGGGATTGTTCTCTAGAATTCCCTTTTACTCTCCTATCCACATTCCCCTAGATTGTAGTTCCCTCACCTCTTTCACACAATCTTACCTGCAAAACTCCACCCACAGCTTTCAATACCTCTCCCACTTCTCTGCTCTTTATTGTGAAGACAAGCACAGTTTCTTCCTTTTGGGACCATTCCTCCCTGCTCTGGCTTTTCAGGTCTAATAATGTATCCATCCTCTATCACAAAAGCCAAGCTAGAATCCTCTTTGGAGCACAGCCCAGGTCAAGAAACTGCATAGATACAGCAGAGGGAGAAACGAGGTTCAGAACACTCATGCATTAACTGTTTTGATCTCATCACAGTTTCTTCCTTTTTTTTTTTTTCTGAGGTGGAGTCTCGCTCTGTCACCCAGGCTGGAGTGCAGTGGTGCCATCTTGGCTCACTGCAACCTCTGCCTCCCACACGCCACCATGCCTGGGTAATTTTTGTATTTTTAGTAGAGACAGAGTTTCACCATGTTGGCGAGGATGGTCTCAATCTCCTGACTTCATGATCTACCTGCCTCGGCCTCCCAAAGTGCTGGGATTACAGGCCTGAGCCATCACACCTGGCTGGTCTCATCACACTTTCTAAACGACTATTATTAACTCATTTCCCAGATGAGAAAACTGAAGCTCAGAAAGATCAAGCGACCTGCCCAATATCCCAAAGCTATTAAGTGCCTATTCTTCCTGCCTGCCATACTTCCCTTCCCTCTGTCTTCCCCTTTGCCTACTTAACTGTGATTCAACCCAAAGAGAAATTTCCCCAGGAAAGCCTTTCCTAAACATCTTGCCTTGGCCAACCTCCCCAACTACTGTACACTTCGATAAGGCTGTGAACTTTCCCTTCACAGCCCTTGTCACATTCGTAATTGTTCATTTCCTTGGATTATTCCTGGGTTAAAGTCTATCTAGACTTTACGCATTTTTTTTTTTTTTTTGAGATGGAGTCTGGCTCTGTCGCCCAGCCTGGAGTGCGGTGGTGTGATCTTGGCTCACTGCAAGCTCCGCTTCCTGGGTTCACGCCATTCTCCTGCCTCAGCCTCCAAAGTAGCTGGGACTATAGGCGCCTGCCACCATGCTCAGCTAATTTTTTGTATTTTTGTAGAGAGGGAGTTTCACTGTGTTAGCCGGGATGATCTCAATCTCCTGACCTCATGATCCACCCGCCTCAGCCTCCCAGAGTGCTGCGATTATAGGCATGAGCCACTCTGCACAGCCTAGACTTCAAGCTTTTAGAATAGCGTCTCTCTCTCTCTCTCTCTCTCTCTCTCTCTCTCTCTCTTTCTCTGTCTCCCTCCCATTGTATAACCAGTGAGTAAAACAACATCTGGGACATGTCAGTACTTGCTAAATATTTACTGAATAAAAGAATGAATGACTGAAATTCAAACCCGTGTCTCCAAAATCCAAGTTCTTGTCTGACATCATGACTTGTTGTTCTCCAGGAGAACAGGAGACGTCTCTCTCTGTCTCCTAGGCTGAGATTGCAGTGGTGCAATCTCAGTTCACTGTACCCTCTGCCTCCTGGGCCCAAGTGATCCTCCCACCTCAGTCTCCCAAGTAGCTGAGATCATAGGCATGGACCACCATGCCTGGCTAATTTTTGTATTTTTAGTAGAGACAGGGTTTCGCCATGTTGGCCAGGCTGGTCTTGAGCTCCTGGCCTCAAGTGATCCACCTGCCTTGGCCTCCCCAAGTGCTAAGATTACAGGCACGAGCCACCATGCACAGCCATGCATATCTCCTTTATGTAACTTAACAACATCTGCAACGTTTGTTTGTGTGAGTTTTTTTATTCTGCCTGCATTTGTGTATGTGAGTCTTTTCCTATGGATTTTTCCCACCATGGCTGTAAGCACCATGAGAGTGAGGAAAATAGCTGTTTTGCTTTATCATATTTTCTCTGGTGCCTAACAAAGTACCTGGAACACAAGAGAGTAACTAATGGGATAAATACACGCATTAATGGGATTTGTCAATGAAGGGAAAAATTTAGTGCATTAGCTTGAATGAGGAGGTAGGTCCTACTGGCCTCTTGGGTAGAGGCCAGGGCTGCCACTAAACATTCTACAATATACAGGACAGCCTCCCACACCAAAAACTATACAGCTTAAAATGTCGATAGTGCTGAGGTTGAGAAATCCTGGTTTGACATATTATTCCTGTGTTAAAATTAATATATGTAAAACAATTTCCTCAGTTGTTAACATGGCATTTTTATCAAGCAATTTTGTTTTCTCTGAAATATACCTCAGATTGTTTTTAGTTTTTCCAGGGGAAACTATTCATCTTTTACTAGAGAAAAGAATATGGCAAACAGTGAATCTGTGTTTCAGGAAGGGTAACGTCGTTTTTCTTTTAATTTCCCTTTTGAAGCTCTCGGGGTGCTACCAACATCTTGGAAATCTGGATAATTTGAGTATTACTAAGGGAATAGTTTCATTCTACATGCTACAAATGTTTAATCATTTTATTTATCTAAAGCTCCTTTCTTGGCCAGGTGCGGTGGCTCATGCCTGTAATCCCAGCACTTTGGGAGGCTGAGGCAGGTGGATCACCTGAGGTCAGGAGTTGGAGACCAGCCTAGCCAAAATGGCAAAACCCTGTCTCTACTAAAAAAGTATAAAAATTAACTGTGTGTGGTGGTGCGTGCCTGTAATCTCAGCTACTTGGGAGGCTGAGGCAGGAGAATTGCTTGAACCCAGGAGGTGGAGGTTGCAGTGAGCTGAGTTTTCGCCACTGCACTCCATCCTGGGCAACAGAGCAGGACTTCTTCTCAAAATGAATGAATGAATGAAAGGAGAGGGAAAGGAAGCTCCTTTCTCTTCTATTCCCAGTATTGCACCCCAAAAATAAGTAATCCATAAACCCCCAATGTATATTTCTGTTTTCTTAACTAGTTCTGAACAAAATGTTCAGTGTTGGCTGGGCATGGTGGCTCATGCCTGTAATCCTAGCACTTTGGGAGGCTGAGGCTGAGGTCAGGAGTTTGAAACCAGCCTGGCCAATGTGGTGAAACCCCCTCTCTACTAAAAATACAAAAATTAGCTTGGCGTGGTGACGTGTGCCTGTAATCCCAGCTACTCAAGAGGCTGAGGCAGGAGAATCACTTGAATCCTGGAGGCAGAGATTGCAGTGAGCCGAGATCGTTCCACTGCACTCCCGCCTAAAACTCCATCTCAAAAAAAAGCAGGTGTTTTACTCTTAAAATAAGACATTAAAAAAATACTTCTGTTGTCTCCCCTCTTAGAACTGGTAATCTCTTCCTTCTCCACCCTCATCCCCTGCTGTAATTCTATATTGAAATATCATTGTATTTTGTGCCAGATGTCTTTGTATAAAACCAACTTAGTTCTGTGAGAAGAGTTGTACGTTTTTAATATTTTTGTTCTTTTTGTAGACTGCAGGAACAAAAATAGCCTTCCTATAGTAAGGTGGCAATTCACATTAAGAATGTAGATAAGCAAATTTAAACTTTTAAATGTAATTTGTCTAAAAAAATTGAAAAACAGTGTATAGTAAAAATCTCTCCTCCAACCAACGGAAAGTACTTTTATGTAAGATCCTTTAAGTTACTGACTTGAATCTTTACGTAAGGTAATTTGCTAGTATCTATTTTATAAATAATGTTATTTAATACTGTTTTATTTTCTATAGAATCCTGGTGTTTTTCCATGTAAATTTTTAAAAATTCTTAAAGTATGTATCCCTCATTTTCCCCTATAGTTGTTTGCTTCTACTTCTGTTTTTAAGAGATAGCATCTCAGTTGTTTAAGCTGGAATGCAGTAGCATGATCATGGCTTACTGCAACCTTGACTTCTTAGGCTCAAGCAGTCCTCCTGTCTCAGCCTCTAGAGTAGCTGGGATCACAAATGCATGCCACCATACCTGGCTAACTTTTCTTTTCTTTTCTTTTTTATTTTTTTGAGATGGAGTCTCACACTATCACCGGGCTGGAATGCAGTGGCGTGATCTCAGCTCACTGCAACCTCTGCCTCCCAGGTTCAAGTGATTCTCCTGCCTCAACCTTCCAAGTAGCTGGGATTACAGGTGCCCACCACCATGCCCAGTGAATTTTTTGTATTTTTTTTGATAGAGATGGGGTTTCACCATGTTGGCCTGGCTGGTCTCGAACTCTTGACCTTGTGATTTGCCCACCTCGGCCTCCCAAAGTGTTGGGACTACAGGTGTGATCCATCACACCCGGCCAACTTTTCTTTTTTTTTTTTTTTAAGAGACAGGGTCTTGCTCTGTTGTCCAGGTTGGTCTCAATTCCTGGGCCCAAGCAATTCTCCCACCTGGGCCTGCCAAGGTGCTAGTATTATAGGCGTGAGCCACTGCACCCAGCCCTTTATAGTTTCTTTCTTTTTTTTGAGATGAAGTTTCCCTCTGTCACCAGGCTGGAGTGCAGTGGTGCGATCTCGGCTTACTGCAACCTCTGCCTCCCTGGTTCAAGCGACTCTCCTGCCTCAGCCTCCCGAGTAGCTGGGACTACAGATGTGTGCCACCACGCCCTGCTAATTTTTGTAGTTTTAGTAGAGACGGGGTTTCGCCATGTTGGCTAGGCTGGTCTCAATCTTTTGACCTCGTGATCCACCCGCCTCGGCCTCCCAAAGTGCTGGCATTACAAGCGTGAGCCACTGTGCCCAGCCAGCTCTTTATAGTTTAAGAGGAAGGATAAACCTTAAGAGATCACAACACTATATTTGTGTCAGGGATCCACAAGACTGCCTCCATGTTTGGAGATTTGCTAGAAGGACTCATGGGATCAGCTTAGGGTTGTAATGGCTAAGATTTATTACTGTAACATAGTATGGATATATAGTAGAAAGATCTCAATGGCAAAAGACACTGACAGAGTCTGGAAAAATCCATGTACCGGCTTCCTTATGTGCTGTGCCTTCCATGAGGATCACACAGACTACCTTCTTTCCCCCTTAATGAAAATACAACAACCTATGTGACTTCCCAAGAAACACAGGTTTTATCTCGGCTGGGTCACATATGTGTACTCTGCCTAGCATGTGTGAAATTTCCAGACTCACAAAAAGAATAGCAGGATAAGCCACATTATTTCCATAGTCTAGATACAGTAAACCATGATTACCAGTTATGGAACCCTCTTGAAATTCAAGTCCTCAGAAGCCAGCCTAGGACCAACTGTGCAGACAGACAGACCCTCCTTCACAGGATAATATAATAGTCTCAGATCTGCTTTGTTAATTTTTGTTTGCATAGAGTTTTATAATTGGAAGATGTCTCAAATGCTACATATTTCTGTCTAATGGACTTTAGTAAGAGTGTTGTATAGTATACAACATGGAATTATTCTCCATTATAGGCAGGCTGTGATAAGTGTTCTAATGTTTATACAAAAGAACTCTGTAACTTTGAGCAGAGTAAAGAGAGTGTTAACGATACTTTTGACTGCAAATAGTGGAAAAATGTTGTGTTTAACTCTGAAATATGCTTTGCCTGATATTAGTATTTCTATTCTAGCTTTCTCTTGACTAGCGTAAGCATGGTATATATTATTCCATTCTTTTATTTTAACCTGTTTGCATCTTTGTATTTAACTTGTGTTTCTTGAAGGTGATAGTTTTATTTCTCTGATAAAAACATATAAGAAGACAATCACATTAAATGTATATGGTCTAAAACCTCTGCTTTTTAATTGGGGGTATTTAGACCATGTACATTTAATATGATTGTCTTCTTATGTTTTCTATTTATCTCTATCTGTTCCTTGCATTTTTCTTGCATCCCCCACCTGCCAAGATGGGGTCTTGCTCTGTCACCCAAGCTAGAGTGCAGTGGTGTGATCATACCTTACTGCAGCCTTGACCTGCTAGGCTCAAGTGATCTACCTCAGCCTCCCAATAGTGGAGACCACAGTTGTGCACCATCATACCCGGCTACTTTATTTTTTTATATATGGGGTCTCACTATGTTGTCCAGGCTGGTCTCATACTCCTGAGCTCAAGTGAGTCTCCTGCCTTGGCCACCCAGAGTGCTGGGATTACAGGTGTGAGCCATTGCACCTGGTCTTCTTGCATGCTTTTACTTTATTTATTTATTTATTTTTTTTGAGAGAGAGAGTCTCGCTCTGTTGCCAGGCTGGAGTGCAGTGGCGCTATCTTGGTTCACTAGAGTCTCCGCCTCCTGGGTTCAAGCGATTCTCCTGCCTCAGTCTCCTGAGTAGCTGGGATTACAGGTGTGCACCACCACACCCAGCTAATTTTTGTATTTTTAGTAGAGACGGGGTTTCACCATGTTGGCCAAGATGGTCTCGATCTCCTGACTTTGTGATCCGCTTACCTTGGCCTCCCAAAGTGCTGGGATTACAGGCGTGAGCCACCGTGCCCAGCTTACATTATTTATTATGATTCCAGTTTGCCTCTTTTTATTACTTTTACCTATTTTTAAAAATTATTTTTGTGGTTCCTTTAAGATTATAGTGCACATTTAGAGAGGTCAAGTAATATTGTACACTTCATCTATAATAAAAGCATTCCTTCATTTACTTTCTTTTCCTCCCTCCTGCACTTTGTGCTATTGCTGCCATGCATTTGACTTTTACATATGTTATAAACTCTGTAACATTTTGCTGTTTTTTTATTAAACATGTATCTCTTAGAGATTTAAATAATAAAAAATTTAAAAGATGTTTGCTCATATAGTTACCACTTTGGTGCTCTTTATTCCTTCGTATTGATCCAGATTTTCATCTGACATCATTTTGTTTCTGAAGAATATCCTTTAACATTTCTTGCAGTGAAGGTCTCCTGGTGATGAATTATTTCATTATTTATGTTTCTGGTGTGTCTTTATTTCACCTTCATTTTTGAAAGATATTTTTGCTAGGCATAGAATTCTAGTTGGCCTTTTTTCTTCTAGAACTTTAGAGATGTACCGCTGTCTTCTCACTTGCATTGTTTCTCAAAAGAAATCTGATGTTGTTCTTATCTTTGTTCTTCTATAGGTAACATGTCTTTTTATACACCTGCTATTAATAATGTTTCCTTGATTTTGAACAATTTGATTATGTTATCCCTTAGTGTAATTTTCTTCATGTTTCTTGTGCTTGGGGTTTGCTGAGTTTCTTGGATCCGTGAGTTAATAGGTCTTGTTATGGCTAGAACATTTTCAGCAGTTGTTTCTTCAAGTATTTTTTTTCTCTTTCTTTTTTTTCTCCTTTGGGGACTCCAGTTACCTGCATATTATTAGGCCATTTGAAGTTGCCTGACTGCTCACTGATGCTTTTTAAAAATCACTTTTTAACATTTTTTTTTCTTTTTGTACTTTAGCTAGTGTCTGTTCTTGTATCTTCAAGTTTGCTAATCTTTTCTTCTGCAGTTTCTAATCTGCCTTAGTTCATCCAATGTAATTTTCATCTCAAATGTTTTTGTCTTTGAAAGTTTGATTTTGGCTTTTCTTGTTTATCTCCCATGTCTCTATTTAATGTTTTGATTATATGAGATACATGTATAAAAACAGTTTTAATGTCCTCCTCTGCTAATTTTAACATCTATTTAAGTTCTGGGTCAGTTTTGATTGATTATTTTCAGTTTGCATCATGATTGTCTGCTGCTTTTTATGCCTGGTAATCCTTATTTAGTTGTAAAATTTACCGACAAAAGCAAAGTGACAAAAGGAGATAGGAAATATCATGAAAACAATTTCTCCAAAAAAAAAAAAACTTATGATGCCTAATCCCCTGAATAAAGACATTTAAGCCTTTCTTGCTTCATATTTAGACAAAAATCTTCCTGCTTATGTTCCTATTTCATCTCTGAAAACAGTGTAAGCAACCAGTTGTCCGAGGCACCATTCTTGGACAGTAATAATGTGCTGTCCTTCGTATATGAAGATGTAATTACTGTAGTAGCAACAAAAACCTAAGCTTTTGGATTGGATTCTGTTTTGGTTTTATTTTCTTCTACCACTACAATAAATGACACATAATCTTTCACTCTTAACAATAAATGGTGCATAATTTTAAGACAATTATGTGGAATTCAGAGAGAAATTCATGCTCATGGAACACGATTTATATTCTGTGAAGTATTAACAATGACTTAATGAATGAACACGTAATCTGATTTAACTAACACCATCTTATTAATTGATATTACATACACAGATCAAAATTTTGTAATATATTGAACAGGACTTAACAGAAAACTACATATATGTAAGTGATTAATAATCTTTCAATACGATGATGAAGCCAACAGAAAACTATAAAAACTATATTTGAGAAAGATGGAAAGTGGTAATAGGAGTATATATGTTCTCCAACTTCTAAATTAGAGAAAATCTTACGAGTCAGCAAGTTAACACTTAATTTGATTATTTTTGATGTTACCAGCCCCAGAAATAGCATTCTGAAACAGATTACAGGCTTTCTTCTTTCTATTTGTTGATACATCAACTACCACAACTCACCTTTCATTTTGTTGCTAAATTTTCAGAATAAAGTGTGTGTGTGTGTTAAAATTCTCCTGCTAAAATAATCTTTCTATGTTCTTACATATTTAGGTTTGGAATATGGTTCATGATGGCAGAATTGTCCAGGTCAATATAGTAAAATACTCTGACCAAGACAGTAGGACCCAGACTCAAGCTGGGGAAGAGATAAATAAGCTCAGTTAAAAAGAAAAAGAGGGCCAGGAATGGTGGCTCACACCTGTAATCCCAGCACTTTGGGAGGCCAAGGCGGGCAGATCACCTGAGGTCGGGAGTTCAAGACCAGGCTGACCAACATGGAGAAACCCTGTCTCTACTAAAAAATACAAAATCAGCTGGGTGTGGTGGTGCATGCCTGTAATCCCAGCTACTCGGGAGGCTGAGGCAGGAGAATCGCATGAACCCGGGAAGTGGAGGTTGCGGTGAGCCAAGATCATGCCACTGCACTCCAGCCTGGGCAACAAGAGCAAGACTGTCTCAAAAAAAAAAAAAAAAAGAAAGAAAGAAAGAAAAAGAAAAAGAGGTTGGGCATAATGTCTCAAGCCTGTAATCTTATCACTTTGGGAGGTCAAGGCAGGAAGATGGCTTGAGCCCAGGAGTTCAAGACTAGCCTGGGCAACACACTGAGAATCCATGTCTACAAAAAACTAAATAACTTAGTGGAGCAGGGTGGTGCACACCTGCAGTCCCAGCTACTTGGCTGGGAGGCTGAAGTGGGCAGATCACTTGAGCCAGAGAGGTTGAGGCTACAGTGAGTCATGTTTCTACAACTGCACTTCAACCTGGGCTACAGAGCGAAATCTTGCCTTAAAAAAGAAAGAAAAGAAAAAGAAAAAAGAGAAGAAGAAAAGAAGAAAGAAAAGAAACTTGCTGCATAGACATGACCATATTCATTTGAAAGCAAGTTAGTAAATATGTATCCTGAAAAGATAGTTTAGAAAAGAAACTTACAGGCCATGACCAGAGTGATTATAAAACATTCTCTTAACAGTTAGCAGGTGGAATAAAAAGTGTATTCTTTAAAATGATTTCATTACTAGTAAATAGTTCTATAAGGAAAAGTAGGGGGAAAAAGGCAAAGAAATATGAAACTAAGTCAATGAAAAGCAAATAGGCTATGATCACACATCTAAAGGCCATGAACATGGCAAAGAGTATTTTAAAGAATCTAAAAAGTGTACTTTGAATTTTAAAGTATTTTAAGAGATTAATTTTATAAAAGGAAAAACAGTGTTATCACGCAGAAGGACCATATTTAGTATAATCAAAAGTTTAAGAAATTGGCCAGGAGTGGTGGCTCACACCAGTAATATCAGCATTTTGGGAGGCCGAGGCGGGCGGATCGGATCACCTGAGGTCAGGAGTTCAAGATCAGCCTCGCTGACATGGCAAAACACCACCTCTGCTAAAAGCACAAAAATTAGCCAGGTGTGGTGATGCACACGGGTAATCACAGCTTCTTGGGAGGCTGAGGCATGAGAATTGCTTGAATCTGGGAGGCAGAGGTTGCAGTGAGCCAATATCATGTCACTGCACTCCCGCCTGGGCAATAGAGCAAGATTCTGTCTCAATCAAAAAAAAAAAAAAGAGTTTAAGAAATTAAGGAAAGCTGAGTGTAATGAAACCTTTTCAAGGGTAGTAGTGGTATAGCTCAAACCTGGTTTGAATTCCAGCTTTGTCACTTACTGGGTAAGTAAGTAGCAGCCTTAAGCCCAACTGGTGTTTGCTATTTGCACGTATTTTCATAAATAAAAGTGGTCTGTAATGTTTTCACAGTGTTGTCAAACTTCAAGATTATTAAAACTATTAATATCCTGTTTAATGTTTAAGAATAAATAACTATTTGATATCTTTTAACTACTGTCCTATCACTGACTTTTAAGACTCTTACTGACAATTTTGTGATTTTTTCATGTAATCATCCTTTATATCTTACTTAGCAAGTTCTCTATTAGACATATGTCTGCTGAATGAAACTTAATTACAGATATTTTTGAACATTTATTAAATTTAAATTATATTTGTACTTGTAAGAAATATTTAAACAATGCTTTGTTTTTCTAAAATAAAAGAAAACCAATAGCACAAACCTTCATTTTCTAAGTGTGTCAAGTTGTTTTGTTTTTTTTATTTGCTTGTGTGTTTGTTTTTTGAGACTGAGTCTCCCTCTGTCGCCAGGCTGGAGTGCAGGGTGCGAGCTCGGCTCACTGCAACCTCCAACTTGCTGGTTCAAGTGATTCTCCTGCCTCAGCCTCCCAAGTAGCTGGAATTACAGGCATGTGCCCCTGCGCTCGGCTAATTTTTTTTTTTTTTTTTTTTTGTATTTTTAGTATAGACCAAGTTTCACCACGTTGGCCAGGATGGTCTCCTCCTGACCTCGTGATCCACCCACCTCGGCCTCCCAAAGTGCTGGGATTACAGGTGTGAGCCACTGTGCCTGGCCTATTTTAACTGTTTTATGTCTTCTGGTTTCGTGTGACAATGAAATAAGTTAATATTTCCTGCCTGCACCAACCACATTTAGGCTCTACCTTAATTGTTGATGAGGTCTTGGAGCCTCCCTTCTGCTCCCAGAGGCTTTTCTTGCTCATGTCTCCAGCCACAATATCCTGGGGGCAGCAGAAGGGTATGTCACAAGGGCAGACCCCTGGATCTTGGGGAGTAGAAGCCCTGGGCCCTTCTCTCCTGCCTTGCCTTACCTGGCCAGGGGGCCTGGGATCTGCCTACCAAAACTTTTTCTGTGCGATCCCAGTGGAAGAAGCAGGGAAAGGAATAAAGGTGCCATCCACCTCCACTCGGACAACACAGCCTTCTACACCAGCAAGGGTGAACCCAACCCTACTGCAATACCTCAGGGTTCTGTCTGCCCACATTCATCCTGGACAGTCCCACGCTTGTCTTAACAAGGAAACCTGGCCTGCTACTAAACTCCCCAGTGCTGGCTCTGCAGCCCAGCCTTGCCCCTGGAGGGGACCTTACCTTGCAGGACGGAGTCTTGGCCGCAGACTGAGCCTATACCTCACCCGTCTCCCACCAACTCTTGGTACTGGATGCAGCCATGCTGGGCAGCTCTATGGAGGCCTGGCGGGCTAGCTTGGGGGTCTGGCCAGCAGTCTGCAGAGGAGGAAAAGCATCAGGATTACCTTAGTGGACAGCCACCGTGGTCACATCAGAGGGTCACACTGGGCAACCCTCTGCTTTGTGTTTGTGTTTTCCCTGGGAGCGATTTCCCAATGCAGCCCTAGAGTGGGGATCACTGGAAAGATGTGCCTTCCTCCATTCAATGCAATTGTGAGACACCTCCCTTTCCTGAAGAGCATCAGGGAGATGATGGCGCACAAGACAGATGTGGGTCTGCCTCCATGCTGCTCATGGGGTAGGGCTGGGGGACCATGGGATGGATGGAGGGACATTGAATGGATGGAGGGACAGTGGTTAAATTGCAGAGTATTGGTTGGATGGAGGAGCATTGATTAGATGGAGGACTATTGGTTGTATAGAAAGGTGTTGATGAAGGAATATTGATTGGATGGAGGAGTACTGATTATATGAGGGAGTATTTGTTAGATGGAGGGGCACTGATTGAATGCAGTAGTAGCCACCTGGCTGGGGGCTGCTGGGCCTCGTTCCACGTGGGGAGGCAGAGCCTGGGGTGCAGGGGCCCTCATGCTCACTCACGCCCCCACTCACGACCCAGCCCCTCCAAATGGAGGGCGGCGCAGAGCTGGGGCAGAGTATTGAGGAGGTGGAGGGTTTCCATGGAGGAGAAGCCTGGCCATGTTGCTCCCCATGTTCCCATGTCCCAGCCCCTCCATGTGAGCAAGGTCTCAGCTGGGGTGTGTGTCCTTGGGCCTGGGGCATGAGATGGAGCCCAAGCTCCTCCTTGGACCTGGGCTTCCAATGGGTCCAGGGCCCTCACTCCAGCTCCACAGACCCCCTCCACCAAGCCATAGGGGAGGCGTGGCTTGGAAGCACACATTGGCACAGAGACCCCAGAAGCCCGTGTGCACACGTTTCCTTAGGTCCACCCCTAAGGGCAACGAGTCCGGGCCCCAACAGCCCCATAAAGGCCCTCACTCTGCTCACAGCTCATGCCCAACACATGGAGTGCGGCCGGGCGCGGGACTCCCTAGGCCTGGGGCACATGCAGGTGCACACCCAACTCACACACATTCTCCACGAGCCCACGCTCCGGCCACACAGGCACACATGCCCGCACCCCATGCACATACAAATATGCACGTGCTCACACACGGGAACCCTTGACATCCACGTGCATGTGCAGACAAGCTTGGGAACAAGGGGACCACGTCCCCCTCCAGGGATCCCTTCAGGGTGCTGCAGCCTCACTTTAGTGAGGCAAACATTGACTGTTTGCCTTGCCATAGCCCTGACAACGGCGGTGCCGGCCCTGGCACGAGGCCCAGGTGTGTACTCTGGGAACATCATCCATGCAGAGCTGGGCCCCTGGAGGATCACTCTGACTGAGCTCTCCCTGGCTAGGGGCCTGGGGGACAGAGTGGGGATGCAGAGTAAGCATCTCCTGGTGTCTCCCCTAAAACCCAGTGCTGGGGAGAAGCCCCGCCAGCCCCTGGCCTCTGACCCAGCAGAGCTGAGGACGTGGAGGCCTCTGGGCCCCTTCTCCGTCTCCTCCCTTTCCCCTACCCCAGGATATGAGTCATGCGGGCCCCCTCCCCATGACCTCACCGCATCACTATTCCACAGCCGGGCTCCGTTCTGGGAACTGAAAGGGGGGCAGCTCTCCTGGGGTGGGGTGGGGGCCTCTGGCCTGGGAAAGGCGCCCCTCGGTCAGCGGCCCAGGCCCCTTGGCATACACCACGGAGCTGTCAGGACTCTGGGATGGCCGACCCCGCCCGTGGCCCTGGCTCAGCCCCGTGCAGCTGCGAGGGATTTGGTGTTCCTGCGCAAATGCAGTTAGGCCATTTCCTATGTCTGTTCCGGCTCCGAAGTCCAAGGTTCAGCCCAAGCGGCCAGGCGGTGGGGGGGGGGCTCCATCCACCTCCCACCCCAGCACACCCCCCCCACCCTCACAGTCCCAGGCTCCACTTCGGGGCCCGGCCCCCAGCCAGGGACACCAGTATGCACAGAACCCTGAAGGATGCCTCGTTCTGAGTGGAGCTCCCCAAGCTCAGGTCTGTTCCTGTCGGCCTCGTCCACTGCCAACCACCCCCAACTCGGGACACTGGCCCTTCTTCTCCTTCCTCCACAGACCTCCCCACCTCTACCTCCCAGTCCCCACTGAGGGCCTGACAATGCCCATCTTCGGCCCAGCACTCCCAGCTACCCACTGCCGTCCTTCCCCTGCCTGGAAGTGCAGACACTTCCAGAATGGGTGTCCGGCTCGGTCCCCGTCCTGACTCTGCTCCCTACAGGCAGCTCCTGTGGCTGCCCCGCCCAGCTGTCCTGAGCCCAGAGGTCGGCTGGAGAGGGTCAGTCCTCTCTGGGGTCCTGGGGAGTCAGGAGGCTCTGGTGAAGAGCAAGGGCTGCAGGGAGGATGTCGAGGGGAGGAGGAGCTTCTCCTCCAGGCCTGACCACAGGTCTCCTGGACACCACAGGGAGCTGGCGGGAGGACTGGGGAGTTGGGCTGGGCCTTCCACCAGGGTGGTTCAGGACTCCCTGCACAGCACTGAGGTCTCTGGTCCCCTCATTAGCCCAGCCTCCCGTGGGATCATAGACTTGACCCCTCAAGTCACTGCAGAGCCCAAGAGTGGAGAAACACAGCACCGTGTGCCGGGAAAAGGTGCCCACAGGGGCCCTTCATGGCTGAGGCTTCCAGAGGGTAGTGGGACGGCAACCCCGCTCCCCACCAGCCGCCCACCACAGCGTTCATGATACAGCTTCGGAGTGTGGGTCGGGGTCTATCTGGGAAACCAGGGCAAAGGCGGTGGCAGCTGGCAGCACCCACACCCACAGCTGGGGCACTGCTCACATGAGCCCCCATCAGCAGGCCCCTTGGTTGTGCCACAGGCAGGGGTCCTGCCCCAGGGAGGGGGTAGTCCGGGGGGGCTCGAGGGTGTGGCACAGGCCAGCTGTCACTCCTCCCTGGAGAGGCAGCTGGGGACGCAGCTGGGAGGGGAGCCAGGAGCAGAGACAGCCCGGGGCCAGCAGGTGGGTGACAGGTGGGGCAGCGGGAGGGGCACGCGCTGTCCGCCTGGGGCTGGGGTGTAGAGACGGGAACCTGCCCCCCAATGCCTGGTGCTGGCCCAGCCTCCCCCCGGGGTCTCTAGCACCTTCCCAGTTGTGTCTGCACCCTCCTGGGCATGGCGGGGGAGGGTGGGGGTCAACCCCTTTCCTTGTAGTCCCGTGCCAGTGGGCAAGGGAGACGCCCCAGTGAGCAGGAGCCTAGCCTCTCTGCCTGGGGAGGCCAGGTGATGAGCCACCCGGAGTGGGAGGGGGCCTTGAACTTGGGTCTGAAAGATGAGCAGGGGTTTGCTGGGCCGGGTACAGGCAAGAGCTAATGCAGGAAGGCAGAGAGCAGGAGCGCTTAGAGGGAGTGGCTCTGTGCAGCCGGAGTCAGATGGGTGACCCTCACTCAGGAGGAAGCACTGGGACCCTCTCTCCTCACGCTGGGTCCCCCGCCTCCCTCTAGGATCCCCACACCCAGGTCCTTCTGGGCCTCTGCCACACAGATCAGGTCTGGAAGGCTCCCTGGAGGAGGCGGTGCCTAGACTTGGACATAGGCCTGCAGAGCTGGTTTCCCTCACAACCCTGGGAAGACAGAACTCCTCAGCGGGTTGATGTGGAGGAGGGCGGAGCCTCCCTCCAAGGCACCAGTCCAGTGCTGGGGGCGACACAGAGAGCCAGAAGCTGGCGGGGGCGGGAGGCTCTGCCCCCCAAGGGCTTTACATGCCGAAGCCCCATGGCCGAGCTGGGACCCAGGGTCAGCCCAGGCAGGCCGCGAGAAAGGAGACTGTGGGCCCCACCCCATCACACAGGGAGGAGGTGCTGTGCCCGCTGGGGGGGCAGCTGCCCCTCTCTGGGCCCTTTGGGTGGGAAGAGGCTTGGTGAGGTAGAAAGCCCAGCCCCAGCCAGCAGCGTTGCCTTCTCACAGTGGCAGCCCTTTGTAACCCCGGGGGGTCCCTGCAGGGCCTCTCCCTGTTTTCTCACCATGGGGCAGCATTTGGGGGTCTCTTGAGGGACCCCCTAGATGCTTCTGCTCAGAGCCCCCAAAGCCAAGGAGCCTCCACTCCTCCGTCTGCAGCCTCCCCTGCCGGTTCTTGCTACCCAGGGTTCAGTGGCCTGGGGGCTGACGGAGGGGGTCGCCTCTGCCAAGGCCCCTCCCGGCGCCTCCCTGGCTCATCCAGCCCACCTTCCTCCCACGCTGGCTCACGCAAAGTGTTCTGGTCACCAGGAGCCCTTCCTGACCAGCCCCGGCCCCTTCTTGGCCTTCGCCCCACCTGGCCTCCCCTGGATCCCTGACCTGGGTGCCGGGCCTGCTGGGTCCAGAGCCCACCCCGCCCTGAACAACCCCGAGCCTCAGCCACCCTCAATTCTTACCCTTTCACAGCTGGGGAGTGGAGTCTGGGCCTGAGGTCTCCTGTGCGCCTCTGGGCGCCTGCGCCCGCGCTGTGCCTTTGCGAGGGCGGAGCTGCGTTGTGCTCAGCACAGACTCGGAGAGCATCGCGAGGGCGGAGCTGAGTTCTCCTGTGCACAGACTTCGGAGATACAGCGAAGGCGGAGCAGTGTTCTCCTTGGCACAGACCCGGGCGGGCCGGGGGCACCGGGAGGGCGGAGCTGCGTTCTGCTCAGCACAGACCCGGGGGACACCGCGAAGGCAGAGCAGCGTTCTCCTCAGCACGGACCTTGGGGGCACTGCCTCGCTTTGGGACAACTCGGGGCCGCATCGACGGTGAATAAAATCCTTCCTGTTTGCAGCCCTGAATAATCAGGGTCAGAAACCAGATAGAAGGGTTCAGTGTGGAAAACGGGAAACCAAAAGCCCCTCTGAATCCTGCCCACCGAGGTTCTCCCCAGCCAAGGTGAGGCGGCCGCAGTGCGAGATCCACACCGCAGCCTCGGAAGACAAATGCAGCATTCCTAATGCAGACATGGCACTCAAAAGATGACACCCCCCTTGCTCATGTAACAAGCACCTGTAGTGCTAATGCACTGCCTCGACACAAAAACATTAATATAAGATCCACAATCCCCTCGCTGCCGTGCAGTCCTAAGACAGCGATCATAATAATCAACATTGACATAGTCAATACAAACGTAGTAACGAACCTAGGCTTAAGGTTGGTGTTAGGGGTTAAGTTTAGGGTTAGGGGTTGGAGATAGGGGTTGGGGTCAGAGTTAGGGGTTAGGAGTCAACATTTAGAGTTAGGGGTTAAGAGAGGTTGGGGGTTAGGGATTAGGGGTTAGGGTTGGGTTAGGGGGAGGGGGAGAGTTGTGGTTAGGGGTTAGGGTTAGGGATTAGGGTTAAGGTTAGGGGTCAGGGTCAGGGGTCCCACTCTGTTGGCTGTCTATTTACTCTACTGACTGTTCCCTTTGCCATGCAAAAGCTATTTAGTTTAATTAAGTCCCAGCTATTTATCTTTGTTTTTATTGCATTTGCATTTGGGTTCTTGGTCATGAAATCCTTGCCTATGCCAATGTCTAGAAGGGTTTATCCAGTGTTATCTTCTAGAATTTTTATAGTTCAGGAATTAGGTTTAAGTTTTTAATCCATCTTGAGTAGATTTTTGTATAAGGTGAGAGATGAGAATCCAGTTTTATTCCCCTACATATGGCTCGCCAATTATCCCAACATCATATGTTGAAAAGGGTGTCCTTTCCCCACTTTATTTTTTGCTTACTTTGTCGAAGATCAGTCGGCTGTAAGTATTTGGGTTAATTTATGGGTTCTCTCTTCTGTTACATTAGTCTATGTGCGTATTTTTAAACCAGTACCATGCTGTTTTGGTAGCTATGGCCTTATTGTACAGTTTGAAATCAAGTACTGTGATGCCTCCAGGTTTGTTCTTTTTGCTTAGCCTTGGTTGGGCTACATGGCTCTCTTTTGGTTCCATATTAATTTTAGAATTGTTTTTGTAATTCTGTGAAGAATGATGGTGGTATTCAGATGGGGATTGCATTGAATTTGTAGATTGCCTTTAACAGAATGGTAATTTTCACAATATTGGTTCTACCCATCCACGAGCATGGGGATGCGTTTCCATCTGTTTGTGTCATCTATGATTTCTTTTCTTTCTTTCTTTTTTTTTTTTTTTCTTCAGAGGGAGTTTTGCTCTTGTCGCTGAGGTGGGAGTGCAATGGTGTGATCTCGGCTCACTACAACTTCTGCCTCCCAGGTTCAAGCGATTCTCCTGCCTCAGCTTCCCGAGTAGCTGGGATTATACGCATGTGCCAACATGCTTGGCTCCAACTATGATTTCTTTCAGCAGTGTTTTGTAATTTTCATCGTAGAGGTCTTTTGATTCCTTTGCTAGGTATATTCCTAAGTTTTTTGTTTGTTTGTTTGTTTGTTTGTTTTTGCAGCTATTGTAAAAGGGGTTGAGTTCTTGATGTGATTCTCTGCTTGGTAGCTGTTGATGTATAGAAGAGCTACTGATTTGTGTACATTAATCTTGTATCTGGAAACTTGGCTGAATTCTTTTATCAGTTCTAGAAGCTTTCTAGAGGAGTCCATAGGGTTTTCAAGGCGAAAGATCATATCGTCAGCAACCAGTGATAGTTTGACTTCCTTTTTACCGATTTGGATTTCCTCTATTTCCTTCTTTTGTCTGATTGTTCTGGCAAGCACTTCCAGTACTATGTTGAAGAGGACTGGTGAGAGTAGGCTCCTCATCTTGTTCTAGTTCTCAGAGAGAATGCTTTCACCTTTTCCCCATTCAGTATTATGTTGGCTGTGGGTTTGTCATAGACGGCTTTTATTACATTAAGGTATGTCCCTTGTATGCCTATTTTGCTGAGAGCTTTAATCATAAAGCAATGCTAGATTTTGTTGAATGCTTTTTCTGCATCTGTTGATATAATCATTTGAGTTTTTTTTTAATTCTGTTTATTTGGTATATCACATTTATTGACTTGCATATGTTAAACCATTCCTGTATCACTGGTATGAAACCCACTTGATCATGGTGGATTATCTTTTTGATATGTTGTTGGATTCAGTTAGATAGTATTTTGTTAAGGATTTTGGCATCTGTGATCATCAAGGATATTGGTCTGTAGTTTTCTTTTTTGGTTATGTCCTTTCATGGTTTTGGTATTAGGGTGATGCTGGCTTCATAGAATGAATCAGGGAGGCTTTCTTCTTTCTCTGTCTTGTGGAATAGTGTGAAAGGATTGGTATCATTTCTTCTTTGAATGAAAGAAGACATTCTTTGAATGTCTGGTAGAATTCTGCTGTGAATCTGTCTGGTCCTCGGTTTTTTTGGTTGGTAATTTTAAAATTACAATTTCGATCTTGCTGCTTGCTTTATTGGTCTGCTTGAGGTATCTACTTCTTCCTGATTAAGCTAGGAGGGTTGTATTTTTCCAGGAATTTATCCAACTCTCCTAGGTTTTCTAGTTTATGTGCCAAAAGGTGTTCATAGTACCCTTGAATAATCTTTAATATTTCAGTAGTGTCAGTTGTAATATCCCCTGTTTCATTTCTTAGTGAGGTTATTTGGATTTTCTCTCTTCTTTTCTTGGTTAATCTTGCTAATGGTCTATCAGTTTTATTTATCTTTTCAAATAACCAACTTTTTGTTTTATTTATGTTTTGTATTTGTTGTTGTTGTTGTTGTTGTTGTGTCGATTTCATTTAGTTCTGCTCTGATCTTGGTTATTTCCTTTGTTTGCTGGGATTGGGTTTGGCTTGTTCCTGCTTCTCTAGTTCCCTGAGATGTGAACTTAGATTGTCTGTTTGTGCTCTTTCAGACTTTTTGACGTAGGTGTTTAGGGCTACAAACTTTCCTCTTCGCACTGCCTTTGCTGTATCCCAGAGGTCTTGATAGGTTGTGTCATCCAGTTCGAAGAAATTTTTTACATTTCCATCTTGATTTCATTTTTCACCCAATGCTCATTCAGGAGCAGGTTATTTAATTTCCATGTATTTGCATGGTTTTGAAGATTCCTTTTGGAGTTGATTTTCAGTTTTATTCCACTGTGATCTGAGAGAGTGCGTGATACAATTTCAATTTTCTTAAATTTATTGAGACTCGTTTTATGGCCTATCATATGGTCTATCTTGGAGAAAATTCCATGTGCTGTGGAATAGAATGTGTATTCTGTGATTGTTGATGAAATGTTCTGTATATATCTAAGTCCATTAGTTCCAAAGTATAGTTTAAATCCAGTGTTTCTTTGTTGACTTTCTGTCTTGATGACCTGTCTAGTGCTGTCAGTGGAGTATTGAAGTCCCCCACTATTATTGTGTTGCTGTCTATCTCATTTCTTATGTCTACTAGTAATTGTTTTATAAATTTGGGAGCTCCGGTGTTAGGTTCATGTATGTTTAGGATTGTCATATTTTTCTGTTGGATGAGACCTTTACCATTATATACTGTCTGTGTTTGTCTCTTTTAGCTACTGTTGCTTTAAAGTTTGTTTTGTCTCATATGAGAATAGCTACTGCTGCTCGCTTTTGGTGTCCATTTGCATGAAATGCCTGTTTCTACCACTTTCCTTAAGTTTATGTAAGTCATTATGTGTTAGGTGAGTCTCCTGAAGGCAGCAGATAGTTAGTTGGTGAGTTCTTATCCATTCTGTGGTTCTGTATCTTGTAAGTGGAGCATTTAAGCCATTTACAACCAACATTAGTATTAAAAAGTGAGGTACCATTGCTTTCATCATGCTCTTTGTTGCCTCTATACTTGTTTTTTTTTGTTGTTTTTGCTTTTTAACTTGTATTTTTGTTTTATAGCTCTTGTGTGATTTATGCTTTAATGAAGTTCTGTTTTGATGTGTTTCCAGAATTTGTTTCATGATTTAGAGCTCCTTTTAGCAGTTCTTACAGTGCTGGTTTGGTAACGGCAAATTCTGTCGGCATTTGTTTGTCTGAATATGACTGTATCTTTCCTTCATATATGATGTTTAGTTTTGCTGGATACAAAATTCTTGGCTGATAATTGTTTTGTTTGAGGAGGCTGAAGAAAGTGCCCCAATCCCATCTAGCTTGTAAAGTTTCTGCTGCAAAATCTGCTGTTAGTTTGATAGGTTTTCCTTTATAGGTTACCTAGTGCTTCTGTCTCACAGCCCTTAAGATTATTTCCTTTGTCTTAACTTTGGATAACCTAATGACAATGTGCCTAGGCTAAGATCTTTTTGTGATGAATTTCCCAGGTGTTATTAGTGCTCCTTGTATTTGGATGTCTAGGTCTCTCACAAGGCCACAGAAGTTTTCCTTGATTATTCCCCCAAATACATTTTCCTGGCTTTTAGAATTCACTTCTTCCTCAGGTACACCAATTAATCTTAGGTTTCATCGTTTAACAGAATGCCAGACTCCTTGGAGGCTTTGCTCATATTTTCTTGTTCTTTCTTCTTTGTCTTTATTGGATTGGGTTAAATCAAAGACCTTGTCTTCGAATTCTGAATTTCTTTCTTCTACTTGTTCAATTCTATTGCTGAGACTTTCCAGAGAATTTCACATTTCTAAAAATGCGTCCAAAGTTTCCTGATTTTTTATTATTATTATTATTTTTTATTTAAGCTATTTCCTTGACTGTTTCTCCCTTTACTTATTGTATCATTTTTTGGATTTTCTTGCATTGGGCTTCACCTTTCTCTGGCCCCTCCCTGATTAGCTTAATAACTAACCTGAATTCTTTTTCAGATAAATCAGTGATTTCTTCTTTGTTTGGATCCATTGGTGATGAACTGGTGTGATTATTTGGGGGTTGTTGAAGAGTCTTGTTTTGTCAGATTACCAGGGTTGGTTTCCTGGTTCCTTCTCATTTAGGTAGACTCTGTCAGAGGAAAGGTCTAGGGCTGAAGACTGTTGTTCAGACTCTTTTGTCACACAGAGTGTTCCCTTGATGTAGTACTCTCCCACTTTTCCTATGGGCATGGCTTCCTGTGAGCCAAAGTGCATTGATTGTTGTCTCTCCTCTGGGTCTAGCCACCCAGCAGGTCTACCTGGCTTTGGGCTGGTACTAGGGGTTGTCTGCATAGAGCCCTGTGATGTGAACCATCTATGGGTCTCTCAGCCATGGATACCGGCGCCTGTTCCAGTGGAGGTGGTGAAGGGTGCAATAGACTCTGTGAGGGTCCTTAGCTTTAGTGGTTTAATGCTCTATATTTGTGCTGGTTGGCCTCCTGCCAGGAGGTGTTGCTTTCCAGAAAGCATCAGCTGTAGTAGCATGGAGGAACTGGCAGCGGGCAGGGCCCTAGGACTCCCAAGATTATATGTCCTTTGTCTTCCACTACCAACTTAAACATTTGTGAGAATTTCAATATCAGAAATTTATGTGTAATCGAATTTATTCTGGTAGCCTAAATTCTGGTAGCTTATTTTCTTATATGCTTCAATCTTTATAATTTAGTTCTCACATGAGGGAGATCTAATATTGGAAATACTTTCAATCTGTATGTTTATGTATTTATTCTAGTTGTCCTGGCACAAGGTTATCAATGTTGCTGTGTGACCAGCCATTGGCTTTTCACATTTACAACTCCTCTGAATTTTTTCTTGCCTCATTTCTGGTGCTGGGAAATTCTGATATTTTCTCCTCATCTCCATTGTACATTTTAGGGATTCTTGAAACTTGTGATGCACAAACATCCACACCTTCCACATAAGTAAAATATTTTACTTAGATATTTTCTAGCAGACACTGAGTTCTCATGAGAAATCCTCAGTCTCTTTATTTGGAACACCCCACCCCAGTATTCCATATGGAGTAGTCATGTGTAGAATGTGATTACTTCATTAATATGTCGAAGTATGGGTACATTTTGAACACATTTGTGAACTTGTAATCCCTTTCTTGATGAATAGTACCTGCGGATGAGCAGAATTGATATTTTCTTTGGAGCAGTAAGTTAGCACTGGTAGAATCTGTTCTGTAATCCCAGGTCCCTGGGCTCCAGTGTCAATGCTTCCTCCTTAGATCCTCCCTGACCCTGTAAATTTACCTCAGTCTCTATTTCTTAATCCAATAGCTATTTCAATTGATCTTCAATTACTTTGCATGTGGCCAGATATTATTTATGGGTTATATTCTAATTCACATTTTTCTGATGTAATTTCAGAGAGCCTAGAAAATATAATAAACTCCTTCTGACAGGTACTTGAGCCTCAGTATTTAAACATGAACAAATGCAGCATCTATTCCCTATCATGAGCACTCTTAATGGCAGTTGAGTGTTTATATCAAAAAAAAGTCAGGAATCATAATCATTTAGAGATAAAACAGATCCCAGATCTGAAAAGTCAGCTAGCTTAGGAGTTTCAAGACTTTAGGATTTCACAAATCAATAAAATTAAAAAGAAAAAAATGTAAGGTTTAACATAGAGATATCACTTAAACAATGACTACTATTTTGATAAAAGGACATTCAACGGTAAAGGTGTGGGAAATATAACCTCAGAGATGAAAATGTAATAGCTTGGGCCAAGCTCACTAAGTGTCCTTATTTTTGTGTTTCCACCATGGATGGCTGACACTGTCACCTCTGGCATGAGTCCACATCAGCACCCTGGAAATGCCTCCTATAGGGTAATCCTGCAGAAGGCACTAGCACCCCCAGACTCGGGCAGACAGCTGGCTAGACAGTGCTGCTGGGAGAGTACTGCCTCTCAAAACCCGTCTCTCTGTACCAGCTGCCCAGTGTTTCTGTTTCTGCCTACTTGGAGGAACAAAAGCAATCCTGCTCCTCTCCCCAGAGACAGGTAATTATGCCGCATTTTCTTTCCTGTTTCTTACATGACAAGCACTCAAAACTTGTCACTCTTTTGGTTCTCTCCAGTGCCCTCCAAACAGTCCATGTTCAAGCCAAAGAGGAATCACTTCTGCTTACCATGTTAACTTTTAAAATAGTTAACTGCAGCCTGCATTATGAGGATAGCATGCCAGCATAAGGAAGTTAGCATCATCTAGAGTGACCACAGAAGCTGCATCTGTCCGTGTGACTGGACACTGTATATGTCCAGATCTCTGCAAGGAAGAGTCATGTCGTACTTTAGAGTATGACTGAGTCACACTCAGAGGGAAGTGATTCCCACAAGCAGCTCCCAGCCAGTAACTGAGCTTGGCATGGATACTGAGGCAGGCCCCTTCCTGGGAGAAATGGGACTCCAGAAGTCCTGGACCCTCTCTACTTCTTTTTATACCTGCTTACAATTTAGCCAATTCTTTTCTGAGCTCATCTCTTTCTTACAGTAGTGACCAAGGGATGTTACTAACGTTCAGTTTCCCCATCTTTTCACCTTAAGCTTCAAGTTCCTTCAGCACATCATCCGCCCTTCAAGTTATTCCTACAACAGCTTTACCAAATATTTCACCACTGCATAACATAGATTACCATCTTTCCAACCCTCAGTAACGGTTCTCTTGCTGACTGCCATCTGGCCCTAGAGCCACATATTTTAGGGTTTGTGTTTTGGCTGCTCCCCACTCCTGGTACCATAACACCATCTATCAAATCTACCTGTAGATCATGAAATTACATAGGGCTTCACCAAAACTGCTATGGAGGTGGGGAGAGGGACAATTGGAATGGAGCTCAGAAAGCTGCACTTGCAGAGTCATTTATGTAAGACTGTGAGTGTGCTGCCGGTCCACATCAGAGGATGGGGACTACCATGGTCTGAATGTCTGGGTCTCTCCAAATTTCATATGTGGAAACTTAATCAAGGTGATAGTTTTAAGAGGTGGGGCATTTAGGAGCTGATTAAGGCATTTGGACAGAGCCCTTCTGAATGGGATTAATGACCTTATAAAAGAAATGAAGATGAACAAATGACCCCTTCCACCACATGAGGACATAGCAAGAAGGTACCATCTTAAAGCAGAGAGCAAGCCCTCACCAAGACACTGAATATGCAGATGCCTTGATCTTAGACTTCCCAGCCTCTGAAACTGCAAAAAATAAATAAATAAATAAACTTCTATTGTTTATAAATTACCCAATCTAAGGTATTTTGTTTTAGCGGCTCAAAGGAACTAAGACAAAGGTCATGGAGACCATAGGGTGAGTCTCAAGACTTCCCCCAACTCTACTTGGCTGGTCTCCTGCTGGTATTTTCCATCTGTAGAGAGGAAAAAGAACTCCCATTTTACCTTGCTTACCTGCACTTATGAAAAGTCAAACTGAGTCATGTTGAGAGCCAGGGAACATAGGAGTCGGTTCTTCAGCAGGAGCACTCAGCTAGTTGAAGGCAATGTGGAGTGATGGGAAGAGAGCAGTGATGCAGTGATTCTGGCACCAACTCCTTTACTATGGCATCCATTGTACCAGCTGCCATACACCTGGCTACTTCTACACCTTATCTCTAATCACTCCAGAATACGTATTAGTTTCCCCATCTTCTAGAAAGGAAAACTCAGACCCAGAGACACTAAGCAAGTAGCTCAAGATCACACACGTTATCTGTGATTAAGCCTCAGTTAGAACTGGAGTCTTGGATTTCCACATTTATACCCTTTTCATGAAGCTACCTAACTTTGATCCTCAAGTTTTCCCATCTATAGCATGGGACTGCTGGACTAGAAATCTCTAAGTCCCCTTTACCTCTTGAATTCTGTGTCTCTAAGGATGAGAATAACAAAACTCCTTTGCCTCTAGCACTTTCCAACTCAAAGCCCTATCACTCTCATTACATCTAATCACTGCAGCCAGAAGCATTAAATAAAATGGAAGGACTGACATTGGGAGTGGGCGAGGCAGAGAAGTTGGGGGCGTGGAGAAACAGCTCTTTTTACATAATGATTGCTACTATGATTTGGTTATAAATAACCAGTGAAGACAATCAGGCTTTTCTGGCAGTCCCTAATTGTAGTGAATGTTGGAATACAGTGACCACCCAAATGCTCTAGACTGATTGGGAAGGTGCCACTTCTAAATCAGCTGGGCTAAGTGCATTGCATAAGCTGAGTATTTAGCTTAATGATTAGAGCCAGTTGACGAAACACAAGAATATGGAAGCCTCCTGCTACTTCTCAGAAGATAAGACAATGGCATTCCACCACCAGTGTTTACTGTGGTACCCAAAGGGAGCTCCAGTTACTTCCCTCTGTGCCTATAACCCTTGGATCACCTGGTTGCACCAGACCCATCCTGACTAAAATCCCTCCAAAGGACCAAAGAGGAGATACGGACAAAAATAAAAAATAAATCTCATCTGCTCTCTTTCCTAAGGACCCAGCAGCCTCTATCCATCCGTCGTTCATTCACTCATTCCACACACTTTCATCTAGCCCCTGCTGAATGCCAAGCACTGGGCTGGAACTCTGGGGACTGTGGAGGTGGAATAGGAGAATATGGGCTTTCTGTGAGCAGTGATTGCCTAAAATATATACATCAAGGTTGTAGGATCATGTGCACCACTGCACTCTAGCCGGGGTGACAGAGTGAGACCCTGTCTCAGAAAAATAAAAAAAAAATTGTAGGATCATGGAGAAAGTGTCTTAAGTGTTTGGTGCTGTGGACAGGCAACACAGGCAGAAACTGGTGGCTAGGGAATCAGAGAAGTTTTCAGGAGGGAGCATTTGACTTGGGCTTGAACTGAGCATCATAGGGCAATATAGAAACAAGTTTATGGATAATTCACTGAATTGGTGGCAGTTTATAACTTGAGTCTTCCTTCAGATGATTGAAGTTAGTAGCCCAGCTATGAAAGTCTAGGTTACAGATGTCTCAGCCACAGCTTGCATATATATGGATGAGGTTCATACATATGCAGACTTGGGCTCCTGCCAAGATATGAGAGTTTTGGTCAGTCTCTGTCTCAATTCTAATGTCTCTGCCTACATACCTGAGTCCAGAGTTGTCATGCAAAGAACAGAACCCTGGAACAATCACACAAGGATTTGGTACTAGGCTTAGCCATTTTCTAGCCATGGGGACAAAAGAAAATTACTGAACCTCTCTGAGTCCCAGTTTATTTGTCTATAAAATAAGGATAGTGATACTGGGGTTACAAGGAAATTGTGAGAATTAAAATAGTTCAGGAGAGGTTAAGTTGTCCTGGGGCCACCTTTGTCATTGCAGTGACCACACTCTGTAGTGAGGGCACCCTTGAGAGCAGACAGCAGAGCTGCTATGTGATTCATCTCTAGAATCCATGATTCTTGGAACACTTCCTGAGAGCTATTAGGCATTCAAGAAATGTTAATGGTAGATCATAGTATAATGGTAGATCATAGTATTGTGATAGATCATAGTATTGTATTATTGTTCAGCAAACATCTGTTTTCCCTCCTTTCAATGGAAGTGGTGTACCTCCCCACCCCACTGACATTGGGCTTAGCCATGTGACTTGCTTCAGCTAATGGAATGTGGGTGACTCAGTGAATGCCACATCCAAGCAGAGGTGTTAAATATTCCTGCATGGCCTCTGGTGATCCTGTCCTCCAGCATGAGATGAACATGCTTCAGATAGCTGCTGCTACTCCCCTGGATCCTCTTCTGAGAGCCAAGTGAAGCAAATAGGAACCCAATTCACCACCCAGATCCAGGCCCATCTGAATCTAGCCAGCCCAGAAGAGCCCTGTAGAACCACAGCTGACCTATGGAAATGAGAAGTAAATGTTTGTTGTTGTTAGCATTGAGATTTGGGGATTACTTTTTATGTGGCATCATCACAACAAAGCCTGACTAATATATTGTATAAAGTTAATTGAGTACTAACAACATGCCAGGTATTGTTCTAAGTCCTTTATATAAAGAATCCCATCTAATCGTTACAGCACTGCATAAGGAGGTATCATAAGTATCTCCATTCAGCTGATTAGAATTGAGGCATCTGGTCAATCCCCTTCATGTTATTCCTCCTCACTTCCTGCATCCGAATGAACCAAGCCTCCTGTGTTCATTAGAACCACAGACCAAGCCTGCTGGAGAAAGACAGGGCTATGAAGATGGGAATGAATTGGCAAACAGCTTTGGGATGACAATGTTAAGGCCAGGCAAATGCTCTCAGTAACCTCAAATGAGTGTTGATGTTCATGAAGCCTGCTCAAAAAAGACACAGAAATTGACGTCTTTTATCTGAGGACCCTTCCTTAGCCTCAGGACTTAAGGCTATGGGAGCATGAGCCACATAACCATGAGAGGCAGGGGGTTCAGTGAGAAGAATAAGCTCAAGAGTCTTACCTGTGGGTCAGAATCTCAGCTGTGCCACACATACTGTGTGATCTTGAGCAAATCACCAAACCTCTCTATTCCTCATTTTTGTCACCTGTAAAGTGGGATTATTACTTGTACCTACATCCTGGATTTGTTGGGACAGTAAATGAGTTAGTGTTCCCAAGGTGCTTAACACAGAGCCTTTGCATGCAGCAAGCACCCAGTCAATGCCCATGACCATGGCCCCCTGCTCATGCTGCTCTTTTGTTCCCCCTGAGGTCTTTTGGGGACAGAGAGTGTGAAAATGCCCTCTACCCACACAAGGAAACAGGACTCAGGGACAGAGGACCTGTGCCCTGACCAAGGCAATGCATCCCTCACCATATATGCAGTGGTGCATCCTTTCCTGTTGCCTTTTGGATCAGCAATTAAGGCTTTAGTCTTTTTTGTTGGTGTGCAAAGGTATTTTCTTAATGGCCCTGCAGCCCAGCCATCACAAAAATGCTTTCCAGCTCTCAGCGAGAACATTTCTGATGCATGCTGAATCCAGAATTCAAATGAAGCAAAACAAAGGCACCAGGGGCTCTTATGAGACAGAGTGACTCAAAATAGAGGGAATGTGGGGACTTGGGGCATAAGATTGATCATGAATCACCAAATAGAAAAACCTTGGGATGGCTTTCAAGAAAAATCCTCCTTGAAGTTTTAACTTTCACCTACAAGCAAGTTTTCTCACTGCTCTGTACAGCAGGGTAAGGACAGCAGCCTCACAGCATCAGTCTGAGGATAGAATGGGTTAATGCAGCCAGGCACAGTGGCTCATGCTTGTAATCCCAGCACTTTAGGAGGCCGAAGCAGGCGGATCATGAGGTCAAGAGATCAAGACACCCTGGCCAACACGGTGAAACCCCGTCTATACTAAAATACAAAAATACTAGCTGAGTGTGGTGGTGCATGCCTGTAGGCCCAGCTACTTGGGAGGCTGAGGCAGGAGAATTGCTTGAACCTGGGAGACGGAGGTTGCAGTGAGCCAAGATCACACCACTGCACTCCAGCCTGGGTGACAGAGTGAGACTTTGTCTCCGCAAAAAAAAAAAAAAAAAAAAAAAAAGAATGGGTTAATGCCTGAGAACTCTTTGGCACAGTGCCCAGCACAAATTCAGCAGTCACTCAGTGTTGGCTATCATCTTTGGTGATGTTGGTCCCAAACCCAGACCTCTGCTCTTGTCCTCGGCTCATACACCCACCTGTATAGCCCATATGCACTTTAAACATGAGTCCAAAATGGAATCCAAAATATTAGATGCCCTCGTTGCCACCACCAGGTTTGCTTTCCTCTCAAGCCACTGAGGGATCCATAGAAGCAGAGACCATGATGAGAACCCATCTTTAACTCTGGGTCGCTAGCACAGGGGCAGAGTAGGCAGTCACTACATCTTCAGAGCTTGTGAGTTTTATTTTGCTTTGTTTTGCAATCTGTCATCCCCACACTCTTACTATATAAGACAGTGCCTAGCCAGACAAGCATAGGTTTAAATCTCCACCTTGTCATTTCTTAGCTGTGTGACCCTGAGCGACAAGCTTGAGTTTTCTGAGCCTCAGCACCTTCAGCTGTACAGTGAGAATGAACAGACCTCCTCACAAGGCTGCTATAAAGAATTAACGAGGCTGGGCATGGTGGCTCCCACCTGCAATCCTAGCACTTGAGGCCGAGGTGGGTGGATCACCTGAAGTCAGGAGTTCGAGACCAGCCTGACCAACATGGTGAAGCCCCGTCTCTACTAATAATACAAAAAATTAGCCGGGCATGGTGGTGGGCGCCTGTAATCCCAGCTACTTGGGAGGCTGAGGCAGGAGAATCGCTTGAAACCAAAACCGGGTGGCAGAGAGAGGTTGCAGTGAGCCAAGATTGCACCACTGCACTCCAGCCTGGGTGACAAGAGTGAAATTCCATCTCAAAAAAAAAAAAAAAAGGAATTAATGAGATCACTCCGCACAAATCCTAATGTGGCATCTGATACAGGGCGAGTTCTAGTAAATGAGCATTTTTTACACTCAAGATGTAAGAGTGATGGTTTCATTATTAGAGATGAGAGAACCAAATTAATAAACGTTTAATCATGTACTTAAAATCACACAACTGGGACTCATAACCAAGCCCTTTTCTTCCTGGTCTGATGTTCATTCCTTGTTGTCTGAAATGTCAAATCATTTTACCAGAATAGCAGGGGAGAGAGGGACAGAAAGTTGCTTAAATTATTGATTTTGTTTTAGCAGCCTCTCATCCTGCAAGAGGGGCTTGCAGTAACAAAGGCCTGGCACCTTTGAGTTTGTTTTTGGTCCATTTTTTAAATCTTCATTCCCTTTAGCTCTTGTTGAAAATGGCTTCCTGCCACTTTGCACAGAAAAATCTCTTTCATGAAATACCAAAACCAAACAAAAAACAGGCCTTCGAAATGCTGTTTTGCCTCCTCCTAAGAGCTAACATTTGCCAGTTGTAAATTAACATTCCTTTCGCTTCTTTCAACAGAAAATCAATCAGGGCCCTAAAATCCCTGCACATCTGTATTTAATCCACAAATAATTCAACAATGTTCTATCTTAATGGTGTATTGTGAGAAAAGCATAAATGTCATCAACTTCTTTTACGTGGAAAGAACAATAGGGCATGAACTTGTTTGTGCTCCTGATGTCCTTTAGAAATGGATTCCTAAGGACCAGGAGTGTTCTCCCCACCGACGGTGCACAGTGCCACAGCAAGGACAGTCAACTGGGAGTTGGGAGACCTGGACTTCAGTTCACACCACTTTGCTGGGGTACTTGGGCAAGTCCCTCAGGGCCTCAATTTCTGCATCTGCACAATATGGGGAGTGGTCAACATGATTTCCAAAGTCTCTAGCCAGATTTCAAATTTGTTTACAGCACACAGAAAATTGCTAAAGAGAAAAAACTATAGTGGCCATTTCTGTTCAGGCTGCAAAATCTTGTGCACTATTTACATATTTAGGTATGAACTGTCTCAAAGGGTCTTTCATTTAAAAATGACCAACATGGAGAAACCCCATCTCTACTAAAAATACAAAATTAGCCAGGCGTGGTAGCGCATGCCTGTAATCCCAGCTACTCCGGAGGCTGAGGCAGGAGAATGGCTTGAACCCGGGAGGCAGAGGTTGCTGTGAGCCGAGATAGCACCATTGCATTCCAGCCTGGGCAACAAGAGCGAAATTCCGTCTCAAAAAAAAAAAAAAAAAAAAAAAAAGAGGATGTAGGCTACAGCCATATACCCTGAACATGCCCAATCTCATCTGATCTTGGAAGCTAAAAAGGGTCAGACCTGATTAGTACTTGGATGGGAGAAAATGAAGGTGGAGATAGTTCTTTGTGAAGACACATGTGTGTACTTATTTGTGCACTTGTGTGCTTGCAATTGCATCTTGGGCACATGTGTATTGTGGAGGCATCTGTGTGCCTGTGGAGTGTGTATACATAAGTACCTGATGTATGTTTGGCTGCAGAGGCACAGAAGGTCAGCAACAGCAGGTGGCTGCATGCAGGGGCACTAATAATTACTCATTTTATACAAACTGTTTAGCAACAATGTTAGCTATTCTACTGCTGACTTTACGAACAGAGAAAATGTGGCCGGACACAATGGCTCCTACCTGTAATCCTAGCACTTTGTAGGGGCTGAGGCAGAAGAAGCCCTTGAGCTCAGGAGTTTGAGACCAACCTGGGTGACGTAGTGCGACCTAGTCTCTAATAAAAATTAAAAAAAAAAAAAAAAAACTATCCAGGTGTGGTGGCGCATGCCTATAATCCCAGCTACTTGGTAGGCTGTAGCAGGAGGATCACCAGAGCCCAAGAGTTTCAGGCTGCAGTGAACCATGATTGCTCCACTTCACTCTAGCCTGGATGACAGAGCAGGACCCTGTCCCCCTGCCACAAAAAAAGAAAAGAAAAGAAAAGGAAAAAGAAACATAGAATAGAAAACGTCTCCTGGTTTGCATCCTGGAATAGAGAAATGAGCACAGGCTTTCAAATCAAACAGTAGTGATTCATATCCTGCCCCTGGCACTCACCCAGCATCTCTGAACCTGAATATTTTCATCCAGGTTGACTTAAGGATGAAATGGAAAAAGATTTACAAAGTACCTGGGGCATAGCAAAGGATTCAATAAATGTTCTCTCCCTTTTCTTCTATATTAGTTATCTATTGCTAAATAACAAATTAACCCAGAACTTAGCAGCTTAAAACAGCAAGTGTTTTTCTGATAGTGTCTATGAGTCAGGAGCCCAGGCAAAGCTTCGCTGGGTCTTCTGGCTCACAGTCTCCCAAAGGCCGCAATCAAGGAGTAATATAAGGCTATGGTCTCATCTGAAGGCTCAAATGAGGGATGCTTCCTTTCCAAGCTCACTCATGTGATTATTAGCAGGTTCAGGTTTTGGCTGACTCTTGGTCAGACACTCCCCCAGCCTCTGGTTTCTTGCTACTGGGCCTCTTCATAGAACACCCACAACATGGCTGCTGGCTTCCATCAGAACAAGAAAGCAAGAGAGCAAGAGAGGGTGAGCAGGATGGAAGTCATTTTCTTTTTGTAACTTCTCAGAGGTGCTGTTCATCAGTTTCACCATATTGTGTTTGTTAGGAACAAGACATTAGGTTCAGCCAAGATATAAGGGAGTGGAGAGGATTATACAAGGGCATGAATACCAGGAGACATGGATCACTGGAGGCCATCTTAGGGGCTGCTGGGAAGCCTGTCCTCCAGCCCCCAGTGATTCACATCCTCCACCCCATGCAAAATACACTTGTGTCCTGCCAAGATCCCTAAAAATCTCCTCCCCCTTCAGCATCAACTAAAGTTCAGAATCTCATCAAATCAGGTATTGGGGTGGGGACTTCTTGAGAATGACTAGTCACATGCAGCTCCTAGAGTACAGTTCCTCTCTCTCTGAGAGCCTGTGAAACTAGAGAGACACAGTATCTGCTTCCATACTCCTAGCATTAAATGGTATAACAGGCATGGGTTAGCTCTATATCTGTCTCCTTTTTCTCTAGATGTTTGATGAGACAAGTATTTTAATTTTGTATTCCACTAATTTATTCATTCAACAAATACTTATTAGGTACTGACTATAGACTCTATTTATTTTGCATTCCCATTTTGCCAACAAGGAATCTGAGAATCAGAGGCAAAATATTACAGCTTGGCCCACTGAATTATTTTTTCTTCTCTGAAAGGACCTCTAGGATTCTCCATCAATGAGGACTTTCTAGTCACAGCTGCAGTGAGGTTTGAGTTTAGCTGATTAGACCATCAACCACAAAGACTACACATTCAAATACTTTTATGTGGCAGAATATCTAAGAATAATTCAAGCTAATAAAAGATCTAGAGAATAATTAGATATATTCATTGTTAATAAGAGCCCATTTAATATTGTAGCAAAGGCAAGATCAGGGCAGGGTCAAGGCAGATAATTTTCAAACATGCCTAATGATAGTGTAGACCAATGGTGTTTTTCAATTGTGGCTATATACATTCTAACACATTCAATTTTTTTTAAAAAGTGAAGCTTAGGTCCTATTCCTTAGAAATTCAGATTTAACTAATTTGGAGTGGGCCCCAGACATCAATATTTTAACTTTCAAGTGGTTCTAGGAAAGACAGGTTTAGGGGCTGTGGAGAGACACAGAATGGCAAGTACTTAGAACATTCACACATCCCCCACCTCCCAAGCTCCTAACAGAAATCATTTATTAGCCAGTCCCCTCAATGTCATTGGTTGGAATGCAATTGTGTAGTCTTTCTCATCCCAGGACTCCAGGCAGCCCCTACCCATGAAGCCAAGTTGACATATGAATGAAGGCATATGTGTTAGCCCTGACAAGCCACACTGGGCATGCTTTCCCAAACCTACAAATTATCAAGGGTGTAGAAAAATAGAGCCCTCTCCATGCTGAGCAGATCTCACTCATGTAGACAACTGAGGTCTAATTACCCATTGGAAAGGGCCATTGGAAGAGCACAGGAAAAGGTCCAAGATGGAGAGGGAATTTACAGCCAAGTCTGATAATGGTTTCAGAACCTCAAAATACTTCACCTGGAGAGGACCCATGGGCAATATACATGAAGGAGCTCTCCTCTTCCTGAGTCCCTCCAAAGAGTTGTGTAAAGCCCAAAAGGGGGGCTCTCCAGGAGTAGATGCTCTTCAAATCCCACTTCTATCCCTTACTAGAAGTATAACCTGGCTTGCTATTGAGCCTCTCTCAGCCTCCTTTTCCAAATGAGGACAATGGTGCCTATGTCACAAGAATATTGCAGTGATTCCATGAGAAGATGTATACAAAGCACCTTGCCCAATAGATAGTCAACAAATGCTGGTTGTCACCTTTATTCTGTCAGTGTTGGTGGAGTGCTGGTACTCATAGTTCACTAAGAGTTTTTAGGACAGCAATGATCTTAGAAGAGAATCAGATCAAAGTTCTGAGTGTTTTCCCTGGAACTGGCATTGTATTATTAATATCCTACAAATGGGAGACATGCATCCCCTGGTCTCATACCTGGAATATCAAAATGGTACTTCATTAACAGTGTCAAAGCAAAAGTCTGATGGCTCTGCCTGCTCTTGTGAGTAGGGGTACTCATATTCCCTTTAAGCCCTTCCCCCAAATTGGCCTAGAGGTCCAGGGGGTTCCACATGGGCTCAACATTCTCTGATTAACTCTCCCCTCATATCAACAACTTCCTCCTATCAAGCTTGACATCTTGTGCTATTTCTTCCTATTCTAGGTGTAGGCAAGTCTAGTTTGCTCTTCAGCTACTCTATCCCTCTCCTGCATATTGACTCTTGAATTCTTGATCCCTAGTAGCTTCTCACACTGTCTGTAAAATGGAGCATGGAACCACTACATAGAAACAGGAAGGTTCTGCCCTGTACTCTCAGCTCTTAAGGGCACAGTCACAAGAAGACCATTTTTAAATTCTCATTGTGTAACACCCTTACACATTCCACATGCATCATAGCACATAACTCTGACAATAAACTACAAGGTAAGCAACTAATTATTCCCTTTTTAATATTTTTTAAACCTAGGAAGGTAACTTAATCTCTTTGACTTCCAGTTCTCATGAACTAGAACATTAGAGAATCGAGATTTGAACCAGAGGTGATGGTTTTTAAAATATGTCTGCTAGATATCAAAATGAGTGCATGGGATTTGATATATGTACATAGGTAGGCATAGAAATAGATAGAGATGCTCAAGGATATGTGTATATGCACATATGAATATGTGTGCATGTATATACATGTATCCATTTCCCAACTCTGTCTTTTAAGAGGATATAGAAACAATATCACCCCAGTAACAATAAACACCCTAGTGCCCACATCTTGATTTCTCCATATCATTTTCTGCTAGAAGGAACCCTGGTCTCCTTGGAAAAATGGATGATTCCAAGGCTTGGACAGGGAATACACAAGATGAGTCTGACATATCTCATGTTGAAAAGTAACAAACTACTCAAAGAATAATGACAGCATGTCAAAAGGACACAAGAACCAACTTAAAGGGCTCCCACTCACCAAATCTAGGGCAACCTAAATATCATGATAAGTATGGATACCCTCAGTTCACTGAGAGATTTGAGGTCAGGGACAGTCTTAGAAGACAATAGAAAACAGTGTTCTGAGTGTTGCCCCTAGAATGAGCATTGTGTTAATATCATAGAAATGGGACACATGTGTCCCCAGGTCCCATACCTGGAATGTAAAAATAGTATCCATTAACAGCGTCAAGTAAAAGATTATAACCTATTATAAAAACTAGAAACCCGGGCTGGGCATGGTGACTCAAGCCTGTAAATCTCAGCACTTTGGGAGGCTGAGGCGGGAAGTCTGTTTGAGCCCAGGAGCTTGAGACCAGCCTGGACAACATAGGGAGGCCCCGTCTCTACAAAAAAAAAAAAAAAAAAAAAAATTACCTGGGCATGGTGGCATATGCCTGTGGTCCCAGCTACTTGGGAGGCTGAGGTGGGAGGATCACTTCAGCCCTGGAGTCAAGGTTGCAGTGATCTGTGATCATGCCACTGCTCTCCAGCCTAGACAACAGAGTGAGACCCTGTCTCAAAAACAAACAGAAAACTAGAAAACCAAGATTCTATGCCGATGTCAATAATATAAACAAGTGTTCTTCCTTACAGTAGAAAACCAACAATACATTTAGAAAGATTACAGAATTTTTTTAAAAAACATGATTTGACAACCACAGTAATAACTGATTCAGGGAAGGGCTACTAATAAATGCTAAAACCAATGGATGCAAGTTTGAGAAATAATAGGATATCTTCATAGTCTCAAAGTATTTCTCCAAAGGAAATACATATTAATTATAAAGAGTAAAACGGTGGACAGCACCGTAACCCCATGAACAAAGTTAACATTGCTAGTAATGGGACTAATTAATAGCACCTGCCCCTCATGCCTTGAGCTACAGGAGCTCAGCATGGCATCAGTGATATTCCTGCCCAACATGCATAACAGAATCTGATCATGGAAAAGCACCAAAAAACCGAAGTTGAAGGACAATTATACCAAGTAACTGGCCAGGTAATCTTCACAAAGGTCTGTGTCAAGAAAGACAAAGCAGCAGAAACTTTCAAATTACAGGGGACAGCTAAATGCAACACATGGTCTTGGATTGTTTTGTTATAAAGGACATTATTGTGAAGTCTGAATAAAGTCTGTAGATGAGACGAGAGAATTCCCTGTTTTTAGGAAATATGCAACAAAATATTCAAGAGTAAATGGGCATCACACCTTAGATGACTCAGAAGAAAAAGGGAAGAACAGAGATAAGTGATACAGTGAAACCCTGATGTTTGGGGGATCTGGGTAAACAATATTTAGAAATTCTTTGTACCGTGTTGCAAGGTTTCTGTAAGTCTGAAACTATGTGAGAACAAGTGTTTAAAAATAAAGCATAAAATGTAAAACATCTCTTCTGCAAATTCTTTGGCACTCCTCCCATGAAGAGGTAAAGTCTAATCACCTCCCCTTGAATATGATTTGGACGTAATGACTCATTTCTAACCAATGAATATGGTGTATGGATGCCTAATTATAAAAGAACATTCAGCATGTATCAGAACAAGGAAGTTCTGGGGCATGTGTTTTGTGTAATTCACGCTCTGTGTGGTTCATGTGCCCATTGCTCAGATAAAGAAGCTGGAGCTCAGAAAGGTGCCCAAATTCAGAAGACTAATAAATGGTGGAGCCAAACTTCAAACTTAGGGCACCGGAGCCTCCAATCCCAGGCAGGTGGCCTTGTGGATGGGGAGCTGGGACCTGGAGTCTGCCCGCCTGGCCAAGGCCTCTCGAGTGCTGCAAGATGGGTATTTGGGGCCGGATAATTCTCTGTGCACCATAAGTTGTTTAGCAACATCTTTGGCCTCTACCCAGAAGACGGCAGGAGCACCTGACACCCAGTTGTGACAACCAAAAATGTCTCCAGACATTGCCAAATATCTGTGGGGGTGCAGGGTGCAAAGTTCCCTCATTTAAGAACCACTGACCTAGGGTGAACCGTGGTTCCACTACTTACTTTTCACATGACCTTGGACAAACAACCTTGTCCTCAAGGTCCTCTGTGCCCCCATGTCCTCACCTGTAAAATGGAAAAATAATAACATGTGAGGTTAATGTGAGGAATAAATAAGAATCCAGGAAAGCAATTGGCCCATCATGTAAGAGCTACTTTGCCCATAACCCTAGGGTGCCTTCCCTCCAAACACAAAGCTGTGCACAGAGGAGGTACACAGTGAAGATCTGCTGTTGTATAGCTGTGGGGATGAATCAATTAACCATTTCAGTAACAAATGAACAAAAAACTGAATGTCCTGATCTGTGCACTAGTGCATTTGCTGACTGAAGATGTCCTGGCATCCTCTCTCACCATCAAAGAGCAGTTAGGATTAAAGACTCCACAGCCAGGCTACCTGGGTTCAAGTTGAGCTCTGCCACTCAGGAGTTATGTGACCACAGGCTGGTTATTTAGCCTGCCAATGCCTTCATTTCCTTATCTGTAAAATGGGGTAATAAAAGTGCTTACCTCACAGGGCAATGAGAGTGAAATGAATTAATACATGTATTGTACCCAGCACAGGCTGGGTCTCCATCATGCCTGCTGCAATTGCTGCTACAGCAATTAACATTAATCCTATCACACTCCTCTTTTATAGCCCTCCAGCCACACTCCTCTGAGGGTGCCAAGAACAATCCCATTTCCAAGCCTTTGCACTTGCCACTCCCTCTGCCTGGATTGCTCTCCTTCCCAGACATTAGCAGCCCTCCAATCCTTACTTCATCAAGGTCTCTCTTCATGTGGCTCTTTGGAAAGTCCTCCCCTGACCACCATAAATAAAACAGCAGCTTCACCACCCTACTCACCCTGGGCTTTTTGCAACATAGCAATTACCCCTGCCTGGCATTATCTATCCTGGTCAGTACAGCACAGTGCAATGCAGTGCAGTATAGTACAGATCTCTTTATTGGCTTATCTCTCCCACAGCTCACATAAATGTTCCAAGAGAGCAGAGAATTTGATTGACAACTATATTCCCAGCATCTAGAACAATGCCTAGAGCATAGTACATAATTATAATGAATGGTGAGTGATATTTTACAGAAGGAAATTCCAAAGTCCTCACATAACCCATTTTCCATAACACAGAACTTATTTAAACTGGAGCCTAGAACAGTGTTTTTCACAAAAGATTTTGCTTATAGCAACCCATGCTTTAGAACAGAATATTGTAAAGACTTCCAGATCAGTTAGATTTGAGTTTCTCAAGTAGTGACTGTGGACTCCAGTGAAACAGTAACAGGAATTCCACCAAACAAGGTTCACAAAGTGAATGGCATTGGGAAATGATACAGAATCTTCTCGCACTGGAGGATGCATCATGCACAGGAGAAGCTCTAAGAAGTCCTATCGAGAAAACAGGTGTTGAACCTGGGTTTGCTGAACTTATTTCACCAGAGACCCCATCCATTAACATCTGCATCACAAAGCACAATTGGGTAAACAGTGATCCAGCTGAAGTCCTTCCATTTACAGACACAGACAGAAAATGAGGCCCAGAAAGGTTAATTGACTCACTCAAGGTCATGCGACCATCTCCTGAATCGTAGAGCTGTGTGCTTTTCACTGCCCCTAATGTTGCCTAATGGTTCACTTAGCTATCCATTCACAGGAGGTCAGAAACTGAACACGGGCCTCAGATTCCAGTATCATTTTGACTAAATTATATATAAAAATTGATGTACCGAATAGGATTTGCTTTCAATCTCACTATTCCAGAATAGTCATTCATTCAACAAATATTTATTAAGTACGATGTGCCAGGAGCTGCACATTTTGCAGTTGGCTGCACAGAAGACTGACAATAAAATTAGCCTTAGAGAGATCAAAATTGATTGAACTGTCCTTGATAAAACTGCTTCAAAGCAGGGACTTGCAAGAAATTGCATATTCACATTTCATTTGCTTCCATTAATAGTGCTCATATTTAGATCTGATGGTAATACTATGCTCTCAACTGGTGTGGGTCTGGAATAAAACACTCCCCTTGACTGTGCACACTGCAGAGAGGAAAAACAAAATGATTGGAGTCAGCTGGGCTTTTCTATTGAGCACCTCGACCTACAGATTTTCCAATTTCAAGTTCATTCACATTTCATCTCTGGCTTCTACATTTTAGTTAAAAAGCATTTCTCTATTTGCTATTGTCCACTAAGGAAAATGCCTATTTAAAAATAGATTTCTTTTTTAAAGCATCTTGATTCACACATTTCAAAGCCCTTCAGAAAACAGGATTTCTCAAAAGCCATGTGATTCTAAAACATGCTACAGATTTCAGATGGAGAAAGATTCAAGATATTATTCTACATGAACTTTTCAATGAACTGATCGCATCTGTCTAGGAATAAGGAGAGTTGTCTCATGTTACTTCAAAAAAGATTCCAAATGAAAAAAAAAATCTGGGCTTGAGAAGATCTAATGCCATGCCATTGAAGCCAGGTTTCAGCACAGACCCAACATGTGTATAAGTAATAAAAAGAAACCTGAGAAAACAGAAGCTCCTCAAGGTCCTTTGCCCTGGTGTATCTTTAAGGCCAAACTGTAAAGAGAATAAGCATGTACTTCCAGACCCAGCAAATGTCTTCTTTGCATTTTAAGGATGCACTCATCGTTTCTTCAGAAGCAATCCTGAAACCCAGTGTAGCAAAGCAAAGATAGTCACCACATAATACAAATAATCTGTGTTTATTAGATACCAGAATAAATCAGGGAGACTTCTTAAGCTATGGTAAAGAGACCCCCACCAGCACAGAGAGAAGAAATGACACAAGCACAAAGCCACGGGAATCCAGACCCAGGAAAGCTGTGCTCCCACCACATCACTGCACACACACAAAACCTGCTGTTTAAAAATCAATTCAAACACAAACAAGTGACTGAAAAAGCCATTTGTTTAAAAAGGGAGGGGAGAGCATATTTTTTAAGGACCAAGTATCTTTTTTTTTTTTTTTTTTTTTTTTAAGGAGCCAGCACCATACTCTCTTCTCTCACAGGATCATTGTTCCATCTCTGGTAGGCTGGGTACATTTGACTGAGTTTATTGCAACTGCTTCTGCCAATTCTTTGAACTATCAATCAATGGGGTGAGGTTTCTAAGCACACCAGCTACTACACAGAAACACATGATAAAGGGAGCAGTACTGGAAAGCCATGTATTTGCTTGTGTGTGCATGCTTGTCAATGTCTGTGTGGTTATGCAGATCCATGAGGGGGTTTCTTAATGCAGTTTAATGGAATCCATTTGGGGTGAAAGGTGTTATTTTGTCTAAAGAAATCTCCCCCTCGCAGTCCAGCTCTCAGACAGACTCTGCAACAGGGTCACCATCTGGGGATGTCTGATAGATCTGGGACATGCGATCGAAAGGACTCTCCTCCTCCTCATCGTTGTCCACCTCCCGGTCCCCGGGGGGAACGGCGTTGGGCATCATGTGGATGTAGGCAGCTGCGATTTCCTTGTGGAAGACCGTGTCTTGGTTGTAGGAGATGAGCTCATTGCTGATGTTCACCGTCTCCACCGGCGTGCGGGAGCAGACGTGGCTGCACCCCAGCAGCTGGGCAAACACCTTCCGGAAGTCGGCGTTGAAGGCATAGTGACTGGGTTGAGTGAGGAGTTGGCCCAGCAGAACCAGATGAAGACGTCGAATGTGGTCTCACTGACGCAGGGGAAGCCGGCCGGAGGGCCTTTGGGGTGTCCACTGCAGAAAGGGACCATGCAGTTAAGGATGAAGAAGGGCAGCCAGCAACACACGAAGACCCCCATGATCACCGACAGGGTCTTGAGAACCTCGGTCTCCTTCTTGATGGAAAACCGCAGGCTGGTGTCGGGCGCGCAGCCTGCGCTGCTCCGGCAGCTCTGCACGTGCTCTGCGGCCCTCTCCAGGGAGGAAATCCTGCGGATCTGCACCTGGGCGATGCGGTAGATGCGCGTGTAGGTCACGATCATGATGGCCATGGGGATGTAGAAGCTGATGAGCGAGGAAGAGATGGCGTAGGTTCGATTCAGGCTGGAGTCACAGTTCTCTGCCCTCACGTCGGGCTCCCAAACGGCCTCCTCCCAGGGCGTCCAGTTGGCCAGGTTGTTTGGCAGGTCCAGCCCACCTCAAGAGACCGCCTGGTCCCTGTGCCAGTTGAGCTGGACCGGAATGAAGGAGATGAGGCTGGACAAGGTCCAGGCCGGGCGGACCATGACCAAGGCCATGCGCTGGGTCATCTTGCGCTCGTAGCGGAAGGGCCTGGAGATGGCCCAGTAGCGGGCCACGCTGATGACCTGCTGACGCACAGGTTCAGGATGGAGGCGGTGGAGCACATGATGTCGAAGGCCACCCAGACGTCGCAGAACGCTTCAAAGGGCCAGTAACCGGCCACCTCGGCGACTGCCTTCCAGGACATGACCAGCAGCGCCACGAAGAGGTCTGACACAGGTAGAGACACGATGAAGACGTTGGTCATCTTGGCGCGCAGGTGGCGGCTCCGCACGATGGCTGCGGACACCAGCACGTTGCCCAGCAAGGTCCAGATGATGAGTAGGGTCAGCAGGCAGGCGGTGACCACCTGCACGGGCCCCAGTGGCGGTGCCCCCGCCGAGCCCCCCACGGCATTCCCCTGCGCCAGCTGCTGGTACAGCGCTAACTGCCCCGGGTACGCGGTGCCGTTGCTCCTTGGCGGCAGCATTTCGGGCTGGGCCGCAGAGTCGGTTTGTGCGCGATCCCAACTACAGCCCTGCGACCCCCAGGCAGCCCCATCGGGCACCCCGAGGATGCGCCCCCTCAGCCAAGGGACCCTCGAGCCCTAGAGGGCGCTCACCATGAGCTGCGCCGGGTCCCGGAGCGCGCGGGGACTTCTCTTGCTTCCTGAAGCGCCTCTGGCTCGGTGGCCGTGGTGCGCCCCTCCAGTCTACGCGATGGGCACAGGAAGCGGCTGGTGCCCGCTGACAGCCAGGGCTGTTCTCGGGAGTCTGCGGCGCGCCACATGGCAGCGACAGCGGCTGTGTCTGGTTCGGAGCGAGAGAAGAGAGCAAGCCGCCACTGAGGGGCTGGGGCAGGCAGTCGCCAGCGCCGGGCTGGCACTGCGGCGCTGCCGCGGTCCCTGGCCGCTCCCCGGCCCCGCGTCCCGCCCCCCGCGCCTCCGCGCTGGACTCCAGCCCCACCTGTGCCTTGGCGCCCTAGCTCACCGCGCTCGGCGCGCCAGAGTGTAGTGGTGATCCCGCAGGTCCCAGGAGCGCCCCAGCGCCAGACCCTAGCCCCGGGCCGGGGAAAATTCTTCCCGGGAAGACCGAAGGGTGCTTGGTGTAGCCCTGGAGCCCTAGCCCTAGCCACGCTTGGGGAACAAGAGGTGGGGTAGGGATGAGGACGCGAGGGCTTCCGGAGGGGGAAAGAGCATTTGAAGTGTAAAGGGGACGGCCTTGGATTGCCCACAGACCTGAGTCCCAATCCGGACTTTATTCCTGGCTCTGCAACTTTAAGGGCCCTACATTACTTTACCCGGCCTTGGTTTCCTTCTCCACAGCGTGGGATAATGATTCCTACTCCTAGAACAGTGTCAGAACTCAGGGAAGCCTTCTAGGATGAGGTGTCCAGTAGACAGTGTCTCCTAGGAACAGGCTCCCGCTTCCCCCAGCCCCTCCCTCAACACCATGAGGCTGGGGCTTCACCTGACCTCTTGGGAGACTGTCCTTTTCCCCACCACCGCCCCCAGTCCTTCAGTGATTTTTCCTTTGGGGAATAATTTGGAATGAACCCAGAAGACAAGAGGAGGAAGAGAGCCCCCCACCCCCCCCCACCCCCAGAGAGTTGGAAGCCTCTTCTTTGCAGGGCACTTTTACAGTCTTTCTCTTTTTCAACCTTGAGAGGGGTGGATACATAGCTCAGTGTTGAACAGAAAAGGAACTGACGGGGCCCAAAACCCAGACTGAAAAAAAAAAATGATGGAAAACAATAAAGAGGGAAAACAGTGTTCCTGAGCTCTGAGTGCACCTCCCAGCTGACAAGTTGCATTTGTGAAGTGTTTCGGCCTCTGCTGGCGTTAAGCTCAGCTGAAGGCAGCTGGGAGAGAAAGGGATGTGACAGCAGCCAGCTGCACAGCTCCGGCTGCGACCTGCTGGCCCAGACACCTGCAGCATGGTGAGGTCTAGTAACAGACTAGACTTTCTCCTCCCTTCCTAGTCTCCCCCTTCACCAAATGCACTTGCACCCTGGACCAACACCTGCAAGTGGCCCAGCTTCTCAGACTTAGGCTGCTCAGCCTACACAGTCCCTTCCCCCAACCTCTTTCCCCTTCAGTGCTTTCTGCCGCTGGAGAAGGCAAGACCATCTGTCCAGGTGCCTAAACCTGAAACTGAAGAGCCATCCTCACCTTCGGTCTCTCCTCATCTTCTAGGAGCTGGATCACTCCTCTGGCCATGGACATCCCTGTCCAGAATTGTGCCTCCTCCACCCTGTTTGAAGGTGGCACTCTCCTGGCCTCCAGGCTCTGCCCTGACCCTCTGTCTTCCCAGAGGCAGTGATCTTTCCTGAATGTGACTATGCTCCTGTCACTTCCCTGATGAAACACCCTCAGTGTGTTTCATGATCAGCTCCCTGTGGCCCCTGTTCCTCTCCTGGAGAGGAGAGGAACTAAAAACACAAAAATACAAAAAATTAGCTGGGCGTGGTGGTGGGTGCCTGTAGTCCCAGCTACTCCAGAGGCTGAGGCAAGAGAATGGCGTGAACCTGGGAGGCAGAGCTTGCAGTGAGCCGAGATTGCGCCACTACACTCCAGCCTGGATGACAAAGCAAGACTCCATCAAAAGAAATGAAGAAAAGAGAAGAGAAGAGACGAGACGAGGACAGAAAGAAAGACAGACCGGAAGAAAAGAAAAGAAAAGAGAAAAAGACCATATCACCCAAATATGAGAAATTCTCCCATATATACATACTTGTATCTAGATGACTAATCTCTGGAAAGTTATAAGAAAACACTGGTTCTTTCCAAGGAAGGGATGGCCAAAAGGTAGGCTAACTTAACATTGTTCACTCTTTTTAAGACCTTTGTATTTCTTGTATCATGCACAGGTATTGCCTATTCAAAAACAAACCTACAAAACAGGGAAAGACTGAAAGCTTTTCTTCAATATCTGCTACAAGGCAAGGATGCCTACTCTTAACACTTATATTCACCATAGTCCTAGCCAGAGCAATCACATAAGAAAAGGAAATAAAAGGCATCAGCAGAAAAAAGGGGGTAAAATTATCCCTGTGTGCAGATGACATGATCCTGTATGTAGAAACCCCTAAAAATTCCACAGTTACTAGAATAAATGAATTCAGTCAAGTAGCAGGATACAAAATCAACATACAAAAATCAGATGCATTTCTTTATACAAATAATGATCTGAAAAAAAATCAAGAAAACATTTCCACTTAAAATAACATCAAAAAGAATAAAACACCGAGAAACAAATTTAATGAAGGAAGTGAAAGCTTTATATACTAAACACTATAAAATACTGACAAAGTAAACTGAAGACACACAGCCGGGCATGGTGGCTCACGCCTGTAATCCCAGCACTTTGGGATGCCAAGGCAGGTAGATCACCTGAAGTCAGGAGTTCAAGACCAGCCTGGCCAACATGGTGAAACCCTGTCTCTACTAAAAATACAAAAATTGGCCAGTCGGGCATGGTGGCAGGCACCTGTAATCCCAGCTACTTGGGGGGCTGAGGCAGCAGAATTGCTTGAACCCAGGAGGCGGTGGAAGTTGCAGTGAGCTGAGATCACACCACTGCACTTCTGCCTGGGCAACAGAGCGTGACTCTGTCTCAAAAAACAGAAAAAACTTACAGACACAAATAAATATAACGATATCCCCAAGTTTGTGGATTGGAAGAATATTGTTAAAATGTCCATACTATCCAAAGTGATCTACAGATTCAATGCAATCCCTATCAAATTTCCAAAGGCATTTTTTACAAAAATAGAAAACACAATTCTAAAATTTGTATTAAATCATAAAAGACCCTGAATAGCCAAAAGAATCTTGAGAAAGAAAAACAAAGTAGAAGGTATCACACTACCTGATTTCAACTTATATTACAAAGTGATAGTTATCAAAACGTATGGTACTGGCATAAAAGCAGACACATGGATCAATGGAACTGAATACAGAGCCCAAAAATAAACCCAAACATATATTATGAGCTGATTTTTGACAAGTCCAATAAGATACAATAGGGAAAAGATGGTGTCTTCAATAAGTAGTGGTAAGAAAACTAGATATCTATATGCAAAAGAATGAAACTGGACCTGATGCCTATCTTACACATCATACATAAAAAGCAACTCAAATAGATTAAATACCTAACACCTGAAACCATAAAACTCCTAGAAGGAAATATAGGAGAAAAACTCCTTAATATCCTCCTTGACAATGATTTTTTGGATATCACACCAAAAGCTCAGGCAGCAAAAGCAAAAATAAGCAAGTGGGACCACATCAAGCAAATAAGCTTCTGCATAGCAATAAAAAAAAATGGGGTAAAAAGGTAGCACAGGGATTAGGGGAAAATATTGGCAAACCACACATCTGATAAGGGGTTAAAATCCAAAACATATAAGGAACTCACACAACTCAGTAGCAAAAAAAAAAATCCCCAAATAACTGGATTTTAAAATAGGCAAGGACCTGAATAGCCATTTTTCCAAAGTCACACAAATGGTCAAATGGTATATGAAAAGATGCTCAATATCATAATCATGAGGAAAATGAAAATTAAAACCACAATAGATATCATCTCGTGTCTCTTAGAATGACTATTAACAAAAAGGCAAAGACATAAGTGTTGGTGAGGATGTGTAGAAAATGAAACCTTTGTACATGGTTGATAGGAATGTAAATTAGTATAGCCATTATTGAAAACAGTATAGAGTTTCCTTAAAAAAAATACAACTACCATAAGATCCAACAATGCCTCTGTTGGGCATATATTCAAAGGTAATAAAATCAGCATCTGAGAGAGACATCTGGATTCCCACGTTCATGGCGGCATTACTCCCAATAGCCAAGACATGGAAACAAACTAAGTGTCCTAATGGACAATTTACTTACCCATTCAAGGACAGATGAATGGATAAAGAAATTGTGACATTTGTTTATACATATATTAAGTCCTCCCTTAATGTCATCAATAGGTTCTTGGGAACTGAGACGTTAAGCTAAATGAACATACAGCAGGTCCTCAAGTAACACTGTTTCCTTCAATCTAATTTTGGCATAATGCAAAATGAAAAAAAAAATCAGTTTTGTCATACTTTTTTTCCCCTCTTAACCACAGTTTCTAAGAACTTACTGATGACAATGAGGACTTTATACAATGGAATAGTTAGCTTTAAGAAAGGAGATACTGCCATTTGTGACAACATGGATGAACCGGGAGGAAAGTATGCTAAATAAAGTAAGCCAGACACAGAAAAATACTGTATGATCTCACTTAAGAAGCAGAATGGGAGGCCGGGGGGTGAGAAGCTGAATGTATAGAGAGTAGAATGGTGGTTATCAAGAGTCTGGAGGTAGGGGATGGGTGGGATGGGCAGAAGTAGGTCGGAGGGTACAAATCTGCAGTTAGGTAAGATGAATAATTCTAGAGATCAAATTAATACACAGCATGAGAACCATAGTTAATAATATTGTGTACTGAAAATTTGCTGAAAGAGATTTTAGGTGTACATACACAGAGAGTAACTATGGAAGGTGAAGGATACAGACATTTGTTTGACCATAGTAATCATTTCACTATGTATACAAAGCATGTTGTATACCTCAGATATGTATAATAAAAATAAATGAAGAAAAAAACAAAAAACTGTATCCTACCTGCCAAAAACAGTTTCAAATGCATTATGTCTTTGGATTTAGCATGGAATTCACCTTTGCAGGCCCACTTACCTACAACATTATAAATATACCAGGTGATTCATTGTACTATTCACAGTAAAAGATTGAAAGAACGCCGGGAGTGGTGGCTCACGCCTGTAATCCCAGCACTTTGGGAGGCCGAGGCGGGCAGATCACGAGGTCAGGAGATCGAGACCATCCTGACTAACATGGTGAAACCCCGTCTCTACTAAAAATACAAAAAAATTAGCCGGGCGTGGTGGCGGGTGCCTGTAGTCCCAGCTACTCGGGAGGCTGAGGCAGGAGAATGGCGTGAACCCAGGAGGCGGAGCTTGCAGTGAGCGAAGATCATGCCACTGCACTCCAGCCTGGGTGACAGAGTGAGACTCTGTCTCAAAAAAAAAAAAAAAAAAAAAAAAAAAAAGATTGAAAGAAACCCAAAGGTCTATCAACAGGGGAAAGAACAGGTAAATTAAATTGCTTATATTTCCATACAAAGGAATATTTGCAGCCATAAAAAAATGAAGGACAGTAAAAAGTAGTAAGACAAAAGGAACAAAATATATATACACACACACACACACACTATATATATATATAAACACACATTTCCTTGTACATGCATAAAACACATCTGGAAAGTTACACGAGAAACCTCTGAGGTTTCTGGAGATGCAAACTGGGGGCATGAAGGCAGGGGAAAGGGAGAGACTTCACTGTTTACCTTTTTATTATTTTCCAATTTTAAATCATTTGAATGTATAACTTGTCTAAAAATCAAATTTTAAAAGTTGAGGGAATTAACATTACAGAAAGTAACAAACCTCAAGGAAGCAGCCACCTTCACCAGATGGACAGTCTACCTCACTCTTCCCACGCTCCAGTAGTTACTGAATGCCAGTCCCCTCCCTCCATTCAGTCTGCCCAACCTGCTGGCCTTCTAGAGCCTCAGAGCAGTCCTATTCCCACACCTCCAAACACATCCATACACTGTGATGGTCGATCTGGGACCACCAGTTGAGAGGAAATGTGTTGTGTTTCCACTCTTCAGACAAACAGAGTGTTATTTTATTGAGGTTTGGGATTTTTTCTTGCATTAACAGGGTTTCTAGATCCCAGTAGGTGAATGAGAAAGAAGTATGCTTTTATTGCATAAGGAATTTGTTTCTGATACACCAAAGTGATGATGTATGACTTTTCTTAAAGAAGTGGTTATTAGAAGAGTTAAAAATCAATAGAAACAAAAAGTCATAGGTATTGTTCCAATACTCCAGGAACATCACAATTTGGATTCTGTAGATGTGTGTAATATAATGTGTAATATTACATTCTGACAACCTCAAGTTGAAAACTGCACAGCTGAAGATCACTTATAGTCAATAACACTTTTCAAACTTTAATTTTAAATTCATTAAGTCTCTCCCTAATGTATCGTACTTTTTAATAAAGGAAACTGTCAGATACGCTATAATACAGAGGAAAACGTTTATATACTCTTTCATTATAATTTTTCCACAACTTCCAAAATGAAGAAAAAGACATGGAAACATTAAGTTCAGAGAATAATTGTGGCAGACAATTCCCTCCTCCTGAAAGTTCAATTACCCCAACACAGGCAAAATTTCTTACTAACTCAAAAGGAACTGAATTCACATATAAAGACAAACGTGGGATTCTGTTGAGTTCTGTTGGACACAGAACACAATTGCTCAAGCACTGGTTGGGCACCTGTATTCTAATAGCTCACGATTACTGAGCACTCCATGTCTGGGAAGAGCCAGTGCTGGGTGCCTGGCATGCATCCTTGCACCTCATCAGCACAACTATCCTATGGGCTCATCCTGGTTCACCTATTTTATAAAAGAGAACACTAGAATCAGAGAAGTTAAAAAATTTGCCTAAAAACATCCAGAGTAGGTTTCATCATTGCCCACTACTTTATAATGCTTTCCCAAGGGTACTGAGACGTTATCAAAACATGTTAGTGAAACAGTCTAAAACATCACAAATTTTAGGTTTAATACAAAATACCCAGAAAAGGGCAGCGTTATTAGAAATCTCAGCATAATGTAATAATAAGAACTTATGATGATTGTATTCTTTTCCTATTTTTTCTCCCGTACAGGCATATGAAATACCATAAAACTTATTTTAGTGGTGTGTGTGTACATGTAGTTTCAGGATAATATAGTAATCTAGAACATTTTTAATATGGCAAAGTTTGGCAATACTAAATTTTTAAAAAGGATTTTTATTTAGCAAACAGAAAGCAAAAATGTTGTCCAAGTAACATGCATTTATTTTATCCCTAGGAATGTACCTTTCCTTCTGCAAAGGATGTGAGATCCTGGCATGTAAAGGAACGTGAGGGACTAGTCATGAAAATACTGTATATTCAATTCCTTAAATTCTAAAATTGTCTTAGCATTTAACATCTAACACACTAAACAATCTTTTTTCATATTCAATAAAAATAAAGACAAATTCAGTAAATTCAGATGGGCTATTTTATCACGTAAATTTTAAAAAAGCAAGGGTAATTTTTCAACTGATTTTCTTTTACCATGATACGAGTCAATGAGAAAATATGAAATTGAAACATATCACCATTTCTCAGTGTTTACAAGTGGTAAGTCACAAGGAAAACCTTCCAAGATCTTCTGTGTTGTTTTTAAAAGGTATTATAATCACATAATTTGGGAAACAATGTGTACTATTATCAAGAAACCTTTCATATTTTGTGAAATGGAGCACTTCCCAAATTTAAGAGACTATGGAAACCTTTTTCAGACATTTTTTAACATCCTCAGAAATGGAAATTCTTGTTAATGCTGATCTGATCAATTCCTCCAAGTATATGGACTACTTCTTTGCAAACTCCAAGCCCCCAAATCAAATTACCTGTTCAACTGTATCTGAAAATCAGTTACATACAAGCATCAGAAAGTGTTTCTCCCAGCAACATAGACCCAAAACACACTACAAAACAAAAATTATCAAGAACATACAAAAGACATATCTTTTCATGTATTTATTTATTTTTTGAGATGGAGTCTCACTCTGTCACCAGGCTGGAGTGCAGTGGCTCGATCTTGGCTCACTGCAACCTCTGCCTCCTGGGTTCAAGCAATCCTCTGCCTCTGCCTCCCAAATAGCTGGGATTACAGGTGCCTGCCACCACGCCCAGCTAATTTTTGTATTTTTAGTAAAGACGAGGTTTCACCATGTTGGCCAGGATGGTCTTGATCTCCTGACCTCAGGTGATCCACCCGCCTTGGCCTCCCAAAGTGCTGGGATTACAGGCATGAGCCACCGAGCCCGGCCACAAAAGACATACCTTTTCAAAGCCACAATTACCTCTCACCTGGACCATTGTTTCTCACTGATCTACCTGTCATAACTCTTGCACCTAATCATCTACTTATATCATAGGAGAGTGTTCCTCTTAAAATATAAATAAGATCATGGTGTTCTTCTTTTCAGGAACATTCAATGGCCTCCCATTCCATTGCTATTAAGCACAAACTACTGACACATCACCTTATGGTTGTGTGAGATATACTGAGCCGTCCTTCTTGTCCTCACATCTCTAATCTTCTCACCTTCTGACTGTCCCCTCTGCTCACTCTGTTGGTCTCCACAACACTCTTCAAACATGCTCAGCACACTCTCACCCAGAGCCTTTACACTGGCTTCTTCACTGTCTGGGGTGCTCTTCTCTCAGGTAATCAAGTGGCTCACTCACTCACCTCTTTAAAATCTGTGCTCAAATACTGCTTTCTGTTCATATGGACCCTAAACACCTGTCTGTACTTCCAATTCCTTTTTTTTTTTTTTTTTTTTTTTTGGAGACGGAGTCTTGCTCTGTTACCCACGCTGGAGTGCAGTGGTGCAATCTCGGCTCACTGTAACCTCCGCCTCCCAGGTTCAAGCAATTCTCCTGCCTTGGCCTCCTAAGTAGCTGGGATTAGAGGTGCATGCCACTGAGCCCGGCTAATTTTTGTATTTTTAGCAGAGAACGGGTTTCACCATGTTGGCCAGTCTGGTCTCGAACTCCTGACCTCAAGTGATCTACCTACCTCGGCCTCCCAAAGTGCTGAGATTACAGGCATAAGCCACTGTGCCTGGCCAGGCAATTCCTCTTTATCAAACTTTATTTTTACCATGGAACTTGCCAAACACATTATAATTAACTGATTTTTTTTAAGAGTTGAGTTACCTAACATTAAAATATAAACTCTATGCAGAGAATTCTACCTGCTTTGTACACTGGTATGATTTCCAACATCTGACATACAGTAGGTATTCAATAAATTCTATTGTCTAAAAGCCGGCTGCAGTGGCGCATGCCTATAGTACCTGCTACTTGAGAGGCTGAGGCAGGAGGATCACTTGAGCCCAGGAGTTGGAAACCAGCCTGGGCAATGTAACAAGACACTGCCCCTTAAAAAAAAAAAAAAAAAAAAAAAGCTATGAAATAAAATGTAATGGAACAGAAATAATTATCACTTCACTTCTGAATCAGTTGAAAATAAATAACTGCCCCAAAAATGAGGAAACCTACAGTAATCCTCTTTAATTCATATTGGATTTTAGGTTACTATTAAAATATTTTGCTATCTCAAGAATTCAGCAGGCTGAGCAGAGCAGATGGCTTGAGCCCAGGAGTTCAAGACCACTCTTGGCAAAATGGCAAAACCCCATCTCTACAAAAAAATACAAAAATTAGCCAGGCGTGGGGGCCCACATCCATGGTCCCAGCTACTCAGGAGGCTGAGGTAGGAGGGTCGCATGAACCCAGTAGGCAGAGGTTGTAGTAAGCCAAGATCATGCCACTGCACTCTAACCTGGGCAACAGAGCAAGACCCTGTCTCCCAACCAAAAAAAAAAAAAAAAAAAAAAAAAAGAATTCAGCTAGAAAAACCTTATATTTACTTTGATTAAGAAAATGTTTATAAACCAATACTTTATGATGCACACTGGTGAATATGAAGTTATACCTGAAGTAATATTAAATGACAGCTTTTCCATTTCTAGAATGTATGCCTCAACTACCTTAACTTAAACATGGTATTATCCAAGCTCACAGTATCTGAGAAGGTTTGTGTCGTTATCTAGCAAACTAAAGTCAAGACCTCTGTATTTCCCCACCTGTGATCTTCAAAGATATGGTGCTCCTTGAGATTTCTGTAAGGTAGGTCTGTTCTAAAATGTGTGAAAGGAAGAGAACCCGAAAAGGCAAGGTCTAAGAAGATCACTCATTTGGAGATGGCAAGGGTCACATCGGGGTTATCTAAGTCAGTGTGATTTACCCTTTGGTAAACCATACACATATTTCAAAAGTTACTTTATATGCTGTAATTCTTGCACACATATTTCACGGAAAATAAATTAGTATTACCTCGACTATCATCCATATCACCATCCCTTGAATGTTCTGATTGGATGTCTGGAGGGGTCTGAAGGACGGCCACGCTATTCTGATTTATAATCTTCAATTTCAGTTTTGGTTTTGACAGTTTTCTTCTTGGAACTGTAACTGTGAGGCTCTGTAACTGAGTCTTCCCTGATTCAGTCAAACACACACCATCCTGGGTATAAGTCTTGGGTGGGTCTAAAATTACAAAATCCCAAGAATACAAATTTAAACTTTCATTTTAAATTTGACTGATTACTGTTCCAAAATACCCATGTCAAGGGAATGTGACTGTAGTTCTAGAAAGTAATTACGTATCTATGAAATGCATGAATAATTAATTTCATGATACCCAATAAAAACTAGGAACAATAGGTCAAACTTCCTTGGATTATAGGCAGAAATGTTACATGTTTTTAAAAAATGGTCTTCCTGGGCCCGTTGTGGGGGCTCATGCCTGTAATCCCAGCACTCTGGGAGGCCGAGGCGGCAGGCAGATCACGAGGTCAGGAGATCGAGACCATCCTGGCAAACACAGTGAAACCCTGTCTCTTCTAAAAATACAAAAAATTAGCCCGGCGTGGTGGCGGGCACCTGTAATCCCAGCTGTGCGTGAGGCTGAGGCAGGAGAATCGCTTGAACCCGGGAGGCGGAGGTTGCAGTGAGCCGAGATCGTGCCACTGCACTCCAGCCTGGGCAACAGGGTGAGACTCCGTCTCAAAAAAGTCTTCCTGGCATTTTTATGTTCATGTCCCAATAAAAAGAGTTAGAAGCACTGCAAATATATGCAATGCTCAGCTAATCCACTATGAGCTTTTTCCTGGAAAAGATCAAAAGGCAGGGATCTATTTACACAAGAGAAGAGAGAATACTCCAGAAGCTCATCTGGAAAAATCAGAGTATCAACATAATTACTAATAGGGAGAAGTAATAAATAAGTACAAATCCTGCAGATTTAATTTTAAATGTACAAAACTGTTGTTCCTTAGAACAATTTCTGTACTATCCAAATGTTTTTGTATCAGGTGCTATTAAATACAAGTATTCAAAAGAATGACTGTTTAATAAGAATATCATATTAATCACCATACTAGGCTTATTAATTATTTTAAAAAATTAAGAGATTGAATTAATTCTAAAAGAAATCTGCTTGCTAACTAGGCCGTATTTTCTGCTAACTGATAATTAAGCACAGTAATATATCAATGAAACCAAAGCAAGTATGGCATTAATGGTTATTCTAAGAGCTGTTATTTTTGTTGCCAACTTGCTGAAATTTATAGGAATACTGCCCCAGTAAAGCTGGATGACATTTTATATATCATTGTGGAAATGATTACCAACATTACAGAATTTGGATAGAACACCCATATGATTGAAGCAGATTTTACAAGTGGTAAGCCAATTATGTAAAAATTAAGCAAAGTAAATTAATTAAATTAAGTAAAGCATTTCAAATTTTAACTAGCTCTTTTACTTTTGTGACAATTTGTGCTACAAGTGAAGATCCACAGCAGTCTGAGGAAGGCACTGAAATGAAAAAAAAAAAAATCCAGGTAATTCTTTTCAGAAAAGGTAGAGTGTATTTACATACTTACATATGATTAAAATTTCTGTTTCTATACTCATTTTATTAAAATAAATGTTTGAACACTAAAGTTAAAAGCACTTTTTAAAGCAACAACAAAACAAGAAGTGATGAAGGAAATACTCAAGTCATGGAGGAAAACCTGGCTAAGAAAGAATCAACACATTGGATTTTAACATATTGTCAATAACTACAAGATCATGTTCCTTGGAAGCAAAATTATAGTTTACATCTAAAGTATATGCTTTTTATTGTTTCATGTAAATTGTTTTATAACAAGTTGTGATAAGTCATGTATAACCAACAATAATATTTTTCATAAAATACTTGTCAAAGTAAGTTTCACAAAGACAAAATAGAGTAGAGCTAAGCTAATTCATTGGTTATGGACAGTAAGGTGCAAGTGAGTGGTACAAGAGTGCAGACTCACAGTTTAAATTATTCTCTTACCATTAGACGCAGGCATATAGGGTCTGCACATGTTACAATCAAAACCAATGTCTGCTACATTTTCCACTTCTTCCTCAGTATTTAAGTTCTGACGAACTGCATGCATCCATCTAAAAAGACCATATTTGTACATTTTTTTAAAAAAATGGAATATACTGAGAACTGCTACCTTTTAAAACCTGTAACACTGAGTCATCAAACTTAAAAGCCCTAAGCCTCACATGCTCCTCCTACCTTGCCCTTTTCTCCTAACTATCCCTATTAACAGAAAAACTTTCATAGAGCTAAGGAGGAAATAAAAAGGAATGAGAACAACTATTAGAGAGGAAGCAAAGCACATTACATAAGGAAGCTAATTATTTTATCATCATATATTAAATATTTCAAAGACAGCAAGGAAGCTAGTTAGGGCAAACACAAAGGTATTCAGAAAACGGCAAATGGCAGTGCTAGCATATATGGGCTCCAGGCAATGCATCTAACTTGAAGTAGACATATATCATGGAAAGCGATGTTGAATGGTAATTGGGAAATAAAGTAAAAAGTTGTCTTGCAATGGAACAGATAATTAGTAGCCAGAGTCCCAAGAATACTGTACTACTGATAAAATAATACTATCAATATATGTTCACTGCTTAACTTCTAAAGAGTACAACAATATACCAATGAAAGCAAGGAAACATTCTTGATTTTGAAATTCCACATAATTACGTAGGGAGGGCAGAAGGTGCTATCTAATACCTAGATATCTAGTATCTAGAGCTTTAAGAGAAAGTGGTTTAAGGAGAACAGAAAGTGTTAGATATTTTTTATAATCTATTAAAAGATTCAGAAACCCTTCATAAGAAACAGCATAGATGAAGGCAATAATTCTCCATCTAATTTCAAGGGATTCCTAAACCCTCAAAAAGGCCTAAATTAAAAATCTTCAGTCTTGGGTGGACACAGTGGCTCACACCTATAATCATAAAACTTTGGGAGGCTGAGGCGGGTGGATCACAAGGTCAAAAGATGGAGACCATCCTGGCCAACATGGTGAAACCCTGTCTCTACTAAAAATACAAAAATTAGCTGGGCGTGGTGGCATGCACCTGTAGTCCCTGCTACTCCGGAGGCTGAGGCAGGAGAATCGCTTGAACCCAGGAGGCGGAGGTGGAGTTTGCAGTGAGCCGAGATAGCGCCGATGCACTCCAGCCTGGCGACAGAGCAAGACTCTGTCTGTAAATTTAAAAACAAAACAAAACAAAACAAAACAAAACAAAACTTTAGTCTGGAGTTGAGAGTTCAAAACAGGAAATCAATTCTGTAAGTTTCTAGGTGACTAAAAATCTACAAGGCAAAAAGCTCTGTACCTAAAACTTGTGATTAAGGAAAAGCTATTTTCCTTTTTTTTTTTTTTTGCTACATTTCAAAGAGAAAAGCTTTAAAAAGATGAAAAAATAGCACAATACCTATCACATTGTCTTCATTGCAGAATAAGATCTTCTTCTCTATAGTTTCAATAGCAGACTGGACAGGAAGATAAACTTGCACAAGGAGCGCACTGTGTGTAATTGTTCTGCCATTCACATCTTAGACCTGCAGATGTTGCTCCACAGTGTCTGCACCAAACACACCTGAAATCCAAATCCCCCCGAAAAGTCTCAATTTTATTTTCTTAGTTATTCAGTTACTGTAATTCAGGAAGCTACATACGAACATAATGGGGCAAATGATTTAATGTGTATGTGAAAATTTTTCTGATTAGTGGTATCTATCATAGAATATGTGTATTATTCAATTAAATAGGTATGGCTAATTTTTAAAAACTAAAGTGGTATGAGAAAGCTCTGAACTTGAAAGACTAACAAGGCAAACAAACCCTAGAGAACCATTTGCACTTCCAGTCTCCTTTGGGAACTGTCTGCAATGGAGGGTCTAGGCAGTAGGTGTGATAACTTATGTCACAATCATCACACAGCAGGAATCTTCCTGGGTCAGTTGCCTTCCCACAGGCCTCACACACAGTGCACTCAAGACACCTCCAACCTTTGCTAAGAACCACTTTAGTGATCTGTAAAAGAAACAACCAATCCATGTGATTTATGCATTAACCTAACATAATCAAATATACTATATAAATTAATATGGTGCTTATGTACCTAGAAGCAGAAAGGGGCAATCAACTAACATTTATTGAGCGCCTACGGAGGCCCAATACTGGGTTGGGCATGTTCATACACGCTTTTAGGAGGCTACTGAGCAGAATAATAGAAAATGGCACATATTTTAATGCCTTTTTAAAGTCCACATAATTACCTTATGCTGTACATTTAATGTCCACTGTATTTATAGATATAGTGACCAGATTTTAAAGAAATCAAGTAAGCTTCACTATTATTGATACATAATTTGAAAATACATCAACAAAATCTCCATCTACATTTCCATGCTTAGAATCAATAGAAAAAATACCAAAAAAAATAATGTAAAGCATGAGTTCTTAGGGACATTTTATGATCTTAGAAGATTTCTATTTAGACTATGAAGCTAGGAATTCTGAAGTTCACATTCACTCCTCTGTTTATTCTCCCCTCTCTCAAGGGTATAAGTTAGCAGAATATTTGGGAATTTCCAAATCCCTAACAAACTCCTGAAGGAAGCCACACCATGTAATATTAAGATTGCGGAACTTCTTAAAGATCTCAAAAGACTAGGATCCTCAGACAGAACCAATCAAGTGCCCACATTATAATGAAACAGCAAGTAATGAGGGTACAGAATAAAAATTCAGATCATGAGGTACAAGAAAGCCTAAAAGCTACCAGAGAAGAAAATAAAAGAGTTAAATTCAAAGGAACACCCATCAGAATGGCACAAAACTTCCCAACTCCAGATGCTAGAAGAGTATAATCTTCCAATTCTACAGGAAAATACTTTTCAAAGTACAATTCTCAACCTAGCTACACAAGCAACTATGTGTGAAGACAGAATACGTTGTAGACACAGGAAGACTCAAAATTCAGCTCCTTCATTCTCCTTCTAATAAAGTTACTTAGAGATATGCAGAACAGAATGAGGATGTATTACAAAGAAAAGGAAGACTTGGGATCTATAAATCAACAGATCCGACAAAGGACATCAGGCCAGGGAAGTTTAAGGATGAGAACAACACACCCAGAAGCCACTGGCACATATCAGAGCAGGAGAAGGGAATGTCTAGAAAGAGGGTAGGACTTCTCCCAGAAAAAAACAGTACTTTAAAAAATAATCTTATATGATAGTTCTATAGTAGGCAAAAACAAAGTACGAATGGAGAGTCACTATTACTTTCTTGTTATTAAAAACTCCATGAAAGACAAAAGAAACTCATAGTATACTGTTTAGATCTGCAGTGAACATTTACTGAGTCATAACCAACACCTTATTAATTGAACTAAACATAGTAATACAACTATATTGGGAGAAGGAAGGAGGTGTATTTTAAGACCTAAATCAGAATTTATTTATTCACAGCAGAAAGTCAACAAAATCTAGCATTGATAAAGCAGTAAACCAGTTGATTATTTAGAGCTATAGCATTAACCACAAGAAAAAAGACCTGAAAAGATTAAAAGTGATTCCCTCAGATGTGGACGTAGAGTAAGACAAGAGTTGGTTGCTCATTACAAGGCCTTTTTTTTTTTTTTTTTTTTTTGAGATGGAGTCTTGCTCTGTTGCCTGGGCTGGAGTGCAGTGGTGTGATCTCAGCTCACTGCAACCTCCGGCTCCCATGTTCAAATAATTCTCCTGGCTCAGCCTCCTGAGTAGCTAGGACTAGAGGAATGAGCCACCACACTCGGCTAATTTTTGTATTTTTAGTAGAGATGGGGTTTTACTGTGTTGGCCAGGCTGGCTTGAACTCCTGCCCTCAAGTGATCCACCCACCTCGGCCTCCCAAAGTGCTGGGATGACAGGTGTGAGGCACCACACCTGGCCCATTACGAGGCTTTTAATGTCATTTGATTTTTAAACATGTATATTTATTATTTTGATTAGCTTATTGATTTTTAAGAATTTGTCTTAGATTACCAAGTTAGTATATTATTTGCCCAAATGAAGGAAATGGCCTGGGGTAAGATCAGGGTGGCTTAGAGCAGTAGCCAGCAAACATTTCCAATAAAGGGCCAGAGAGTAAACAGAAAGTTTTGAGGGCCATATGATCTGTTGCAACTTTATAAAAACTCTGCCAGTGTAATGCAAAAACCGCTACAAATATATGTAAACAAAAGAACTTGGCCATATTTCAATAAAAGTTTATTTGCAAACACAGGAAATGGGCCAGATTTAGTCTATGGGCCAGTCTGCCTGACCCTGGCTTAAACAATGACCTGAAGACAAAGTGGCAGACAGATCTGAGGTGTTTAGTGGCAGAATTTTTAAAATATTTATCTTCATTCCTACTAAGTTTTCTTCACAGATACCTGTGGTCCCTTTTACAACCAAACTCTCAAGTTTCTCCACTTATATTCACTCTTCAAAACACTACAGTCTGGTCTCTACACCCACATCCACTCATAACTGCTTAAGCCAGGCTTGTCAAGACCTTCTTATTCTCAAATCTAATGGAAACATTAGTGTTTGTGTTTCTTGACTTCTAGTACTTCAACACTTCAACAATTTCTCTGTCTTTGAAATTTCCTTTTAACTTAGGTACTGGGGTTGTACTATCATTTTTTTCTTCCATTGAACCAGTTTAGCCTTAGTTTTAAAAGTTTTTTCAAATAAGATGTCATCCAGGATTCCATCCATGGTACCATGTCCAAAGTTGTTACAGATATGTTTTATAATCTAATACGGATACATGCTTCAACGATAATGGAGTATATGGGACCAGCCTGTTTTCCCATAAGATAGTAGAAAATTGGACAAAGTGTATGAAACAACTGTTTTCAGATATTGGACAACACATAGTAAAGGAGACAGTGGTCTCTGAGAGGAAGGAAACACTCAGGGAGTCCTATGATATTCTGCCTAGAAACATTTTCCAGAATGCTGCCCAGGGAGGGAGAACCTCAGCAGAGTACAATCAATGGCCTCGCTGAGGTTAGGGGAGGCGAGGCAGTGGAATTTGCAGGACACAGTACTCAAAATGAAGAAGCAATAAGGACTAAGAGCTCCAGAAATCTACAAAGGATCCCCTGAAGTCTTTGGTGGAACACCAAGCCGTACTTCTAGAAGCCCAAAGACCCACAACCAGGGGAAAGTACATCTACTGGGAATGTGTAAGCTGCACAATTACCAGAGCTTGCAAAAGGCTCAAAGACAAGTGAAGCACAACCAGTCAGAGTACAAAGACACTGGTGAACAGGGGGTAGAATTCAGTAGTGATCCCAGAAAGGCCAAGTCTTAAGTATAGGGTTAAACTAATGCTAGGACTGCAGCTACCAAAATGTGGACTAGGGAACCCCAGTGGGTCTGTAAAGTTAAAACAAGTTTAAATAATACTAAGATTTAATTTGCCTTTTTTCACTTTAATTTATTCACAATTATACAGTGGTGTTTATAGAAGCTACATGTTGTATCATAATATTACATTGACATTGTACAGGTTGTGCTTCTGTAGTCTTGTGTTACAAAATGTTCCTAGTTTTAATTTCTAAAATGCTGAATAGTCCATAGTTAAAATCCTCATGAACAAAAACTATGGCGTCCCCAGTAATTTTAAAGAGTGTTAAGGTTCTAAAACCATAAAGTTTGAAAATATCCACCTTAGAGTGAAGGCTTTCTAGACTTGCCCCAGCAAGCTTAAAAAGAAGCTTCAAAGGTATCAAACTTATCCACAAACAATTGCCTCCTGCAATAAAAATGCAAGCTGAGCCAATTCATATATCCCTAGTATATTTCTAGATACTGCTGTATTTCTCAATGAGACTGCAGTATTCTATACTGTCCAAAACAGTGTCATGTAAAAGGAACCACACATAATTTTTAAAAACAGGAATAACTAGGTGTCTGATAGTGCACTAATTGTCCAATCTTAACTTATGTAAGTCGTACTCATCTGTAAAATGGGAATTCGGTAATTGTTGGATGGGTTAAAAGAAATACATTACTATCTTGAAAGGGATCTTATTCAATTTCCTTAGGTCCAAAACATTAAGCATTCTAAAAAACAAAATCTAATGATAGCAGCTACTTTTATACAGAATATAAAGTACAAAGAAGAAAAGAAACATGTTTTATGCATATATAACTCCATTTTTAATTGGCTTTATATACTCTGTGTTTTTCAGTCACATAGCATGAGCAACTAATTTTAAAAAACTACAGAAATTAACCGTACTAGTCTTCTATTTTGGATAGTATTAATTACAATCTTTCATTTTGATTCCTAAATTCACAAAAACCTGTATTACCCTATAAAATAAATACTAGTGTAGTTATCAACAAAGAATTCTGAAGGAGATAATGTTGATTTGCTTACTATACTGACATTTTACTGACAATGATATAACACAGTGATGTCTGAAGGGCAGGGGAGAATGGCATAAAAATCACTCATGGTTCACAACCTATTATTGAAACTGAGGTTAGTATTTATATTACATGGTATGGCAATACTAGAAAAGATTTCCTTGTGGAGTATACAGTTTAAGACCTCTGCTGTACAGCTATACCTCCATGCTTGCTTCCAGTGGCCATGACACTTTATTCAAATATGTAAGTTTTATTAAGACTGAGTTCTTAAAAAGAAAAAACCAAGAACCTTAGATACAACTAGTGAAGTATTGAGACCTGTCCATATTTAAAACCAAGCACACGATACCACTTAAAAGGTTCCCCAGAAAGCCTCTATCCTGAAATGCTTGAAAGTGAGCAGTGCTGACTCTCGATTATTACCGATTGCATTAAATATGACACTTGTTTTCTTTCTTTTGGCTATAAGGAGAAAATGTCATTTTGTATATGAGTGAGCACAGAGGAGACAGAATGTGGGAAAGAACAGAATGGGATAATAATTTTTTACTAAATACTCCAGTTCTCAGCTTTATAAGTCAACAGACAAAATGAATCAGCTAAACCTAAAATCTTTGTGAATAGTATAAATTGTCTTTTAAATTAAATGCATATATTTTTATGTTTTACTTTTTCAAGACAAAAGCAGGATATTAGTACAATATAAGATTTATAGAGGAGCAAATTTCTTGAGATAGGAAACCCTTAAAAGCAGTATTTAAAGTACTTAAATACTGTCACATATGTTTAATAATCATAATACTTAATTGTGAGAACTGGGAGCTCATGTTACTACTAAAACCAAATAAAAATTCAATACATATTTGTTAACTCAGTTTAAGGATGTTTACCTTAATACTGACACAGTATGGATGGTAACACTGACCACACTGAGAACAGGCAAGTAATCTTCCTTCTGCTCCTTGGCCAAAACTGCCACAAACTACACATGTATCCTGAAGTTAAGAAAACAGAACATATTTTAAATGGAGACTAAGCTAAAAACCTACAAATTTTACTTTAAAAATACCTTCTTAACTAATATAGCTCTATAGCTAAATATTGGATCACTTCTGTGTATATGAGATAAAGCAGAAATGTGCAAGGAGGAATTCAATGAGGAAGACAGTAAATTGTCAAGTTCAAACCTGATTCAAAGTGAATTTGTCACTGCTAGAAAACAACACAACCATATCGAGCACAGAGTTTTCTTCATCATCCTTATTTGATGAAATATCTGCAGTAGACACCTATAAAAAGCAAAATACACAAAATACGAAGTTATATTTTTCACTTGTTTTACACTTAACTGGAAAGCTTCAGAAAATTCATAATCAAAACATATATTTTTGCTAAGGTCTAGAATAACAATTCCAAATATTAATGCTAAGATACTACAGCAAAATGGAGTCATGACATTTTATTATTCAACTCATTCTCTCTTTAGAGGTAGAATTCCTTTAGACCAAGAGGTAATGAGAAAATATAATAAACCTGTCTTAGTAAGACTTGATTATGCAGAATTCTAATCAAGAAACTATAAATGATAATATTATAGGTATGTACACCACAAATCTATCACTATTTTAATGACACACACTTGGGATCTGCAATGTAGTTAGTCTGAACTGAGATGTCCTGCAAACATAAAATACAGCACATAATTACATATTACATGTTGAAATGGTAATATTTTAGATATATCGGTCAAAATGGAAGGCATTAAAATTAATTTCGCCTGTTCACTATAACCTTTATTTTGTTTCGAGAGGAGTTTCACTCTTGTTGACCAGGCTGGAGTGTAATGGCGCGATCTCGGCTCGTTGCAACCTCTGCCTCCTGGTTCAAGCTGTTCTCCCTGACTCAGCCTCCCAAGTAGCTGGGATTACAGTTGTCCACCACCATGCCCAGCTAATTTCTGTATTTTTAGTAGAGACGGGGTTTCACCATATTGGTCAGGCTGGTCTCTTAACTCCTGACCTCAAATGATCCACTGCACCCAGCTCACTGTAACTTTTTAATGTGGCTACTAGGAAGTTTTAAATTGCATATGTGGTTCTCATTATATTTCTATTAGCACCGCTTTAGAATATTATTTTGAATAACATCCAAATTTCAGTATCAGCCAAATGATTATCAACCAATATTGTTCAGTCTGGACTTAGTTCTATTTGACTAAATCAACTAAGTAGCCACTGGTTTGTTAATAATTTCTAGAGTGATATGAAACAAAATAAAGCTCTGAACTAGAAGTTGTAGAAGAAGACAAGGAGGGCACTGCCAAAATCATAAAATACAATCCTCTTTCTTTAAAAAGCTTACAACCGAAGCCTGGAAAGACAGAGTTGAAACACAACAGGTTATGTTCAAGGTCAAAACATAAAACGACTGAATTACTTTTCTTGAGGAACAACTGAAAGATTAACCAGCTGGGTGTGGTGGCTCATGCCTATAATCTTAGCACTTTGAGAGGCTAAAGTGTGTGGATCGCTTGAGCTCAGGAGTTCGAGACCAGCCTGGGCAACATGGTGAAATCCTGTCTCTACCAAAAATACAAAAAACAGCCGAGCGTGGTGGCACACGCCTGTAGTCTCAGCTACTCAGGAGGCTGAGGCAGGAGAATCACTTGAACCCAGGAGGCAGAGGTTACAGTGAGCCAAGATTACGCCACTGCACTCCAGCCTGGGTGACAGAGGGAGACCCTGTCTCAAAAAAAAAAAAAAAAAAAAAGAGGAAGGAAGGAAGGTTGGTTGGTTAACTAAATAGAAGGACTATATCTCAGTATTTTTCAATACAAATACATTTAAAAGCAGTTTTTTTTGTTTGTTTGTTTTTTTGTTTGTTTGTTTTTGAGATGGAGTCTCGCTATGTCACCCAGGCTGGAGTGCAGTGGCACAATCTCAGCTCACTGCAAGCTCTGTCTTCACGGCATTCTCCTGCCTCAGCCTCCCGAGTAGCTGGGACTACAGGCGCCTGCCACCATGCCCAGCTAATTTTTTGTATTTTTAGTAGAGATGGGGCTTCACCATGTTAGCCAGGATGGTCTCGATCTCCAGACCTCACGATCCACCCACCTCGGCCTCCCGAAGTGCTGGGATTACAGGCATGAGCCACCGTGCCCAGCCTAAAAGCAGTTTTAATGGATAGTACTAATGCTTTATAAGAGCAATTTATATTCATATGAACCCTAATGACTACAAGTGTTAATAATGCCAATATTCATCATTAGGGAGTAAGTAAAGCCATGACAAATCCAAACATTAGAAAATTACGCAACATTTTAAAAGTAGGGAGGTAGAAACTTGTATAGACTGCCATGAAAGAAATTATCAAAAGACGTTGTTGATGAAAAAATAAATTGCAGAACAGTATTTGAGGTATAGCACTATAATATAAAAACATGCAAAGTCATTATATGTAGTCTATGGGCACATATAATAGGTTGAATCATAAGAAATTGCTGCTTTTCATCAGTTCAGAAATAATATTGGCAATTTCATATGGATCAACCTAATATATAAATATACCAAACTGGTAACAGGGAAATAAGGAGGACTTGAGGAGTTAGTAATGGTAAATTCTGATCTACCTATAACGCTTTAATTTTTTTAATAGAGAAAATGTATTGATGTGTTGTATGCATAGCATTAACAAAATTAGCTTTCTAAGATTTTAGAGAATCATCCAAGATGATTCACAAAAGTAGAATCATCATCACCAGTAAGAAACTAAGTGACTACTAAAAGTAATCATTAATTCAGTCATAGGACTAATGATGCATTGACAAGGTTATTGAGATATATAATTATGGAAATGGCTAAAATAGAGATAAAGTATCTATTTCTACCTCCCAACCACTAACAGAAAATTCAACACATTATACACACTGAGCAGCTCAAAGAAATTGTAAAGATCCATTATTATTTTTAAAAGGAAATTTAACCAGTGGATGCTTTCACTGAAAATGATAAACAATATATTCCCAGTATAAACCAGAAACAAAGTCTGCAGTAGAAAACTACAATGTCCCTAGATTCAAGTGGGGGTGGGGAGTCATATTTAAATAATAAGTGCAGAAAAACCAAAATATTTTAAAATAATTGTCCATGCAAGAAAGAAAACAGTATCCTCTAGCTTGAAGACCCACTGTTTTTATTTTATAATTTATTTCATGACCTTTAGACTGCTAGAAAAATAAAACCTAACTTGAGGGCAAAGGTAATCTTTGAGAAAATATGTGCTATTGTTGCCTGCATAGATAATAGTGTGATTTATCCAGAAGGTGATAGAAATTTCATTTTCCTAGACCACAGATATAAGCCAAGGAGAATAGAAAGCTCTGACCTAAACTTCACAAGTGTCCCTTCCAAGCAGGGACACGTAAGAGTAAACAAAAAAAGAAGATCAAACTAAACTCAAAGTGAGAAGATAGGAAAAAATAAAGATGAGAATATAAATCAATAAAACAGAAAGGGGAAAGAAAATAGAGAAAAGTCCATGAAAACAAAGGCTGACTCAAGAAGATCAATAAGATTGATAAATCTCTAGCCAGACTGATCAGGAAAAAAATAAGACAAGATACAAATTATTAGTATCAAGAATGAGGAAGGTGAAATCACTACAGATTCTACAGGTATTAAAATAATAAGAAACATTATGATCAACTCCATTCCTTTAATTTGTCAAGATAGACAAAATGAACAAATTTCTTGAAAGGTGCAAATTTATGCAAGGAGAGACAGATAACCTAAATAGGTACCTATTAAAGAAATAAAATTTGTTGTTAAAAACTGTCCCACAGGCTGGGCACCAGTGGCTCATCCCATAATCCTAGCACTTTGGGAGATGGATCACCTGAGGTCAGGAGTTCGAGACCAGCCTGGCCAACATGGCGAAACCCCATCTCTACCCAAAACACAAAAATTAGCTAGGCATGTTGGTGCATGCCAGTAATCCCAGCTACTCAGAAGGCTGAGGCAGGAGAATTGCTTGAACCTGGGAGGTGGAGGCTGTAGTGAGCAGAGATCACGCCACTGCACTCCAGCCTGGGCATGGTGGCTCATGCCTGTAATCCCAACACTTTGGGAGGCCAAGGCAGGTGGATCACATGAGGTCAGGAGTTCGAGACCAGCCTGGCCAACATGGTGAAAAACTGTCTCTACTAAAAATACAAAAAAAAAAAAAAAAAAAATTAGCCAGGCATGGTGGCAGGCACATGTAATCCCAGCTATCCAGGGGGCTGAGGCAGGGGAATCACTTGAACCTGGGAGGCAGTGGTTGCATGAGCTGAGATTGTGCCATTGCACTCCAGCCTAGGCAACAAGAGCGAAACTCCATCTCAAAAGAAAGAAAAAAAAAAAGAAAACACAACAAAAACCCCCCACAAAGAAAATTTCAGGCCAAGATGGTTTCACTAATAAATTCATGTATAATATAAGAAGATACATTTCCACTACTACACAACTTTTCCAGAAAACTGAAGATGAGAATATACTTTCTGATTCATTCTATGAAGCTGGAGTTATGCTGATACCAAAACCAGATGAAGACATTACAAGAAATTAAGACTACAGGCTGGGGCATGGTGACTCACGCCTGTAATCCCAGCATTTTGGGAAGCCAAGGTGGGAAAATTGCTTGAGCTCAGATGTTCGAGACCAGCCTGGACAACATAGTGAGATGCTGTCTCTATTAAAAATTTTAAAAAAGTAGTTGGGTGTGTTGGCACACAGCTATGGTCCCAGCTACTTGTGAGACAGAGGTGGGAGGTCAAAGCTGGAGTTAGCTATGATCGCACCACTGCACTCCAGCCAGGAATTAGAACGAGAACCTGTCTCAGAAAAAAAAAAAAAAAAAAAAAGAAGAAAAAAAGTGCACAGGTCTACAACCGTGGTGCATCCACAGTTTTATTAATATTCAGCAAGAAAAGGAAGTACACTGTTAACAAGTACAACAGCATAGATTAATCTCCAAATAATTGTGCTGAAATAAATCAGTCCAAAAAGCACACAGTTCTGTATGATTCCACTTATATACAACTCTAGAAAATGCAAACTAATCTTGGGGACAAGGACGGATGGCAGGGGGAATGCAGAAAATTACAGAGGGACATGAAGAAACGTTGGGAGATGAATATATTCACTATCATGATTGTGGTATCGTTTTCAAGGGTGTATATGTATATATCAAAGCTTATGGAATTGTACATGTCAAATATAGCTTATATCAACTATACCTCAATAAGCCTGGTTTTAAAATTTTTCTTTTTGAAAAAAGGACAAGAATCTAAGCTTCCTTATTCCTGGTTTAGTAGTAAACTTGAACAATTTCACCTGTCTCCTATACTTAAAATGACATTTCAGAATTTTAAAAACAGGATTTTAATAAAATAGCGAAGTTATTACATAAAATATTTGCTAGTAGTTAACAAATATATTTGTAATACACATATAAATAAAGCCTCGTAACATGATAGTAAGCAAATATCAATCTTAAAATTTTTTAAATAAAAGAGCAACTATATTACATACTGACTTTTTAGAGAGGGTTGGCATAGAAAGATAAGGAGTCAAAGAGGAAGGTAAGAAAAGAGAAAGGATGAGAAAGTAAATATACAAGAAAACGTAACCAGAGGCTCAAAAAAAAAAAAAAAGCAAAGTAGGACAGTAAAATAAACATTTTGACCTATTTATATGATTTTTAAGTTCAAAATAACTTGCTATGAGATTTTCATCATTAACTGACATTTAGATTAGAGAAAATATACATGAAGCAAGCCTCACCCCAGGCAATACAACAGCTCCGATTCCACTTTTCAGCTTTGACCTGCCTCGGCCACCTCGCCCCGACAGTCCTGCACCTCGAGGTCTCCGCTTTCCTGGAAATCCAGACCCATGGCCCTATGTAACAGATTAGGAAAAGTCAACATTCTGTGACAGCCCAAAATAATTTTTAAATCCAAATGCCACTGAGATAAAACATTTTATTAAATGTTATACAAACACTTCTTTAGATAAGTATTAAGAGACCTGGCTTATTATTTTTATCTTTAAAAGTATATTCCACAACTTAAAATTCTAAATATAAAATGCTTACAACCTTAGAATCATACTTTCGGGCTGTCACTGTGAACGCTATCAGCAAGCCTTTGCATGATTTTTCTCTTTGCCACTCCTACATTCTCGGTGACGACAACAACTATAGCCTTATCCAGATATTTCGAAGTGCAACAAATTGTATTCAATATAGAGTAAGGATAAGGAAGAACTCTCTCATTAACTGGTCTCGCGGTGATTACAGTAATAGCTAACATCTATTGAGTACTTACTATGTACTAATCTAAGTATTTTTTACTCTCAACAATCCCATATAGTAGGTTTTATTATCCTCGTTTGAGATGAGTGTGCTGAGGAATAAAATGGTTAAGTAACTTGTCCAAGGTCGCTTAGCTAGCAAGCCTGGCTCCAGCGTCCCTGGGTTGGAAGCATATTCTGTACTGCTACATCAGCATGAAAGTTTATTTTTGCTAGTGTGTAACAGTATTCTTCCTGTCATTAAAATTAAGTCAGTTTCCTTCACTATTCAACAGTTCTCTTATGAACTCAACATTTCTACCTCATTCACCATTGTATTTAGAGGAAAATTTATTATTATTGTTATTACTTTTATTTTTGAGACAAGAACTTGATCCGTCACTCAGGTTGGAGTGCAGTGGTGTGATCACAGCTCACTGCAGCCTAGAACTCTTGGGCTCAAGTGATCCTCCTGCTTCTGCCTCCCAAAGTGCCAGGATTACAGGAGTAAGCCAAAGCGTCCAGCCAGGAAAAATTATTTGAGGATTACAGGAAAGCTGACAAAAGGCTTTGTGAAAGCTTTGCTTTAAATAATCTGAATAATAAATACTTGAAATGGAAATAATTTATCTGACTTCTTACACAAGAAATAAACCTATGGGAAAATGTGTTAAATTCCCTGATAATTTCAGACATTAAGTACCAGAGTATGGTGTTCCCTGCCCCCTCACCCTTGTTCGTACTAATTAATTACTCCTTGAAAAAACCTGGCACCTACCTAAGTAGATGAATTATGTGTATTTAAAATTATCCAGATGCTCAGGAAAATACTTAGGTGTTTCCCTCACCATAAGTTAAATAATATGTCATATCTTCAACTGATGTCCCTTATCATAGTTTGAAATAAACTGATTCCCTATTTAGCAGAATGGTTTCCAAGTCAAAAATTTATGATGATACTGTAAGCATAAAATAGAAACACATGAACAAAAGGAATGGGAGGAATGGCTTTTTTCCCTTTGGATGTAATAAATACAGCCAGCTCCCAGTTTCAAACTGCCACTCCTGTCTTCTCTTACCCTGCTCTCCTTGAGATCCCTTTTGAGAAGTGCATCAGCTTCTTTGCACAACAGATAGATGGGGTCAGGTTAGTTTTTTGGGTTTTTTGTTTGTTTGTTTGTTTTTGAGATGGAGTCTCGCTTCTTTGCCCAGGCTGGAGTGCAATGATGTGATCTTGGCTCACTGCAACCTCCATCTCCTGGGTTCAAGCAATTCTCCTGCCTCAGCCTCCCTAGCAGCTGGGATTACAGGCACATGCCACCACGCACGGCTAAATCTCTTTGTATTTTTAGTAGAGACGGGGTTTCACCACTTTGGCCAGGTTGGCCTCGAACTCCTGACCTCCGGTGATCTGCCCCCTCAGCCTCCCAAAGTGCTGGGATTACAGGCGTGAGCCACTGCGCCCGGCCGAGTTTGTTTTGTTATTAAACTGGTATAAAAGATTTTTGAAAAATTAAGTCAGTGATTAAAAATCAAGACTACAGTAATCTCTCAATTTATTTTCTCAAACATGAAATGCTGACCCAGAAAAAAGGTAAGTAAAAATTGGTGGTCTATATTATCAAACTGTCAAATGAGGTATATTTATACCTCAATATCTTGGATGATATCAGGGGGAGGTAGGGAGGTTAAAAAAAAATAGTTCTTCCAGTCATGAAAGAAAATAAAGTATAATCTAGAATTCCTTAAAATCCTTGATTAGTCTGAATTAAACAGCCATATTCCAGAATATTAAATATAGAATATGAAGAAAAACTGTCATCTCCAGTCAATGAAGTATTTTAACTTTTGAGTTAATACTTTTTCAAATTAATTTTTTTCTCTTCAAAATGCATCACACTACTTAACTCACTTCAAGGACTGGCACAGCCATCAACCAATGTCATGGGGAAAAAAGCCTTGTCATTTTAAGGTATTAAACAGACAATGAAATCTGCCACAATTTTGGTATTTCTTCTCCATAAGAACATAATAAATTAATGGAGTTTTTTCTTTTGCTTTTTTCTAAGCAACAAAGTTTTATGATATCATGAATGAAAAGGTCCTTAATTACCTTTTGGTCTACATGTCAAGGACTTCTCCCTCATAAAACCGGTAGTAATCACAACAAAAGGAATTAACCATAAAAAGAGGTATTAAAAATGTATATTGATTTTTAAATGCAAGCATATTATTTCTTTACATTAAAATTTTTAGATTTAAAAAGTGTTTCTGGAAGCTCAATCTAGAAAAGAAAGATTTAATTCTTTACACCCAGTAGGGCAAAACAAATCAGACAGAAATGATATATGAATGTAAATGCAATTTTATTTACCACTTTGATGCTCCAAATGGCACTGCCAGGAAGCTGCCTGGGTTTAAAAATTTCCCGACCTCCTGAAATGTCTGGGGATCAGGAAGGTGGGCTCACTGTATTATGGGTACTCCAAGCCTCCTAGGATATGGCAGTTGAGAAAATAGATGTGTAAAACTCAGCAACATAAAAGGTCAAAGCCAGCAACTAAGGAATTTTAGAACAGCAAAAACAAATGCAAACATATGGAAATTTAGGACAAATTGCTTCAAGGAAGGCAAAATAAGCTAATCACTAACAGTGATTTAAACATTTAAGTATAACAAATAACTTAAATGTTTGCTGCTACAGAGACATCACTACAATGAAACATTAAAAATTAAGGTTTATATGACATCAACATTGACTCATGAACTGCAATTACTGCACCAAAAAGTAAATAAAAGTCAATCACACTTTAAGAATTAACACTAGAAGAAAGTATTGGGGGGTTATTTTTCTTCTAACAACTATCACTCTACTTAAAAGGAGAAATGGATAACCATAAGGAATTCTATATTCTATAGCTATAAACAACCAAAACCAGTAGGCCAAAGAATGCAATGAGAAACATAAGCAATAGATAAATGCATAAACTTTACACTGTAGAGAGCTGGTAACATTAAAATGCAAATACCATTATAATCTTAGCATTTAATCACTCTTTCTTCAGTGACCATTAGTTGCCGGTTTGGTTTCGGTTTTTACTCAGGGAAATGAATACTTTATGGAAATTACATCCAATGGACAAAAGTGAAGAAACGTTAAAGCAAATTGTCCTAAATTTGCAAATTAAAATGCCTAAAGTACCTGATAAATTATATAGAAAGTAGTATCTTATTAAAATCTATATAACTAAAACTAAAGCATTTTACTTCCAAACAACCACATTCAGCAATACCCTGAACTAATCTGAAGATGCTAAACAGCATAAAGAAAAATGTTTACTCCACAAAGGTAACATTTTAAAGAAAAACAAGACAAATGTCAAACAATAAAAGGATATATTTTGAATTAGGTAATTCAATGGTGCATGCATAATTTTACCAATCAAGTAACCAAAACTTAAGACAAGGTACATAGTACTTACCAGGTTTCTAGAATATCATCAAATTAACAAGTACTATCTCATTAATCACATAAAAATACCACCAGGAATTAAAATAACCAGAAATAAGAATGTGACTACTCTTGGGGTAAGAGATAGGTAACGGAATAACGGTATTTTGGAAAAGCCACACAAGCAATAGACTGGTTTCATTTTTAAGTCACAAACTCAACCCACACACATTGAAGTCCAGCAATCCAACTCATTCTCTCCAGCAAACACTTTATTTTTTTCCCCCTCCAGGATTACCCTCAGGTGTTCTTTCTTACCCATCAAATCTCTAACCTAGCTCAGGTAATCACTATGCTGATTTCACTGAGCAGCAACCACTGCAGGTCAATTACCTCACTTTCATAATTTCAAATCAACTTGAATCTGTACCTATGTCTTCTTCCCTACTATTAGTAGGGAAGTGTTGTCAAAAGCCATTTCTCTTTTCTCATTTTACTCATGCTCCTAACATCTGGCATACTGTTCTGCTGGATTTGGCAGCAGCCCACCTGTGGATAATTCACTGACTTCCTCGCTAATCTTTCTTCATCTCCTGTACGTGTTCTTCCTCTATTTGACTTCCAAAGCCCTGGAGTTTCCCAGGGCTTGAGCCTAGATCCTAAATGGTGTTATCTACAATGAGGGCATCTTGCAAGTTGATGCTTCCCACATTCTTATTTCTAGTTTTAATCAAAGATCTCCAAATTAGCAGGATTTTCAACTTCCTCCTTAGCATTTCCATTTTCTCACATAAAACCCCTCTTAATTTTGCCATGGTTAAAATTTCTCCCTTAACCGGTTTCATCCCAGTCTTCCCCATCCTTATAAATGGCATCCAGTCCCTTGTCACTCTCCTCTGCTCCTTCAGTCCTCTCCCCCAACACCTCGTCAATGCAAATCATCAGCAAATTCAAGACTTTTTATCTTCAAGTTTTGTCTCCGATCCTTCTGCTTCTTGTCACTTCCACCACTAGCAGCCCACTCGTGGCCACCACCATCTCTCACCTAACCTGCTACAAGAGTCTACTGCTGGTTATGCTTCTCCCACCCTGCATCTACTCAAGCCTTTCCCCACAGCAGCCAGAGGAACTTTTCAAAAGTACAAATGTGATCAAGCAAGTCACTATTCTATTTCAAATCTTCAATTGCTTCTCAGAGCACTTAAAAGACAAACCTTTCCCAGTGCCTTTCTCCAGCTCATCTTGTGGCACTTGTCTCCCTGCTGCTATGCTCCAGCTATTCTGGCTTCCTTGCTGTCCTTCAAACATGCCAAGCTCTTTATCAATCAGAGCCCAACTGACTCAGAACACTTCACTATACCATTCCAGCCCTTCAATAAATGTCTGGCATTTTCTTTCTTTCTTTTTTTTTGAGATGGAGTCTCGCTCTGTCACCCAGGCTAGAGTGCGGTGGTGCGATCTCGGCTCACTGCAACCTCTACCTCCCAGGTTCAAGCAATTCTCTTGCCTCAAGCCTCCTGAGTAGCTGGGATTACAGGCATGCACCACCACGTCCGGCTAATTTTTGTATTTTTAGTAGAGAAAGGTTGTCTCCAAGTTGCTCAGGCTGGTCTCCAACTCCCGACCTCAAGTGATCTGCCCACCTTAGCCTCCCAAAGTGCTGGGATTACAGGTGTGAACCACTGCGCTGGGCCAATATTATTTTTTTAAGAAAATACTAATAAAAAGGAACAATTGATATTAAATAAAATTTAACTATTGACTATAAATATATGTTTCAAGAGATTTGAGTGAAAATACCATTCTACGTTAAAATAAAAAATATAACATTCGATAACTATAGTAATAACATGTTCTCAAAGATTCAAGGGGCTAAAGCTAATGAGAAAAAGTTAAATATAAACATCTTACAATTTACCTAATTACTTGAAATAGAAACTTATGTTCATTCCTGTATTTCTCCATTTTTCCAATTTCTAATGTCTACTTCTTTCCATTTTGTATTTTCTTGTATTGAGGCAATTTAAAGAGGATATGCCAGGTCTTCAGAAAGCCAAGAACTGAATATAAGCACTCTGGAACCTATCTGAACTTAATTTTGTCCAAGATTTTTTTAATGGTTGAAAATTGGCTCAACTGGGGATACTAAGAGGAAATATCAGGGGCAAAGGGGATTTGGGTTAAACAGATCGAACAGGATTCTTACTGAAGGCAGGCCAGACCGATCAGAAATCATCTGGAGGGTGGTGGGAGATAACAAATTTGATCAGATATCAAAGGTGATCAGTACTGAGAGTGGGGGATTCTTTGCAAGTTTCTTCCTAAACCTGAGAGATGTGGGCCAGACTAGGATGAACACTGAAAGCTGAGGCTGAGAGGTGGCTTAGAGGATCCCAACTAGAGTTTGGGCAAGGGGAGAGGCTTTGTCAATGCAAACATGCATTCAGCAATATTACCAAGTACAGATGCATGCACCTAAAAATACTGAAAGGAAATATAAGAAAATGTTTAAAAATTTTTAGTGGCTTATTTATTTTATGTAATTTAAATATATATATATATATATATATATATATATAAAATTAAGGTGTACTTTGAACACATACTAACACATTCAAAGAATTAAGTATACATTTGATAATACATAATAGTTACAAAATAAGCAAGGTCTTCATGTAAACGAGTTTAGAATTTCCAGGGTTTATTACTTAGCATTTGATCAGCAGGCCTGTAACTTCTTCTGCTGCCCATTCATTGCCCATTTTATTAAAAATTCCTCAAGTGGATGCATTGGAATGGAAGAAACACTGACTCTTTCCTTCAAAGAAGGAAACAACAAACCTTGTTTGACAACCCTGGTCAAACAAGACAAGGACCAAGTGGCCAGTGGTAAGGAAAGTTGGTCAAAACTAATGAATGACATTTTAGGTTAAAAGTGAATTTTATTTAACCCAATTATTCTTATCCTATGAACACAAATTTGAATTTAAGTTAGCTTGATGTAGCTGGTCACCCCATTCCAAAGCATGAGTCGAAATACCCTAAGGTTCCAGAAGGAGCCAGCTTTCTTCAGAAGGTGGCAAGCGCATTGCAAAGTACTGAGGAAAACTTTCTTTAAAGTATCTTTTTTCATCATTCCATATTTTGCTCCTTATAATTGCAACTGCTCTCCTTATATGTCTCTTTTGAAACTTCTCACTTGTCTAAGGTACTATTGTTCCTCCTCATCTTTTTTTTTTTTTTTTAATAGCATAGTCTCTCTCCCTCCTTGCCATGCTGAAAAGGCTTCTGACTTGCTGTTCTTGCCAGGAAATATTTCTGCAGGGCGTATTGGAGTGGAACTACTTACAGAGTGTCAGGGCAAGTCCTTACATTTGTTTATGCTTAGGACACAACACAGAAGATAATTTTCTAAGTTAAAGATTGTATGATTTTATCTTGACTTCAGAAACTGGTCATACTTTTTTACTTTAGTTTCTAAGAACCTCAGAGCTGAACTTGAAACAACTTTAATAATTCCAATGAGACATTTGTTATTTATCCTTTTTAAAAAAGACTTTTCTAATTTAAATAATTTTATTATTGCTCTAAATTTGCCAGGTTCATTTAAGAATTTTATAAACTGTTTTAAAACTAATTTACATTAAGTTGGAATAAAGTTAACCAAATTAATACAAACATATTTTATTGCACTTCTCTTTATTGTGCTTCACAGATAGGAACATTTTTTCTTTATTTACAAATGAGATGTTTGTGACAACCCTGGTGAAGCAAGTCTATTGGTGCCATTTAACAAACAGCCTGTGCTCACTTTGTGTCTTGGTTTCACACTTTGGTAATCTTCACAATTTTTAAAATATTTCCTTATTATTATATTCGTTACGGTGATCTGTGATCAGTGATCATTAATGTTATGGGAGGCAGAGTTTGCAGTGAGCAGAGATCATGCCAGTGCACTCCAACCTGGGCAACAGAGTGAGACTCCATCTCAAAAAAAAAAAAAAAAAAGGAGTTTTTATATGTAGGGTACAAAATACTATCTGACCTTAGGGTGTGTGCAAATTTTTCTGAATTAATTAAGACTTAAATACCAACAGGAGTGATTGTTTTTGTTACAATCACCAGGTGGGTGATCTGATACTTTCCCCTGAAAAATGCATATACAAAATTTTCACATAATTTAAAAACATCCACGGATGCATAACTATGGAATCAGTTTATGGATCAAGAATTCAACTCCTCAGAAGTAAAAGATTACATGAGAAAGTATCTGATATTGAGGTGACAAGGAATAATGTTGAAATGTATCTCATTAAAAAGTGCAGACAGTTGTGGCTAAGACATTGGGTATTACAGAGGTGCATCCATGTGTCCAGTGAGAAGACTTTAAGAATCTGTTTGGGAATAATGAGAACATGAGCATTCTCCTCCCTACCTCTAGCACTCCCCTCCTGCTATTTGGGTATTGTGAATTTACCAAACACAGTGATTTAGGTCACTTTTATTATTTCAGAAATTCCAGATACCTTACTACTTATATAAAATAGCCCTTGAAAGGATGCTTACCATTAAATAATGTATAATACAAAGAAAAGACAAATGTATGTGATCTGTAGTGCACAGTTATAATACAATCTGAATACTACATTTAAATTTTTCACTCCACTTTCCAAGAAATAAAGCATTGATTCTAAATATATTATCTATTTGTCAAAACAAATAGAAACTATCTAGTGTTTCATTTATAAAAGAAATTAATTAATGGTGTCTCTAAGTTAATTTTTTACTTCTTTTCCCCATATCATTTTTATATTATATGAGAGCATATTTTTCTACTCTACCCTGGAATTAATAAACAAAAAATAAGGTATGATAAGAAAACTTCAAATATAAACATAACCAAACTAAAATAACACCTTTTTTCTTCTATTTACTTTATTTCTTGAACTCAGTGATGTAATATGTCTTCATCTGCCTCTGAGAATACACTTAAAACTACAGAAGCAAATTAACATTTTCCCAATTCACATGTAGTGCAATATTTAAGATTTCATCTAATTGAACACGTGTTGGATCAAATTTATAATACTAAAAGCACTCTTCTACATACTGCAATGTCTAGATGGAAGACAAGCTAGTCAGGTGGCAGAGTGAACATCATTCTGGTAGGCCTTTTCAAGCTGTCACTTGCAAGATGTTTGGACTGCTGAGAATGTTAGCCATAATTAATTGCAGAGATAGGAGGCTGCAAATGGGTGAGGTAATGTTCAAATGCATGGAATGATGACTAGTCATAGTAAAAGATAATAGATGTGGCCACATTGCTTTGAGAAAATTTAGAGAATATTTTGGGTCACAATGATACATTTCTGCATTATTTGTGGAATGTTTTCAATGTAATTACATCACACAGGTAGACTTCCAGATCCTGTGTCTAACTTACTTTCCTTGGCTCTGTGGGAGAACACATATTCTAATGAAGTTCATTTTAAGGCAAATATTTCTTGAAAATACAAAACTGATAGATATATGTATGCAGGTTTCCTTCTTATACGTCTTTTATAAACAATGAAGTTGTATTTCTCCTTTAGTGTTTAATGTGTTTCATCAGATAATGCCCTAGAAGTTTTATCAAATTTTTCTGTCTACCATTTGAAGATGTATGAGAGGGAAAAAATGCAGTCTGCCTGCTTCACTAACAAAAGTAGGACAAAGGCCATCACAACTGAAATATGTGAAACACTTGGTTTTATGAATTTCAAGCATTTTATATCTCTACATTTGGACTCGAGTAAAGACATTTCATAGAAAAACTGAAATATTTTTATTTGTTTATTTTTTAATCTTGATAACCTGCAATAGTTTACAGCCAGAATGGCAGCTTTTATATATGTACACTCATTTAAATACAGTTTCATACCGTAAATAGCCATGGGGCAAAATATCTGCCTCTAGGCACAAAAAAAAAAATCTTTGCCGCTAAATAAACACCTTTAAGTGATACTGCAAAGAATAGATATGAGGTAATTTTTTACCTAAATGACTCTGGCCTGTATTAAGACATATTCACTGTAACAATTCAAGTTTTAAAATCCTTGTTTTGTAACTCAAAAATATATCTTTTTTACAAAACACACCTTTACATTTATTGCTATTGTACATTTATTTGGCAGGAAACAGGGATGTTTGATGTCTTGCAATGATAAAGCGATCGTATTCAATAGAAAATTGTCTCACATTCTGCAAGACTTTTGAACATTCTATAAGACAATTACATAAGTGAAAAACAAATTTGTAGATATTTGAGTACAACCATTTAATATATGAATAAAAGCAGTTCAGAACATTTTAATGTACACTGCATTTTCTGATAGTAAGATTTTAGGTTAAAATAAGATTATACTTCAAAAAGTGTACCATTTTGAAAAAAAAATCATATCACTGCTGGCAATGCCATTTTCATACTAGTCCAACATATTGCTTATCCATCTGTGTTTGTTTGATTTTACTGTTATTACTTTCATGATAATGCTAAAGTACATACATACACACACACACACACACCTAAGGTGTGCAGGCTTTCATCCAAGCTTACTGGTATTAATTAAAAATCAACCAGAGGTAGGGAAAAATAAAACTTATTCAAAAATACTATTGCAATAGGGAGAATATTCCAAACTCAATCTACAGGTGTCTCAGGATCAAACAGGAAAAGGCTTTCCTTTTCTAGGGAAGGACAAGCAGGGCTGGCAGAAGCCTCCTTGGAGAGAAGGACAGGCAGTCGGGTGAGCAGGTGGCAAAACCAGGATGCTCCAATAAAAATAGTTTCTCTGGGAGTCCCGCTCATTTTTGGAGTGAGCTGTTAGCGGGCTGGTCTGTCCTTTAGTGCTTGTTCAGTCTTAGGTGGTGAGCCAAGGTCCAGGGGCCTGAGGAGAGGAGACAAGACTGTCTGAAGTTTGATAAAATCAAGTCAATGGGTAGTTATGAGTAATTGTGAGCAATTGGTCAGCTTTGGGCTCAGCACACACCCCACCTTATGTTGTTTACCACAAACAAAACTTGTCCCTAAAAATTTTTAGGAATGGCATCAGATATAGCGAAGGTTTGCAAACTGATTTTCAGGGTTGGGCTGGTCTTCATGTGTTTGTTAACCTTGAGGACTAGGTATATCATTTGTTAAGTGTGTTATTGGACTGACAGCTGCTCTCTATGAAAAGTAGAATAATCATTGAATATAATAAAAAGAATAATTATTGAAGGTTGGATAAAGAGGTCCGCGGAGCGATGGGCGAGTACGCGGGTGCCACACGCTCCTCGCCTTCTGCTGCCTGCAACTGGTGGCAGCGCTGGAGCAGCAGATCTTTGACTTCCAGGGCCGCCTACCAGTGAGCTCCCACCCTAGCCAATTTCCTGCGCCTCGTGGCGCTCACCCTGGGCATCGTGGGCACCGCAGTGTGGCTGACGCTCCGGGCTGGCCTGAGTGCGTTTATCACCTGCTTCTACCCGAAGGCTGGACCCAATATCCCCAGACCGCGACTTCCCCACAGCGTCCAAATGCCCCTGTACCGATCCAGGGATGGAGAATCGCCGGGCAGCGGGCGACTCCGGTTCTGAGCTTCCCCTGGCCATGGGGCGCTGCCGTGCAGTCTTGTCCCTGGCTGCCTGCTGCACTGTCCCTGCAAAGAAGCCCTCAGCAGCGCCCGCAGATCCTCCTGGCGCTGCTCCGCTTCCTGTTCGCCAGCTATGGGAGCAAAGTCTTCCTGAAGGAGGAGGCAGCTTTGACTTCATCAGCGGCTTCCACTCCTAGGGATGCCAGGCGCCCCAGAAGACGTCACGTTGACACCAGCAGCCTCTATGCGCTTCGGGTAGCCCTGCCCCGCCTGCCCTGGCCCTGTGCCCTTGGCGCTGGACTGACCTCGGCAGCCGCGATCTTGGTCAGGACCAGCAGGCACAGCCCTGGGGGCTCGGGACCCACTGCAGCCTGTGAAGGCCCCATGGCTCTGCACACAGAGAGGCGGAGCAGCAGACTTTGGGACTTGGCCCCTCACAACCAGGACTTCAGAGAGGATTGGGGCGGGTAAGGGAGGGGCCACGGAGTCCGCATTTTAAAAAAATTCAGACTTAGTGTGAGCTGGAGCTTTTCTCCCTTCTCCAGCCTCTTCCTTTCACCCTTCACCCAGCATCCCGCCCCTGTCCAGAGAGAAACAGCAGGAGGGCTTGCCCTTTCTATCTCACCGCACTCACTCCCCAGCCTGAGGAAAGCCGGGGGAACTAGGGGCAGGAGTTCTGGTTTCTCATCTCAGGTCCATCAGACTCTGGGTGACAGCTAGCAGAGCCCTAGCCTTCTCGGTGCCTCAGTTTCCCCACCTTGTCATTAAAAGAGTCCCTTGGTAGGTGAGCTCTTCTAGCCTTCTCATATAACTCTGAATTCTGTGGGCTGGGGTGGATTATAAATCCCATTTTGCAGATGTAGAAACTGAGGCCAAGAGAAATGAAATGGTTTGAGGCCACACTGCTAGATTTTGGTGGAAGCAGGCCTTGAACGCAGCGGACTTTCTGTAGTTTCAGCCTCTAAAACCCAGTGTCCTCTCTGAGTTCCATTTTCAGGCCCCTCACTACATTCACACATCACTGCTTGCCAAGACCTCTCCTCAACCACCATCTTATCAAAGGTGACAAGAGTCACCTTTGCTCCAGTTCCCAGCAAGTTCCTCATCTCCATCAGAGACTGCCTCAGCATGGATTTCATTGTCCATATCATTATCAGCATTTTGGTCAAAGCCATTCAACAAGTCTCTTGGAATTTCAAACTTTCCCACATTTTCCTGTCTTCTGAGACCTGCAAATTGTTCAACCTCTGCCAGTTACCCAGCTCCAAAGTAGCTGGGATTACAGGCACACACCACCACACCCGGCTGATTTTTGTATTTTTAGTTTCATCATGTTGGCCAGGCTGGTCTTGAACTCTCGACCTCAGGTGATCCTCCCCCCTTGGCCTCTCAAAGTGCTGGGATTACAGGTGTGAGCCATTGCGCCTGGCTGCTGCTCCTTTTTTTTTTGTGATGGACCTAAGAGATCTTTAGGAATGAGGGAAATGATCCTTTCTTTGAATAAGGCAGAATACTAAAGACTAGCCAGCCCTCAGGCTCATGGTGGTTGCTGCTATTCTGTTGAATGTGAACCATAGCCTTTAGAAAGGAGCAAGTCTTTGTGGAATACACAGGATTTGAAGTGCAACAAAGGGGTGGAAACCCAGCTGACCATGATACCTTCAAGTGAGTTTTTCCACTGAATTTGATTATTTTCCCATTTGGCACTTCTTTCTGGGTTTTTTAAGCAGCCCAAAAACTCTAGGTGATTTTACTTTTGTAATTGTATTCTCTTGGGAATGCTCATTCCTGATTCCTCGTTTCACCAAATAGGTGTGGAACCTACTTGTTTCTGCCTATAATAATTCTGGAGTCTTTAAACAAAACGACTGTGACTTTTCATGTTGAGTAGAAGATAGATTTTACTCATGCTACAATCAATATTAATTCCTTGCAGTTCAAAGACACTGAGGCCTTGTCTAATAATATAGAAGTTGAACTTGGACTTGGGAGATGACTCCTGCCTCTCGTCCTCTCTGTGGCTCTGCTTTCTATTATTTTACTCATAAGCTTGTTTTGTCTCCTTGCTGAGAATTGTCAAACATGAAATGTAATTTCAGGCTATAGTGAAGAAAGATGACGTAGGCAGAAGAAATTGGCAATCATTTGGCCTGTACATGTTGCTTTTTGTTTTTTTTTCTGGACTTAGGATATAGACCACACCTTGACATTTCTGGCCTTTGAGTCTTTCACAACTGTGATTATAATACATTAGCTCTTCTAGAAGTTAGAAGTGACTTTGGATTAAGTCTTTCATAAGGTGGCTAAATGAATTTATATGGCTCATCACAATTCACTAGATTGGTTAAGCAGGAAGTTTACAGAGATTTTTTTCTTTGCTGTAAATGTTTTTCTAAATTGAAAAACTTCTATTACTGTTTTCTGGAGTACTAGAAATAAGTGCAAGTGATTGTTTTTGGCAGGAGGCCACATAAACATTTCTGCTTCTCTGTGCCTTATGGGTAGCATTGATATAAATTGTTAAAAATAATGATTGTAGATAGATAATGTATCAGAATTTGGGCTCACCTGCGGTAGCTGCTGTTGACCCAGAGGGACCACTGGGATCCTCACATCTCAGGGCAGCACATCGTTTGCAGCAATGGTTGGTTCTACGCAACCTTTTATGAAATTAGGTGAGGCCCTTGCTTAGAATTTTTTAAAAGCTTAATATGAGTTTATATCTCTTTAAATATCAGTTTCTAATATTTTTTTTAAAGGCCTATGTTTACAACAAATTTAGGAGATACCTTTATGCACTACTAACTAGTGTTCTTTTGTGGTGCTTTAGAAATTCTGGCTTACTTGTATTTTTGCTGGCCTTCTAATGATTTCACTCATCAATCAGAAGATATTTGTGTCCACCTCCCTGCTTCCTCTCCGGTGATCTTGTCTATTCTTGGCCATTTTAGAGTTGACTTAGCAGCCTTCACAAAACTGATTGGAATTTCCACTGGGATTAAATTGATAGGTCATTTTTGGGAGACCTTTGCAATATTGAACTTTCCAATCCATGAACTTTACTTATCTGCCCATTTATTATGTTTGTTTTTGGTAGATTACAAAATTATATGATCACTCCAAAAATTACCTTGCCCTTTATAGTAAAACCTTCCATTGTAAACTTCTGGCAATAACTGATCTGTGTTCCTCTGGCATTGCTTTTTTTTCAGAATTTTATACAAATGGAATCGTTCAGGATGTAGCCTTTTGAGTCTGGCTACTTTCATATACTGCATCAACAGTTATTCCTTTTAATTGCCAAATAGTAATCCATTGTATAAATACTACATGGTTTGCTTATTGGTTTGTCGTTGGAGGAATATGGACTATTTTCACTTTTTGATAAATTATAAGTGGATTGGAATTCACAAAGTGCTTTTTGTCTGAGCATAGGTTTTCATTTCACTTGTGCAAATGCCTAAGGGTAGGATTGCCGAGTCACATGGTCCATGTACGTTTGACTTTATCAGAACCTGCCAAATTGTCTTCCAAAGTGCTGTGCCACTTCTGTTTCTTTAATAAATACAGGGGTATTCAAGCTGTCTGTTTCTTCTTGAGTTTCGGTAGTCTGTCTTTCAAGGAATTGATCTATTTCACCTAATTTGTAGAATTTAGAAGCATATAGTTGTTTGTTTTGTTTTTGTAGTGTCCATTCTAGCCTTCTAGTGTCTACAGGATTTGTAATAATATTCCTTTCATTTCTGGTATTGGCAATTTGTGTTTTCTCTTCTTCCTTTGTCAGTCTGCTAGAGGCTTCCTCATTTGATTGACTTCCACCTCCCACCGCCCTTGCAAAGAACCAACTTTGGATTTCGTTGAATTTTTTTCCTTTACTGTTTTTGTTTAAATATTACTGATTTAGTCTGTTTTTCTTATGCCTGATTTGAGTTTATTTGGTTCTTTTTTTACTTAAAGTAAATGCTTACATTATTGATTTGATGCTTCATTTCTCATAATTTAGTGCCATAAATTGCCCTGTAAGCACATATTTTGATAAGATGATGTCATATTTATTAAGTTCAAACTGTTTTCCAATTTGTCTTAAGATACTCTCTTTGACCTATGGGCCATTTAGAAGTATGCCATTTAACTTCTCATATTTGGGGATGTTCTAGAAATGTTCTAGATTCCTAGTTTAATTCTGTCATCAGAGAAAATAATTCACTGAATTTTAATTGTTTAACTTTAGGGTTTGTTTTATGACCCAGAATATGATCTCTCACCACCACCATCCAGATAATTCTTCAGGTTTTGACGTTTCCCAACCTGTCTGCTGGTTACTTTTCAGAGTACTTGGGTCATTGCTATTTATATTTTGTCCAGAGTTTCAAATTGTGATCAGTGGAAATGACAGGCCGTAGCATGCATACGCCATCCTGGCCAGCATCACAGGCGGTCAGCATATCTTTCTGTTGTTGTTTTGAGACAGGGTCTCACTCTATTGCCCAGGCTGGAGCACAGTGGCATGATCAGGGATCACTGCATTCTCAACCTGCTAGGCTCAAGTGATCCTCCCACCTCAGCCTCCCGAATAGCTGGGTCTATAGGTGTGCTGCCATGCCCAGCTAATTTTTGTATTTTTTATAAAGACGTGATTTTGCCTTGTTGCCCAGGCTGGTCTCAAACTCCTGAGCTCAGGCCATCCTCTCACTCGGGCCTCCCAAAATACTAGGATTACAGGCATGACCACCACACCTGGCCAGTACATCTTAAAAATAATTGCTGATCCACGTTGAATAATGATGGCCTGTAAATATTTTCTCTTGCACTTGCCTTGTTGGGTTTTGATATCAAGGTTATTTTTATTTTAACCTTGTAAAATGAACTCGGGAGTCTTCTTTTTTTATTCTCTGTGTTGGTGGCAGAGTTTTTTTTGTTGTTGTTGTTTGGTTGGTTGGTTTGTTTCTCTTGTATGTTTCATGAAACTTTTTGGTGAAGGCACTTGGGCCTGGAAATTTCTTTATGGGAAGTTTTTTCATTACTGATTCAATATATTTAATCTATGTAAGTTTTTTTTCTACTTTTTGAGTCAATTTTGATTTTTTTTCCTAGAAATTCATATCTCACCAAGTATGGTGGCTTATGCTTGTAATCCCAGCACTTTGGGAGGCTCAGGTGGGAGGACCACTTGACTACAGTAGTTCAAGACCAGCCTGGCCAATATAGTGAGACTCCATCTCTACAAAAAAAATAAAAATTAGCTTGGTGTGGTGGTGGGTGCCTGTAGTGTGAGCTACTTGGGATGCTGAGGTGGGAGGATCATTTGAGCCTGGAAGATCGAGACTGCAGTGAGCTGTGATTGTGCCTTCTTCCTTCCCCCTCCTCCTCCTTTTTACTTTTCTTCCTCTTCCTTTCTCTTCTTCTTTCTCTCCTTCATTATCCCTTTCGCTGTTTCTCTTTCTCCCTTTCTCTTTTTTCTTTTCTTTCAATTTTCTCAATTACTAAGAGATGTTTAAGTACCCTCAGCGTGTTAGTAGATACGGTTATTTCTCCCTTTAGTTCTCTTTTGAGATTTATAGTCACTCAAATAAAGAGATAACCCAAACATAAGCGTCACAAACAGGCTTTCATACCATTCTTAATTTGGTCCTGTAATTCTTCATTGCTGTATTAATTTTCTGATGCTTTTAAGGATGTTTTATAACAAATTGTGTAGCTTTTTCCAATGGAATGTTTATTCTGAATTATCTAATTCATATTGTAAGTATAGAGGGAGTTTAATATAAAATTATTAAACTAATATTTGTGAAAGAATGTATTTGTGCATTTAACAAATATGTTAATCCTCAGACTGTTATTGGGCAGCTCAGCATACAGGAATAAAAATAACACAATTTTTATGTGTACAATATTTATGGAATACGTTACTGGACCCAATAAATAATTTAGTTAATAACATGACAAAGAACAGAAATTGTATACACCATAGAGCATAGTAATGGAATAATGAATGATTAAAGTTATTAATATTAGGTAGAAAGTGAAGGGTATCTTTGAGAGCAGAATTCAAGGAAGCAAGCAATTCGCCTTATCAGGAAAGAGTTACCTGTGGATAAAGGAGAAACTGAAAAATTTACAAGTCAAGACTTTTTGAGCAAAAACAAAAATATGACTATTAGTCACCAATTCAGTACAGTGAAAAAAATGTTGAAGAGATATCTTGGAAGTAAACCATGTTGTGGAAGAGCATGTAGGGTTTTGATAATCATGGGATGATTCTGAATTAATTTTAAATGCGATAGGAATATATGAGATAATTTCACCAGAGAATAATATGATTGTGTTTGCATTTCAAAGGGGTGTATCTGGTGCACTGTGTAGAATAAATAGGTTATGTGAGCAAATAAATTGGGAGGCTACTCTAATCCAGCGAAAAAAGGTAGTGACCTAGGTGAGAATGCTGTCAGCATGAGTGGTAGTAGTGGTGAGAAGTCGTTAGGCCATGGATGTATTTCATAGGACTGGCCAAGAGAACTGCAGGTAAATTGGAGTGTAGGGAGTGAAATAGAGAACTCAAAGATGACTCTCAGCAATGGAAGGTGACAGCTGTCACTGAAGCATGCTGATGCCTCTTATTAAGAGAGTTACTTGGGAATGGCAAGATCAAAACTTCTCACTTTCAAATTTATGAAAAATATTGTTTTCAGAACGAGTGACTTTGGGATCAGAAAGCCACCATTCTAATTGATGGTTCCACGACTACACGGGCTCACACTCGCAAGAGCAAAAGTAAATCATCACAAAGGTGCTTCTTGATAATTCTAGAGAATGGAGAATTACTGTAACATCTTTCTGATTTTAGGAGAGGTAGCAGTTCCCTTTTTAGCCTAAACGCTATTTCTTTTTAAAGCTCAGCCAAGAGACTCCATTATAATTTTCAAATGTGTGTAACTTAAATTCTCATATGAAATACCACTATGCTTAAATTAGTCAAAACATTTTCCCCATCTACAACTCTATCTTGTCATTGTAATCATTTTCACAAAAGTGACTGCAGCTCTCAGACCCTAAAAAGAGAAAATCCAGGGTAGTTTATCTGATCTAGTTAGTTTCGAAGACAGGATCTAGAGATTATTTAATACGAAATGGGTCACCTGAAATGAAGTGTTTGCTGAAAACAGCTTGGATCAGCCCAGTTTTCTACCACTGAACCATGCATTTGGTTTAAAAAACACAACAACTCTGCGGAATATCGGCTGCTTCCAACTGTGTTGAAGGTGTTAAAGAAAAGAGCATAAAATTAAAAATGATCATCTGAGGCCTTTATAGTCTCTGCTCAAGAGACTAGAGTTTTCCATTCTTAACGAAACACCCAAATATCTTAATAATTGGGCAAAATCTAAATATCAGAGATAATTTTATCTTGAAGATTGTTAAATTATAACGGTGATTCACTAGCTTGCCACGTCTCTGAGTCAAAAATTAGGTCTTTGTTTAGGAATCAATCATAATCTGCAATTTGGAAATAGGAAGATTTTAGAAGACTCAGACATTGACTTTCTTGTGTGCAAAAAAAAAGACGTATTGAGATAAGACAAGTCTTTCCTTGCAAGGATACCTCTAATGCTCATACACCACCTCCCCTAACATTAATAGAGCTTCCAGGTCACTAACCAGTGTCAGAGAGCAGCCCACGCAACCAGAAATTCAAAAGATGTCGAACATAGGGTCAAGCTTAGAATAAGACGTCTTAGCTAATTAAGTATGCTTTTTTCCCGAAATTCATATTAACAAAATCTTGGATATGTCAGAGAATGCATTCTAAGTTCACTCAACCTAGGAGGGAGAAACATAATTTTAAATTAAGAGCTGAAGCATTCTTGTCCTAACACAAAGCAAGGAAAACGAAATATCACACCACAGGAGGGATTTCACAAATTTGCGTCAACATCAAAACCTTAAAATAGGCAAGGAGAATGCAGATTCACAATGAACTCTTGTACTTGTTTTGTTCAGAGAAGAGACGGTTCTGAGAGAATGACAGTGAACTAACCCCAGCTGGGTTTAGTTGGTGCTTTCAACTACTGCTTCTGATCAACTCCTTTAGCTAGAATAAATTGATGAGGATTTTGGCCTGTGGTATTAGAGATGGTTATTAATTTTTTCCTCTTATTTGCATTGTTCAATATAGTAAATACTAGCTGTATATGGCTACTTCAATTCAAATTAATTACAATGAAATATACTTAAATATTGAATTTCTTAGTCACTCTTGGTTCATTATTGAATATCTTCAGCTAAGATTTCCCAACTAAAGACACTAAGAGGTGGCTTAGTTAACCGGTCATCCACAAATATTGAAGCTGCTGTTAACTCCTGATATATTCTCTGCAAGGAGAATACTCATAAGCCTCCTCCTGAAATCAGCAGCCTAGAGATAGTTTTATAAACTGGATACAAGTTGGAAATCTATATACTCTTTAAGTGTTTGAAATATTAGCTTTCCAGGGAAGAAAATCAAATTCATAAGATATGCTAGGACAATTTAACTCAAGATGTTCAAAACTGAAATGACATATTCTACAACATGTGATAAAACCACCCCCTAACAACTTAAAGCAAAACAGGGATGGACCTTAAAGACCTGCCTTTTCCTCATCCCCCAGCCAATCAGTTTTCAAATCTTGCATTTTATTTTGAAAGGTCCCTATCCCCCTGGTCTCTTGTTTCTAGACTTGGCACATATTTAAGTTTGTTACCTCTCTCTACTGACTTTTCTCTCTTCAAACAGTATCTATGCCTGCCAAATGTGAACGTACAAGAAACAAATCAGAATGTGCCATTCTGATTTAAACTGCTTATTAGTTAATACCCTCAAGATAACATCTGGGTTCTTAGCTTCAATGAGTCAAGCCTACTTACATCTTTTTGTCTTTGGCTGCACATTTCCTATCACATCGCACTCCAGCGATGCCAAGCTGTGCCGGCCTTCCACTCCATCTCCATTATTTCACCCTCCGCCGCCGCCGCGGCTTTTTGCCCCCCCGCCGCCGCGGCTTATTCCCCCCATCCCGCCTAGGCTTTTTGCCCGCCGTGGCTTCCCCGCCCCCCGCCGCGGCTTTTTGCCCGCCGCGCCTTTTTGTCCCCGCCGCCGCGACTTTTTGCCCGCAGCGGCTTTCTGCCCCTCTGCCGCCGCGGCTTTTTGCCCCCACCTTGCCTCGGCTTTCTGCCCGCCGCGGCTTTCTGCCCCCACCCGTCGCTGCGGCTTTTTGCGCCCCCGCCGCGGTGGCTTTTTGCCCCACCGCCGCCGCGGCTTTTTGCCCGCCGCGGCTTTGTGCCCCCCCGGCGCCAGGGCTTTTAGTCCGCCCCGGCTTTTTGACCCCTCGCCGTTGCGAATTTTGTCGCCGCGGCTTTTTGCCTGCCCCCCGCCGCTGCGGCTTTTTGCCCCCCGCCGCCTTTTGCACCCCGCCGCTTTTTGCCCCCTCGCCGCCGCGGCTTTTTCCCGCCGTGGATTTTTCCCCCCTGCCCCCGCGACTTTTCACCCGCCGCGGCTTTTTGCCCCCACCCCGCCTCGGCTTTTTGCCCGCCGCGGCTTTTTAGCCCCCACCGCCGCGGCTTTTTGTCCCCTGCCGCCGCGACTTTTTGCCCCCACCCCGCCTCGGCTTTTTGCCCGCCGCGGCTTTTTAGCCCCCGCCGCCGCGGCTTTTTGTCCCCACCCCGCCTCGGCTTGTTGCCCGCCACGGCTTTTTACCCCCCGCCGCCGCAGCTTTTTGCCCGCCGCGGCTTTTTGCCCCCACCCTGCCTCGGCTTTTTGCCCGCCGCGGCTTTTTGCCCCCCGCCGCTTTTCGCACCCCGCCGCCGCGGCTTTTTCGCCGCCGTGGCTTTTCCCCCCTGCCCCCGCGGCCTTTTACCCGCCGCAGCTTTTTGCCCCCCGCCGCCGCGGCTTTTTGCCCCCACCCCGCCTCGGCTTCTTGCCCACCGCGGCTTTATACCCCGCGCCGCCGCGGCTTTTTGCCCGCCGCGGCTTTCTGCCACACACCCGCCGCCGCGGCTTTTTGCCCCTCTGCCGCCGCGGCTTTTTGCCCCACCGCCGACACAGCTTTTTGCACACTCGCCGCCTTGGCTTTTTGCCGCCGCGGCTTTCTGCCCCCTCGCTGCCGCGGCTTTTTGCCCCTCCGCCACCGCCGCTGCTTTTTGCCCCACCGCCGCCGTGGCTTTTTGCCCGCCGCGGCTTTTTGCCATCGCGGCTTTTTACTCGCCACGGCCTTTTACCCGCCGCGGCTTTTTGCGCCCCGCTGTCACGGCTTTTTGTCCCCCTGCCACAGCGACTTTTTCGCCGCCGCGGCGTTTTGCCCCCGCCGCCGAGGATTTTTGTCCCCGCCGCCACGGCTCTGAGGGCGGGAGCGGCAGACTCGGCTGCCAGCTCTACTGGCGTCCTGGCAAGGGCAGCGCTGAGGGGTGCTCCTGGTCCAGCTCTCCTGGCTCAGGGATTCCTTGCCTAGGCGCCGGCGCCCCAGGCTCCTTGCCTAGGCCCCTGTGGCCTGCATAGAGTGGCGCTGCCTGTGGAGGCGATGGGAGAGAAGAAGGAGGGCGGTGGTGGGGGTGATGCGGCGGCCACGGAGGGTGGCACAGGGGCTGCGGCCAGCCGGGCGCTGCAGCAGTGCGGGCAGCTCCAGAAGCTCATCGTCATCTTCATTGGCAGCCTGTGCGGGCTGTGCACCAAGTGCGCTGTGTCCAACGACCTCACCCAGCAGGAGATACAGACCCCGGAGGTAAGGGGTTCGGGGACCCGGGCTGGGCTCCAGGAGCGGCCCGGACACCTCCTTCGGGGCCCCAGTTCACTCCTGGCCGAGTTGCATCTTTGAGCCCACGTCACCCCCTTGGAGGCTTCCCCTCCCTCCTGCACTCGCTGATGCGGCAGCCAGAGGACCCAGGACCAGCCCTCACCTTGGGCAGGATTTGTGGAGCGGGTGCGTGGTGGGAACTGGGATGGAGGCTCCAGGGTCCCGTGGGGGTGGGGGTGGGCTGCGTGAGGACATCCCCTTACCCCCTGAATTTCCATCTGGTCCAGCCCTCTCATCTTGTAGGTGAGGAAACCGAAGGCCTGAGGGAGAAATGACTTGCCAGGAACCCCTGTTAAGGAAAATTAACAAAGTGTGGTTATTAAAGAAGAACTGAGTTGGGAGTCAGACCTGGAGGCCCGCACCCGTGGTTAAGACATTATACCACCTTGAGTCTGGCCTGTTGACTGAGGGTGAGCCACTCCATCCTCATGTGATTGTGGGGTCTTAACCTCAAGGGGTTTCCTGCAGGAAGAAGCAAATGGGTTTGCTTTCCTAGCTCTGTCCAGTACGTTAGGGACCCTGAGGACTGAAGAGATTCTTGGAGAGCCATCTGGTGTATGTCATGGGTGGGTCTTTTTGGAAGGTCAGTCTGCCCAGTGGGCTGGCTCAGCCCAAATGAACTGTCTTGAATCTTTGGAGTTGTCTGTGTACTTTTAAGGGCTTCTCAGCCTTGCACCAAAAGATCCCCCTGGAAATTAGGTGGGAAAAACCTTAACTTTTGTGGGGCCTTGTGTTTGTCTTAAAAGTTCATGCACATAGCCAGGTGTGGTGGCTCCCACCTGTTATCCTTTCCTGGATCCCTTGAGTCAAGGAGTTTGAGACCAACCTGGACAATATAGTGAGACCCCATCTCTACAAAAAATAAAATATTAGCCAGGGGTGGTTGTGCGCATCTGTAGTCCCAGCTACTACTGTGGCTGAGGCGGGAGGAGCACTTGATCCTGCACTGAGCTCTGATCTCACCAGTGTACTCCAGCCTGGGCCACAGAGCAAGACCGTGACTCAAAAAAAAAAAAAAAAAAAAAAGACAAGAAAAATTCTTCAAGATTTTGCATTCTGTCCCACTACCCATTGGTTTTCATGTCAAGATAATGTCAGAAATTCTTTACAATTGCTTCCAGAAGGAGTAGCCTTTTGATCTGGTGCACAGGTGTCCAGTCTTTTGGCTTCTCAGGGCCACATTGGAAGAAGAATGCTCCTGGGCCGCACATAAAATACACTAATGCTAACAACAGCTGATGGGGTTAAAAAAAAAAAAGTTTTGTGCATAATTTTCATGCTACCCACCACCACAGATAGGTGGAAAAGTCCTTGTAGGCAAAGGGTTGGACACGGCTGATCTAGTGTCTTGTCGTCCGTTTTGGCTTTCTCCCTGATTCCAGAATGCAGGTAGAGATGTAGAGACATGCTCTCAGGACAGCTGTTGAGATAAAAAAATTCGTTGTCATTTATTCCCAAGCACAGCTGTTTCTCATTGCATTGAAAAAGTCTCCATTCAAACTGCTGTCACATATAAAATCTATTTATGTAAGTCTGTATTTTTCTGTTGTCTTGGCCTTTGTAGGCAGTAGTGTGTTTTAACCGAGCAAACTGTCCTTCCAAATAATGAAGCCGAAGTCAGCCTACCTACTTGCCATTTTTCTTCCCCTTCCATTTTTGTAACCTCAGAATAATTGTAAGAATGAATTAAGATTTGTGTTTAAGGCCAGGCACAGTGTCTCAGGCCTGCAATCTCAGCACTTTGGGAGGCGGAGACGGTTGTATCGCTTGAGCTCAGGAGTTGAAGACCAGCCTGGGCAACATACTGAGACTCCGTCTTGTATAATTTAATTAAAATTGAAAAAAAGAAGAGAAAAAGACCTGTGTTTAAAATTTAAAAAAAGGGGGGGAAAGTGTAATGCAAAATGTGGACTATGCCAGCTATGATTGGGAAAACTAGTTTTTCATACAGCATTATCTGTAGACTTGTATTAGCAGCATACTGGTCATAAGCGTTTTGCTTTCCTCAAATATGATGAGGCAAGCTAATTTAAAGTGTGTTGGGGCTTTCTGCCGCGTGGCTCCTGGAGGTGTTGAGTCCCAATTTAGCCAATTAATTTAGGTTTAGTTTTGACGTGGATAAGGGAGACCAGCTTCATTCATGGTGTACACACAGTTTTGCGAATAAGGAAAAAATAAAAAGCCACCTGAATGTTCCTACTCATTAGATGCTATCTGGAGAGCTCCTACCCCACCCTCACCAAGGCCCGGGCCATTAAAAAGACTCAATGCAGCCTTTCTGTATCTCATACTGTATTCTGCAAGATACTCCTCTGAAAGAAAGTTGTGCTGCATCAGCCATCTCCCTCCTGAAGATCCCTGCGGATGAAGATTTCTGTTTTGAAAGTTCTGAGAATTCCTGCAACAACAATTCTCAAACTTATTTGTCCATGGGATCTTCTCTTCCACTGAATGTAGTTGGGGAGACACAGCCTTAAGCCTTGAGCAGAGAAAGAGACAAGAAACTGTCGGCTCACTTACAACCAAGTGTTGTGTTTATGTTTTAGGTTTTTATGAAACTGAGGTGCTGTTTGAGGTTTTAAATGAAATTGGGTGGTTGAGGAGAGGCTGCTATCCCTGTAGACTTAGCCAGCCATGAGAAGTTGCCTTTTGTTGAAGGAGGTGTTTTAGAAAGGGAAATAGGGTGTCTCCTGGGCATCGCATTAGCAATTAAATACATGTATCACTGAAATGAAATGATATGATGAAATGATGAAATGAAATGATGAAATGATGAAATGAAACGAAATGATGAAATGGAGAAATGAAATAATGAGATGAAATGATGATGAAATGAAATGAAATGATGAAATGGAATGATGAAAAATGAAATGATGACATAAAATGGTGAAATGAAATGAAATGAAATAATGAAGTGAAATGAAATGAAATGATGAAATGATGAAATGAAATGAAAAGATGAAATGATGAATTGAGGAAATGTATGAAATGATGAAATGAAATGAAATGAAGTGAATGATGAAATGACGAAAAAATGAAATTAAATGATGAATTGATGAAATGAAATGATGAGATGAAAAGGTGAAAAGAAACGAAATGATTAAATGAAATGAGACGAAAAGATGAAATGAAATGATGAGATGAAATGAAATGATGTGATGAAATGATGAGATGAAGTGAAATGATGAAATGAAATGATGAGATGAAATGAAATAATGCAATGAAAGAAGATATGATGAGATGAAGTGAAATGATGAAATGATGAAATGTGATGAAATGGAATGATGAAATGAAATGATGAAATGAAATTGTGAAATGAAATGAGGAAATGAAATGGAATGATGAAATGAAATGAAAAGATCAAACGGTGAAGTGAAGAAATGATATGAAATGATGAAATGAAATGAAATGAGGAAATGAAGTTAAATGATTAAATGATGAAATAATGAAATGAAATGAAATGATGAAATGATGAATTGATGAAATGATCAAATGAAATGACGAGATGAAAAGATGAAATGAAATGATGAAATGTAATGACGAGATGAAAAGATGAAATGAGATGAAATCATGAGATGAAATGAAATCATGAGATGATGAAATGATGAGATGAAGTGAAATGATGAAATGATGAGATGAAATGAAATATTGAGATGAAATGATGAAATGAAATGAAAGAATGAAATGAAATGATGAACTGTGATGAAATGAAATCATGAGATGAAATGATGAAATGATGAGATGAAGTGAAATGATGAAATGATGAAATGTAATGAAATGATGAAATGGAATGATGAAATGAAATGATGAAATGAAATGGTGAAATGAAATGAGGAAATGAAATGAAATGATGAAATGAAATGAAGTGAAATGATGAAATGATGAAATGATGAAATGAAATGAGAAGATCAAATGGTGAAATGAAGAAATGATATGAAATGATGAAATGAAATGAAGTGATGAAATGAAGTTAAATGATTAAATGATGAAATAATGAAATGAAATGATGAAATGATGAATTGATGAAATGATCAAATGAAATGAGATGAAAAGATGAGATGAAATGAAATGATGAAATGACGAGATGAAAAGATGAAATGAGATGAAATGAGATGAAATGAAATCGTGAGATGATGAAATGATGAGATGAAGTGAAATGATGAAATGATGAAATGTGATGAAATGGAATGATGAAATGATGAAATGAAATTGTTAAATGAAATGAGGAAATGAAATGGAATGATGAAATGAAATGAAAAGATCAAACGGTGAAGTGAAGAAATGATATGAAATGATGAAATGAAATGAAATGAGGAAATGAAGTTAAATGATTAAATGATGAAATAATGAAATGAAATGAAATGATGAAATGATGAATTGATGAAATGATCAAATGAAATGAGATGAAAAGATGAAATGAAATGATGAAATGTAATGACGAGATGAAAAGATGAAATGAGATGAAATCATGAGATGAAATGAAATCATGAGATGATGAAATGATGAGATGAAGTGAAATGATGAAATGATGAGATGAAATGAAATATTGAGATGAAATGATGAAATGAAATGAAAGAATGAAAAATGATGAACTGAGATGAAATGAAATCATGAGATGAAATGATGAAATGATGAGATGAAGTGAAATGATGAAATGATGAAATGTAATGAAATGATGAAATGGAATGATGAAATGAAATGATGAAATGAAATGGTGAAATGAAATGAGGAAATGAAATGAAATGATGAAATGAAATGAAGTGAAATGATGAAATGATGAAATGATGAAATGAAATGAGAAGATCAAATGGTGAAATGAAGAAATGATATGAAATGATGAAATGAAGTGATGAAATGAAGTTAAATGATTAAATGATGAAATAATGAAATGAAATGATGAAATGATGAATTGATGAAATGATCAAATGAAATGAGATGAAAAGATGAGATGAAATGAAATGATGAAATGACGAGATGAAAAGATGAAATGAGATGAAATGAGATGAAATGAAATCGTGAGATGATGAAATGATGAGATGAAGTGAAATGATGAAATGATGAAATGTGATGAAATGGAATGATGAAATGATGAAATGAAATTGTTAAATGAAATGAGGAAATGAAATGGAATGATGAAATGAAATGAAAAGATCAAACGGTGAAGTGAAGAAATGATATGAAATGATGAAATGAAATGAAATGAGGAAATGAAGTTAAATGATTAAATGATGAAATAATGAAATGAAATGAAATGATGAAATGATGAATTGATGAAATGATCAAATGAAATGACGAGATGAAAAGATGAAATGAAATGATGAAATGTAATGACGAGATGAAAAGATGAAATGAGATGAAATCATGAGATGAAATGAAATCATGAGATGATGAAATGATGAGATGAAGTGAAATGATGAAATGATGAGATGAAATGAAATGATGAAATGAAATGAAATGTTGAGATGAAATGATGAAATGAAATGAAAGAAGTGAAATGTTGAAATGAGATGAAATGAAATCATGAGATGAAATGATGAAATGATGAGATGAAGTGAAATGATGAAATGATGAAATGTAATGAAATGATGAAATGGAATGATGAAATGAAATGATGAAATGAAATGGTGAAATGAAATGAGGAAATGAAATGATGAAATGAAATGAAGTGAAATGATGAAATGATGAAATGAAATGAGAAGATCAAATGGTGAAATGAAGAAATGATATGAAATGATGAAATGAAATGAAGTGATGAAATGAAGTTAAATGATTAAATGATGAAATAATGAAATGAAATGATGAAATGATGAATTGATGAAATGATCAAATGAAATGAGATGAAAAGATGAGATGAAATGAAATGATGAAATGAAATGACGAGATGAAAAGATGAAACGAGATGAAATGAGATGAAATCGTGAGATGATGAAATGATGAGATGAAGTGAAATGATGAAATGATGGAATGACAAAATGCAACAATGAGAAGAAATTATGAAATGAAATAATGAAATGAAAGGATGAAATGATGAGATGAAATGATGAAAGGATGAAATGAAATGATGAAATGAGGAAATGAAAAGATGAAATGAAATGAATAAGTGAAATGATGAAATGATTGAATGAAAACATGAAATGATGAAATGATATGAAATGATGACATGAAGTCAAATGATGCAATGATGAAATAAATGAAATGAAATGATGAACTGAAATGAGATGAAATGATGAAATGATGAGATGAAAAGATGAAATGAAATGATGAGATGAAATGAAATGAGATGAAATGAAATGAGATGAAATGAAATCATGAGATGAAAAGATGAAATGAGATACAGTGAAATGACGAAATGAAATGTTGAGATGAAGTGATGAAATGAAATGATGAAATGAAACAATGAAATGAAGTGAAATGAAATGAGATGAAATGATGAGATGAAATGATGAATTGATGAAATGAAATGAGATGAAAAGATGAAATGAAATGATGAAATGATGAGATGAAAAGATGAAATGATGAGATGAAATGAAATGGTGAGATGAAATGAAATGGTGAGATGAAATGAAATGAGATGAAATGATGAGATGAAGTGAAATGATGAAATGAAATGTTGAGATGAAATGATGAAATGAAATGAAAGAATGAAATGAAATGATAAAATGAGATGAAATGATAAGATGAAATGATGAAATGGAAGGATGAAATGAAATGATGAAATGAGGAAATGAGATGAAATGATGAAATGATGAAATGAAAGGATGAAATGAGGAAATGAGATGAAATGATGAAATGATGAAATGAAAGGATGAAATGAGGAAATGAGATGAAATGATGAAATGAAAGGATGAAATGAGGAAATGAAATGAAATGATGAAAAGAAATGAACTAATGAAATGAAATGATGTAATAGATGAACCAAAAATTCTTATTCACTTTTTTTCTGGGCATCTTTCTAAGAGTATTTTAGTGAGGTTAATTTCTAAATATAAATTGCTATTCAATGGCTATACAGTTGGCCTTTGCACCACAGGGGTTTGAACTGTGCACGTCCACTTAGCAAAACCAACAATTCTACATCCTTATCCACATCCTGCCCATGAGAAAGATGAGGATGAAGACCTGTTTGATCATCTACTTCCATTTAATAACTAGTAAATCTATTTTCCTTATGATTTTCTTTTTTCTTTTCTCTGGCATGTTTGTTAAGAATACGGTATATAAGACATATAACATTAAATATGTGTTAATTGACTGTGTTATTTGTCAGGCTTACAGTAGGCTATTAGTAGTTAAGTTTTGGGGGAGTCAAAGTTATAGTGGATTTTCTACCGTGCAGGGGGTCCAGCACCCCAACCTCCGTGTTGCTTAAGGGTCAACTGTACGTGTTATTTCCTTTCCTGTAAGAGAAAAATGATGAGAAGGTCTTTTCTCCAATAAGTGTCTTCAAAATGTAGCAGATTTGAAATGTGTTGGCGCCACCATTTTGCGTCTCACTTTGAAAACTTATTATTTAAAATCGTACTAAAGCCTACCTTACTTTTCCAACCTTAGAAAAAATGTTCCAAAGAAAAGGGGCGAAACCATGCTAGTTTGCCCTGAAATTTGAAATTACCTTTTAAAAATATATTTTGACATTAATTACTTCCAAACTAGAGATCAGTTGCATACAAATGGCAGGTCACCCTAATCCACCCTATGACTGCACTTAGATTCATGAGGGATTGTGCCATCTAGAAAGGGCAGAGAGGAGGAATAGAGTGCTCTGCGTCTTGAAATATAAACATGCACATAGCCACATGCTTTGATTCTGTTGTCACTGTGTACTTACTGCTAGGAAGAGGGCATGTTTGTGTATTTTTATGCTAATTATTATCCAAGTTGTTAATGATTTACGCTTTCAGAACCATATAAAGATTTTTTTCCTTTCAGATATAAACTATCTTGCATTGTTCTTCTGATCATATGAGGGATAAATTTGCCTAAATATTCTTCAGACCATAATAGTATGTCCATATAAATGCCAGTAGCAAGAGTACAATCAACCACAACTGCCTTAGTAATTATTTAAAGCATGTCTGCCTATAAGTAATTGGCATTTTATATAATCAAGAATCTTTGATATAATAATCTCTCAACTATTTGAAACACGGCTCACATGTATTAATTTTTTAAGCAAATATATATATAATATCAGTGTATATGAAACTGAATTTTGGACTTTAGAACAGCTTCTTAGAATCCTGACTTAAATGTCTACAGTAATAGTTGGCTTAAAAAAATTTAGCACACTGTCACTATGATGAAAAAAATTACTATAAAATATTTAAAAATTTTTTCCACCCTAACATTTAGAATATTCTCACATTTGTGGTTAAAACCTATTGTGATTGTTCTTAGAATTTAGATAAAAAATGTCCCAGAAAGATTGAAGAGAAGCACTTTAGTCAATTTTTAGTTGTTGAAGCATGAAGAAATGGCATTTCATTGACATTTTAAAAATTATTCAGATTCCCTCTTTGAATTCAAGAATTTCAAAGATATCTTATTTTAAAATACCAAAATAGGAATAGAATATGAAGGGCTGGTTATGAGTAATATGATACAATTTTATGAGATGATGAGATTACAATAACAATACCTCCTCTCATAGAATAGCCAGCAAGTCTCCACTAAATAACAGTGCCTTGATTTTATAGATGTTTCATCATGGATATTGAGTTAATGTGAACCATTTGTAGACACAGGAGTTTATTAAAGACTTATATAATATCTTTCAAGTATTTAGAATAGTGTTGAAATTAAGCCTGCATCCCCACGATTTTCAGCGGTGCTGATGCCTAATAAACTCAACCCCTTGCATGCCAAAATTGGCTTAAAGCCCATCTGTTACCCAAGCTACACTTCAAGCATCGAGGTTCAAAAATGTGATTTTGAATATGCAAGAGTTTGAGGAATTCACTACTCACACTTTCTTGAACAGTCTATCCAAGTGCATCAAGCAAAATGTGAGTAAAGAAATTTTGAGCAAAGGATTGATAGTAATGTTGAATACATTTAATAGTAGATCAAAGATTAAAAGGTGAAAGTGAGGGTGAGAAGAGTGTATGAATGCTTTGTGTTCTGACAAAGAGAATGTAGCACCCAGGTCCTACCTGCTTGGATGCATTGCCGGTGCCCACGGTAGGCCATTTTATCCAGGTTTTTAGGTATTGTCTTATTTTGTTTGTTTTTTTTCTTTTCAGGAGTGTTAGTCCAAGACCAATAACTCCGTAACTGGTAGATTTGGAAGACTTTAATAGTGCTTAACATTTTGTACATAGCTTTATAACAGTTTTCTTTTTCTTTTTTTCTGAGAGATTCTTTTCAATATGCCCCATCATGGTTGAACTCAAAAATCATTGTTTATTTAAAATCTACAACTGCTGACGTTTTGTAACGTTCGCATTCCAGGTAATTGCTTTTTTGTGCATTTTCTGTATTTTTCTCCATCAGTCTACCTAGATATTTGTTAGATTTAATATTTTAATATTTTTCTGAAAAAGTGAGCTTTTGCATTTTTAAATATATACCCAGTTGCTTTAATTCTGCTTTTTCGTGTACTATTTCCTCGTTTTTTTCTTTCTTGTTTTTTGGGTTTTTTTTTCTGACACGGAGTCTTGCTCTGTCGCCCAAGCTGGAGTGCAGTCGCGTGATCTCTACTCACTGCAACTTCCACCCCCCACGTTCAAGCAATTCTCCCACCTCAGCCTCCCGAGTAGCTGGGGTTACAGATGCATGCCACCATGCCAGGCTAATTTTTGTATATTTAGTAGAGAGTGGGTTTCACCATGTTAGACCAGGCTGGTCTCGAACTCCTGACCTCAGGTGACCCACCTGCCTCGGCCTCCCAAAGTGCTGGGATTACAGGCGTGAACAATGGCGCCTGGCTATCTCCTTCATTCTTTATGTTTATTTTACTGCTTTTATCTCTCTCTCTCTCACTGTTTCTCTCCTTCTCACATTCACTTTGCAGTTGTCAAATAGCCCAGGTGATTTTACAGATTTACTCCTTATAAAAGGAGGCATTACACATTACACATGTATCTTAGTGGCCTCACAAAAGTGTTTGGTTTATTTGTAGTGACTATTCACCTTTAAAATATTTCAATATTCAATAAAATGGCTTCCAACCAATATTATTACACTTATGTTTCTAACTTTCGTTTTTGTATTGATATCTGCCTTCATTGCTGTTTGTTTAGGACGTATATTCTGTGTCACGTTATTTCCGTGAAAATTGTTTGAATTTGTGGTATGGTCTAGAAAATGTTAATTTTTGTAAGTATTCTGTATGAACATGAAAATAACATGAATTATAATATTCAAGTTCCTTATATAATATTTGCCCGTTTTAAAATCCACTAGCTTCTTTTAAAACTTACTCTTTTAATTTTTTCTTTTATCTATTACTGAAAGACGTGTGTTTGAAATGTCTATAATATTTGGGGGCTTATCCATTTCTACTTACTTTCTGATATTTTTGCTTTATATAATTTGACTCTCTCTCTAAATACGTGTGTGTATGTGTGTGTGAGAGAGTGTGTGGTTTGTGTGTATATATATATGTATGTATCAGGCTAATACACATTTAAGTCATCACATCTTCTTAATAACTTAAAACTTTTATCACACTGGTTACACTAACTTATTTTAATAAATGTTTCTAACTTACATTCTATTTGGTCTACATAGCAACTTTTTAAAAAATTATATTCATGTAGTATGTTTGTATGTATATCATATATACACAGTATCTGTATTGTTTGAACTTCAAAGTTTCTGTAAATTTATATATTAGTTGTGTCTCTTGTAACTATGATAGAGACGGATGTTTTAAATTTTGCCAATCTTTGTATTTTAACAAAAACATTGTCTACTTAGGTTTAAGTTAATCTTTGATCATTTATACTTAATTTTGTATTAGTAATTTGTTGTGTATATATATATATATATATATATATATATATAAAATGTCTCATTTTCTCCTATCACTTTCTGTCTTCTTGTTTTAAAATTATGACTTTTATTTTTATTGTTTTCATAGATACAACAGAGAAATGCATAATGTCCAGTCAATTTATTAAAGTTCCAAAGTCGGTCGCGCGCAGTGGCTCACGCCTGTAATCTCAACACTTCGGGAGGCCGAGGCGTGTGGATCACGAGGTCAGGAGTTGGAGACTAGCCTGATCAACATGGTGAAACCCCGTCTCTACTAAAATACAAAAATTAGCCAGGCAGGGTGGCACGCGGCTGTAATCCCCGCTACTCAGGAGGCTGAGGCAGGAGAATTGCTTGAACCTGGGAGGCAGAGGTTGCAGTGAGCGGAGATGACGCCACCATACTCCAGCCTGGGAGAAAGGGTGAATGAGACTCCTTCTCAAAAAAAAAAAAAAAAAAAAAGAGTTGCAAAGTCATACCTTTCTGCTCTTGTCAGACAATTAAGGGGTCTTTGAATACTTCAGCCCTAATAATTTGCTTCCTAACATACATATTGCAGTGCTTATCTAATTTTAAATATTCTTTTGTTTCAACACCTAATTTTCTATTTTGATCTATCTTTATGTTTACAATATATTTTGCTCTGTGTTCATTCTTTGATTTCAGAACTTCAATCTTTCTGAAGCGTGTTTTCAGAGTTTCCTTTGAGTTTCTTTAGTGGAATTCTGCTGGTGGTGTTTTGTTTTTTGTCTCTAAATATGTGATTTAGCCATAGGTTGATGAATATTTTTCTTGGTTGAGGATTTCAGAATGGCATTATTATTCTTAACAAATAATATTGTTTATTTTACCTTTCATGCTTTCAGATTTCAATATGATTAAAGGTAATTTGATTTTTCTAGTGCTAATTGAAATATTTTTCCCTTCCTGATTGTTTACTATTTCTCTAGGAGATATGTAGATGTAGGTTTATCTCCATCGTAGCTTGCTTAGCATGCATAGAAGTTTTGAATATGTGGATTAGTGTCTTACAAAACTCTAGAGAACTTTCAGCCAAAATACCATCACATATTGTCCCTTCCCCGTTCCCTTCCTCTATGAGAACACTCACTAAACACATGCTACACTTTCTCACTGTATCTTCCATGTCTCTTCATGATTCTGTCCACATTGTGCCTTTTTTTAAATTTTCTGTAATGCATTCTGAAATATTTATGAGCTCTCACCATGGCCATGTCTAATCTGATGAGTTCATTTTTGAGTTTTTAATTTAAAATACTACATACAAACTACTTTTCAAATTTACTACATCAACTTTTTAGTCTCCTAAAAATATATTCCTTTTTTTAAATTTTTTGAAAGCAAATGTGCTTTATAATCTAACAGTGATATTTCTACTAATGAACCTCTGTGGATCTGTTTGTACTCTTTTTCTGCTTTCCTTTCAAATGGTGGAATATCATTTCCTTGCGTACTTAGATGCCTTTGAATGACAAAGATTTATTTTTCTCTGAAAATTATTATTGTGCACTTTTGCATATTAGTAAGAAGAAAATTTGCCAAAGAGAATTTGAATTTTTTGTGAGTCTACTAAAGGCACCACCATTCTGGGACCACATTATATTAATTCTTGGCCTAAAGGTGTTTGGACGTATGTTTGGACAGCACATTTAAACAATTTTTAAATTAATTGCTGTAAATCATTAATGATTGAGTTTCTTTAAATCTGTCCAATCTCAAGTCATTTTTATTTGCCATTTCCAGGGAATGTGAAATGAGACTAATTTACCTCTGATTCTTCTTTATACTGAGGAGATAAATTTTGGTGCTAGCTTTAGGGAAGAGCTCCTGTGTGATGCCCTATCTTGGGAAACACTATGTATTTCTTTACTGTCCTATGTGATGTATGACCATAGGAATCTGCACTCATTCATTTTGCTACATGTCCGTAGGGCAAAATCAGTATCAGTGTTTAGGTGTATTTTGTCTGCTCCCTGCATTCCCATGGTTTTGACCTTATCTTTTACTTTTTTTTGTGAACATACCAATGCTTCAATTTTTTTCCAGTAATATAATCAACTATACTATAAGAGAAAAATTTCGATAAAACACAAATTTCATGTTTTCCTACTCTAATTGGCTTTTACGTAAAAATACAGGTAAAATTTATTTGTGCTTTTTTGCTATTTCTGTTTTGCTATTTTCTGTTTGTCTATGTCTTCACCACATAGACACAATTAGGGAATGTTGTACACTCTTGTGCCAACTGCTTTGATAGTAACAAAATGTATTTCTCGAACTCCTAGGTATAAAACTCAAGTATCCACTATTTAAATTCTTTTTTGCTCACTTCTAGTATGTTTCCAGTCTCAATAGAAATCGATGCCAATCCAGAAATACAAGCATTATTCTAATACTTCTCACACATTACTGGTATGGATGACATTTTCTAGATCTCCTTAAATACTATCATTTTTCACTACTTGTATCTTAACTGTTAAGTTCAACATTTTCTGTAATATTAATATATTGTGAAAATTTCCTTTCTTTCTTATTTGTCCCAGGTTCAATGTTTTGCAGTCTCTACCTCACCCTGTGAAGCATAAACATTGTACATGCTGTACAAATAATACATCGTTCATGTACTTAGAGATTGCACAATTTTTATTTGGTTGACAATAGCTAATGTTTTCTTCTTCATTTTCTATTTCCTGATTTTTCTTTATTTAGTATATACTACACTGCCATAAAAATAAGAACGTTTTACAAACTAAAGCAAAAGGAACCCTAGGAATAAAATGCACAAATAAAATATATAAACATACGTTTAGATGTACCACGTACACTTGTAATTTATTTAGACTTTTAATTTTAGTACAATTTTAATTAAAGTCTGTGTATTATCTGTCATCGTCTTAGTATTTTTTATATAACAAATTGTGTAAATCAAAAAGTATCAATGTCATTGTAAACTATCTTGGCAGAGGTTGATCTCCAAGGAATAATTTCTCTCCTAAATTATGCCAATCCAAATTTCACTCTACCGTCATTCTTTTCATCAGTTTCAGAGGAATAATAAATTTCAAAATTGTTCAAGGTACTTCTTTTAGTTCAAGTAACATTTGACAGGTGTAAAACTGTAGACAGACTGATACAAACGTATTCTAATTGACTCAAAATTATATGGGACCTATTTTAAAATCTAGATTTTAAAATGTCGTGTCAACATACACATGTTCTCCTTGTGAAATAATTGTTTTTTATTCTCTGGATAGAATAATTTAATCTTTAAACCTTCCATTCACTCTTAGAAACAATATATTACATAAGGATATGCTTATAAAAATAATTCCCAACTAGCTTTTCAGTTCAGAAATATATGTGAAGAATCATCAAACATCTAATGGATTTCAAGGAGAAATGGGTTAGTAATTTATTCCATATGTCTCAATTTTTCCTAGACTCAAGGCTTCCTTTAAAATAATTGTAGGCATTTAAGAAACCATGCAAACTAAAAAGAAGAAACTGTGACGCTGCCGCTTAGGCTTTTTAAGTCTTTGGACATGATACAATATATTTTTTAAATTGTATCTTAATTAGACATTGTGAGTTCACCATCTTCCTGTCAATACAGCAACCAAGCTGATTATCATAGATTACAAGTTCAACTATCAACTGTGTTCTGAGAGTCTAAAAAAATAAATGAACGTATTTGTTTGGGTATTCTTAAAGCAGGAGTGAGGACACAGCGAAAGTGAGACAAGGAAAAGAGAACAAAATAAAACAGGAAAGACAGAAAAGCCAATACCACACGTGTTAAGAGGTAAGTTCCTGTGTTAGATATCTGGGCTTAATTTTATGGGAAGCTATGTGGAGCATGCCTCAGAATTACATCACTGAATCCAGGGAGATTCTTCTTAGTTACCCTCACCTTTTCTTCCCACTTCATGCCCAGTAACAAGCTCCCGTGCTGCTAGAGAAAGTCCTCAGCTAGAAACTGGTGCAAATTCTGGAGATGAGACCTTGTAGAGTGTTAAGAATGGTTTTCTTCCCAGCAGCTACAGCTAAGGAATAGGGGCTGGGCTATGAATACATCTGCTACAAACCAATAAAGCCCTTATGCTCCTTTTGGTGATCGACAATGTATTTAAAAATATTAGATGATCAAGAAGGGCTGCAGAAAGGAGGAAACAGAAACAAACAGCACACCTCTTGGTTTATTTTTTTTCATTTCATCAGTTTCAAGGAAAATATGTTGGGAGTTCCTGGCATAGAGAATGTCACAAAGACATGTTTTCAATAGTAGTGCTATCCCGAGGGCAGAGAAGACCCAGAGAAAGCCCAAGTGGCTGCTGGAACAAAATCAGACACCGTGCCACCTGTCCACACTCCTTGGCTCTGCCATCATGCTGAAGATCGCTTTAAAGGACTGGCTTCCCTCCCCCCAAAATTAAAAGAGCACAGACTGAGAAACTGAATGTGGGAGACAGCAGTGGATTATGCTGTTCTCAGGGGTCACCTCAGGTTTGGAAGCATTCTTTCAAATTAACCCATCTCAGGCCATCTGCAGAGAAGAAAGGTGGTACCTAACTTTTTTTCTTGTCGGCATTTGGTAGGGGTGTTTTATTGACCAAATATGTTCCCACAACCTAGTTTTTTGTGACTAACTAAATATAGTAGAGTTTTAAATTTTATCATCAAAATCTATAGACAATTTTTGATGAAAATAGACTCCATCTCTATGTCCTGCTTTTCTTCTTCTTATTAATTACATTGCTGTATAAAAGAACAAGACTTCAGCATCAAGAATATCTTGTCTCTTGGCATTGAATTTATACAAGGTGCTCTTTCTTTAATGCTGTCTCAAAGGACATATTTTTACTCATTAAAAAGGAAGATCGGAATCTAGTTGTATGCACTGCTCCAACATATTAATAATTAAAATTAGGAGGTAAATGTGGTCAAAGCTATAGAAAGACTGAGATGTCATTTATATGGATTACTCTATAGCACTCTACAAACAGAAATTGTTAAATAATAGTTTATATAAATATTTTGTAGCATTTCAAATATTTGAGTGCTTGAAGTTTCTCCTCTTCTATAGTTCAGATTATCAATTTGAAGACTTACTCCGCTAGTTAATATGTTTTTAGTCTCGTTTGAGTATTATATAAAAGCAATTTTCAGTTAAATGTGTTCCGCTTACATAAAACGTTACAAATTATTGAGGATTTAATTACTTATTCATGTTCCTGTAATGTCTTTAGAAGATTTTCTTATTATTACCTATCAATATATGTATGCTTTGTCAAAGAAAAATCAAACATATATATCATTGAAATTGAAACTTTTTAAAAGTACTTATTAATTCTATTGAAAAACCACATCCATAGGAACAATTACAATATAATATTGTGAACATGTAAACATATACCCTATGTCTATTTTATGTATAAGCATGTATGATTAAAAATATAGTGAAGAATTTTTAAACCTAGTATTATAAAGTAAAAATTAGTTAACTTCTGATGATTATTTGTTAATTAAGATAAAATTATTTTGATTTGGGTGATTTTAAATAAAGAAAAATATTAAATTACATGACAAAAATTCTTTATAAAATGTTTATGATTTTTACATTGGTTTTATCACTTTTCCCACTATTTTATTTTAAGATGACCTGCCTTGTTTAAAACACTGTATTCATCTTAGTTAAATTAGATTCCATTTGTAAAATAATTAACAAATGATTTGCTCTATTGTACAGTGCGGTTATAAACTGAGTCAGTATCTCAAGATTTGATCCCCATTATCATCATCTGTGGCCCTATTTGTTTTATAAATGTATTGTCTTTTTCCATGCCTGTCACATCTCTATTGCTCTTTCATTTTTCTCTTTGTCCCTTATAGGGAGCATTGCCTATCTCTAGATTAAGCAAAAGTTGCATCATAAAAAAGCACAATAACCTGCTCAATCTTTCTCACACAGAGAAATGTTTGTTAAGTAATTAAAGTGTAGATGATGATACAAAGAGCTTGATTAAATTAGATGCCAAAGTACCCTTGTGATTCAGAATATGAATGGTATTTAATTTCTTTGAAATCATTAATTGCTGAGTGAGATTAATTAATGCCAATATTCCAGAAGATGTTCTACTTAGTGAAATGTATACAACGAAAAGCACAATAACCTGCTCAATCTTTCTCACACAAAGAAATGTTTGTTAAGTAATTAAACTGTAGATGATGATACAAAGAGCTTGATTAAATTAGGTGCCAAAGTACCCTTGTGATTCAGAATATGAATGGTATTTAATTTCTTTGAAATCATTAATTGCTGAGTGAGATTAATTAATGCCAATATTCCAGAAGATGTTCCAGTCAGTGAAATGTATACAACGTGCAAAAGATTCAGAACTCTGAAGGGCAACATTATTCTATAATTAAGAATTAAGAATGAATTCGCATTAATTACTGGGGAGAAATACTTTTTAAGAATTAATGACTGAGAAAATGTTTTTATTTTTTATTTAGAAAATTATTTTGTGCATGAGCATTACCGCAAGTTTTGCAAGAAACATAAATTTAAAGAAACAATTATGTGCACAAGATGAATTTAATAACATCTTGATATATTCCACGATTGCGGTTTTATTTGGTAAATCTTTCAAGGCACACCATTTAAAGAGAATAAATGAGTCTTGGAAATCTTGTAGGTAAGGGTAAATATTAGGATGCATCCAGTTACATTTACACACACATACAGTTACATTTACACACACATACACGCATACAGACTGAGTCACGTGTGTGTATATATATATATGAATTTACCAATTGATGTTAACTAATATTTATAAGAGCCAGTTGGATTGATATATATTGTTGAACCTGAAAAATATTTATTATATACATGTTTAAAATACACACAGAAATAAATAGCAATTGCACTAGGCATTTGAAACTGTACTAAAATATAAGCTGTGAACATTTTGTGATCATTACAAATTCTTACACTGAATAAATATTTTTATTTTTACAATATTAATATGTTTGATACCTGTGTATATTTTTTTACAATGTGTTATTTTATTTTTGTCATAGAGTCATGTCATGCATAATAACATTTTAGTCAAAGATGGATTACATATACAAAAGTGGTCCCATGAGATTATAATAGATATTTTTACATACTTTTCTACGTTTAATTATGTTTAGATACATAACCTCTTACCACTGTGTTCTTATTGCCTGCAGTATTCAGTACAGTAATGTAGTACACAGATTTGTAGCCTGGGAGAAAGAGGCTATACCATATAACCTAAACGTGGTAGGCTGTACAATCTAGGTGTTTGTAATACTCTCTGTGATGTTTGCAAAATGGTAAAATTGCCTATGAATACATCTGTTAAAACGTATCCCTATCATTCAGTGATGTGTGACTGTACTAAAATGCTCAATGTAAGTTTCAATGCCCTCCATAAAATTGTTGTACTGTGAAATACAAATCTCTCACCCATGGCCTGAATATGTTTGCAAACTAAGCAGATCATGGGAAGGAGAATGTGCTGGCACCGCTGGGATGATTTTCTCACTCTACATGAATAATATCTACAGACTTCGTGAATATGAGCCACTTGCATAGAGTTAAAGTAGGCATCTCTTTGCTGGGAAAATTATCAAATGGGAGTATGAAGTGTTTTTACAAGATACTCGTTTGTTTGTAGCTGGTAGGCCTACAGTGGCTCTTGGTAATGGTTGAGGTTGCTAAGATTTGGTGGAAGAAGGCAAAATGAAATGGCCACTTATATGGTATATGGTATATGGATCACTTATTTCTGTCGAGTTACAAACTCAGCTGGCTATTTCTCCTATGTTAGTTATTTGGAGAAAAAAAAACGTGATGGTAATTTTGGGGTAACAAATACAATATTTGATGAAAGCAAATTTATTGAGGGTTAGACAAACTACAAGATACTTTAGGCTACAAAGTCAACACGAGAGTTCTGGCCCAAATTGTGCAGAGTTTGCGTCCAGCTGCACAGTTCAAAGGAAGAGGCCATGTAAGAAGATTCTCACTTCTGACACCAACTGCCAGTTCAGGGGTTTCCCCTGAACACCCTCAGTTTCAAGAATTTACTAGAAAGACTCACAGAACTCATTGAATGCCATTGTACTCATGGTTTATAATAGAGAAAGGGTAGAAATTAGGACCAATAGAAGAGACATATCATATAAGGTGGAATCTAGGAGATTTTGAAGGTTAAGTTTCCATTGTCTTCAGGACATATTACCTGTCATTGTTGTACAGCAACAAACATGGAGTACTACCAACCTGGGGAGCTCACCTGATGCTAACAAGACACTATTTACAAAATGAAAAGACAAATGAAAGGATGAGATAAGATGACGTTCCACATTAAGGCACTGGAACGAATAGCAAACTAAACCTAAAGCAAGCAGAAGGAAGAAAATTAAAATTAGAGAAATTAATAATTTATAATAATAATATTTGTTAGTGTTGAATAATTGATATTAATTCTTGACTAGCTTTTTTAAAAAAGAGAAATATTCACTTTCCAATTTATTCTGTGGGGCCAGTGTTACTTTGATACAAAAATTAGTCCAAATAGCATAGAAAAATAAAACTACTATAAGTATAAATGCAAAATTCCTTAAAAAATACTAACAAATCAGATCTAGCAACATATAAAAGAATTATACACTATGACAAAGTGAAATTTATACAAGTAATCCCAGGTTGGTTTAACAGCCCAAAATCCATTAAGGTAATACATCTTATCCATAGAATAAGAAAAGAGAATTCATGATCATCTCGATAGATTCGGAAAACACATTTAACAGAATCCAAAAGCTTTAATGATTAAAAATAAAAATAAAAACTCAATGAACCAGGAATAGAGAACTTTCTACACCAGATACATGGCACCTGTGAAAAGCCAACAGCAAGCAGGCAACTTAATGGTAAAGGATGCTTTCCCGCTATGGTCAGAGATAAGAATAGGATATATACTTTGACCTCTTCTAGTCAACACTGTACTAAAGATTTTATGCAGGGCAAATCGGCAACTAAAATAACAAGAGTCACCCATATTGAACAGGAAGAAATAAAACTTTATTTGAAAATAACATTGTTGTATATAGAAAATTTTAAGGAATCCACCGAACGATAGAACTCGTAAATTATTTCAGCAATATTACAGCAGACAAGGTAAATGTGCAAAAATCAATTGCACACATCTGCAATGAAAACCCCAAAATGAATTTAAGAAAACACTTCAATTTAAAATAGCATAAAAAAAGAAATATTAATTAATTTGGAAAATGTGATACAAGATTTTACTCTGAAAATTAAAAATTATTGTTTAAAGAATATTTAAATAATTAGTAAACACCTTACACCCATGAATTGGACGATTTGATATTGTAGTACTTTACAATTTGAACTACAGATTTGATGAAATCCCTGCAAGTATCCCAACAGACTTGTGTCTAGAAACTGACAAGCTGATTCTAAAATACACATGAAATTGTAAGGGACTCAAAATAGCCAAAATAATCTTGAAGAAAGAAAACATATTAGGATAATTCACACCCCATGCTCCAAACCTTACTGCAAAGTATCAGTAATCAAGACAACACAACATTGATGAAGGAAAAATATATAGATTGATGGAAGAGAATTGAGAGTCCATATATAAAACTATGTGTCTACAGTCAATGGATTCTTAAAGTGGTGCCATGTGCAATTCAATGAGGAAGAGACAGTCTTTGAACACACTGGGTCAACAACGTACACGTGGATCACCACTTGCAAAATAATAAATTAGAACCCTTACCCCAAAGCATACAAAAATATTAACTCAAATGAATTAAAGACACACATGCAAGAGGTAGAATAAAGCATATGGGAAAATCTTCAGGATTTTGGATCTAGCAAAGAAATAGCTGTAACCCCAAAAACATGAGCAACAGAATAAAAATTAGATATTTAAAATTTCTTAAAAATTAAAGACATCGGTGTTTCAGAGGACAACCAAGCAAGTCAAAAGGCAGCTCCAAAATTGTGAGAAGATATTTGAAAAACACGTATCTATATGTCTGTATATATATATGTATCTTGAATATAGAAAAATTGGTTTAACTCCGTCACAAATATCCCAACTCAAAACTGATAAATGATAGGAATAGATGTGTTTCCCAAGAAGATACATGAACGGTCAATAATCCCATAAAAATATACTCAACAGCATCACTCTTCAGGCAACTACAAATCAAAACCACAGTTAGATACTCTATGGCTAGAACTGGCCACATTGGAAAATAATTTGATGGCTTCTAAATATATGAAACATAGAATTGTCATATGACCCAGAAATTTATTCCTAGGTATACACCCAGATTATTGGAAAGAGGTGTTCAAACACAAATTGTACACAAGTATTTTTAGCAGCAGTACCTAAAATAGCCAAAGGCTGAACACAACTCAAATGTCAATAAAAATACTATTGGATAAACAAAAGGTTATATCCATGAAATTGAATGTTATACAGTTATAAAAAGAAATAAAGTACCAATACGTACATGAACCTTGATAGCATTATGCCAACTGAACGAAGCCGGGCAGAAAAGGCCACCTATTGTACGATTCTATTTAGATGAAAACAGAATAGGAAAATCTATAGAGACAGAAAACAGATTTGTGGTTGCTTAGGATTGAGTAGGGGATGGGTGCATAGGAGGTTAACAGCTAGGGAAGGTGGGGTTTCTTTTTGAAGTGATGAAAATGCTCTAAAATTCATTGTGATGGTGGCTCCACTTATCTGTACATATACTAAAAGCCACTGACTTGTAGACATTAATGTGTGCACTCTACACTATGTAAATTATATCTCAATAAATCCTTTCAAAAATACACAGAAGAGTAAGGGGTTTTGGAATGTTGCAGCTGGGATGCAGTTTGAAATACTGAATAGGCCTCATCGAGAATGTGAAGTTTCAGTAAAGACCTGAGGAAGTTGAATGAGCTGATCAATGGATATATGGAGGGCTATCTTTCCAAGCCAAAAAATTAACTAGAGTCTTGATCGTAAGGCAGCAGCATGTTGGTATGTCCAGAGGACAGTGAGGTGGCCAGGACCACTGGTAAGATCAAGGGTGAAGATATAAAAGAATTTTGGCGGTTAACATGAGGCAGATGATGATGGGCTTGCAGACCATTGTAAGAAATGTTGTTTTTAGTGTACATGAAATGGGGAGACAACTCATTATCCCATTATCAATATTTTAATAAATTGGATCCATGAACCAAATCCAATGAGATTAAATCAATTAATAATAATATGCAAATTTGTATTAAAATTACAAGAATTACTTGCACATTTGAGAACAGGAGAGACATGATTTTTATCAGCAATAATAAACATTATTAATTTTAATTGTGATCAGCTAATTGAGATTAATTGCAATACATCTTGATTTATAATGTGACTGTCAAAAGGAAAATATGATTGTAATCTTATACTACATCTATCAATGTCTTTTATTCATAAGAGTATAGAGTAAGCCCCTAGTTTTCAAAGCCAACCTATGAAGCAGTGACATCTTATGCAAGTTTGCTGCTTTCTGCCACAGTGATCCTTGGTCAGTGGGCACAAATTGTTTACAAAGGCCCCTAGGTCTAGAAATAGTTTGGATCACAATGAACACAGAAACACCTTCATCCCTTCAGAAATACCCATCAATTACTTCCAATACAGAATGAAAAATTGACAAAGGAAATATGTGGATTGTAAAAATGCCAGTTAGCTTGCAACTACATGAAAGAAAAATGCCATTTTTATTACATTAGGTCATTGTCTCACATGAGTTTTGGTATAGCAAAATGTTGAACCAAGGGAAAAGAGAGATGAATTAATGAAGTCTTAAGATATCAAGAATTTGAAAGAAAAGGCAGGTCATCTTTGAAGGTTAGTGACATAGCATTCATCTTCTGTTGTCACCTTTCCCGTCATTCCCTGTATGCCTGACGGACAGGTTACACTCAAGTTCAGAGAACAGCATGCAAAATTAGCTACCAATTAATCTTTAGGAAGTGAGCTGCATTTCTAGCCAGACTGAGCTTACGTTTTAGCAGGAAGCATTTTTGGGAAATGTTTATGTTAGACTTTGCCCTTCTTGACAAGGTGAGACATAAACGTCTACTTTATAGACATGAATTGAGATGGGAAGATATTTGGGGGAATCATTTACTCAAACGCTAAATAATAAAGGTACACAAAGGGCAAATTATACTAGATTTCTTTCCCACTTGTTTTCTATGTCTCATGCAATTCACCTTGATTCCCTTCAGTTTCTGTTTAATGTAGAAAGTGGCATTTTCATTATTTTAAGCTTCTAGCACAATGAAAGAATTTCTCTTTTTCATGAACAGGATCATACATGAAAAGGAGGAAGAGTGTCCTATATCATATTTATTGTTCAACAAAACACTGCTCCACGGCTTAAATTCAGTTTAAAAAAGAGAATTTGTTGAACATCTAACACATACATAAAAGGCAGTAAAGACACATGAGAAGAGGGCAGGATATTGAAGTATACAGACTTCAATGCTGAGTTTTATATCTTAGGAAGTTACTCCACCTGACAGAAGCTCAATTTCCCCTGATTTAGGAAGGCGATGCTAATGGGTATTGCATAGGTGTAAGTATAAAAATGTTGTATTTAAGAGAATCCCACAAGCTTGGTATAAGGCAGAAAATAAATAGATGCGACATGAATAAGTAGTTTATTACATTTGTATGCTACCTGCGGACTAGAGGAAGCAAGAAACACAGCCACTATGCTTGATTAGCATTATAGAGATGGTACGATGATGGTTGCCAGAAGCTGGGGGAAGGAGGAAATGGGGAAGTATTGTTTAATGGGTATAGAGTTTCAGTTTTACAAGATGAAACGAATTATGGAGATGGATGGTAGGGACGGCTGCACAATGTTATGACTATATTTAGTACCACTGAACTGTACACTTAAAATGGTTAACAGATTACATTTTATGTTATGTGCATTTTACCACAATAAAAAAAATAAAATACCTTAGGAACATTTTCATGAAAAAGCCCACATAAAATTCATTTTAATGCACGTGTTTATGCATAGCTTTCTATTTTTCTCTTTTCTCTTTATATTCCAAATTCTAATCAGAGAAGGGAATCCCCTCTGTACCTCCAGGATATTCAGTAAAGACCACTGGAGGTTCATGCCCTAGTGACAGTGCTCATTTAGCTCCAAATTACAGATGGCTCTAGACTAACTCAACAAAGTTTAAAGAGAAGATTTAAAACAACAGACAAATACTCATCCTGAAGTTACTGAACTGCCTGTCACAACATTATTCAAAGGTAGCCAATAAAATCTAGATATTCAATAGCATAACATCAAAATACCCAAAAAAAAACTCTGAAATGCAAAGAAGCTGTAAGACATATATAATTAAAATATATATTAACAGGATAAAAATAAGTCATTTATAAATGACAGAAAAGAAGGAAATTTCAAGATCCTTAAAGTAAATATATTTTATAAATACATATAGATAAATACATATATATGTCAAGGTACTTAAATGAAAATTAAATATAGGAGAAAAATAAAAGTTATAAAATGAAAAATGTGACATATATAGATGAAAAATAAATACTTGAAATAAAAATTCCATGAGATAGAATAAGTAATGGATTTTACCCTAACATCAGAACATTTATAGAACAAATTGGAAGCATTACAAACTAAAGGACAAACGGTAAACTAAAATAAGAAAACCAGAAACTCACTCATAGGTCAGACAATGTGCATCAGTGTAACATACATGTAGTCAATATCTCAAAAAGGATGGGTGGGGTAATCATAGGTGAATAAGGAATGGTACACTCATTCCTGAGGGCACCGAGGAGGGAGGATAGCTTTAGATTTCTAAGGGAGAGTTTTATCCATTCATGAAGGTCCAAACCCATGACCAAACACCTCCCAGTGAGCCCCACCTGCAACATTGGGGATCAAATTTTAACATGAGATTGGAAGGGGCAAGCATTCAAACCATAGCAAGAGTTAAATTTCCTTTTTAAAAAATTCACTGATATGATTCCATTTCGCCATAGATAAAAACTAGTATTTCAGCCTACCATTGAGTGTGCTTATAGCTCACCAAAAGGGCACTCAGTCTCGGGAATACAGATTTGCATAGAGGTATCCTATTGCAGTCAAAGAAAGAGCAATGAGGGATAGAAAAGGTTAGTGATGGAGACACCAGCGCTGCATTTTGCAACAAACAATGTAAAAACTTTATGGATTGGTTCTGTTAACTTACTTCAGTTTACATTCCTCTCAGGTGGGAGAATTGTTGCGTTTTTTCTTAAGATAGAAAAGCAATTCAGGTAATCTGAAATCTCCACAAGAAGGATAAGAAGCACAGCAGAAACTATTCTAGGCAGGAAGTCAATCCTTTCAACTGTCTGTGCTCCATAGAAACAATTGTCTGCACTGGGAGTCATATGAGGTACAGACAACAGCCAGACCTCTGATCCTCTCATTAGTGATTTCAGAAGAAATTACCAGTCAACTGAGTAACTCACTGAGTATAGTAAACATTTGGCACTGAAAGAGGTTAGATGAATAACTATTTGTATCACCATATTCATGAAGCTGGAATATGTTCCATTACTGGTATCACATCCGAATGGAAGATATTAAAAGGTCTCTCATCTTGTAAGATAGATATGAAAGAATATTTTCTGAGAAATGAAATTATTAACACACCTGCGAGGTGCATGGAAGAGAAAAAAAAGAATAATCACCTTGAGATCTTCTCCTTGATAAGAGAACTCACTAAAAACATAAAGAGAAAAATACAAGTTTAAAATAATTAACCAGAAGAAGATGACTCTAGAGATTTTAAATTGCTGATAAGATTTTAATTTGCTCCAAGTTGAAAATAATTATATTGCTTGTGTTTTAAGGCACATAATGAGCAATTATATCACACAGGATAGTTTCAGCAGTAAAATAGTATCCGTTAACAGCTGGAACTCATAAAAGCATAGCACAATGTGAAGATGGAATTTGCTAAAATAAACCATCTGCTGAAAACTGCTATTCTGCAAATTTAAAAATAAAGTTTAAATGTTATTTGTCTTATTTAATAGGTCTGTGAAAAAAATGCGCTATTTGGAAAGCAGCTGCTACCTTAATTCTTTATATTAGACGGCTGGTTACAATAATGCACAGTAAGGTGCTACATAGATATATTGCTAAATTTTCTGCATATACTATGTATTTGGCTTAAATTAATTGAAATTTTATTGTTAAAATAACAAATGTACATTTCAATGTTTTGACACAAATTGCAAATATACCTTTAAAAAGCGTCTTACACTCTAAATATTATTTGTCACCTATATATTTGTCTTTTCTCTATAGGAAAATTTAAATTTTTCCCTTGAAGCTTTAATTATTTGAGTCTATAAAACAAACTGATAATGTACAAATTAACAGGAAAAAAAGGTTTACAGATATGTGCACAAGTATGCACTTGGAGTTTACATAATATATATAAATATATCTATACAAATATTTGTATATTATAAAGAGATATACAAATATATACTCTTTATATAAAAACTCCAGGAAAGGCAAGGTAGTCAACACGCCTATGCTGTCTTGAGGTTGCAGAAAACACAGAGCTGTAGGTTGGTAAATCAGGCTTTGTGGAAGACAGGTGACGACAAGGAAGAAAGAGGAGCCTGGCAGCAGAGGTGGTCTTGTTACATGGATGAAACCTCACAGGGAGCAGCCCTCCTCTTGGGAAGTATAGATAGGAAATGGCTTTTAGAAATGTAAACGTGCCAGGCTCAGTTAATCATTCCTATACCCAGACAAGGGAGTATCTCAGGGAAAGCCTGTCTATATCAATGCAGATTTTCTCTACAAATGCAAATCTCCCCAACAAACACAGCTTTTCAGCTATTCTTGTAGAAGAAGCTATCTCCAGTCTTCCGAGTAGCCATCGTGAAATATGTCAAAAAGCTGGCCAGGCGCATGCCTGTAATCCCAGCACTTTGGGAGGCTGAAGTGGGTAGATCACCTGAAGTCAGGAGTTGGAGACCAGCCTGACCAACATGGTGAAACGCCGTCTCTACTAAATACAAAAAATTAGCCGAGTGTGGTGGTGCATGCCTGTAATCTCAGCTACTTGGGAGGCCGAGCTAGGAGAATTACCTGACCCTGGGAGGCTGAAGTTGCAGTGAGCCAAGATTGTGCCATTGCACTCTAGCCTAGGCAATAAAAACAAAACTCCATCTCAAAAAAATAATGTATTTTAGGGTAATATTTTGAGTATCTTTACCTCCATATGTACAATAAAAATTATTGCGATTTTTAATCTTTTCTGTGGAGAAAACACAGGTGTGATTTCTAGTGTAGCTGAACATCGTTTATTTGACAGTATTGCACTTGTGTGTGGGTGTGTGCGTGTGTAGCTACTTTTTAATTTGGTTCTCACAAAATGATTAGATACTAACAATTAATTCAGTAAAATGTATGTTTTGCAATATTTCTCCATGTTATTATGCTTTAAATTAGTTTAATCATGCCCCTATAATGTGTACATTTTAACCTTTGACTATAGGTCTCAATCTTACTTTGGTTCCTGTATTTGAATTTATGCTAATAAAGTCCCACAGCTTAATAAGATTACATAAATTTTTTGTATAATTTTTACTAGCATTCTGATGTCATTTTAAATTATGTAATGAAATCAAATTTTAATTTGGATTATTGTTATCTGAGTTAAGGATATAAATTTTTAATTTTCTTATAAATATTACTTAATTATTTCTGAACCATACATTGACTAGTCTGCCCTTTATATGATGTGTATTATAAGAGCTTAGGATTGTTTCATTTGCAAAGATGAATGCTTGAGAAGTAGATATTTAATCATAACATTTCAAAATCTACTGGATAACCTAGAATTGAAACATAGCCTATAGGTTGAAAAACTCCTGTAGTGAAGAAAGAAAATAACTAATATACAGTGACAATATAAATATTATAAGTATTTATTTTATTATCACCCTGAAATTTGATAATACAAACATGTAATATCTACATATCATCCATATATCAGGTCATAAAATATCAATACATTCTTCAAAAATTTAGCATAACAGAAAATGCACTCTCTCTCCTTGATGGAATTAAGTTACAAATAAAAGTAAAAATAAGTAGATAAGTAGATGGAAGTAGATGTTTAAGAACAAAGAAAAATATTTGTTTTGGATAACATAAAATCTCAATTGACAAATCCAATATTTCCAGAACTTTACCTGTCAACTGGTGGAGAGTTTTCCCCAGGAGACATTTGTCAATGTCTAGGGTTATCGTGGGGATGTCAAGACTGGTGGAGGTGTGAAATTTAGAGGTCAAACGAAACACCTATCATTGCTAGGGCAGCCTCCCACAACAAAGAATCCTCTGGTCCTAAAGGTAAGTAGCACCAAGGTTGAGAAACCATAATCTAGACAGGAAACACTACGTAGCTATTCCAAGTGCTCAGGAAAACACATCAGTGCTCTCGAGGGGAAAAGTGTAAACATTTTAATTGCTGTACATGGTGACACAAATCCATGTTGTTAATCTAAGTGGAAGGAGCTGAAGCACAAAATGTAATTCAAAGAGTTTACTTGAGCCACAGTGAGGACAGCTGCCTGGAAGAAACAGACCCAAATATCCTTGGATGTGAACTCCCTTTGGAGCTTTGCAACAAGAAGTTACTTAAAGGCAAAAAAGGGTCCAGAAGTGTGATGACGCAAAGAGGTTTGTCACAAATTCTCATTGGCTTATGGAAATAACATTTATTAGTGACTGGCTACACACTGTTACACTATTATGGGGTGTGGATTATAGTGTCTGGTGTGGCCTTATTGGTTAATTTATAGCTACTGTGGCAACAGCAAGCAGCCTAGATGAACACACAGCTCAAAGAGGAGCAGGACAGAACTGCTGTGTCATTTGAATATCTCTCTGGGCCTGATTATTTCAAAGGACTTGCATTTCTCACATGAAAGTTATTTTCTTTTCTCAATGTCCATAAATGAGAATAAATAGACGTAAAATAGATCTTTTCGAGGATGAAGTAAATGGAATGAAAAACAAAACCCAAGCTGACCAGAAATCATAGAGGGAAGAAAAGGATATAAATATATGGATTTTTCAAAGTGATTTTAAGCTATTAGGAATCAGTTAAATGTTGGGGGAATTGGTCTGAGAATAGGCTAAAGGAGAATGTCCCTTTTGTCTTCTGAAGTCTCCCTGAAAATCACTAATAGGAGGCAGATAAAGAGTAGAAAAGGCATGCAGGTTTCTGTAATGTGTGTACACTGGAACCCTTAGAACGAAGACCCAGTCACACGATGCGTGCAGAAGCTTATCTACCACATGAAGTTTACAGAAAAATGGGGTCTTGGATCACAGGGAAAAGAAAGAAAAAGGTTATGTGAGAAAACGACCCTGGCTAGCAACAGTGGACTTATTATATAGGTGGAACCTCACTGGGAGTAGTCCTCAGAGAGAATAGAAAGAAAATGTTTCTTTCAGACCTTTGGAGACTTAGCCTCTCAGTTAACCTTTCCTAGATCCAGACAAGGGGGCAGACCTCAGAGAAAACCTGGCTGCATCAGGGCAGATTCTCTACCGATGCAAATCTCCCCAAGACAGCTTTGCAGCTAACATTGCTTTTCCAGCCCTTCTCAATAGCCATTTTGAAATATATCAAGGAAATATATTTAGGGGTAAAATATATTAGTTTCCTTCATACAGCTATAAAACATACAGGAATAATTTTTGTCAATGTCTACTACAAATCCAATATAGCAGTAACTATGAAACCCACCAGATATTGATGAAAAAATATGTAGAGTACCTCAATTACAAATGTTGATACTAAAATGCCAAATAAAATACAAATAATATCCAACAATATTTGAAACAGTAAGACAAGAAATTGGCAAAAAAAAAAAAAAAAACAAATATCCACCTTCGGGATGAAAGTGTGTTTCCAAATTTGGTAATCCAGTAATATTAATAATCGTATTGATTAGCCCAAATTAAAAATAAATAGGGGATTCTCAGTACATGCTAAAATATGTTTGTTAAAAGGCAATATTCATGTCTTTAAAGGTTTTAAATGCTATAAAGGGTCTGATATTCTATATGCAAACATGTGTATGTCCATTAGAAGAAGAGAGGCCTGATTTTCATATGTTACTACATAGAGACAGAGAAGTGGATACATTAATTTGCATATGCATAGAGAAAGCATAAAACAGAAATTGACTATCATATTAAAGGAATTTTAATTCAACAATAAAATAATTCAAAGGTAAAATTTTAAATATTTTTATCAGGTACATTATTATTATTAGATGATATTTATAATAATTGTGAAAATATTCAGCACTAAAATAAGATACAATGTCTAAACATCAGTATTAAAACTAGTATAAATTTTTACTTGTTTATACAAGCAAAATTCAAGCTCGACCTAAATTTTATGGGAAATAAAAGAAAAATATTAAGGGAGCTCTTTAATGACATAAACATATATATATAAACACACACATATAACATGTATATATGTTATATGGGATAGATATAGATTTAACAGGCTATATCTATATTTGTATCTGTAACTACAGCTGTATTTATCCACATTTCTATGTATTTACTCAGTGATATAAATATAGACTGGAATAAATATAAAGACACATATGATTCTTGGATAAAAAGGATTTAGCATCATAAAGACAAATTCTTTCCAAATTCACTTATGAATTCACAACATTATACAGTTTCATTAGTATAATTTAATATTTTTAAATAAATTCCAAGATTCATTTAAAGGAATATACATGTATACAAGCAGTCAAGAAAGAAGCAAGAGGGCACTAAACTAACTTGCTATTAAAATACATTTTTAAACTTAGTCACTAAAACTGAGCAGTACTGATTTGGAGTACTGGAATTTAGGTGTATGGGATCTCAAAAGCACAGAGCTCAAAGGAGACCCCTGTATGCACGAGAGCTTAGGATGTGCTTTAGAAGGCATTATCAAACCACGGGCAAAGTTACTTTAGTGTCATAGTCTTACTAGGTTTGAAAAGCCAGAGAAAAGACTCAGGACCACCATATAAGAGCAAAACAAAAGGACAGGGAGAGAATGTGAAGATACAGAAACATTTTACATAAAGTTGTATAAAACATCTTTTAAAGAAAATATAAAGTTTTGGATATACATCAAAATCAGCAGAGCCACTAAATAAATAAATAGGCATTGTAAAATAACGAGAAAATTTAAAAGGATATCTAAAAAATATTGACGCCTATGATTTTTAAAATATGTTTAAGAAATCCGGTATTTCACAGGGCAGCCTTTCACAACACAGGTATGTTAGGACATTAAGGTCCTTCTGTTTTTAATTTACTAGTGTTTATAGGGTTACAAATGTCTTCTACCCTTGTCTTTTGTCTGATGGTGCAAAAAATTTTCATAAGCATGTATTTCTGAATGCCTGATGGTTTGACATATATAATATGCTGCCAGTATTAAAATATGAGACGGAAAACGCATCCAATCTTCTCACTGTTTACATAAATTCTAGGTTTCTCCTATTTACCTCAAGTACGTATGGATCGAATTCTTACCTTTTAATATTGCCATGGCATTCACATTGAACATAAGTTGAACTCTCTTATATGGTAGCTGGGTTCGGATTCTCTTGACAATTTCCAGTTCTAAACCTCACAGTTCCTCAGGATGGTTGGCCCAGATATTGACCCTACACAGTTGTCTCCTCGTCGTGACTACCAGCTATGGAAATAGTCAGCAGAGACTTGAGAAGAGGGGTTTCAGGTGACAGAGCTCCCATGGGAGAAGCAGGATCCAATAGAGAGAAGAGAAAGAGCAGAGTGGTTTTATAGAGAGCCAGGAAGAACAATTTGTAGCCCAGGGAATCAGGGAATAACCCCTCACTCAGAAAAAGAGAGCCAGAAAGAAGAGACTTCTAGCCTAGGGACTCAGAGAATAGACCACTCAGAACAAGAAGCCCACACGAAGACCTTCCTGCCCAGAGGATTGCTTTCAAAAGAAGCCTGCGACTCTACTCCAGCTTCAGAGAGAATATTCATCCCTTCAGATTCAAAATCTGTCCTTAGCCATCAACGGGCTTTTGTCTGGAACAATGGCTCAGGAATCTGATTCACCAACGGATCCCTAATCAGTCAGAAATGACAACAAAGACTTCAAAGGCATGCATTTAGGGTTCTGAGTGAGAGGCCCAGGATCCAGTGATGAATCTGTCCTAGTTGAGTTTCAACACCATAGTTGTTAAATAAAAAATTATTCAGTGATACTTCAAATGCACAGTAAAGAAGACTTTATTCAAGACCATCACCATAGATATAGGAACCACTGCAACACAGTCTTGGAGCTGGGGAGAGAGATGGGCTTAACTCTGAATACAGCATGGGGAAGTGGGAATTTATAGCCCAGGAGCAATGCAGGGGTCAGTGAATGGAAAATCACTAAGAGGAAACATCAGGAGTAAGGGAGATTCTGGCTAAACCGCCCTGAAAGAATTCTTGCTGAAGACTGGCCAGGGTGATCAGACATCACCTGCAGAATGGTGAAGAATGAAGAACCTGATCAGATATTGAGAATGAGGGGTTCTTTGGTAAACTTGGCAGTGTTCTTTGCTAATGCTGGATTTTGCGAGGAAGTGCACAGTTTAGCCTAGCTGAAGATTTAGAAGCCTGACTAAAGTTGGCCAAGCAAAGAATCTTTGTTATCAACATATTCCATCAAACCTCACATCCCTGCCTTAAATGATCAAACCATCCGCACTCCTGTATGCTACTGTTCTCCATGAAAAGTTACTTCTTCTTTGCCTTAACCAAAATCCAGCCATTCTAGAAAGACACCAGAAGGCTTTCTGCAGCATCTAAAATTCCCCACATTCTAGGCCCAAATCCTTTTCCTTTCCCTGTTGCTTTTAGATCCACATTGTGTAACCCTCATCTAGAAACCTCAGTTTCTTGGTGTCATTTTTTTTGGGGGGACGGAGTTTCCGCTCTTGTTGCCCAGGCTGGAGTGCAGTGGCATGATCTCAGTTCACTGCAACCTCCATCTCCCAGGTTCAAGCGATTCTCCTGCCTCTGCCCCTTGAGTAGCTGGGATTACAGGTGCCTGCCACCATGCCTGGCTAATTTTTTGTATTTTTAGTAGAGACAGGGTTTCATCCTTTTGGCCAGGCTGGTCCCGAACTCCTGATCTCAGATGATCCACCTGCCTCAGCCTCCCAAAGTGCTGGGATTATAGGCGTGAGCCACTGAGCCAGGCCATTCTTTTTATATAATGTAACTTGTACTTTTATGTAGTAAATTATCACAGTGGTGTCAGACACTCTGAGGAAGAGTATTTTACTGTGTCATTCCCATTACCCAATCAGGAAGTCTTAACAGGCAGATTTTAACAAAAATATAAGACACAACTGTGCCCTAGCTTTTCTCACATACTTCCTACCTCACACTTCACACATTTCTTTTTCTCAGCACCCACTCTTAAGTAATAATTTATTTCCCCTGAATATTATTTACCTTCTGTGGGCTACTTTACATATCATCTGAAAGCATGATCAAAACAGTTATATTTGTGAATAATTTTATTTTGGTTTATTTCTTAGCAGAAGGAGGAGTTAATGGTAACATTTGTAGGCCGGGCACGGTGGCTCACGCCTGTAATCCCAACACTTTGGGAGGCCGAGACTTGTGGATCATGAGGTCAGGAGATCGAGACCATCCTGGCTAACACGGTGAAACTCTGTCTCTACTAAAGTACAAAAAAATTAGCCGGGCGTGGTGGCGGGCACCTGTAGTCCCAGCTACTCGGGAGGCTGAGGCAAGAGAATGGCGTGAACCCAGGAGGTGGAGCTTGCAGTGAGCCGAGATCGCGCCACTAGGCTCCAGCCTGGGAGACAGAGCGAGACTCCATCTCAAAAAAAAAAAAAAAAAAAAAAAAAAAGGAACATTTGTAATCTCCCAGAGATTGCCAAGGAAAACATTCTCCTGGCTGAATTTATGTGGAGTTCATCATCTAAGCATAAAATATTTTATAAAGGAATGGGCCAATCAAATAACTGCTATGCGGTTGACACCATAAACCAAGTTAGCTTAGTACCACTCTAAATAGTTGCTGGGAATATAATGATTTTCAAAGACATGATCTCTAGAAATAAATAACTAAAAGAGAAGCACGGTGTCATGCATTTATGCATACACATAAGCAGGGACTAGAGATCAAGAATAGAAATAAAAGAGGTTTTTACACTTGGGGTGCTAAGGTCGCAATGATTTATTTGGAGAGAAAACGGAGGCCCTTCTTTAGTAAATGCAAAGCACCATGTGTTTAATGAAGATACATGACCTAAGCTTTGAAGATCGTTTAACTAATTCAATAACCTTGCCAAGTATCCATTACTACATCTCAACAATCAAATTTACAGTGACATCTTTGAGTTAAATCTCTCCATAGATGTCTGGAAACAGCTTAATTCTGTTAACTGCTGCCCATTGAATTATGCTTTATTTGGTCGTAGAATTTCATGTCATCTGTTAGTCTCCCTCACAACTTGGGAGATGTTATTCCTGTATTGTCTGTTCTCGTTGATGAAGAGAAGTCTGTGATAAAGTAATTGTCCTTCCTTTGCAGGTAATCTGCCTTCCGTCTCTGGTTGATTTGAAAATATTGTATTAGTGTTTAGTATCTTGCATTTTACTGTGGTATGTCTACATATGGATTTATACTTACTGAGTTTGCTCAGAGCTTGGAGTATTTCCTCAGTCTTAAAGGCCCTAGTTGTGAAAATGTTACTAAAGAAAAACTTTCTTTTTTTAACTTAAAATCCTTTTTATTGGGAAATAAATGTAAGATCATAGATAAGTTTGAAAATAAAAGAATTGTTAGAACAAAAAGTACTCATATGCCTGTTACCCTAATTTGTCTATTATTATTTTATTAAATTTAGGTTACCATTTGTTCTCTCTCTCTCTCTCTCTCAATATATATCCCAATTTTCAGTCTTTAGATCTAAATCTTTCAGCAACCTGGACTATCATGGCCCCAGTGTAATGCTTGGCTTTGTACCTCATGAGGGAAGAAATGTTTTTTTTTAATCTTAAGTTCTAGGGTACGTGTGCATCACATGCAGGTTTGTTACATAGGTATACATGTGCCATGTTGGTTTGCTGTACCCATCAACTTGTCATTTACATTAGGTATTTCTCCTGATGCTATCTGTCCCCCAGCCCCCCACCCCCTGACAGGCCCCAGTGTGTGATGTTCCCCACCCTGTGTCCATGCATTCTCATTGTTCAACTCCCATCTGTGAGTGAGAACATGCGGTGTTTGGTTTTCTGTCCTTGTGATAGTTTGCTGAGAATGATGGTTTCCAGCTTCATCCATGTCCTTGCAAAGGACATGAACTTATCCTTTTTTATGGCTTCATAGTATTCCATGGCACATATGTGCCACATTTTTTAATCCAATCTATCATTGATGGACATTTGAGTTGGTTCCAAGTCTTTGCTATTGTGAATAACACCACAATTAACATACGTGTGCATGTATACATCTTTATAGTAGCATGATGTATAATCCTTTGGATATACACCCAGTAATGGGATCGCTGGGTCAAATGGTATTTCTAGTTCTAGATCCTTGAGGAATCGCCACACTGCTTTCCACAATGGTTGAACTAATTTACGCTCCCACCAGCAGTGTAAAAGCATTCCTATTTCTCCACATCCTCTCCAGTATCTGTTGTTTCCTGACTTTTTAATGATCATCATTCTAACTGGCATGTGATGGTATCTCATTGTGGTTTTGATATGCATTTCTCTGATGACCAGAGATGATGAGCATTTTTTATGTGTCTGTTGGCTGCATAAATGTCTTCTTTTGAGAAGTGTCTGTTCATATTCTTTGCCCACTTTTTGATGGGGTTGCTTTTTTCTTGTAAATTTGTTGAAGTTCTTTGTAGATTCTGGATATTACCCCTTGGTTAGATGGGTATATTGCAAAACTTTTCTCCTATTTTTTAGATTGCCTGTTCACTTTGATGAGAGTTTCTTTTGCTGTGCAGAAGCTCTTTAGTTTAATTAGATCGCATTTGTCTATTTTAGCTTTTGTTGCCATTGCTTTTGGTGTTCTGGTCGTGAAGTCTTTGCCCGTGCCTATGTCTTGAATGGTATTGCCTAGGTTTTCTTCTAGGGTTTTTTATGGTGTTAGGTCTTTCATTTAAGTCTTTAATCCATCTTGAGTTAATTTTTGTGTATGGTGTAAGAAAGGGATCCAGTTTCAGCTTTCTACATATGGCTAGCCAGTTTTCCCAGCACCGTTTATTAAATAGGGGATCCTTTGAGGGAAGAAAATTATTTCTAATATTTTAATCCAGCTATGTATGTAAAAAGAAGTCTTTTTCATATTTTATCTATTATTTCTGTATGATTGGAGTATGAGTCAAAACATCTCAATATAAATAAAAAGTTACATTTCAGTAATTCTTTTTTCCAAAATTACAAAACACTAGTGGTCAAAAACACTACTATTTCCAATTCTCTTTACTTTGTTAACATTACTTTTTGTACTTATGAGAGAAGAGTTTGCAATCCAAAAAGAGCAGGAAGGAAGAGAGATTAGAGATTTTTTCTCTCGCTTGCTCTATACATATGAGATATTTATATATCTATATATCAACAGTTGACCTTTGAATAACACTGGTTTAAACTGTGTGAGTCCACTTATAGGTGGATTTTTTCAGCCAAATACAGATTGAAAATATAGTATTTGTGGGACGTGAAACCCACATATGTTGAGGGCCAACTTTTCATATGCGAGCTCTGCAAGGTTGACTGTGGGACCTGAGTATGTGCAGACTTCCTTATATGCAGGGCTCCTGAATGCAATACCCCACTAATACTGAGGGATGACTGTATATGTCTCTATCTATCTACTCTATCACATATATATATATATATATATATATATATATATATATATACACACACACACACACACAAATATGTGTATATATATATATGTATGTGTGTATATATATATATATATACTTCCTATATTACTTTGCTAGGGTTGTTATAACAATTACTGCAGACTGGGTGAGTTAAACAACAGAAATTTATTTTCTCACGGTTCTGGAGGCTAGAAGTGTGAGGTCAAGGCATCAGATGTGTTAATTTTATTCTGAAATTTCTCTCCTTGGCTTTTAGATAGTCATTTTCTCATCTTGTCTTCTCATGGACTTTTTTCTGTGCACATGTATGTCTGTACCTAAATTTCCTCTTCAAATAAGGACACCAGTGATATTGGATTAGGACCCAGACATGTGACCTCATTTTACATTAGTTACCTCTTAAAAGTCTCTATCTCCAAATATAGCCACCTTCTGATATACTGGGATGGCAGGGGGCAGGGTACAGCATATTAATTTGGGGAAAGGACACAATTCAGCCTATAACATATGCAATATATTCTTCTCTGATCTATATTATATAACTTTTACATATAATACATATATAATTTAATATACATTTTAACCCCTTGATTAATTTTCTCACTGCAGAGAAAACAAGAATTAAAGAAAAGCTTCAGGTGATACCGTTTTTGAATGAGTAAGAATTGAGCCTACCCTTAACGCAAGAATGAAGTAGAAATAAACTGACTTAGGGAACAGCATAAAAAAGTTCTCTTATGAGTCAAGATTTCAGTGTGATGTCATCATTTTTTCCAGGGATTAAATGTTAGAATATATTGCATGCCCATATTGAGGTGGAATCATAAACTTATTTCAGACTTATTATAATGGCTCATTTTCTTATGCCTTCACCATTGAACTTGTACTTAGCTGGGGATTGAGCTGAAAGTTTGCCTTTTCTGTATCTAGCATAGTTGCACCAAATCTGACCTTAATCCCAAATTTTCCTCTCTGTAATATCTTGTTTCCAAATGAGGCTCACATTGAATTTTCTCTTGTTAGAAATATAACTGGCAACACCAATCAAAACCATTCATTCCATTCAGTTGCCTGTGAACAAGCTTGATTTGCTTTGTTATTAATACAGCTTCTTGTGGGTTAAGTAGAAAGCTCTTTTGTAAATATCCCTCAGTTTAAGTATATATATAGTTTACATTTCCAGGTAAACTATAAATTCTCTAAGAAAGGCCCAGCACGGTGGTTCAAGCCTATAATCCCAGCTCTTTGGGAGTCTGAGATGGGTGGATCACTGGAGGTCAGGAGTTTGAGACCAGCCTGGCCAATGTGGTGAAACCCCATCTCTACCAAAAATACAAAAATTAGCCAGGCATGGTGGTGCACACCTGTAATCTCAGCTACTCAGGAGGCCAAGGCAAGTGATTAAACCCAGGAGGTGGAGGTTGCAGTGAGCTGAGATCGCACCACTGCACTCCAGCCTGGGTGACAAGCTGGACTCTGTCTCAAAAAAAAAAAAAAAAATTCTGTGAAAAGATCTGTGATTTCCATTCTCCTTTATAGTAATTGTTAAGCACTCACAATTCGATGGTTATAACAACTATCAAAGAAAAACAATTATTTTAATAAATATTTTTCATCATTTTCTCCTTTCTAAGCCCTATGCTATGCACTAAAAACTGCAGAGAAAATCAACACATTCTCTACCTCACAGCAGATTTCTTGGAGAGAGATAGGGGTGGGGAGGGGAATAAGGGTTGCTAAATGTTGTCAACTTTGTAATACAACTCTCAAAGGGAGATAGTTATTAGGGAGGCAAAGTGCTCAGGCTCAGATTTCAGGTTGCCTAGATTTGAATTCTGTCTTCACTGCTTCTTTCATGATTTGCCCAAATTACTTAAGCTCTTTAAACCACAGTTTCCTCATCCTTAAGATAGGGATAATAAATAGAACTTATCTCATAAAATTACTGTGAGGATTATAAGTGATTATGAAGTTGATTAAATTTCCCCAGTGCTTCATACAAAGAAAGGACTCAAAGGATATGCTAGTTCATAGTATGGGCATAGAAGAAGATATCCCTTCTCTCCTGGGATATAGGATATACATAACTGTCCACTATAAAATTGAAGATAGGCTAGAGAAAAGCTAAAAATGAAGAATCTAATAACTCTTTAGCCAAGAGAAAATGAAACATGAGGGAAAGGGAGAAGTTCCAAATGAGGTCCAAATTTGTCATGGGCCACTGAATGGTGGTGCCATTCAGGCAGAGGAAACCCAGAAGGAGGAGTCATTCTGTAGTTAGAGGGCACTTAATGAGATAATATTAGAGATAACTGAGGTTGAGTTGTTGGTACATATCTGGGTGCAAAGTCTCCATAGGTCCGGAATTTTGAATAGTTTTCTGGAGTCATCTGGTTATTGTTAAAGCCAAGAGAACTGGTGAGATCACAGAATACAATAATGATCAATAAGAGGGAAGGGAAGAGAGCCAAGAATGGGAGACTGGGAAGCATACACATTTAATTAAGGTTTGGTAAGGTGAAAGGTGTCAGCAGAGAATGTAAAGGTGAAATAATGAGAGAAAAAGGAGGACATCAAGGAGAAAGTCGTGTTTTGAAAAAAACAAAAAGGACACATTTTCAAGAAAGACATTGTCAATAGTTTAAATGTCACAAAATAGTAGAGTATAATGCAATTAAAAAAAACAAAATCTATTGCTTTTGTTAATTAAATAACTAGTAACCTCGGCTGCAGCAGTTTCAGTAGAGTGAGGAGAGTTGACACCAAACTGCACCAGTGGAGTGAAAATAAGTGGGAAGAAAGAGTGAGGAAGTGGAGGGCAGTCTTTTTTTTTTTTTAATAAAATATTTTCCCAAACTGTCTTTTCTGGAACTTCCAACATGTCTGCTTAAGAGCTTGTCTAAGTTGAATTCATTCGAACTTCTTGAACCTAATTAGTTTCTTTTTGCTGTTTTTTTTTTTTTTTTTTTGAGATGGAGCCTTGCTCTATCACCCAGGCTGGAGTTCAATGGTGCAATTTCGGCTCACTGCAACCTCCTCCTCCTGGGTTCAAGCAGTTCTCCTGCCTCAGCCCAATTAGTTTTAAAGACGCTGCATATATTGGCAGGGAAAACCTAGAACACAAAGTCAAACTTCCAATTATCTCCCTTCAGTGCTCAAATCAAGCGTTCATTTGTTGCAAGGAATGGGGATCTGGACTCCAGGGAGAAGAATAGAGTTTTAGAAGGAGAGTTCTCCTAAAACTAAATGGAAGGAGGGTTCTTTGAGATACCAAGGATTTGCAGGACTTTATTTACAATGAAATGTTAGTTTCAGACAGCCCAGGAGGAATAGGTCTATTAAAGGAAAGCAAGAGTAGTTGGCGTAAGGAAACAATTTGCATTGGAGCCTGAGAGTGAGTATAGTAATGACCACATGAGAGACCCATTTGACTCAAGTACTTCAAAGCATTGCCAGTGTTAGTCTTTGCTCCACAATCAAGTGGGGAAAAAGTGAAATGTCTTTGAAGAGCATTTCCTGTAGGTGGCCTTTGAGGAGGTCCTGAAAATTCCAAACCTGCAAGTATTAATGGCAAAGAATAAAAATTTCTTTATGTAAAATACTTTTAAAAATCTTTCTAAATAGCAAGACATTATATATTACCATTGTTAAAAGATAAACGAATTGAGAAATATCATTAGAATTATATGCAGCAGATAAAATGGTCACTTTTTCTTTTGAGACGGAGTCTCGCTCTGTCGCCAGGCTGGAGCACAGTGGCGTGATCTTGGCTCATTACAACCTCCAACTCCCTGGTTCAAGTGATTCTTCTGCCTCAGCCTCCCGAGTAGCTGGGATTACAGGCACGTGCCACCACCCCAGCCAATTTTTGTATTTTTAGCAGAGACGGGGTTTCACCATGTTGGGCAGGATGGTCTTGATCTCCTGACCTTGTGATCCACCCGCCTTGGCCTCCCAAAGTGTTGGGATTACAGGCGTGAGCCACTGCGCCCAGCCAAAAGGTCACTTTTTAAACTTAAAAATTATTAAGAAAACAGTGAAAACTTAATGTTTAAAAGAGTAGAAGATAGGGAAAATTATTACACAGAAAAAGATAAACAACAGAGAAAGATAAATAAATTGCCAGTGACTATGTAAAAAGTTGCTCAGCACCAGTGGTAGTTCAAATCCAAATAGCACTGAGTTAGCATTTGTTAACTAATAAATTGGCAAAAATTATATTTTGATAAAACCCAGTGTTGTTGACATCCCAAGGAAAAGGGCTATGCTCACACAGCCTTGGAGCATGTGCACATTGATGATTTTTTTGGCATAAAAATTAGTGGTTTCTATTAAAATCAGCAGTGTAATTCACAATCGCTAAGACATGGAATCAACCTAGGTGCCCATCAACTGTGGATTGGATAAAGAAAATATGGTACATATATGTCATGGAATACTTTGCAGCCATAAAAAATAATAAAATCATGTCCTTTACAGCAACGTGGATGCAACTCGATGCCATTATGCTAAGCGAATTAACACAGGAATAGAAAACCAAATACCACATATTCTCACTTATAAGCAGGAGCTAAACATTGAGTACACGTGGACACAAAGATGGGAACAATAGAAACTGGGGACTACTCGAGGGTAGAAGGAGGGAGGGGGTAAAGGTTGAAAAACAACTACTATGCCTAGTACCTGAGTGATCGGATCAATCATGCTGCAAACCTCAGCATTACACAACATACCCATGTAACAAACCTGCACATGTACCCACTGTATCTAAAATCAAAAGTTGAAATTATAAAAAATAAAAAAATAAAATCAACAATGTATATTTCTCTCACACAGCCATCACGATGATGTATTTGGAATAAGATATGCATAAGGATGTTCGTTGCAGTGTTGTCTGCAAGGGCAAAGTGAAAACAATCTGAATAACCAACAATATGACACAGAGTAAGTAATTATTGGTACGTCTGTACAATGCCTCATGCAATCACCACTGACAGCGTGGGAAAGAGAGACATCTATTATGAAAAGACCACTAAGACATATGATTACATGATAAGTGCAAGGTTCATGAATAAATAGCATGTATACTAGTATAGCATACTTCTTTCTAAGAAAGAAACCATAACACATACAAGAATGGACAAGAAGTTATTAACAATAGCTAACTTTGGTGATAAGACTGTAGGTTGTAAAAAGCCAGACTTTCATTTCTCATTTTAAACCCAATGAATTATTTAAATCTAACCCTACTGCATTCATTATCTTTATAATAAAATAAATATGTATAACAATGAAACATAGTTTTTAAGTATTTGGGACATAAATTAAACATTAATAGATTACACCTCTTAAACTTGGTACTTTAGTATCCCATTTCTCTGTGAGAACTCTGAAAGCTTCATCTTCCACAGTTTAGGTAATTCTTTGGTGTCTTATTTTGTTATTTTCTTGCCCTGAGATTAGCAATGTCAGATCTCCAAACTGCTAACTCTTCTCTTTGGCAGATCAAATGCTTCTTCTTAAAAAAATTAAGTTTTTAAAATGTATTTCATAGGATTTTTGTTCTCTCTCTCCCTCTTTTTGTGCATATGTGTGTGTGTCTGATTAGTCTTTATTATCTTAAAATGGTTAGTCCTGATAGACCTGTTTCTTCAAAATTTCTCTCAGTTCTTTGGCAGTTTGCTCTTAGCTTATAATTAAAGATCAATTTCTGACTTGTCTTGTTCTAGAAAACCTCAATGGAAATTACAGGAAGCTGAATCGGATATTAATTAAAAACATAAACCTGGTGAAACCCGAACATAGAGGCTCCAGTTCAAAGATGCTTCCAATAGTTGACATGGCCCTTCATTCCTTAAAACCAGCTATTTTTCTTTTGAATTACATTACCTTTAATTCTGTAAATTGGATGTTATATAGTACCATGAAAACTGCTGTGAGTAATTATAATACTCATTGCTGAGTGATGTGACTTCTTTCTCAAGGCTATTTCTGAGGGAAATTGTACAATTAGATCTTTAGGTATTGTGACTTGTTTTGGAAATCATGGTGGCCCTCCAGGGAGCTAATGAATCTTTAATTATTTAGAGGTTCACATGAGACCCCTTACAGATATAAGCACATTAGCTCTGTAGCTAAGGGAACATTTAAAAACAGTAACATGAAATGTGTCAGACATAGAGGAAAGATGAAGAAGCAAGTAGAAGCTAATGCAAACAGAGGAACTGCCAGCTCTCTGTGGCACTCTAGCTCTCTCTGTCAGTATTTGGTTGGCAATGTAGACATAGTGGATGAGTGCAATTACATATGTTAGGCTCATTCTGAAATGCAGGAGCATTTTAGATTTTCATGTAGAAGCCTGACAAGCAAACTACATCTAGGATATACTTTGATAACTTTGAGTTGAGAGCCAAATTTTTTGAAGGTAAACCATCTCCCTGTTTTAAAGTAGTGTTTAAAATTATAAAAATTTTAATACATCTGTAATATAAAATATTTAGATATAACTACTACAAGTGCAAATGAATTTTTTTTTTCTACTTCTGCATTCAACTTTTCTCTTCTCCCTTCAGGGAAAACACTTTTGTGTAAAGGCCTCCAAAATATATGTAGAGGCGTATGTATGTTAAAAACATGTATACATATAATGCATAACCAAACAAATGAAATATCCTAAACATATGGACCTGAAAATTGCTTATAATAAATTTGAACTGAACATATAGGCATAAATGTGGTTCAGAAGTGTCCAGTTGAAGCAACTTCACTTTGTTAGGTCAACAAAAGTTGGGGACACCAAGATCTACTCCTCTGATTTTGTTCTAGCATTATCTTAATGGAAATGTTTACTGAAATGGAAATACATGTAGTGGACATCGTGGTGGTGTCTCAAGCATTCAGTGTTCCCTGCTCTCACACACTCCTAACCAAATAATGAATTTCTCAGCTTCACAATGTTTAAGTGACATGAGTCCCATGCCCAATTCTTGGTCATTTTAATTGGTGCATGGAAGGAACGTGTGCCTTCTGCTAATCAAATCAGAATGAAGTACAACTTTTTCATTCCATGATTGAAGAGGGAAATGCCTTCTTTCCAAATGCAGCAGAGGAAGCACGAGGTACTAGGATTGGAAGTTGTCTACTCATGACATGATATTTTAAGCCATAGAATAAAACTGAGACCTAATGTCTTAGTCCTTTCAGGTCGCTATACCAGAATATCACAGCCTGGATGGTTTATGAACAACATAAATTTATTTCTTACAGTTCTAGAGGCCAGGAAGTCCAAGATCATGGTGTCAACAGATTCAGGGTCTAATGAGGATTTGTTTCCTGGTTCACAGACAGCTGTCTTTTTGCTGTGTCCTCACATGGAGGAAGGGGCAAGGAAGTTCTCTAAGGTCTCTTTTATAAGGGCACTAATCCCATTCATGAGGGCTCTGTCCTCATGACCTAATCACCCCCCGAAGACCCACTGCCAAATATCATCACACTAGGGATTAGATTTAAACATACAAATTTTGGGGGACTACAAACATTCAATCTATATCACTTAAGGTAGAGTGAAGAAACAGGGAGGACAAGAAGCATTTATTTTGTGTCATTATTAAACTTCTGCATTAAGCTATCTTGAGCCTATACTATTGTTCAAAATCTCTTTATTATACAAGCCATTTTGAATTTTGATTGTTTGCAACCAAAATTAACCTAATAAGTTAAAATGTACTATAATGTTACATCATAATTTGTCTGTACTAGTAGTATTTGCTAGAGTGTTTAGGGGAATACTTGCTTGTTAACTTTTTAGTAAATATAACACTCCATGTTCAAATACATTTGGGAAATGCTGAGCATTTCACACTTTTAGAGACTCAAAACAGGCAGCACATTTTTAAAAAATAAAAATAAAACCAAATAGCATTGCATTTGGAGAATGGTACAAAAAAAGAGAATTTGATAAACCAGAGTTATCAGAACTCAGTGGATACTATGTGTTAGACATTATTATAAGCCATTAAACATTTTACAAGCTTGATACCTGAGTTAAAAATTAATAACCCAAAGACACATCAGAAGAGAAAAGTTGACATATTTTTATTATATTAATGACCTAAAAATATCATAGCAACTAACGTCATTATAGTCAACAAGTGAATGAACGTAAATAATATTAAATAACTATTAGAAAGTCTCTCTGATTAAGCATGGAAATAAATAGGCAGTGCTTTTGACCAATAAATGGAGGACTTACAATATTTTCCAATACGAAACAAAAAGATTCTAAATGTAAAGGTTTTAGGCCCAAAATATGTTAGTCAATTCATGACAGCAGAAATTCAGCAGGTCATATTTTTGGGGTAATGTAAATGACAATAGAAATCATGGACTAAAGTGTAACAAATAAGTAATATCTAGGCAGGTGGAAATTTTAAGATCTTTTAAATTAACTTCTGGACTATAGCAAAAATTCAAACTAAAATTCATCAGGGAGTCAGGGAAGGTCAAATGAAGAAGCATGGGGATTGAGGCAAAAACCCTGAATTATACCAATATTATCTTTTTTTTTTTTTTTTTTTTTTTTTTGAGAGAGGATCTTGCTCTGTTACCCAGGCTGGAGTGCAGTGGTGCAATCATAGTTCACTGCAACCGCGACCTCCTAGGCTCAAGGGATCCTCCCACCTCAGCCTCTTGAGTATCTGGGACTACAGACCCTCATCACCACAACACCCGTCTAATTTATTTATTTTTTGTAAAGATGAGGTCTCACTTTGTTGCTCAGGCTGACAAGTATTATCTTAATGTTATAGAAAAAAAGTAATTCTGGCCATATATAGGTATTATTCTTTGCAGTGGAATATCATTTCAGAAATTTGTGCCAAACATAAAATTAGTTTTCTAGTAGTAAAAAGTAATTAAACTCTAAATTATTATTACCCCTAGTATACTGGGGAATGAGTGTGTGTTCCAAATGAAAAAAACTTGGGATGTCTAATGAGATGCTGTTTTCTGTCGCAGAAAATCTATGTAAAATGTTTTTTCTCACGTGTACACTGTTGATATTTGAGACAGCACATGTTAACACTTCAAGAAGTAAAATAAATGTGTTGATTATATCCACAGTTTTCATATTTATTAACTATATATTTTGTTTTTAATGTAATGCCTATTGAAAAACCTGTAAATAGTTGTTTCTTAAAATTGATAAATACTGCCTAAGATTTTTCTGTATATTTTCATATTTCAATTTTCCTGTGAGGTTAGAATGAACACTTTTAGCTAAGACATTTGGGCCTCCAAATCCTAAACCTTTCAGAATGTTAGTTTATTATTTGGCTTTTACCTAAATTATTTTCTGCTTATTCAAGATCCTTAGGTCTATCCAGTTACGTTTTTATTTTTTTATTTTTATTTTTTTATTTTGAAACAAAGTCTCACTCTGTTGCCAAAGCTGGAGTGCATTGGCATGATCTGGGCTCACTGCAACCTCTGCCTCCCAGGTTCAAGTGATTCTCCTGCCTCAACCTCCCGAGTAGCTGGGATTACAGGGGCATACCACCACACCCAGCTAATTTTTGCATTTTTAGTAGAGATGGGGTTTCACCATGCTGGCCAGGCTGGTCTCAAACTCCTGACTTCAGGTGATCTGCCCACCTCAGGATCCCAAAGTGCTGGGATTATAGGCGTGAGCCACCATGCCTGGCTGTATCCAGTTACATTTTTAAGACCAGCCAGGCTTAATATATATTTGGTCTTTAGCTCAATTCAATTTGTTGCATTTTGTCCATTGTACTTCATGTGACACAGAATATATCTTAATTTAAAAAGACATATGTTTGTTGAGCTATCTGTTACATTGGTATATCTTGGAATTTTAAAAAATATAAACCACAGAAGCCAATTATGGCTGACATTAACAATAAATAGGTTTATCACAGAAATAGTGGGGAACTTGTAGAACTGTTGAGAAGGCTAGAGAGCCAGATCAAAGCTAGGCAGCCAGGAAATGTACCCCAAACCATGCTGTAGAACTCATCCAGGGAGGAAACCACTGTCACCACCAGTAAGAAGTAACACCGAAGATGCAGAGAGCAACAATTGCAGCAATTGCTCAATCCTAGGCTAACTGCAAAGCCACCAGCACCACTCCCACTTGTTCGCTTTGCAACAGATAGCTGCAAAGGAGGCTGAGAAAGCAAGCATTTGACATTTTAGCTTCTAAAGCAGGAGGTGGTTTCTTGTTTTCGTCAAAACTGAGAGGCTGAGGAATTCCTCAAACACAGGAACAAACATCAAATAGTAAATATTCATGCTTTAACTTGCTCAATATCAATATAAACTTTCCCTTTTGAAAGTAAACACGAAAGACCCAAGCTTCCTTCTAACAGAGTGCAACTATTTCTCTAATAATTGAACATGTACCTACAATCTCTTGAACAATGAAACAATAAAAAATTCTCAATCACAGCATGTACTCTAAGTCTAAGAATTCTGGGTTATGTCCATTCCTCTACGAAGTTCTTCACTATACTCTCTTGACATTCTGCCATATATCATTTAAAAATTAAGTTAATCACCCTCAATAAGCCCTGTTTTAAAAAGAGGGATAAATGGAGAGGAAAGAAGGAAAGTTGTTAAGATACATAAGTATGCACAGGACAATACAAGAGAAACAATGTGTTTGGATGTAAAGGCTCTCCTTTCTGCAAGTGGCCAGCAGGTCACTATTGGCATCTATGGCCATGTGCCCTCAGCTAACACCTCTGCTAGTCAGGGTTTTGCCTTGTGAGATGACCAAATATTCATTCCTGACAGAGAAATGTCCTTGATAATCTTTTTGTGTGAGCGTGCCATGGTCATTGTTAATTTCTTTCATTTAACAAAATAATAGACTTTATTTTTTGAGCAGTTTTAGCTTTATGGAAAGATCGAGCAGAAAGTACAGAGTTCTCACATACTGTCACCTTTATCCCACCCCCAGTTTACATTAGAGTTCACTCTTTGTGTGGTACAGGTCTAGGAGTTTTGCAAAACGCATAATGTCATGTACCCATCATTACATTATTACCAACGTATTTTCAATCCCCTAAAAATCGCCTGTTTCAGAACTATTTATCTCCCTACCCATCCCCAAACTCCTGGCAACCACTGAGCTTTTTTGTTGTTGTTGTTGTTACTTAGTTTTTATTTCATAATCATAAACTTAACTCAACTCTGCAATCCAGCTAGGCATGGAAGGGAACAAGGAAAACATGGAACCCAAAGGGAACTGCAGCAAGAGCACAAAGATTCTAGGATATTGCAAGCAAATGTGGTGGAGGGGTGCTCTCCTGAGCTACAGAAGGAATGGGTCTGGTGGTGAAAATAAAACACAAGTCAAACTCATTAGAATTGTCCACAGTCAGCAATGGTGATCTTCTTGCTGGTCTTGCTATTCCTGTACCCAAAGTGCTCCATGGCTTCCACAATATTCACACGTTCTTTCACCTTGCCAAACGCCACATGCTTGCCATCCAACCACTCAGTCTTGGCAGCGCAGATGAAAAACTGGGAACCATTTGTGTTGGGTCCAGCATTTGCCATGGACAAGATGCCAGAACCTGTATGCTTTCGGATGAGGTTCTCATCATCAAATTTCTCCCCATAGATGGACTTGTCACCGGTGCCATTAGGGCGTGTGAAGTCACCACCCTGACACATAAACCCTGGAATAATTCTGTGAAAGCAGGAACCCTTATAACGAAATCCTTTCTCTCCAGTGCTCAGAGCACGAAAGTTTTCTGCTGTCTTTGGAATCTTGTCTGCAAACAGTTTGATGGAGATGCGGCCCAAGGGCTTGCCATCCCTGGTGATTTCAAAAAAGACGACGGAGTTGACCATGGCTGATAGTACAGGGCTCACAGCGATGGTGGCGTCTGCAAAGATAACCACTGATCTTTTCACTGTCTTTATAGTTTGGCCTTTTCCAGAGTGTTGTATAGTTGAAATCACAGTATGTACCCTTTTCAGACTGGCTTCTTTCACTTAGCAAAATGTCTTTGTTTTTCTGTATCTTTTTGTGGCTTGATAGTTTTTTCCTTTTAGCACTGAATAATATTCCACTGTAGGAATATACCACAGTTTGCTTATGCAGTCACCTATTGAAGGACATCTTGGTTGCTTCCAAGTTGTGGCAGTCTTCATTTCTTTCTTTCTTTCTTTCTTTCTTTCTTTCTTTCTTTCTTTCTTTCTTTCTTTCTTCTTTTTTTTTTTTTTTTTTTGAGACAGAGTCTTGCTCTGTCACCCAGGCTGGAGTGAAGTGGCACAATCTCAGCTCATTGCAACCTCCGCCTCCCAGGTTCAAGTGATTCTCTTCCTCAGCCTCTGGAGTAGCTGGGATTACAGGTGTGCACCACCATGCCTGGTTAGTCTTCAGGAATATTTACAGGACTGTATAGAATTAGGAGCCATCAAAGGGGATCCCTGAATTCTTTCTGTTTTTCTTACAAATACCAGTTTTAAGGTCAAGATTTACTACCCCATGCCACAGTGTAGCCGCATTTTAAATTTTAAATTTTTGACTGTTTGTTTAAAGGTCTCAGGCAACCTAAAAGGCTAGATAGAAGTCTCTCATCCTCTAACGAAGGATGGATTGTAAAATGGAATACTGCTAAGACTCTCCCTTTGGGTACTAATTCTGCAAAAACCTAGAATCTCAGAGACAAGAGACAAGTATTTGGAGTGGATCATTAGATGTAATGACAAAAGGAGTCACTTCAACATTCATAACAAATATCAAAGATTGTTGTATTTTTTATATAGGAGACACCAGACAAGCTTATACTTAGTTACTAGTTCAGAGGATACACCACCACATCCTCTAGCATGAGTACAACCTTATAAGCCATTGTCTCCAGCTGGCACTGTGATTGAGTCTTTAATAAAATATTCACCATTCTGTAATAATAATAATTTTGGTTAGTGATAGGATAAATGGTGGACCAGGTGAGTCCAATGAATATCTACTCATTTGTTATACAACAAGTTCTTTTAAGAGAAGGATGTAGAACAGGATATTATGGCAGTATATATAAGGCATTCAATGTACCCGTGGAGAGTGGCGATCAGAGAAAAATGATGTCAGGTAAAGCAAATGTAATTCAAGGTTAAAGGTAGATTCCATTTACAAAATTCCTTGTTGCCTTTATCATAGAGGAGTTCCAATAAAATCAACAAGTCTGACAAAAGGTGACTGGTTTATTCACCCAGGATATGTTATTGTGTGCTTAGCCTTGGACTTTGTTGCTTGTGTGTTGGACACCTAATAGTCTTGACAGCTAAATAGGCTTTTGTAAGCGAGAGTGGTAAAGTCCAACATGTTGCTAAACCTATGTGTATTCTCTACTGCTACCACCAATGTTGCTGTTTATTAGCCTTCTAAGCAAGCAATGTAGTGCCTGGTGAAAGAGATTGTTTCATACCTTCATATCTATTTGATAACCTTCCTGATGATAGTTTGGTGAGCATTCGTATTAAGCACAAATATTCTTACACTCTGGCTCATTTTCTGTGGTTCATCTACATATTTTTTCCCCAAAACTCATTGCCACCAATCCTTCAGTCTTTGTCTTTCCGAGTCCCTAATTATCTTTTCTTTTCTTTTTTTTTTTTTTTTTTTTGAGACAGAGTTTCGCTTTGTTGCCCAGGCTGGAGTGCAGTGGTGCAATCTTGGTTCACTGCAACTTCTTCCTCCTGGATTCAAGAGATTCTCCTGCCTCAGCCTCCCAAGTAGCTAGGATTGCAGGCACACACCACCACATCTGGCTAATTTTTGTATTTTTAGTAGAGACGGAGTTTCACCATGTCAGCCAGGCTGGTTTCGAACTCCTGACCTCAGACAATCCACCTGTCCTGTCCTCCAAAAGTTCTGGGATTACAGGTGTGAGCCATCAGGCCTGGCCCCAAGTCCCTAATTATCTAGACAAATTATTAGCTGCCACATATACATCAATAATATCTCTCCTTCTAGACATCGTGGACAACCAATTACATAGGCTGAATTTCTTTTAAAATTGCATTCACGTAGGTTATAATGCCTAAGCAATCTACTTTTGGCTGCTGCTGTGATGTTGTACAGTGACTTCTGTAAATCAGGCTCAATTTTTCCCTCACTAATCAACTGGCCATAGAGAACTTCCCATGAAGACATAGGTATAGATTCTATTATTCCTACCTGCTGATGAAGCAGGATAGTTAATTGGAAAACACTTATTTCATGATAAGCAGCTCATGTTGTCATATTTTTTTGCATTGATAGGACTTCAGTTTCTACAATGGTCCAGGATCAATCAAGAGTTCTTTAAAGAAAACATTTATTTTGTCAAAGAAATGCATTTTGTTCCAAATCCTAAGAACAATAGTAGTGGTGTGTCAGAGGCTCTATTGCATCTGGATATAAAAACAAAGGGGCACAATATTCCTGACCAGTTGGGAATTATTATCTTCATCTCAATCCCATCAAAAGGTGGCAGCATGACAAGTCATGAAGTAAAAGGACCAGGTGATAAAATGAGGTCTCCAAAATCCAAAGCATCAAAGTTCTCAGTTAGTGGTCAGGGCTGCAAAGTGCCATAATTTTGCACTTTGGAAGGTATATCTTGAGAATATTGAGTGTATGAGACAAGTTAAAAGGTCATGCAGCCAGACGCGGTGGCTCACGCCTGTAATCCCAGCACTTAGGGAAGCTGAGGTGGGCGGATCATGAGATCAGGAGTTCAAGACCAGCCTGGCCAATATGGTGAAACCACATCTCTACTAAAAATACAAAAATTAGTGGGGCATCGTGGTGCCCTCCTGCAGTCCCAGCTACTTGGGAGGCTGAGGCAGCAGAATCGCTTGAACCCTGAAGGCGAAGGTTGCAGTGAGCTGAGTTGGCGCGACTGCATCCAGCCTTGGCAACACTGTGAGACTCTGTCTCTTAAAAAAACTAAAAAAATAAAAATAAAAAAAATTTAAAAGTTCGTGATTAACACCTCTGTTAGCCTCTGATCTTTATAATAATTATCACACACACACAAACCAAACACCACACATAGAGGAAACAGTAAAAGATTAAAGGACACAGCTAAAAATACATTTGTATTATTACTTCCCAAAGTTCTAAAATTATCAGAAGGGACTAGTGAATCTTTAAAAAATATTGATTATCCAACACTTTTTAATAACCAGTATAATTGCATTGAAGGCTACTGAACATGCACATGTTCCTAAAATTTTTCTGTTATGGTGTCTGGTTTGCGAAAGGAACAAAATTAAACATAGTTCCTTGGCAATTTTTCCCTCTTCCACTCTACTAATTGGCGTATGTGCGATGTGTGTTTATTGTAAAATAGGAATAAGATTCAGAGGTCAAGAATCAAAGTGAGTCAGAGTAGGAAAAGCCAGACTCAAGCATAACAGAAGGGCAGAGCCTGTCAAACCCCAAAATTAAAGGGTAAATTTCAACACAAGTAGAAGTGGTTCAAAAGCTAAGGGCATCCTCATAGTTCATGAAAAACAAGTATTCACGCAGGTAGCAGACTCTAATCTGCTTCAAGCCAATGTGCTATTCTCTTCGTGTTATTTATATCCCTCAGAATACCTCAAAGTTCCCAAGAGCAGTCAGTATTTAACTCTAAACTATATCATCTATATGATATATTTATTATATATAATATATATATTTATTATTTGTATAATACATATTATATATTTATTATATATTATATTTATATTGATTATATATAATATATATATATTTATTATTATATATTTTTTTGAGACGGAGTTTTGCTTTTGTTGCCCAGGCTGGAGTGCAATGGCGCTATCTCGGCTCACCACAACCTCTGCCTCCCAGGTTCAAGTGATTCTCCTGCCTCAGCGTCCTGAGTAGCTGGGATTACAGGCATGTGCCACCACGCCTGGTTAATTTTGTATTTTTAATAGAGAAGGGGTTTCTCCATGTTAGTCAGGCTGGTATTGAACTCCCATCCTCAGGTGATCTGCCTGCCTCGGCCTCCCAAAGTGCTGGGATTATAGGTGTGAGCCAACGTGCCCAGCCAACTATGTAATATTTTAATTGTGTAGTGATAACCCTCATCAAAAGAAGTATTCATTATGGTCAGTGTACTCTGCTTATTTACCACTGAAGCTTAACACAAAATTGTTGAAATAAACATGCATATTGAAGTACTTAGCTAGCTATTGAGGCAATACAGGTTTCTAGATTTACTCATTTTTTTCACTGTACACACATGTCGTGTGTGTCATGATAAACCCATGTGTGTGCATATATTGATTAAATATTATATTTCTTTTTACTTTTATTATTATTATTGAGAAAAGATCTCACTCTGTCGCCCAGGCTGGAGTGCAGCGGCACAATCTCGGCTGCCTGCAGCCTTGTCCTCCCAAAGCCCTAGACCCTGTAACATAATGGAATATGTATGTTTCTAATTTGTGCAATATGGAAGCAGGAATACTACATAGAACTGTCATCTTTTCCTATTGCATTTATTTTGGTGTGGAAAAATATAATAATTGGCTTCAGTCAGTAAGTCTATTTCATTCAAGAATATTTAAATATAATCCAAACCATCTTAGGTACATTTTGTGATACAAGAGGATGGTATCTTCTATTTGGAAATATAAAATCCCAGGGTCTCACAGTTTAAGTATACTTTCCAGGGGTATGTATAAAACAAGAATCCCACTTTACAAAGTTAATAGAAAAAATATATGCTAATTGGAAGGAGAGGCTTCTGATTGAGGATAAAGTGGAAATTTTCACATACTGCTAATTACACTTTAATGGAGTAAGAAAAAAAGAATTGGAAATAGTACCCTATAAAACTTCTGAAATGAAATTACAGTTTCTCTCTCTCTCTCTCTTTTTTTTTTTTTTTTCTTGAGACGGAGTTTCGCTCTTGTTGCCCAGGCGAGAGTGCAATGGCGCTATCTCAGCACACTGCAACCTTCACCTCCCGGGTTTAAGTGATTCTTTTGCCTCAGCCTCCCAAGTAGCTGGGATTACAGGCATGCACCACCATGCCCAGCTAATTTTTTGTATTTTTAGTGACCCACCACGCCTGGCTGTCTCCTCTTTTTAGAATTAGGAGAACTGATTTTTTTCAGTGCTAAACTGGCACTGTCCTATGTTTTCAAGAAAGCAATATGGTGAAACGAAAGAGCCTGGATAGCATGTTTTGTTAGCTGGCGTCTAGTTCTTTAAGTTCCATGAGTCTATTGTGTCTTCTTTACATCTCAAAAAGAAGAGAGAAGAAACCTGCATCTAATTACTGAAGCAGTTTCATTCAGCAAATGTAATTGCATCGCAGGCACATCTCAAATTAAAAATCTTCATCTTGGTCTCTGTCATTTCCATTTTAAACTGGGACTGAATAACCTGTTTTGCCACTCAAAATAATAGCCAGTGTCTCTTTCTTATTAAAATATGTGATCTTTTGCTTGATTACCTAATTATGTCACCTGCACCTTACATGAGGCAGATAGAAGAGTCTTCCAGTCTGCCAGAGCAGATCTACCAAACTAGACTGCACATACAAATTACCTGGGGATCCTGATAAATTACAGATTCTGAGTCTGCTTTCAAAGAGGGCCTCAAGTCAAGCTGATGGTATTAGTCCCAGGATCCCTCACTGAGTAGCAAGGTCTTAGAATTAAAAAGTGTGCAAGTATAAGGCCGGGAGCAGTGGCTCATGCCTGTAATCCCAGCACTTTGGGAGGCCAAGGCGGGTGGATCACCTGAGGTCAGGAGTTCGAGACCAGCCTGGCCAACATGGTGAAACCCCGTCTCTACTAAAACTACAAAAAATTAGCCAGGTGTGGTGGCACGCACCTGTAATCCCAGCTACTAAGAAGGCTGAGGCAGAAGAATTGCTTGAACCTGGGAGGTGGAGGTTGCAGTGAGCCAAGATCACGCCACTACACTCCAGCCTGGGCAACAACAGCAAAACTCCATAAAAAAAAAAAAAGTGCAAGTTTATAAACATGGAAACGTGGACAATTGTAAGCAATATTAGAGAACTGTAGAAAACAATTTTTTAAGTGATATGTTTAACCTATTTAGAATAAAACCCATTATGGTCCTAGGAATTTCTGGAACTGCCTTACTTGTGAGAAACATGATCCTAAGATGCCCATTTGTTTATCAGTACATCAATTTTCTCCTTCTTGAATTGGTATCATTATTTTCTTCCAAGAAGCCTAGCACACTTTTGTTGTTGTCATTGAAAGAGGGCATATAAGGGTTATGGCTGCTATTTGGAGAAATGCATTAGAAAATAAAAAGCTTGAAAAAGTTGTATTACTGAGAAAAAAGTTGAATGAAAATAAGAAAGATTAAATTGAAATAAATAATGAATCAGTAAGGTATGCACTGTTAAACACTTGATGGGATTTCCCAAGTATCAACATGCTGATAACTTGAAATAAGAATGGGAGAAAAGGTCAATATGAATTCTTAAAATGTTGAAGGCTGGGAATAAGAAGTAATATATCACAGAATCTGATAGAAAAATTTTTATTTATTTTATGGGAGAAAATGGGAGACTAACAGACAATAGGAATAGGAAAGAATAGAAATAGCAAAAAGAAGTGTATCTGCAATTATTAATATAATACAAGAGGACATTGTGTAGAGATATTTAAAGAAAGATTGATGAAATTTAGATTTATGGAGAAATATCCTAATAAAGACATTATTTATAATCAACTGTTCATCATTATTATATAATTCTGACATTTTTTAGGTTATAAATGTAAGGCAGAAAGATCTAATATAAAATGTATAAATGGGACAACATATAATTTTGCTTAGGAAGTTGAATAAATAAAGTAGTGATTTACGATTTGCATTAATATAAAAAAATTTAAAAAATGGTTTACATTTTGTTTGAAATGGATCATAAACAGGAAAAGAGTAATTTAGTACATTGAGTAATTTAGTACATTGGTCACCAAAGAAATACAAATTGAAACTATAAGATGCCTTCTCACATCTTTGTCAGATTTGCAGGTATAAAAACAGTAGTAGTTGTATTGGTTGGAGAACAGAAAGATGACACTTTCATATGCGGCTGATTAGAGCACAGATTGGTATATTATTTCTGAGATGCAATTTGAAAATATGTACCATCAGCCTCAAAGATGATTATGACCATGTGTCACTACTTTCTTGGAAATCATTATTAATGCATGTATAGATTGATGTTTACTGTAGTATTACTTAACTTAATGAGTTGAGTACAACCTTCACTCCCAAAAAACATGAGGTAGGGGTGAACTAGTTAAATATACAATCACAATGAGCTATGACAAAATGCAGTTAGTTAAAAGCACATTTATAAGACTATTAATGGCAATAAACATGATTTAATATAATGTTTTCAAAAATTAGGGGAATTCTATTCCCAGCATTGTGGTAGACTAAATTTGCTGAATCACTATCCTGCTATATGAAATCTACAAATACCAGATAAAATGTACATGTCATTTTTCAAAAGTATATTACTGACTTGAATAGAAATTAAGGTGAACCACATAGGCCAAGCATAAGGAGAATACATAAATCCAGAGAGGTATGCAGACCCCCAAACCAGAAGCTTCCATAAGGACAGTCCTGGCCCTAGTACCCTGAGCTTCAATTTTTATGACCACCTGGGATATGGGAGAGTGTGAGACAAAACCTAGTGCCTGCCCAGTATAGCAGTCTTACAGGAGAAAACTGCTGAAAGCCAGAGATACGAAGGACTATAATTTCAGGGAAAGGATAAACTAGATAAAAACCTGTTCCTCAGGGGGAGACAACCAGGAAATTTTCCTGCCTCAAACTCGGTGCTATTTAGAGGAAAAATGAGAAGGCCATCTTCACATGAATTTGTGGTTTAAATTTTCACTGTAAGTATAAGTTAAAAAAAACCCACACATGAAACTGATAATTTATTTTATAGTTATCCCATGTTGGTATTACCACCAAACACAAGACGAAGGCAAAGTGTCTTTGGAGAAACCCACATTCAGCCCATGTCTCAAAGAATGGCCACAGGTAAAATTTCATCCAAAATGAGAAAAAAGTAAGACTCTTACAAAACTCATGAGGAAATAAACATCATGAGCAGAAACAGAATTATGCCCATAAAGATTTCAGATATTAGGACGATTATATAACTATAAAAGCTGTGTTTAATATGTTTAAAAAATCAATGAGGTGTGCCAGGAATATAAATTGAGACAGTGTATGTATCTTATATTAAGCAGATTGAAACTGAATTTAAGAGATCTTTTAGAAATAAAAAATATAATGAAAATTAAAAACTAAATGGACAGGTTAAACACAATATTGGATAGAACCAAAAAGAAAATAAGTGAGTTGGAAGTTAGACTAAACAAATTATGCTGAAGACAGTACAGAGGAGGAAAGGAAAATGGATATGTGAAATAGAGGTTGAAAAATTAGAGTATCTAATCATATCTGCAAAAGAAAAATTGAATTGGGGGAAGGTTATATTTAAGGTTATATTTAATATCTGAGGGCTTTTCGTCATTGGAATTTATTAATGTTCAAGGAAACCTGGAAAGTTTTCTAACACATTAAAGGAGCTTTAATTATAAGTTCCAAATTCTTCTTAGAAGAAGAGAACCAGCAGGCCCAGACATTTTTACTGGTGAGTTCTATCAAATGTTTTCAAGAAATGGATTATTTCCATTTTATAAAAACAACTCCAGAATAAAAAAAGGTCCATTTGTTCGTTCATTTTATGAGGCCAGTACAACCTTGATACCAATGTTATATGAGAAATGTGTAAGACAGGAAAATTACATGCCAACTTTCCTCATGAACCTAACGGCAAACATTTTAAATTAAAAGTTAGCAAATTAAGTTTAGAAGTCTATAAAAAATATAGTATGAAAATTGTGTTTGTTCCATGAATGCAAGGATTTCTAACAATAGAAAAAAAAAACTATGTATAATTCATCACATTAACAAGTTAAAGGAGGAAAAGCAAATCATCATTGTAGGAGAGGCAAAAAGTGAATTCAATAAAATAAAATATTTAACTTTGACAAATCTTGTTTAGCAAACAAGAAATAGAAGAGCTTTCAGTGTTTGCTTATAAATCAGAAACTATTCTTCGTCTTTCAAGCAGAGGTGATTTAATACAGGTGATTGATTACACAAGTGATGGAAGCCAAACCAGGCTTGGTGAGTCAGCAGCCCATATTTAATATATTTATATATTAAATATTTAATTATACTTCAAAACTTTTATGTACACTATAATCTCATTATTGTTTTCTATACTATTATATGCAATATACAAATACAGAAATACAGAAATGTACCTCAGTTTGAAAGAGAATTTGAATATGAGGCAAAAAGATACCCCCAAATTATAGTTACATTACAAGAATTGAATTTAAGAAGGAAGAAGCAAATTGCAAGAGATAAGGCCAAGCCTCTTTAGTAATGATCATTCTAAATCCAATTGGTATAAATTTAGGAACGCACAACTGGATTGCAGTGTAACTAAGAAAGTTTGTGTGTCAATAACCATATTTATCCTATGTGAAGAAATAATAGTTTCATAGGAGAAGGTTAATTGGCATGGAGTCTGTAAAAGAGAAGTTTGGATAGATGATTGAGCTATGTATTTGTCAAATAATATCTAAAGGTAAAAAGAGATCTAGTTCACAGAGGCGAATCTCTGATTTTTTAATTTGCATTAACAGAAACAACATTGGAAGGGAGTATATTAAGATTTTAATAGTGACTATTTCTGCCAATGGTTTCTGTTTTATTGTTTACTATTTTTGGTATATTTCCAATGTTTCTTAATAAGTGTTTATTATTTAAAAAATGAGAAAACAGCAATGAGTAATTCAGTAAAATAACATTTTTCAAAATTGTGACTGCTATGATTATGAGCCAATTATGAAAGAAAGAGACACAGATAGAAATAGGGTGACCAATCTTTCAACTTACTCAGGAATGAAGGATTTTCTGGATGGGGGATTTTTGTTGCTAAAATCGGGACAGTAGGGGACATATTGGGACTGTGGAAAAACCCTACAGGGATTTATTTCCTAACTATGAATTTCTATCTTGGTCTAGAGACGACTGTTCTCATAAATAGGTAGAATAGATGTGGTATTTCTGGAATGAGATTTAACATCTTTACGTAGCTTGCCCTATTAAAAGTAGACAAATGCTTGTGAGAGAATATCATATACTTTTGAAAGCTAATGTCTTAACTAATTCGCTGTGAGCAAAGCTCTTGAAGACTGTGATGTAACAGAGATTCCTAGGTATCAGTGAAGATACGGAGATGAAAAAGGGAAGTTGAAAAAAGAAGCTGAGAGATAAGCATGGAAATCATTTTCCAAACTCATTTTTCCAATCTCCATTTTCCTGTATTGAGAAGTGAAAATATGTTTTCTAGAGATAAAGTTCTAGAAATGAACTCTGACATAGATATTTTAAAACCCATTTCAGAAACAAAATAATATGTGAACCTAGAGTAGTTGTAATTTATGTCCTTTTGTCTGTCTTTATCCTGTAGTTAAGTTTCCCTTGGGATCTCTTTGGGAAAATGGAGTACTGCATTTTACAAGGCAGGACTTGAATTTTCGTTCTTTTCCTTCTTTCTCTCTCTCTTTCTTTCTTTCCTTTTCTTCTTTCTTCTTTCTCTCTTTTTCTTTCTTTCTTCCTTTCTTTCCTTCCTTTTTCTTTTCTTTCTTTCTCTCTTTCTTTCTTCCTCTCTCTCTTTTTCTCTTCTTTCTTTCTTTCTTTGTTCCTTTCTTTCTTCTTTCTTTCTTCTTTTCCTTCCTTCCTTCCTTCCTTCCTTCCTCTTCTTCCTTTCTTTCTCCTTTCTTTTTCTTTTTTTTTTGACATGATCTCACTTTGTCACCCAGGCTAGAGTGCAGTGATGTGATCATAGCTTAATGCAGCCTCTCTGTCCTGGGCTCAAGCAATCCTCCCACCTCAGCTTCCAGAGTACCTGGGGCTACAGCTGTGTGCCACCACGCCCAGCTAAAGGACTTGAATTTTCTTACATATCTTGGCCCTATAGAGTGGTTCTCAACCTTGGCTGCACATGTCTATTACCTGAGAAAAGTTTTAAATAACCTAATACTCAGGTCACACCCTAGACTTTAGGGGTGAGACAAGCATTAATATTTTTTAACACTCTTAGAATTAAGAGCCACTAATATTGTAGCACTGCAATTCCTATAAAGAGAACAGATGTGAGTCGATTTGTTACAGTATTGTTGTATTCATCTGTTTTCATGCTGCTGATAAAGACATACCTGAGACCGGGCAATTTACAAAAGAAAGAGGTTTAATGGACTTACAGTTCCACATGGGTGGGGAGGCCTCACAATCATGGTGGAGGACAAAGAGGAGCAAGTCACATCTTACATGGATGGCAGCAGGCAAAGAGACAGCTTGTGCAGGGAAACTCCCATTTTAAAAATGATCAGATCTCATGAGACTTACTCACTAACCCAAGAACAGCACAGGAAAGACCCATCCTCATGATTCAGTTATCTCCCACTGGGCCCCTCCCACAACATGTGGGAATTATGGGAGCTACAAGATGAGATTGGGTGTGGACACAGCCAAACCATATCAATTGTCATCACTCAAGGCAGATGAGTATATAGAAAGCTATCAGTTGTAAGGAATTGGACTAAGTTTAAGAGAATAATAATTAAGATAGAACAAATGTTTGGTCCTGCTTAAGGGCTAGGATAGATGAGGCACAATAGAATCATGTGGGGAGCTGTAAAAATGCCCAGGCCCTACTCTGTGTCAATTAAATCAGAATCCAGAATCTCTGCTTGAGTGTGTCTAGAGTATTGGTCAAAGGAAACAGTGATTTTGATGTGCAGCCAGTTAAGAGCTGATATTCTCAAGGATCATGATGTGACACAGCTGTTTCAGAAGGGTAAATCTCCATACTCCCACTTTAGAAGAAAAGAAAAGGCAAAATGACAAAACAATCAAGCAAAAGGGCTGGAAGAGCTGGTAGATAACAGGGTGTCAACTTGAATTAATTCAGCTCTTTGGTAAAGATTAGCTGGAGTAAAGAAATTCCAGTTAGTCAAATGGGATGAATGTCCTTTCATGGAAACCATATCATGCTTTTTGAATGATCTGAGAAAGACTGGAAGCATTAGAGGTGAAGTATATCCATTTGCTCAATGGGAAAAGATTTTGTTTTATTTTATTTACATAATGTGATATGCTTGGCCATCTGCAGTAGTGCCTGAAAGGGGATGTAAAACGGAAAATGTAGTCAGTGAGACTGATTAATAACCATGGGTAGAAAAATAGGCCAAGTGGAAAAACTTATTCATATAATTGCTTCATTTTGCTGACTGCAAAAGGATTTGTTTTGGAAGTGATTTCTGCTCTTTAACCTAGTGGATTGATAGATCACAGAAAGGTCTTAGAAATGACATTACGTAATTTTGTTCGTAACATGAAATTAGCTTGAATCAAAAAATGTATACCATTTTTTTGTATCTACCTTCTAAGACATTTGTCTTGAGAAATTAATGATTCTACAACATAAATAGTCATTGTGAAAGGAAGGAAAAAGATAACAGAGGGCTTTCATAATAATCATGGACTCAAGATTATCTAATTTAAAAAGACATATCTCATTTTCCTTTATTTAAACATAAAACAAATGAGAGAAAACAGAAATAGCTCATAATTTTATTTATCTGATAAAACATGCTGACATAAAAATATAATTCATGCACCCAGTAAGAAAATCAAAAAGTTAAATAAAGGTAAAAATGAAATATAAAATTCTCTTTCCTCCTGTCTCTTACCCCCAGACATCTAGAATCTCTCCTTAAGATAATCACTGTTGACAATTTCTTGAGTATCTTTTTAAAAATGACCTTAATACACATCCCCCGTATAGAATATAGATCTTAAACAAGGTAGAAAATAAAATTTTATCTTTTAGTATTACACAAAAGGATGTTCAGAACTAGGCTTTGTATTTTTTTTTTCTAGAGATGAGGTCTCACTGTGTTGCCCAGGTTGGTCTCAAACTCCTGGGCTCAAGCAATCCTCCCACCTCAGTCTCCAAAAGTGTTGGGATTATAAGCATGAGATGAAGTCTTGCCTGGCCTAGGCATTCTATTTTTGTTTAATAATTTACCTTCAAGATATTCTTAACTTTTAACAACTGTATTGTATAAATATATTTTTTATTAAAACAATAGGCTACCAATAACATTAATAACATATCTTGGTTTATGTATTTTACAAGATTCTCCATGTGATAAATTCCAACCTGAGAAGTTGCTATACAACATATGAATTTAACATTTTTTAATTGCTGCGATCTAATATGATCCTAAAACATGGCCCTAGTTTATATTCCTATGAGAATGTCTAATACCTACACTCTTGCTAACATTGACTGCTATTGCATTTTAAAGACGCATTAATTTGATTGGATTGATGTTGAACATCTTCTGTTACTCCTGGCCATTGCATTTCTTTTTCTACCTATTAATCTCCCTTGTATAATATTGCATTATTTGTCTTTTTTGTCTCATTTATCGACAAAGATTAAAGTTATTGGCAGTAGTGAAAATGGAGAAAAAAATCAAAATTCAAATACTGTAGAGTACAATATTTTGGAGAATAATTTGATTCTATATATTGAAATTTAAATTGTCTTTAATCTTTGACCCAGTTATTCTATTTCTAGTAATTTTTCTACCCAAATAATAATTCAGGAAGGAAACCTTTACAGAGATTATTCTTATAATGTTTGTGATACAATATTTACAGGCAACATAAATTCTCATCCAGAGATCGGAGTAAATATTATATAGTATATCTGTAGAATGAAATGTACCTTGCTGTTTAAATGAATAAATTAGTTATTATCATAAAATAAATGTCATGTAAAGACATTTATTTTATGGTGTATAAAATTAGAAAAACAAGTTATTAAAAATAACATGATTTTTTGTAAAATGCTTTTATTTTGTTTTTAATTGACATAATAATTGCACATGTTTATGGGGTACAGTGTGGTGCTTTAGTGCATGTGTACATTGCGTAATGGTCAAATTTAAAAATTAAATGTATTGATAGAAAAAGTGTTTGGATATTTGTATCCTAAATGCTAACAGTGATGATATCTGGAATGTGGAACTGCTGGTAATTTTTCCCTTTTTCTTTTAGAGATTTTTGTACTTATTTTTAATAATAAACATATACTAATTTTATAATAAAAATAACAATGAAGTCCTTTCCATTTTGAAAAATTAATTCCAATAGAAAAATACTGTACTCGAGCCACTTTCCAGGGTTTTCTTATTCTTAGTGCTGGTATAAGGTACCAGTGATATTATATTTTCAGATATGTTTGGCTTTTCTGCCTTATGGTTGAAGATGAGCTTAGGAAGTATTGCTGCCTAATTTTCAGGCTTTTGAGCCAATGCTTGGTGCACAAAAAGCACCACATCAACTTTAAACAGAATATTCTGCTTCTTTAGACTGTATTTCCTACTTTTTATAGTATTTATTAGCGCCAGAACTCTGTGACTGTTTCCCAAAGAACAAGAGAGAAGGATCAAGGAAAGTGAGAAGCAATGAAACTAGATTTAATTAATACTCTGGCTTGTCAGCAGCTTTCATGAAAGATTTGTTTGTTGAAGAAGTTGAACCTATTAGCTTAAACAGGGATTAACTCTGCCAACTCTGACAGAGCATGGACAATTAAGAGTTTATTGGAAATTAATTGAAAATAATACAGTGTTGTGAGGTGGGATGAAGATGATTTCCTTTAAGGAAATTATGCCAAGTGTTTTGAATCAGCCAAGGATAAACAAATGCAGACTATCATTTGATGGAGGTATTATAAACTGATAACATGATTCGAAGTATAAGAATGGCAAATTGTGAAGAATGAATAAAATTACAGAGATAAATAGCAAAAATGTGAAACTAAAATAAAGAGGAACAGTGAGTAAACGGGGTTAGCTGAGAATATGGTTTAACAGGGCATACTCTATTCATTTATGAAGAAATTTTAATCCTCAAAATGCTACTTGTCTTAGTCTGTGTAGGCTGCTGTAACAAAATACCACAAGCTGAGTAACTTATAAACAACAGAAATTTCTTACAGTTGTGCAGGCTGGGAAGTCCAATATCAAGGCAGATTCAGCATCTGGGGTGAGGTTCACCCTTCTGGCTCATAGATGGCAACTTCCTGCTGTATCCCCATACTTTGGAAGGGGCCAATGAGCTCTCTGGGATCTCTTTTATAAGGGCACAAATTCCATTCATGAGAATCTTGTCCTCATGGCCTAATCACCTCCCCAAGGCTCTATCTCCTAACACGAGTAGCTTGGGGGTTAGGATTTCAATATACAAATTTGGGGGGACATAAACAGTCAGTCTGTGACATTGCCATTTCATCAGTAAGAATTTTCATGAACTCACTATTAAGATTTATGTTTAGGTTTTTTATGCGGATGTTCTCACTTTATAATATTGTTTGTCTGCATAGTTTAAAGAAAAGGACAATGCCCAATTAGAACAGGAGGTGTCTTTTGTTGGCCAGCAAAATATTTTAAGATGCCTTGAGTGTGACCCTACATAGAGATCATCAAGGTAACATCATTTTGTTCTTGTTCTAGATCCACATGTTTCACTCAAGATCCCAGAAAGAAAATGTATGAAAACACATTGGAAGACAATAATCCATCCTTACAATGCTAGCCAATGTTTATTATTGCTTTCTATGTGTGAGGAATTGTGTTAAACACTTAAAAAGATGTTATCCCTCATAATTATCATAACACCTGAAGAAGTAGGTGGGGTGATTTTCTCCAATTTAGATATTATAGGAACTGAAACACTTGCCCACTAAACAGGCAATTGAAAGAGATAGGATTTCTATAGAAAGTTACCAGCTCCACAGCTAGTGTTCCTATTCTCATCATTAGTGTTCCCTTAGTGGTTTTGATATTACACCTAATACTATTTAATACAAAATTAAAGCATCCACCCTATTCTGGGATTTACCATCAAGAATAGAGCACTGAGCCTGATAAACAGTATCCACTTTGGAATGCATGTTTCTATCCAGCTACTTAATATGACATAAGTTCATTGGACATTAAGGCCAGATTTCTTGACATGCTTTACCTTCAAATTAACAAGTTTGGCTTATTCAATTGTGGACCTTTAACCCTTAGGCCAGATAGTATATGAGGCCTAGAGTAGTGGAAAAAGGTAACTGGATTTACAAAATTTGACTCTTCAAATTCTGTAAGAATTCAATATATTGAGGAACGTTTAGGTGCATAGTAAAATTATAATTTCATATTGTTGCACAGACTCAGGCAGATGAAAGAGACTCCAATAGTGGTCAGGTAGTACCCAGACAGTCAGTTGATTGTCTCTGTGCTGAAAGGATTTAAAAATGAAGAAGAGTTTGCTCCAATGTATGTTTCAATATCTCATTGTTTTACAATAATATTTGAAATAATACCTAGGAACCCAACTTACAAGGGATGTGAAGGACCTATTCAAGGAGAACTACAAACCACTGCTCAAGGAAATAAAAGAGGACACAAACAAATGGAAGAACATTCCATGCTCATGGATAGGAAGAATCAATATCGTGAAAATGGCCATACTGCCCAAGGTAATTTATAGATTCAATGCCATCCCCATCAAGCTACCAATGACTTTCTTTACAGAATTGGAAAAAAACTACTTTAAAGTTCACACGGAAACAAAAAAGAGTCCGCATTGCCAAGTCAATCCTAAGCAAAAAGAACAAAGCTGGAGGCATCACGCTACCTGACTTCAAACTAGACTATGAGGCTACAATAACCAAAACAGCATGGTACTTGTACCAAAACAGAGATATAGACCAATGGAACAGAACAGAGCCCTCAGAAATAACACCACACATCTACAACCATCTGATCTTTGACAAACCTGACAAAAGCAAGAAATGGGGAAAGGATTCCCTGTTTAATAAATGGTGCTGGGAAAACTGGCTAGCCATATGTAGAAAGCTGAAACTGGGTCCCTTCCTTACACCTTATACAAAAATTAATTCAAGATGGATTAAAGACTTACATGTTAGACCTAAAACCATAAAAACCCTAGAAGAAAACCTAGGCAATACCATTCAGGACACAGGCATGGCAAGGACTTCATGTCTAAAACACTGAAAGCAATGGCAATAAAAGCCAAAATTGACAAATGGGATCTAATTAAACTAAAGGGCTCCTACACAGCAAAAGAAACTACCATCAGAGTGAACAGGCAGCCTACAGAATGGGAGAACATTTTTGCAATCTACTCATCTGACAAAGGGCTAATATCCAGAATCTACAATGAACTCAAACAAATTTACAAGAAAAAACAAACAACCCCATCAACAAGTGGGCGAAGTATATGAACAGACACTTCTCAAAAGAAGACATTTATGCAGCCAACAGACACATGAAAAAATGCTCATCATCATTGGCCATCAGAGAAATGCAAATCAAAACCACAATGAGATACCATCTCACACCAGTTAGAATGGCGATCATTAAAAAGTCAGGAAACAACAGGTGCTGGAGAGGATGTGGAGAAATAGGAACACTTTCACACTGTTGGTGGGACTGTAAACTGGTTAAATCATTGTGGAAGACAGTGTGGTGATTCCTCAAGGAACTAGAACTAGAAATACCATTTGACCCAGCCATCCCATTACTGGGTATATACCCAAAGGATTATAAATCATGCTGCTATAAAGACACACGCACACGTATGTTTATTGCGGCACTATTCACAATAGCAAAGACTTGGAACCAACCCAAATGTCCAACAATGATAGACTGTATTAAGAAAATGTGGCACATATACACCATGGAATACTATGCAGCCATAAAAAAGGATGAGTTCATGTCCTTTGTAGGGACATGGATGAAGCTGGAAACCATCATTCTCAGCAAACTATCACAAGGACAAAAAACCAAACACCGCATGTTCTCACTCACAGGTGGGAATTGAACAATGAGAACACATGGATACAGGAAAGGGAACATCACACACTGGGGCCTGCTCTGTGGTGGGGGGCTGGGGGAGGGATAGCATTAGGAGATATACCTAATGTAAAAGATGAGTTAATGGGTGCAGCACACCAACATGGCACATGTATACATATGTAACAAACCTGCACGTTGTTCACATGTACCCTAGAACTTAAAGTATAATAAAAAAAAATTAAAATATTCTGCAGTCACAGTGACTGTCTTGGCTTCTCTTAATTTATGAGGACCTTTGTCTTATAGACTCTTTTCTTTAAAAAAAGATGGGGTCTTGCTATGTTGTCCATGCTGGAGTGCAGTGGCTATTCACAGGCTTGATCATTGCATACTACAGTCTGGAACTCCTGGACTCAAGTCTCCCAGTGGCTGGGAATACAGGTGAGTGCCTACCACACCTAGCCTGATTTACAGATTTTTGACATCTATTATAGTTAAATGTATTTTCAGCATTTGCATATTAAAGGAATAATATTGATGCTTAACTTCATTAGTGATCAGGGAATTCCAAATTTTAAAAAAATTTTTTCATCTCTTATAGTATATTTAAAAATTCATTGCTGATAAGGATTCAGGGATGCCAACATTGTACATTGGTAGTGAAAATGTAAATTGGAAACTTTCTGTAATCTGACAGTAATTATTTTTTTAAAAATCCTTTTGAACTTGCAGTTCTACTTTTGGGATTTGAATTTATGGAAAGTAAAGTGCCAGTGAGAAAGAATATTGTTGCCCCTTGAACAATATAGGGTTAGGGGAGCTGGCCTCCCACACAGTGAAAAATCTGCATACAAATTTTGATTCCCCCCAAACTACTAATAACCTATTGTTGACCAGAAGGCTTACTGATAACATGCGTTACATTTAAGACATATTTTGCATGCTATGTGTATTATATACTGTATTCTTACAATAAACTAAGCTACAGAAAAGAAATTATAGTCAAGAAAATTGTAAGGAAGAGAAAATATATGACCCATTCATTAAGTGGAAGTGGATCATCCTAAAGGTCTTCATCATTGTTGTGTTCATGTTGAGTAGGCAGAGGAGGAGGAGGAGGAGCTGGTCTTTGTGTCTTAGGGTAGCAGAGGTGGAAGAGGGTGAAGGGATGGAAGGGGAAGCAAAAGAGGCAAGCACACTTGGTGAGACTTTACAAAAATACATCATTATTTCTGTCTATTTTGCTTTTTCATTTCTCTAAAAACATTTCAGTGTAGTACCTATCCGTCTTCCACCATTTGCTTTAGTTTCAGTTCCTGTATCATGGAACGGTCTATGTCATAAAAGAAGTCAAAAGTAGTCTTGAATAATCAAAGTTCTTTTGCCAGATTGTTGAATGCCAATTTGTTTTCTGGCACTGCTTTTCCTATGTCTTCTTCCTCATTATCTGGCACTGGTTAGGAAGCACTCATCTCCATGAAGTCATCTTTTGTTAATTCCTCTGGTGTGGTGTGTATTAGCTCTTAAATTCCTCCAAGATCCATATCTTACAACCCTTCACTCCACACCTTTTTTTCCCTTCATATCCATACTTCTTTCCATGGTTTTCTCTAAATTGGGTTTGTCGTAATTCTGTAGCTATGCACAACATCTGGACACAAATTGTACTTTTGTCCAGCAGGAATTTATTGTTTTGAGTTTCATGGTTTTCTATATCAACTGATGACATCTTGAAAGGTGTAAGCCTCCCAGACTTCCATGATGTTCTCTCTATTGGGTTTCTCTTTTGGAATGTTGACAAATCTTTCCATAGAGTGCCATATGTAGAGCCTTAAAGGTCCTTATGACTCCCTTATCTAGAAGCTGAAGTAGAGATGTGTTTGGGGGAAAAGGAGAACACTTCAGTGCCTTTGGTGTTGAACTCATGGGGTTCTGGGTGGCCAGGGGGCATTTTCCAATTAAACAACAACAACAACAAAAAACTTTAAAAAGCAGTCCCTTATTGGCAAGGTACTTCTGACTTCAGGGACAAAGCATTGATGGAACTAATCCAGAAAAAGCATTCTCATAGTCCAGGCCTTCTTGTTGTACAACCAAAAGACTGGCAACTAGTGTTTCTCTTTTCCCTTTCAAGACTCAGGGGTTAGCAGCTTTATAGTTAAGGGCAGCCCTGATCATAAACCCGACTACATTTGCACAAAGCAGTAGAGTTAGCCTATCCCTTCCTGCCTTAAATCTTGGTGCTTGCTTCTCTTCCTTACTAATAAATGACCTTTGTGGCTTTTATTTTTCCCCCTGGAATAGGGCACTTTCAGCTGCATTAATACCTATTCAGGCAGATATCCTTTCTCCTCAATGTTTTTCTTAACGGCATTTGAGAATTCACTTGCTGGTTCTTGGTTGGCAGAAGTTGCTACTCCCATTATCCTGACATTTTTAAAACCAAACCACTTTCTAAAATTATCAAATCATCCTTTGCTGCCATTAAATTCTCCAGCTTTAGATCTTTCACCTTGCTTTTACTTTAAGTTGTCAAATAATGACTTCGCTATTTCTTGAATCAAATAAGAGTCTATAGGTATGTCTTTCTTATAGCAATTCTGTACCCCACATAAAAGCTGCATTTTGAATATGAGATAAGAAAGGACAAGGTTTTCATGCCTGTTGGCACAAAATGAGGCCTTATGAATTTCTCTTTTTTTTTTTAAGGGATCTTACACTGGATTCATTTATTTTGAAATGGCAGGCAGCTGAAAAACTCAATCTATAGGAAGCAATCTAACTTTTTCTCATAATGTCACAACTTTTCTCTGCTTCTTGGGAGCACTCCCAGCATCACTTGTGGCACTTTGTATTGGTCTCATGGTGTTATTCAAGATTTATAGTATTACACTAAGCACAATGAAAAGAGAACTGTGAGAGAACACACTATTTACGTAGATACAGAATTTACTGAAGAGACCAAGTGCTCATGGCAGATACTGGCAACATGAGCTCACCACAGTAGCAACAGGGGGTGGCTACAAAATTATTATAATAGTACATACACTGGAAAGTAGACGCTGGAGAATATTCCAAAAGATGCCAGGGTTGGAGGGGAGTGAGGGTTGAAAAATTATTATTGGGTACAATGTTCACTATTGGGGTGATGAGTACAGTAAAAGCTCAGACTTCACCACTAGCAATATATCCAAATAACAAAACAATCATATAATAAAAGTATGCTTGTACCTAGCACATTTATAAAAATAAAATAAAAGTAATTATTTGGGTAGTACAGTATGTGCTATTGTTAATTGTATGCAGTTGTGGTTTAATACAGCATCTTTATGTTTGTTTATGTTTCTCTTGACTGCAAATAGTGACTTGTACGGTTTGTGTGCATACATTTTGATAAGTTTTAACTTTTTATAATAGATTTGTGTATATTTTATGGTAGTAAATGATAAAATAGATTAATATATACATATACTTTATGCATTCAGGATGTACATAGCTTTTTCTTAATTTTTTTTTTTTATATTCTAGGCTATGCAGTTAGTCTGCTAGTTTTTTCAATTGCAATTCTCCAAAACTTTTTCTGATATATTTTTTTTTTAAAAAAATACCAGTGTAGGCGGACCTGCACAGTTGAAACCCATGTTGTTCCAAGGTCAACTAAAAAATCTGAAATCTGAAATGCTTCAAAATTGGAAACATTTTGAGCACTGATATGATGCCACAGGTGAAAAATTTCACATATGACATTATATGACTGGTCACAGCCAAAAGACAGTCAAAATTTTGTTTCTTGCACAAAATTTTACAAATACATAAAATTACCTTCAGGCTACATGTATACTATATGTAGGGAATGTAAATAAATTTAGATTGGGTCTCATTCCTAACATATCATGTTATGATATGAAAATATTTCAAAATTTGAAAAAATCCAAAATCTACAATATTTTTGGTCCCAAGCATTTCATATAAGGGATACCATACTCCAGAATGTTAGAATGTTTATGGCTACTTTGTTTGTAGTACAGGGGGAAAAAAACCATGATGAGTCTCCATCAGTAAAAAGATAGTTTAAAAACTTGTAGAATTTAGTCATATACATATATTTACACATGCATATATGCACACATATTATTTTTCTCTATATAGAGAAACTGTGCATTCATTTAAAGTGATATTTCCTCTTTTTGTTAATTGACTTGGAGAAATGTTCATACTGTATTGATAAGTTGGAAAATCAGTTTGTTTACATGAGGTGAAGTGGAAAAGTTAAACTACATTATAAAGTACATTATAGGCTTTTCAAAGGGCAAAGAAGTGTCACCTGAGATGAGGCAATGAAGTGCTCATGGCCATTCATCCCTGTTTTACACCAATAGAAAGAAAAGTTTGGAAAATGATGGATTTCTCAATAAAATTTCAAGGAAGTAGAAATAAATATGTTACTGTACTAATGTATTCATGTCTTCTTAAGAGAAATGGAACTCCAAATTTTTAGAATTTTTGAATAGGAATGATAGAGGAAAGAAAACAGAACACTAGTGACTCCGGCATTGTCTGAAGCTGAGGACTGGGCTGTGGGTAACCCACAGGTGATATTACTTTATCCTGAATAATCCAGATGTTATGATGTTTTGGCCTCTGTGTCCAAGACTCTTGTAGATTTCTTGTCAGGCCACAATTCTTTGAGTGAGAGTAATATTTTTTCAGTAGGCAAAAATCCCTTGAAAGATCAATCCAGGGACATTTGTAATAAGATAGGATTAGAAGGTAGACTTTAGGCTAGGGTTAGGGTTGGAAAAATCAAAACACGTTGTTCTCTTTAGAGTGAGAAATTGGTTTATCCCAGACTTTGAAGGATAATATAATCTATAACCCTCTGGTTACGGGAAAGAAGAGACCTACATGTGGCCATCTTGGGAGCAAGGCAGAGAGCAGGCTGGAAGACCTTCTAGGATGGATATGGACTTGTGAAATGCAGTAGTTAAACCAAGTTTTCTCAGAGTTACATTTGCCTTCCATCATTCCTGAACACTCATGTCATCATGAAATTAGAAGAGCTGATCCAATAGTATTGATAAGGAAAGAGACCTCCTTTCCCCAAAGCGAGAGATAGCAGCAATAATCAGATAATGGCCCAGAAGATGGATGATCATACACACGGCTTGTGTGAGGTTTATGGAAGATAAAACAACCACAATATTTCAGAAATGTTTATATGTTGTTTACAGTTCTACCACTACAAAGCCTTCTAGAATGTGAGACAGAATGGTGTGATGATTATTCTCAGTATAACCAGATTAAGTAAGATTTCACAGGTGGAGTTAAGAATTAAGAATTTTTGATTCAAGAGTCTCATTCACCCTCTTCCTTCTTTGTTAATAGTTCTGTTAGGATCTGCCTTTAATTTGTCTTTTCCTTTAGGGCGCTCAAAACAACACAAGGATTAAATGCCTTTCTATTGTCAAAGTTCTCTCCTTATTTGCCAGTTCTTTTTTTCATGTCCCAATCATAATCTTAATGGTATCGTTGATCACTCAAGCAACTAACCCTGAAGACTGCCCAGTCGCAGGAGCCAATACATCTTTTTATGTTTAAACTCAATCACTTCAAATGTTGATCTTACCTTGTATAATAGAAATTAGTCGTAGAGACTGTGGTGGGATGAGATAGCATTGCGGGTAATCTGGCTCAGCTATGGCTGAGTGGAAGAAACTTGCATCAATTATTTATGGTTAATACAGAGTATCCTAGATCGTAGTTGTGGACTGAATACAGACATTCAGCTCCCTCCCCCACTGAGCTCTCATAACAATGCAGGGACTGGAAAGAATGTCAGCATATGGGATGGGAGAATGAGAAGACGGGAGCTTCTTGGGCAGATATTACGTAGTGAGGAAGCAGTGGGTGAGAACATTCAGTGAGAGACCACAATGTAAGGAGAGAGTCTATCTGACCAGTGGAAGCAGAGACTCCAGACTCAGAACCTTTGGTACAAAGAGTAACTACAGCAAACGGGCAAAGAATAGATTGTGAATTTGGAGGTTATGTGCTTCCTTCTGGCACATGAAAAAACTCCTAAAGCTTTTTGTGGGTGCAAAATGAAATAAAAATCTTTCCCCATTGGTATGAAAATAAGTTAATTAGCCTTTACAATGGTTTGTTTTTGTGTTACTAGTTTCCAGTTGTGGCTGTTTCTCTCAGTTTCTCTCTGTTTTGGTTTGTTTGTTTGTTTGTTGTTGTTGTTTTCCTTCTCTTAGGAAACTTTGGCAGATAATTGGGCACAGAAATTGGTCATTTTTTAAACACTCTAGGTTAGTGATTCTCATAGTCCCTAGACATCGGTATCAGTATTACCCGACAACTTGTTAGATATGCAAATTCTCAAATCTTACCTACTGAGTCATATACTGCCAAGTGAGCCAAGGAATCCGTTTAATTAGGCTTTGCAGGTGGTTCTGATGCACACTCAAGCTGAACCACTGCTGAAGCCATAACTATTGGAGACAATCTTGCATAGCTTGAAAAATGGAGAGCTCTAACTGTTGATAGGGCTTTGCTTTATTTGTCTTAAGAAAGCATTAATGAGAATAGCTTTGTGTTTCTTTGAAGTTCTGGGTGCTTCTGAAAACTCTAAAGGTTTTCAAGCATTTAAATTTCTCTAGCCCTTTTCTCAAACAAACAAAAAACCCCAAACAAGGAAAATCTCATAGAAATATAAAAATGAGTTAAAATAAGTTGTGAGGAATATTCTATACATCAACAGTAAAGTATTACTCAACCTCAAAAATTACGTCTCTACCATAATCTATAATCTGACTGGATAAGGACTATAAATAAATAGCATATGAAAGTCTACAATAAAGCAGGGAGAAAATCATCACTGGCTCCGAATTTGATAATGACTTCTTGTTGTATGTATGTAAATATCTTCTGAACAAATTATTGTACATTTTCCTATCTCTGGAGAAAATTAATGAATTAGGTTAAACAATTTCTTAAGTTTAATGGAGCTTCTGTTTTCCTTGGCTTATGTATACTAGCACAGGTAACTTGCTGAACTGCAGCTCAGAAGAAAAAATCTATAGAGAGGTTTAGTTCTGAGGTGAATTAATGGACTTTGTTGCTATGTCAGAAGGCGAGAAGCAAGGGAAGGCAGGCGGGTAAGAGAATCGCATAACGCAAAGGACTTCAGTGCTTCAGAACAAAATTGAAGCGTTTTAAAAATTTGACTGAAGTAAAGTTCAGTAATATTTTTAATCATGGGAAATCCTTGGATAAATGTATATGGTTTGATAATTTTGGTTTAAATTAATTATGTTTTTTCTCTGATTTTATCACAATCTTAGAATTAATGTTAGCATATTTTTCTGGTTTATAAAATATTTTAACTTACCAGAGCTTTCTAGATGTCCCCTACTGGATTTATGGCTCAGCTGAATTGAATTATTAAACTAGTATTTTTTAAAACATTTGTTCCTGTAACTTGAGATGGGGCTACAAATAATTATACTGTATAGGTAAAACCACACATACCCTACATGGTAAAAAATTCAAATTTCATATGTAACACAATTTTCATGTAAATTTTTATATTTTAGTATAAATTCTCTGCAGTGTGTCAGTTTAAAATGAATTTTAACATACTAGTTAGCTTTATGAGCTTGGCTAATATTTCATTGAGATAATTAGTGAAAAATCTTTGGATGAGTCTCATAAAATTTTTAACATATCCTTGCTGCATATTTTTACACATTATAGAGTGGCTATCAAGTAGGAGAATGAACAGTATGTAAAAGTACCCTTAGTTCTGATTAATGCACATGTTCTTTTATACTACTTTAAGAAATTAAGTCAGTTTGAGTATTTAGAAAAGTGCATGCAATATAATTAATGTGTTTTTGCTTATCAAGGCAAAGAGAGTAATTTTGTCTAAAAGGCAAATTGTAGAGTTTTGCTAGAATATAAAACTGAATTTTAAAATACAAATTTAAGGGCATACAATAATTGTAGAATATCTGAGGGAAGTAAACTTCATTTGCTATAGCTTATAATAGCTGCAAATAATGAGTTTAAATGAGCAATAAAACGTTTATAATTTTTGGACTAACTTTACTCAATGTTAATTAGTTTGGGCATAAAACATAAAAGAACTTTTGAGTCTTTTAGTCCAATTTGTTAAATGGATGGTCTCAAAAAAGTCATATTAGTATTTGGGTTACCTTTTTGATAAAATGATAAATCAATCTCCATATATTAGCCTTTTTTTTTTTTTTGAGACAAAGTCTTGCTCTTGTCCCTCAGGCTGGAGTGCAATGGTGCCATCTTGGCTCACTGCAGCCTCTGCCTCCTGGGTTCCAGTGATTCTCCTGCCTCAGCCTCCTGAGTAGCTGGGATTACAGGTGCCTGCCACCATGCCTGGCTAATTTTTGTATTTTTAGTAGAAATGGGATTTCACCATGTTGGCCAGGCTGGTCTCGAACCCCTGACCTCAGGTGATCCACCCTCCTCGGCCTCCCGAAGTGTTGGGATTACAGGCGTGAGCCACCACTCCCGGCCATATATTAGTTTTTTAGCAAAAATTTAACACTTGTATTCTCCACAGTGTCCTACCGGATTAGATATAGCTCTCCTGGACTAAATTGTTTCTCACCCACAACAATATTGCCATCCGGGAGAAAAGAGATTTATAGTAGTTTACTTTGTACTCCTAGAAATCCTTTCAAGAAGTATAAAAGTGAATACATACATATTTAAATGATAAACATTTATCTTTGTGATAAAATAGTTAAGTTTCCATGTGAGTCAGGTTTACCACATGAGTGATGAACCAGCTTTAATTAACAATATAACCATTCTCCTCTGTCACTGTAGGCTGTTCTAAAAAAAGAAAAAAGTTTACAAAAGCCTTAATTACCTTATGCTATTTGGGGAGAATTAAGCAATGAATGGAGTGTTGCATTTAACAGGTTATAGAAAATTTTTCTGTGTCCAGCATATAATCAACTACTAATTTTCAGACTGGTTTGGCACAATACAGATTTTCTGCCACTGAATAGAAACTAAAAAATTTGAAAGTCAGAAAATTATTTCCCAGGTTCTGAAAGATATCAACAAAGATATTTTTAATTGACTATGTATGATTATTGATTTGAGATTTAATATACCATGTCTATGAGAATTCTTTGTAATACTTCTGCAGTGTAATTTGCTACATAATGAAAATTCATTTTTCATAATAAATAGTTTCCAGAAGTCATGTTGTCTTTCTTGTTCCCAGCAAGTAGCTCTATTTCTTGGCCACATTGAGGAATCAAAATCTAATGTAATTCTTCTAAATAGAATAGAGAACACCTAGAGTCGCTGCTCCTATGACAAATCTTTGGATAACAACTCTCATGTGCGTAAGACATTTTCTGATCTCTTCTGTACTTCAACTTGTAAAGAACTTTGGACATTACAGTCAGAAAGTCTGCTATTCCTACAAAGACAAAAGGGGAAGCCTCTAAATTCCCTGAGTAGTGGGGATAATTAGCTTTCATACTCATCTGCTGACCCCTGATTATCAGAAGACATTTTTATCTCTTTGGCATGCCCCATCACCTGCTGTCTGTCTCCAAAAGACCTGTAGATCAGAGCAGGCATTGTAAGGCAGGGACAGTTCCTGAAATTTCCAATTAACTGATGATGGGAAAGCTCAGAAACACAAACTCTGGGGAGTGGCTGCCTGGTACTGCTAATACTCCTGCTGGAAACAGGGGCACCTGGGCTACAAACAAACGTAAGACTTTGGAAGAAGGTGCATTAACTTAATTCTGCCTTTCACATGTGAGCTCCCAATTTCCCTTGTGGCTATGAGCCACAAGGGCCCAAATTCAATGGGAGGGTGGTTCGGGTCTACCATGACAAGCCAGGATGGAGGAGACAGAGGTCAGTTATTGGGAGCCCAGATTCTTGCCCTTTAGAAACATGTGCTGTAGCAGAGAGGAACCCACTACAGCTGGGATCCTGGACTGACACAGGGAGTGGGTAGTCCATCCAGGGTCACCTGATTGATAGCAGGCCCTTCACATCTGCAGCCCCCACCTGTGACACTGTTTTTGATACCATATTCCCCAAATTTAACCCTCAAATCCAAAATAGTAAAACTACTGAGATGTTACTTATGAATACAGTATCTCTGGGTTTCTCAGATGGCTGCTGGGAAACTCCAGAGATCCTCCTCCTAGCTCTTAACATGAAGATATATTAGAAATAAAGGTAATGTTTTGCATTCTCCAGATGTTTAATTTGCTCAAAACTATGCTCAATATAGTGGAAGCTGCTGTGTTTTTCAAGGCCATATTCTGAGAAAATAGCAATAAAATCATCTTAAATTAATTAAATGCAATAATTATGTATGATTACTGTGGCTATGTTATAATAATTGTGCACTTCTCAGGTTGGATTCAGGCATATTTATGTTCATGTACAAAGACTGGTGCAATAAATGTCAACCAACTGATTAAAAAAAGTAAACTTATCAGTTGGTGACAAATAATAATATCTACTTTGTGGGGAAAATTAAAGGCCCTGGAGAGGTATCGGGATGCACTAATTGTTCTTCATGTGTTCTGTCTTTTACGGTAATCACTGATTAAAATTTCATTAGATGAGTATGTATTACACCTCAACAGAGAATGCCACTGTCCCCCATTGTGATGTTGTTTGCTATGGCAAAAAATTAACCAAACTTTACAGTTTTATTATTAGCAACATCTCCTCCCCCTATCCCCGCTGCTTTTTTTTTTTTTTTTTAGATGGAATCTCGCTCTGTTGCCCAGGCTGGAGTGCAGTGGTATGACCTCAGCTCACTGCAAACTCTACCTCTCAGGTTCAAGCTGTCCTCCTACCTCAGCCTCCCGAGTAGCTATATTCAGGTGCCCGCCACCATGCATGGCTAATTTTTCTATTTTCAGTAGACACAGGGTTTCACCATGTTGGCCAGGCTGGTCTCAAACTCCGGACCTCAAGTGATCTGCCTGCCTCAGCCTCCTAAAGTGTTGGGATTACAGACATGAGCCACTGTGCCCAGCCCTCCTTTCCCTTTAAGCATACCTAAAAGCCTCTCTACAAAGCGCCAATCAGAATTTGAGTCATCTGGAAGAAGTATCAAAAGAGCTCCAGTAATAACGGTAGCAGACACTGTTGATACTATTGATACCACAGGAAATTGACTCATGGATATAGGCCTCCAAGAATAGGCTGACCTTGTCCCCACAGACAATATTCCAACTATACGAAGTAAATGAGTCAGGAGTTCCAAGACACTCACAGTGTAGAAGCCGATGAATTCATGAAAGTAGACTGCTTAACTCAAGACCAGCACGACAAGAGGTTGTTATTTAGGATTAAAGGGCCTCAGTAAGGCAATTTAATTGAGGCTAGTTTAATTTTCTACTTTAATGAACATGAGAGAAACCCATTTTCTTTCTTCTTAATCTACCTTTAATCTCCAATTAAATGTACAAATTATTAAATTTGTAAAAACTAAATAAAACACTCTGAATTCTTAGTGTTGAGGAAAAAAATACCTTGCAGAAATTCTTAATATAAAAACAAAGCTAATAAGTTGCCAAGAAAAACATACAAATAATTATTTTGTAAAGAATTGTGACATACAATATTTGGTTTTGTCTATTAACATACACTTAATTAGCAATATTGCTTAAATCTTGCACAAAGTTTCTTTAATAAAAACATTTACTTTATGTGACTATGTAGTTATTTGTATTGGTTCAATAAGAATTTGTCCTCCCTTCTACCTGAATATATTACTGATTAGAAATTTTTTTTTTTTTTTTTTTTTTTTGAGATGGAGTCTTGCTCTGTTGCCCAGGCTGGAGTGCAATGGCGTGATCTCAACTCACTGCAACCTCTCAATCTTGGGCTCAAACACTTCTCCCACCTCAGCCTCCCAGGTAGCTGGGATTACAGGCACCCACCATCATGCTAGGCTACTATTTGTGTTTTTATAGAGACGGGGTTTCACCATGTTGGCCTGGCTGGTCTTAAACTCCTGACCTCAGGTGATCTGCCGGCCTCAGCCTTTCAAAATGCTGGGATTACAGGCATCAGCCACCTTGCCCAGCCAGGAAGAATCAATTTTTTAATAAAAAATTTATAGCTGTGCTACAAATTCAATTTAATTAGACAAGACAAATCCAGTAATAAGAATAATTTCTATGTTTTTCATGCAGAAGCGATGCCTATAACATCCTTCTAGGAAACCAATCTGGTGCTTGCTCTATGGACTATGCAATCTCAGGCTTGGAGGTAAGAAAGAATGTCCTTTCTTGGCAGAGCAGGGACACCGAGACATTGGATAACTTTTATTAAAAAGGATACATTTGCATTATAAATACTGCAGATGAAATCAGGTAGAGGTGAACGGACTGGTTTGGTCTGCTCTAAACTGAGCTGTTAAACATGTAAAAGTAAATTTAAAGCACAAGGGCTTTATAAATCTATAGATAGACGTAAACTTGTGAGCCTTAGTTTATTGTTTCATCAAAAAAATACTAGGAGGTCATTAAATATTAATCAACACTTCTTAGATCTGTGCAAATAAAATGGATCAAATTAAAATGTAAAATCAATAGTACTGATTAGGAACATTGTTCAGCAAATGGAGGTAGACAAACATGTCCTGTAGAGAAGGAAACATGACCGCAAGATGAAGTGTAAAAACCAAAGTGACATCGGGGCCTGACACCATTGTCGGCCCGTTCATCATGTCCCACTGCTGAAGAAACAGAGAAAAAAAAACTCTGCACTCTGACATAAAGAAACAATAAAAGGGTCTCTCTGTCTACCTGCAGTCCTCCAAATGAATAAAACCTTGAGCATTTCCTGAGAGTTGCTAACTCCTTAATGAAAATCACTTTATCCTTGACTTTACAATGCTGTTTATTGTCTGAAGATATGTCATGAACTTTCTGAATACAATAACCATGATAAAATTGCAGTTTTCTGCCATGAAGAGATTAATATAAGCCCTATTGTCTTCATAATATTGTTTGTCTTAAAAAGTTCTATTTTTTTAATTTTTTGGGCAGTTCTTTTGAAGAATGACTTCCTCACATTTCTTTGCAAGTAAATGTCTCCTTCTGCTTATTTTTCCAACATGCTTTTGTTTCTGAGCCTTTCTTTCATGCTCTATACACACAAATCAGCAGGAGATAGTACCTGCAGCTGTATTTGGAGTTTACTGCCTCAATGTTCACTTTCAATGAAAGAGCGTATTTCTTAACAGAAGACCAGAAATTCATGCTGAACCAATAAATTGTCCTCTATAGTTTTCATCTGCAAGGAGGATTTAAATATTTCTAGCTCAGTAGTTCAGCCCTGAAGATTATTTCACCCCCACTGCTAATCCCGACCTAATCTGTTTTTGTGTTGTTAATGCTCCTATATACTAGCCAGGTCCGTAATTCTGTAACAGGCATAATTTCTTAATATTTTAGGCCATGTGTTAATTTTACTATTTCTTAGCCATTTTTCCTCAATAGTTTTAAATTGCATCCCTGCTTACTCTCCCTTTTACTGGACGGGCTTCCTCTGTTTACTAATACAATTCCCCAAATTGATTCATCCACTTGTTGAAATACCTAATTTTAGGCCCTGCACTGACAGCTTGCCTAGGCTTATACTTGTTGTGTTTGGTGTTGCAGTCTTCAGATTCTAAAAACACCATCTAGACCTTACATTACCTCCAGCCAGGGCTATTCCCCCAGGGCCTGCCTTAAGAAGCAGATTTCTTTTCATGTTTCATCTTCTTCCCATTTATTTCATTTCATGACAGTTAGAGAAGCTGTATACTAACGTGACAAATGCTAAGTTAGCAGAGAAAAACGTTATTTCAGGATAAGTTCAGGGAAAGCTTTTTGGAGGAAAGTCAGCTCACATTAGTCCTGATGATGGATAGTGTATAGAGACTACAGATGATGGAACGATGAAGTGGAAACTCGAGTGGCTACATACGGACATTCCACATAGAAGCAGTGTGAGCAAAACCACCAAGACAGGAAATGAGATGGAATTGATAAGGCAATGCAAATAATTCAGGTTATTTAGATCATCAGTGTTGGGGGAAGCTGGGTTTATGGGAATCAATCGTTAATCAGAATGTGAGCACCATTGGTTTGGTAATTCATGGAAGAGGTTATCATTCAACAGGGGGAGTGGCTTCTCGATTATAAACATGTCTGAAGGTCACTGAACATCAAGGCTAGCCTTCAGTTAAAATCTTATTAAAATTATACTGACCTCTGATGACCTTCAGAGAGCTCCAGCTAGATGGATTGATGATAAGAGAAATTTGAGAAGGCAATGGGGCAAATCTTTGTGCAAATCTCTGTTATGTCATATATCTAAGGCTTCTGCTGGATCCAGTGATTTGTTTGTTCTGACTGTAGTACAAATCTATTAGAACAATATATCTAGTTATAATAAATGACAGAGGGCATTGAAGCAGATGCAAGAAGCAAAATATACAGGTGTAAAGACAAACTATATTAGGCCTCCCATCAAGCTTCTCTAATATTTTCACAGCACAGCCCTGCCTGACTTCTCTCTATCTGGGTAGGCCCCTTCTGTTTGCTAAACCAGTTCTCTGATGTTGACTACCTGATTCTCTAGTCCTCAAGTTGACTCATCCTGTTTATTGAGAGTGACATTTTTAGACTACTAATAATATTTATATGTAAGAAAGAAACTGGGTTTTTATATAAATATATAATCTTTTCAAATAAAAGATTATAATCAAGGAACTGTAAATAATAGAAAAATTACATAACGTTTCCCTATTTGGGGATTGGTTAAATGCAATATTATAGAAGTCTGAAAAAATAATGACTGTATTACAAAAGAATATAAAAATAATTGAAGACTAGGAATTATGTCTACCAACTAATTCAGTCATTTGGCTGTTTATTCTCATTTGAACAGTAGTGGATTAAGAAAAAAACAAAAAGACTTTCGACTTCCATCACAGGGAGAAAAGGATCAAGTACACATTAGAGAAAGCTGATGGCAATGATTTCTAGTTTCCGTTTCTATTTTCTGTCAATTAACCATCATTTTGGTAAACAGCCTTTTTAAATGTCTTTTCTTTTAATTTTTAAATTTTTACTTTAAAGACAGGGTCTCACTATGTTGCGAAGGCATTGGCCTCAAACTCATGGACTCAAGTGATCTTCCTGCCATAGCCTCCCTAGGTGCACATCACCATACCCAGCTATTAATGTCTTTATAAAAGCATTTTTAACCCTACTGGTCTAGCTATTGCATCAAATAAATAGCTAATTCCATTGACGAAGGATTAGGGACTCACGAGTGAAAATAAATGTTTTATTTGGATAATGGCTACAAAATCTCAACAGTCAAAATAAATAAGAGATTAAAGCCATGATGATGACTTAAAAGATAAAGTTAGGTAGAAATGTGAACTAAGGGAAATGACTCAACACATTCAGCAACACAAAACTGTGGCCTAAATTCACTCTGACAGTTGTTATGCTATCTCCTGCTGCCCGAGTAAAGTAAGTTATGAACAAGACACATGAAGGAGATCAGGCAGACATATGGTCAAATGCTTTCTGTGCAATATGTCTGTCTCCATATTATCTTCTCTGTCTCATTGCACTTTGGACATTTTTATTCTTCCTGCAGATCTATTTTTATGAAGCAATGTGATTTAAATGAAAAAAGCACTGAATTCTCAGTCAGATATTTGAGTTCTAGTTGAAGATTTATCACCTAGTGGTTATGAGATTTGGGGCAAATTGCTTAATCTCTCTCTTTCTTTACCACTTCGTTTGTAAGTTTTCTTGCCTCCCTACAGGACTGTATAGGGGATCAATCAATGTTGAGTTGAAGGCAACATGGTTTAAGTTGGCTTAATGGAGAAGTGGTAAATCACTTAAACGGGTAGAACAACACAGTGTAGAGGATGTTGGGCTGCATGAGGAAGTGTGGAAAAAAAGCATGCCATGAAAATATCATCACAATCTCACATTTCTTCGTTTATTTGCACACTCTGAACACCTGCATGTGATAAGGACTGTGCAAGGTTCTCAGGATACCCAGGTAAAAATCACCACTTCTGCCAGTCTTGACTTTGCAAGCTTGAGGAGCAGACCTGGAGGAATTTGGCTATTACCACACCAAAGTTGTTACTCACATTCCCTTTGACATATGGTCTCAGGAAAAAATGAAAAGAGTAAAAAAAAAAAAAAGTCCTTCATTTTTGAAAGGAAAAGTCATAATTAATTTCTAGAAGGAGAAAGAAAAAAAGAGATAACAGTGTGTGAAAATGCTTAGAAAATGCTAGAGCACTACAGAAAGACAACGTGAGATTATGTCTAAGAGTAGCTTGGTTATTTTGCTTTTGTTGACAAAGTATACCTCCTTCATTTTCATAGTTGTCATAATTCTTTCCATGATTTTCTTAGTGGGTTTGTTTAGGAGAAACTGTATTCTTTCTTTATTCATCTAACTCTCCTTAACTCCAAAAGATGCTTCTTAGGATAACATTTTAAAAGGATATACATTACGCACATTTTTAATGCTTCTATACAGGACTGAAGGCCAATATTACCATGATAATAAGGCATGTAACAAAAATTTGTTCTGCAAAGAGTGAGAAAGCGTGAGGGAAAACACAGTGCAGGATTCTATGCTGTTGCCCAAGAACCCAGACAGGCAAGTGAAATAATAGAGCAGACATTTCCTGAGGCTGTGGTCGATATGATTAGGAAATAGTGGGTAAAAATGGCCTCTAAACTATATACACATGAGAAGATAGATGTGAAAGCCCATTGCAAAGGCAATAAAATTATGCAAATATAAAATATCACTATTAAAATGTATGATGAATTGACGTGCCATGAAAACAGTTCCAGTGCTGGGCCAGAAATCAGGAAACGTGGGCTTTTGGTTTCTCACCATTAAAATGAAGAAGTTGGATTTATACCCAAGGGCACCTTGTGGGCTGTATGGCTTCTAAGTAACTGGTCATAACAAAAGGGACACAATCAGGTCAGTTTCAAACCAAGAATAAAATGGGAAATTAAAGAACTGAATTGGCTACTTTCTGCTCAAATGATTGTTAAAAATAAAGTTTAAAAAAAGCCCCAAGGACTATGCAGTGCAGTGAGCAGAGGCTCCCGATATTAAAAAGAAAACAAGGAAAATGGATTCCTGGTGATAGAAGTGGTGTGGGGGAAGACAAATAGTGTGGCTGCAAATGGAACAATATGCAAAAGAAAAGTAGCTAAATATAGCTCTTTTTTGGGAAAGAGATTGTGTCTAAGTCCATCAGTGGAAAGGCAACTTAATTGTTGTATAAGTCTGTTCAGGTTGCCATAACAAGATACCATACACCAAGTGGCTTAAACTATAGAAATGTATTTCTCACACTTCTGGAAGTTGGGAAGTCCAAGATAAAGGTGGTAGCAAAGCGGATTTCTTTCTAAGGTCTCTTCCTATGGCCTGTAAGTGGCTGTAGATTCACTGTGTGCCCATGTGACCATTTCTTCGTGCACCAGGGGGAAGGCGGACAAGCAAGCTTTCTAGTGTCTGTCTTCTTGTAATGGCATTAATCTCAGCATGAGGACACCACTCTCATAACCTCTTTTAATCCTGATTACCTCTCAAAGGCCCCAGCTGCATAAATCATCACAGTAGGTGTTAGGGCTTCAACGTTTAAGTGCGGGAGTTGGTGTTCACATTTCAGTCAATTGAGGTGGCAATTGAAATGAGAAAGGAAAACCATAGTTACTAGAGAGAACGGTTGTCTTGGGGAGGATCACTGGACAGAACTACGGTCCTGTCCAGGTTGTTATGGCAACCTGAACAGACTTATACAACAATCCAGTCCTAGAGGCAATACAACTTCTCTGCTGATTCCAGATTCTGAGCGCCTCTCAGTCCTTGGTTGGGTTGTTTTGATCCTGTCCATATTATATTTATAAATATTCTCTTCATAAAACTCTCTTTAGGCCGGGCGCGGTGGCTCACGCCTGTAATCCCAGCACTTTGGGAGGTCAAGAGATCGAGACCATCCTGGCCAACGTGGTGAAACCCGCTCTCTACTAAAAATACAAAAAATTAGCCGGGTGTGGTAGCGGGCGCCTGTAGTCCCAGCTACTCGGGAGGCTGAGGCAGGAGAATGGCGTGAACCCGGGAGGCGGAGCTTGCAGTGAGCCGAGATGGCACCACTGCACTCCATCCTGGGCGGCAGAGCGAGACTCCGTCTCAAAAAAAAAAAAAAAAAAAAAACACAACTCTCTTTAAATCACACATCCGAGTGTGCCCCTTGTTTCCCACCAGAGCCAAGACTGAATGAGATGATTTCTTAAGGTCAGGTTGATGTCCTAATCCAGTTGTGCTGCTATAACAAAATACCACAGAGTGAGTAACTTATAAACAACAAAAATTTATTGCTCACAGTTATGGAGGATGGTCAGTCCAAGATCAAGTTGCCAGCAGGTTCAGTGTCTAGTGAAGGTCCATTCCTCTGTCATCCAGGCTGAAGTGCAGTGTTGCAAGCTTGGGTCACTGCAACCTTCACCTCCCAGGCTCAAGTAACCCTCCCACCTCAGCCTCCTGAGTAGCTGGGACCACAGGTGCTCACCACCATGCCTGGCTAATTTTTTTTTTTTTTTTTTTTTTTTGTAGAGATGGGGTTTCACCATGTTTCCCAGGCTGGTCTCAAACTCCTGGACTCAGGCAATCTGCCAGCCTCCTGAGGGAGTGCTGGGATTACAGGCATGAGCCACTGTGTCCACCCCCAAAATTCTACTCATATATATGCATAATTACATAGTTACCAGCCGTTATTTTCTGATACTTTGACTGGCAATTGGTTGAAAGAGTTTATCTAAAGACCTGGAATCCATAGAAGGCAGTCTCTGTGTTAAGGGGTTGTTCTTATTATGCAGATGAAGCCTCCAGGTAGCAGGCTTCAGAGAGAATTGATTGTAAATGTTTCTTATCAGACTTAAAAAGGTGCCTAGATTAGGGAAAAGGCCTGGAAAGGGATTCCCTATAGCATGTAGACTTTCCCCACAAGAGACAACTTTGTAGGGACATTTCAAAATATGATAAAAAATGTATTTTAGGGTAAAATATTTTCATTTCTTTCAGGGCCTGCTATCTGTCATGTAATGCTACACTAGAGTCAGCCTGGAGTTTGGTGTCTTATTGCTACAAAAAGTCTTGAGATCGCTGTTGTAATGTCAGTTGGGCCTGGTCGGATGTGCTGGTCAGTTGTGCCTGAATTCCAAAGGAAGGAGGGTATAATGAGGCATATCTGACCCCTACTTCCCATCATGGTCTGAACCAGTTTTTCAGGTTAACTTTGGAATGACCCTGGCTGAGAGGAGGGGTGCATTCAAATAGTTGAGGGGCTTGGAATTTTATTTGTGGTTTACACTATAGAAAGTATTTTTCCAGTATTACCTGGACAATGTGTCTCCCTGTCAGTATCCAGGAATGGCACCTGGATCAAGCATTTAGTGTTCAGTTGCTACACTCTCACCTAATCCCTCATTTTCAATATTTTGCCATGTTTTCCAGTGACCCAACTGGCCACCATGTCACAGACTTTATGGTCTCCAAGGGAGACCCCTCCATTTCATGTTTTGTGATTTGAGCAACAGACTGGAATCTACTTGAAATTTGCAAATGGTCTTTGACTTGGGCTTTCCAATTTTGCTCTACTTCACAGTGTTTTCTGGGTTATATACAAGGGAGATGATCCAGTCATTTGTTAAGCGCCTCAAATAAGACATGCCCTAGATGTTTTTTTGTTTGTTTTGTCAAATTGGGATTATTTTTGTGTCTTTGGAGAATATAAAATACTAACATGAGGTAAGCACTAAGGTTCTGAGATGGCCGTGGAAGAGATGACAAACTCCATCACCATGCCTGAGAGTGTCCAATCGTCTCTGCGGGGGCCACATATTTTTGTATTACACTGTATTTGAAATAACAACAACAACAAAAAACCCTTCAAGATTCATAAAATTGGACAACTGTCTTTGTAACACTTCTAGTGGTAAAACCAGTAAGGATGGCTAGTTTGCAACCCATCTGAGCAGCCTCTCTGGTTTCATAGATATGTTTTCTCTCTGACATTGAATGGCTTTCAACTTGAAACGGAATGCTACATCACAAAGATAAACAGGTTTGAAAGGAACCGGTTTTCCTTGTAATCCTAAACGTTCAAGTCTGCGCATTAAAAGACATTATCTGAAGAAGGGTGCACAAGCTTCCTGTTGGCCGCCAGAAGGGTTCTCTGCAGGACACAGATCAAGTACCACAGTCTTAGGGGGAGACCAGACGTGGGATCTCTGCGCACCTCCCCAAAGGACAATGGCAGGAGGAAAAGGAGAAAGAGACAGACGTCACTTCCTCCGCCAGCTCCGGCAGCGGGTTGATCGGCTGAGTCGGCGGAGGGTGGGGCGGAAGAGCAGACGGTGTCTGGGAAAGGCGCTGTCGGTGACATCACGGATAGGGCGATTTCTATGTAGATGAGGCAGCGCAGGGGCTGCTGCTTCGCCACTAAGGAGTTCCCGTGCCGTGGGAGCGGGTTCAGGACCGCTGGTCGGACCTGAGAGTCCCAGCTATGTGTCAGGGCTAGGAGGGCTGGGGGCGGGGGGGGTGGGGGGGGGGGGCGTGCGCGGGGCAAGTGACCGTGCGTGTAAAGGGTGAAGCGTGTGAGGCTGTGGCGGGGCGGAGGTGCAAAAGCTCATACTTACTTGGCGGGGGAGATACCATGATCACGAAGGTGGTTTTCTCAGGGCGAGGCTTATCCGTTATGTTCCGGGTGTACTGACCCCTGCCATTTTCCCCCAATGTGAGGAACTCGACTGCATAACTTGTGATAGTAGGGGACTGCGTTCGCGCTTTCCCCTGGTGCTTCTGTGGTGCGAATAGTAGGTGAGCCGTAAGTGTTTTTGTAACTCAGGGTGCGGGCTCGTGTTTTGTGGCTGTGTTCTGTCCGGTCAGTTGTTTCCGTTCGCAACGGTTAGTTTTCCTTTGTGAGGCCATGTTTGGGGACAGCTTAGAACTATCCACTTACTCTCTTGGGAGGCGAATTTCAGTCTCTGTTGGTTGGGGTGTTCTCCCAGGTTAGCTGCCGCGGTACTTGCTAGGTGGAGCTCAGGGATCAAGGGTCGGGAGCTTTCTGGTTTGTTCAGTGCTCCCAGGGCTTCTAACATCTCTTAAAAACTCTGGTGTTTTCTGTCATCCTCGGAGTTACCTCTTAGCCTCTGTTTTTTTTGTTGTTTTTTCCCCCCCTCCCTAAGACAAGTCTCGCTGTACCGTCCAGGCTGGAGAACTGGCGCGATCTTCCCATCTCAGGCTCCCGAGTAGGACAACCGCACGCCACCACACCCGGCTAGTTTTTTCTCTTTTTTTTTTTATTTTCTTTTCTTTCTCTTTCCTTTCTTTTTCTTTTTTCGTAGCAGTTTCACCATTCTGCTCAGGCTGGGCTCCACCTCCTGGGCTCAAGTGGTCCGCCCAGCCTTCTGAAGTGCTGGGATTGCAGGTGCGATCCATCTTGCCCTGGCAGCTCCTGCTTTTCACCACAGCATTCACGGGAGTTTGTAGGATTTCTGTGCTGGGGAAACGTGTACTCAGTTAATAGAGCCAGGTGGAAGTTGTACTCAGAACTGGTGGTTTTCTTTGGAATGAAAACCGTGCATGTTGGGGGCTCTTAGTGTCCCCGTTCGGTTGTAGGCATAACACCCTTGCTTTGTGTAGGGGGAGGGCTTTGCCCGTGCCCTGGTGCCCCGGCGCAGGGCATCGAGGCCTGCAGATCAGAACCGCAGTCTAACCTATGTCTTGGCGGAATACCCTGCTAAGTCTCCCTGGAATGTAAGATGGGAGGTCTTGTGAGGAGGTTTCTACAAGTAAGAAAACAAATTTCCATTCGGTTTTTATTGACAAAATTGAAAATTATAATAACTGAGTCCAGCCTCTCAGATGACAAATGTCTTTTGCACTGAGAGCTGGGAACCGCCGCTTGCCTCAGCTCCTGCGTGCAGGTGCAGCCCTCGCTTCCCTCCACACTTTCTCCAGCGGGTGTCAGTTCCTCCACAAGAGACAGACAGCGTTCTGCAGAACCACAGCGCTCAAGGCCTTCGAGAGCCAAAAATCTCGGAGCGAGCTGCCCTGTCCTGGCTGTACCTCACGACTGACCTAGAAATGGCCTTTGCTGGGAGCAAAGGGTAGGGGGGAGATGGTCGTCGGAGCTGGGGCCTGTGCACTGGACCAGGTTGACCCACGGGAGGGGAGGTACCCAGAGTTAGAAGGGGGCCAAGCACTGAGACCTCACCATCCTCAATCTCCAAAAGGACTCAGAGAGATGCAGAGACTGAGACAAGCTTCCTTTTTTAAGGAAAGAGAAAACTACTGAGGAAGGCCCCAGGGACTCTGAACCAAAATCCAGACTTTTTTTTTTCCACCTGCAGCTTTTTGTTTTTATTTTTGCTTGAGAAGGTGTCTCGGTCTGTTGCCCGGGCTGGAGGGCAGTGGCGCAATTTCGGCTCATTAAAACCTCCATCTCCCGGGTTCAAGCAATTCTCCTGCCTCGGCCTCCCTAGTAGCTGGGACTGCAGGTGCCCGCCATGACGCCCGGCTAATTTTTGTATTTTTATTAGAGACGAGGTTTCACCATGTTGGTCAGGCTGGTCTCAAACTCCTGATCTCAAGTGATCCACCCACCTCAGCCTCCCAGAGTGCTGGGATTACAGGTGTGAGCTACCGCGCCCAGCCCGCACCTGCAGCTTAATCCCATTTCGCTGGTGCAACTTCATCCTTCCGTATGCTCAGGCCAATAAACAGTACTGTAGGCTGGTCGTTCTTTGACCCCCATACATCCTATTGGTCGGAAAATTATGTTTTCTCTTTGGTTAACCGCAGACTTTGATATGCACACTCTTTCTTGGTCTGAAACCCACCCAATAGTCCCATACGTAGATTTTTGGATAAACATAGAAATGGACCCTTCTGATCTGAAAGTTTGAAACTCGATATTTGTTTTATTTGAGTTCCTTCCTTCAGGCCTCTCAAAAAAGATATCAAAGAACTGAAAGTCACCCAGACAATGAGACGCCGGACCCCTCATTCATCCTGATTGCTTCCTTGCCCCTCCCTAGTTCCTGTTTTCTTTCTTTTCTTTCTTTTTTTTTTTTTCTTTTTGAGACAGAGTCTCCCTCTGCCTCCCAGGCTGGAGTGCAGTGGCGCTATCTTGGCTCACTGCAAGCTCCGCCTCCCGGGTTCACGCCATTCTCCTGCCTCATCCTCCCGAGTAGCTGGGACTACAGGCGCCCGCCACCACGCCCGGCTAATTTCTTTTCGTATTTCTAGTAGAGACGGGGTTTCACCGTGTTAGCCAGGATGGTCTCGATCTCCTGACCTCGTGATCCGCCCGCCTCGGCCTCCCAAAGTGCTGGGATTACAGGCGTGAGCCACCGCGCCTGGTCTAGTTCCTGTTTTCTTACACATTGTCACATTCTTTCCCTGCCATCTAAGCCTCTAATTTTGGTTGGTCAGGGAGATGGATTTGAGACTGAGTTCTCATCTCCTCCGCTGCAGCACCCTATTAAAGCCTCTTCCTTGGCAATAACCGTCTCAGTGATCGGTTTTCTGTGTGGCAAGCAGCGGGAACCCCAGTTCTCTGAACTTTGGCAAAGGAATCTCCTGATAAAGGCGGGATCGATTTTACTGACCAAGCTGAAAACGATCAGACGTTTGAAAGCCTTAATCTCGGAGCCTGTCGGAGTTTGGTCTGCCCTTGAGGCTTTTCTTTGGGCCTACCAGTCAAAATCAGCCTGGCCAAACCTGTCTTCAAGGACCAGGGGCAGGGCCGGCTTCTCCCGCCGGGTCGGCAGCCACCTTCCCCTTCCCTGTGACTTGAAGAGAAGCTTCAGGGGGCGTTTATTCAATTTGCGAGGAGCCCGCGAGGCGCAGGTGCGCGGTGACTCTGTGGTTCCCACCACACCCGCTGCCCTCTTTGGTCCTCTTTGGTCCTCTCGCTGTCACCGGCGGGCAGTAACGTTCCGGGTGAGCTAGGGCTCCGAAGACACCAGGCAGGGAGGGACCAGTGGGTAAGGGCACCGCCCGTTTAGGTCCTGCGCAGGAGGGATCCGAAAAAGGTCTTGAAGAAATAGAAAGGGAGGGCCAGATGCGGTGGCTCACGCCTGTAATCCCAGCACTTTGGGAGGCCGAGGTGGGTGGATCACGAGGTCACGAGTTCGAGACCAGCCTGTCCAAGATGGTGAAACCCTGTCTCTACTAAAAATACAACAAGTAGCCGGGCGCGGTGACAGGCGCCTGTAATCCCAGCTACTCAGGAGGCTGAGGCAGGAGAATCTCTAGAACCCAGGAGGCGGAGGTTGCAGTGAGCTGAGACTGCCCCGTTGCACTCTAGCCTGGGCAACACAGCAAGACTCTGTCTCAAATAAATAAATAAATAAATAAATAAATAAATAAATAAATAAATAAATAGAAAGGGAGAGTTGGAAGTAGATCAAAGAGAAGAAAAGAAATCCTAGATTTCCTATCTGAAGGCACCATGAAGATGAAGGCCACCTCTTCTGGGCCAGGTCCTCCCGTTGCAGGTGAACCGAGTTCTGGCCTCCATTGGAGACCAAAGGAGATGACTTTGGCCTGACTCCTAGTGAGGAAGCCATGCCTAGTCCTGTTCTGTTTGGGCTTGATCCTGTAGCACTTGATTGTCTCTCCTGGACTTTCCATGGATTCCAGGGATGCAACTGAGAAGTTTGTTTTTAATGCACTTACTTGAAGTAAGAGTTATTTTAAAACATTTTAGCAAAGGAAATGAATTCTGACAGGTTTTGCACTGAAGACATTCACATGTGAGGAAAACAGGAAAACCACTATGCTAGAAAAAGCAAATGCTGTTGAGATTGTCTCACAAACACAAATTGCGTGCCAGCAGGTAGGTTTGAGCCTCAGGTTGGGCACATTTTACTTTAAGTGCACTGTTGGTGGAACTTAAGGTGACTGTAGGACTTATATATACATACATACATATAATATATATACATATTTATGTGTATATACACACACACACACACACACACACACACAGGGTCTTGCTATCTTGCCCAGGGTGGTCTCCAACTCTGGGTCTCAAGCGATCCTCTGCCTCCCCTTCCCAAAGTGCTGGGATTACAGGTGTGAGCCACCTCGCCCAGGCCATTTTAATTTTAATTTAATACTTTTAATTTGAATACACAATCCAAAAATCATATAACAAGTACAGGAAACCCACTTTATGCCAAGTTTACAAAAACAGGAAAGATATGTCAATGACAAAGCGTCAAAGTGGCAACATCCTAAAGTACTGAGAGAAAAAAAGTTATTCTAGAATTCTATGCCAAATTGAAATATCTTTCAAAAATGTGACTGAAATCAGGACATTTAAAGACATACAAAAAAATGACAGAATTCACCGAACCACACTACAAGAAATATTAAAGGAGTCCTCCAGGCCTAAGGATAAGGATACCAAACAGAAATCTGAACCTACACAAAGAAATGGAGACGACTGAAAATCGCTATGTACGTACTTGGATGTTGGGGTTTATAACATGTCCAAAATCAAATTCCCTGACAACACTAACATAAAGGCCAGAAGGGGAGGTATAATGTCACTTGATGGCAGACGGATAAAGATGTATTCTAGGGACCCTAAAGCCATCACTGACATAACAAAAGAAAGAGTTACAGCTAATAAGCCAAATAAGGAAAGAAAATAGAATGATATATAAAAAAAAAACATGTAATCGCTGGGTGCGGTGGCTCATGCCTGTAATCCCAGCACTTTGAGAGGCCAAGGCAGGCAGATCACTTGAGGTCAGGAGTTTGAGACCGGCCTGGCCAAAACGATGAAACCCCGTCTCTACTAAAAATACAAAAATTAGCCCGATGTGGTGGCTCGCGCGGACCTGTAATCTCAGCTACTTGGGAGGCTGAAGCAGGAGATTCGCTTGAACCCGGGAGGCGGAGGTTGCAGTGAGAGCTGAGATGGCGCCACTGCACTCCAGCCTGGGTGACAGAGCGAGACTCTGTCTCAAAAATAAATAAATAAATAAATAAACAAACAAACAAACAAACAAAAACTGTGTAATCCCTATGCTGGAGCAACTGCTCTCCAGGCCTCTACCCTATAGAAATACACAAATGGCCAATGAGAAGTGTACAAGAATGATCACTGCCGAATTATTTGCAATCATAAAATAGTAGCGCCAAAGTAATTTCAAAGATACATGAAAATCGTTTTATTTATTTAACAAACACAAACAATTGAACAAACAATGGAAGCAAGTCCTTTTGCCTAAAGGAACACAGAGGGTCATGCGGATGTTGCTCCTCCAAGGATTTCGGTGTTCCCCAACGGCTAGTTTTGGGTCTAGTTCTTCTGGAAGATCTTATTCTTGGGGAGCTACAGGTTCTGGCGTTTGGGGCTCTTTCAGGTTCTATCTCCATTTTCCCCTCAATTCCTCCCCATTCTGCTATAATAAAAAAAAATTCTCACCTCCGGAAGATCCCGCCTGTGCCTCCCCGCCAGCCTTTCAGGAGGTCTGGACGTCTGGTCCACCGCTCCCCGGCTTCTTTCCCCGCTTTTGCTTTTCCCCTCCCCTGCTCCCGCCCTCCGGCCTCAGGACCCGACCACCGCCCAGCTGAGCCCCCGCGGCTCCACGGCGCAGAAGGGGCACTGGAGGCCCTGCCCGTTGCCGCCCCGCGGGGTGCCAAGAAGTCCACGTAAATAAATGCTTTGTAAAAGGAACTTCCCCATGGAAAAATCTCTCATGATTTCCATTCTCAAGGCTCTTCAAAGGACTAAAAGCTAAAAGGATGGATTCATTCGACAAGTCCTAGTCCTGCGCCCTGGTGAGTGCCAGACCCTGCTCCCCGCGAGGGGGACCCACGAGCCACCCTCACCACGATCCCTGCCCTGGTGGAGCCCCCGTGCGGAACACAGGATCCGAAGATGGCAGCGGAAGCTCCGCAGCGGCCCCAAAAGCGACTGGGCAGGGAGGGCACAGGCTCCCTCACTGGGTGAAGGCGGCGCGAAGAACGGGAAGAGCCATCCCGGGAGCCACCGGGCGTTCAGCCTCCCTAGGGCCCCCAGGCGGCTCGGGCCGGGGTCTCAACCGGGACGTTTCCGGGGGGTTTCTGAAGCAGGCGAGGGGCAGGGCGGGCGAAGGCCATTCGGCTATCCTTCTGGCTCCAGAATCTCCCAACGCGCAGGTGTCCAACGTGACCAGCGCGACTTACCGCTCCAATCTCTCCGGTTTTCCAAGGCCTTGCTCAGTCGTCCTGCCGGGCGGGCCCTGAGGTTGCAAGGGACGGAGGAAGTTTCGTGCGTGCGCCCTTCCTATAGCGCCCAGTAGAACTGACAGTACCTGTCTCTGTGGCGCAATCGGTTAGCGCATTCGGCTGTTAACCGAAAGGTTGGTGGTTCGAGCCCACCCAGGGACGCTTGTTTGAGCTTTTAAAGTATTCATGCATTGTCAATCACTAGATAAATGGGGAAGATTTTATCTTCCTGGAGTCCTAAGCCACTAATTTGTGACTTATCCATGTCAAGGGCCAGACCACCTCCCCGACCGGATTCTTAACCGGGTATCTCCTGAAATCCTGGGTTTATATGTGTGTAACTCAGGAATCCTGAAACAGAGACCTAGGAACCCACTTCTGGTGTGATAAAATTCTAATTCAGTCCGTTATACGCTTAAACGAGTAATTTACATGCCTCCATTTTTTCATATGTTAATAATAGGAGGTCAGTAATATCCCGAGGATGTGCCTGGATTTACTGATTGCTCTATCAATAATGTGACCAGTGGAATCATTCATCATCATAGTGATCCTCTCCATCATTTTTGAAGAGTATTTTTCCTCAGTTTGTGCATGATTTATTTAACCCTTTTCAAAATGTTTTTGTTAGCCAGGCATGGTGGCATGTGCCTGTAATCCCAGGTACTTGGGATTCTGAGGCAGGAGAATCATTTGAACCTGGGAGGTGGAGGCTGCAGTGGAGGCTGCACCAGTGGAGGCTGCACCACTACACTCCCGCCTGGGCAACAGAGCGAGACTCCATCTCAAAAAAAAAATAAAAATAAAAAAATAAAGTTTTTGAGATGAGGTAGGTTTCATTGTTTTAGGATTACAAAGAATGCTGCAGCCACCTTTGTTGTACACATATCTGGTCATTGTGGAAATGTCTACACCGCAGATATTTCTATAGTGTAGGGAAGTTGATGCACTATCGCTACATTATAGGCTTTACATGATGCTTCTAATTTGAGTACATTCTGCAAATGTATCTTTCACGGGAGCCGTACCAAATAATATTCCAATAGCAATATTTATAGGAGGAAAAATGTGCAGAAGTGCAATTGAGCTTCGTGCCTCTCCATGGGGTCCATGTTCATAAAATGGTGGCATTAGCAATCATCTGAGAGTGGAGTTTGTGGCCCTCTGACATCAAAAGCTGAAGCAGAGGACATGAAAACCCTCACTGTGCATCCTCTCTAGTCTGGCCAGAATCATTCCTAGGTCGGTGGTCTCTTATCAGGAGGGAATGCTGCTTGCTTGTTTTGTCAAAATCACAAAACTGAGGGAAAGCATCAGGCCGTTGGTTGGTAACAGTGGTGAAGCAAGTCTTTCCAAAGGGCTGGTTTGTTGTTAACCCTTAGGGAAAAAAAAAGCCTTTTTTTTTTTTTTTTGAGACGGAGTCTCTCTCTGTCCCCCAGGCTGGAGTGCAGTGGCGCGATCTCGGCTCACTGCAAGCTCCGCCTCCCGGGTTCAGGCCATTCTCCTGCCTCAGCCTCCCGAGTAGCTGGGACTACAGGCGCCCGCCACCACGCCCGGCTAATTTTTTTTATTTTTAGTAGAGATGGGGTTTTACCGTGTTAGCCAGGATGGTCTCGATTTCCTGACCTCGTGATCCGCCCGCCTTGGCCTCGCAAAGTGCTGGGATTACAGGCATAAGCCACCGCGCCCGGCCAAAAAAGCCTAATTCTTACCAGCTGGTGCCGTGCAGTACCAGGCTCTTGGTGTCCCAAACAAAGACACCAAGAGCCTGGAACTGCACCAAAAACCAAAACCAAGGTAGGGGCAAGATGATAATCACAGAATGTCAACGGTATATGTTTAGGTTCAAATACTATTATGAGAAGGGGCAGGTAAAGGAGGTAGGAAAAAGAAAACACATCATGTAATTGACTGTTGTATGGAAATATTTGATGCTGAAAGTTATAATTTAAAACTATAAACCAAATATTAGAAGTGTGTCTAGTTCAAAGGGAGGAAAACCATCAAAAACATTTTTAGTGCAATATTTAACATGAGCTATACAACCCTTCCTAAATGCCAAAGGCACACACAGACACACACGCAGACACACAGACACACACACACTCACACTCACGAAGAATACAAATGACTAGAACCAAGAAATGTAAATACATTCTGCTACGTATGGTAAACATAGCCTACAATGTGGAAGAGATTAGAAAATAAACATGGAAATGAAATGTTTTTATTAATTCGCATCAGTACCCACCAAAACCAATCAGCATAATCAAATATTATAACACTGAATGTAAAAAACAATCCAGAAGTCCAGAGTGATAGGCAAAAGGTTTTAATTGTATAGATTAAAATTAACTTTGGACAAAAATTAAAACTCAGGCAGAGAATGTTTTCTTCTTTTTGCAACAGCAGACACTAGTAAAAACAAAGGCACAGTAAAAATTGAGACCCAAAATTTGCAGTGTAGAGATATGAATATAATAATAGACACAGGCAGGGAGGATTAATAAATGATAAAATGTTTAGAGGATGATCATTAGAATACAGGATATTTATACTCTTGAAAACCGCTTTCCCAAGTACTTCATTATAAGTAAGGTGTCTCTAAAAGGGACAGATCTCCTAGACCCCTCCTTAACCAAGTAACCAGTCCTGATATCATAATGGTGATGGACAAACTAGACCTTCTCTGCCCGCAGATGGGCTGAGGTTGGAAACTCACAGCATTGTCTCTGCAGTGTTCCCGGCAAAATGTTTAGGCTGAATTTAATCATGAAGACATTTTCAGACAACTTCAGAATGTAGATCATTGAGCCAGACAGCTGACCTGTCCTCTATAAACAAGTCCATGTCACCACCATCCATGACAACAACAAAAAGATGAGGAAATATTTGGGGTTCAAAATAACTAAAGAAATGCAGCTACATTATCTTTTTACTTTTTTTGAACCCAAAATATCTCTTCTCCTTTTTGTTGTGTGATTTGTGGTGATATGGACTATGTGAAGGAGACAGGTCAGTTGTCCTGCTCAGTGTTCTACATTCTGCAGTTGTCTGGTGATTACCTCCTATGAAACTCAGGCTAAGTGTTTTCTGCAAGAACATGGCATTGTTCATATTCTGCACCGGCAGAGTCCTGGGTGACATGCTGTCTCCTGCCAGCGGCTCCTGACTCCTGTTCTCTACAGGATGGAATTGAGAGGAGCAGGGCTAAGGCCTCCCAATGCTGTTTGTCCATCTAGCTGTGGTCTTCCTAAGTACTGACACCAATTGGAGGCTGAAGGACTGTGGCTTCTCTAACCAAAGGAGCCTAGCGGGTTAACAATTGTCAAGAGCAGTTGGTGGTTCTGAAATACAATCCTCAGCCAAGGATCCCTCCTGTGTTACAGATGGATCAGCTAAAACAAGCCAACACTGAAGACACAAAGAATGAGGTTAGGTTCATTGAAACCAGGGTAACACCTTTGGATGAGCTAAACACAAAGATGACAATGACCTTGAGCAGGTATAGAAGCTCAGAGACATGCCTGCAAAATGAAATCCCTGAGGAATTTTGTAGCTACCCAGAGATACGTGGTTCAAATTAAAATGTCTGACTGATCACTCCCGGCATGTTCTGCACAGTTATGTGAACGTGTCACACCTAACATGGGTCCATTGTCTTCAGATTGAGCACAGGTTGCCAATGGCATGGTTTGAGAATAGGAATAGAGCCATGCTCACTGACCCATCCTATGTCTGGGCTTCCAAATGGAACTGTACTTTCATTCAAATCTTCTCGTGCCTATAGGTCCTGCCTGCAGGAATGACATCTCTCGGCTTAGTAAGAGCTGCTTATTGTGGGAATATGACTCCCATCTGGAACACCAGGTGGAGACTTGTCACCGTCAAAGTAAAAAACCTATTGTCCACGTAAAGGGCGAAGCTGATATGCTCTTCCTCAAATGAGTAAAACACACTTCTGTAGTGCTGGAATGAGTCAGGTTGTTCAAAGTACATTGACGGAGTCGAATAACATCTATCCAGTGAGTCCTGTAAGACTTCAGGCTCTTCCACTTCCATCAGCACGCCGTAGAGCCTGGAAAAGGAGACAAAACTAAAGAAGCAGCCAGGGAAAATCAGACACCACAGAGCCCCACTAGATTTCAGAAGTAATATAAGGAAGTGGTTAGAAAAGAAAAAGGATAGATTCATTAATGAGGTAAAAAAAAAAAATTTATTGCCTTTATGTTGGGATAGAACAGGGCCAGGTAGAAAACAATGAAAGAGAAAGACAGAGAGAGAGAGACAGAGACAGAGACAGAGAGAAAGTGAGCTAGTGAATTGCCCAGGTGACATACTGGTAAGGGAGTAAAAGGACACTCTGAGTTAGTGCCCTCATGACACACAGCAAACTGTGATCACAAAAAGAGTGAGCTCAATAGTTTTCCATAAAATATGCTCAAAATTTGATGCAGTGGCCATCAGAGTACAGCTTTTGAAGTATGGTCAACCTATGGTACGTTAGTAAATGATAAGGGGAGGAAGAAATGGAAACCTAAACATCTACTGCAATGAAAACCAACAGCAATGACAGTAGGAGTAATTCAGCCTTCGTTGAAAACATGACATCAAACACACTCTGGTTTCCCTGAATCTGTTGCCTCCAGGTGTTAACACAGAATTAAGCATCCACAATTGCTGAAAGTTACCTGGGGCATGGTGGGTTGTCATCTTCCCCTTCTTTTCTTCCCCTTCTTCTTTTCTTCTTTGATCTTCTTCCCCTTCTTTTCTTCCCCTTCCCCTTCTTTTCAATTTCTGCAATAAATTCAGACATGGACAGACACATTAAGCTGATTCCCCTACACATATAACAATCCACTGTCTAATCCTCACACAGGGACCTCAGGCTCCTCAGCATAAGAATACGACACCATGAGAGATATATTTCAGGAGGTCTGAAGGCTGGTCATGATATAAATTCCTCAGTTTTTCTCCCAGAAACTGTGGGTAAAGTGTCCCTATTCTAGTAGATCGTTATCCCAATAACATTTGTCCCAAGTTTGTGCAAACAGTTATGCCATATTTTTCCAATCAATTTAAAGCAAATACCCTCAAATGATTTCTAGGAGAAAAACTGCAATATTTAGCCCTGTCTCATCAAATACTCAGATTGTTCATGGTTGTGAGGACTTTAGACACTGAAATTAGAGTGAAAAAGGAAATCTACAAACCCTTGAGTCAAAATCATAGTTCTCTGAATTTGTCACATCTGCCCAGGTCCAATGTCATGAGAGTAGAATCAGAGTGCCACAGGCATGGCCTGAGACTAGGAAGAGAGTCTTGCTCACTGACCCATCCCTTGTCTGGGCTTCCAGGTAGAACTAGAGTTTCATTCAACCTACATGTGCCTATAGGTCCTCACTGCGGCAATGACATCTCTCAGCTCAGTAATGGCCAATTGGAGCAGGAATATGATCTTTATATGGAAGACTCAGTGGATCCTTATCACCTTCATAGAAAGGTACTCACCTCCCACGTCAAGAGAAAAGCCAACATGTTTTTCCTCCAATGCATAAAAGGAACTTCCATAGGGCTGGCAGGAGTCAGGCTGTTCAAGACAACTGGAAGGAGTTGAATAACATCTATCCAGTGAGTCCTGCAAGACTTCAGGCTCTACTACCTCCAGCAGCTCCCTGCTGAGCCTGGAAAAGGAGGAAAAAGTAAAGAATAAGCCAGGGGAAATCAGACACAACAGAGCCCCAACTAGGTTTCATGGGTAGCATAGGGAAGTGGTTAAAAAACTAAAAGGATAGATCCATTAATGAGGTAACAAATTATTGCCTTCATGTTGGGACAGAACAGGGCCAAATGGAAAAGAATGAAAGAGAAAGACAGATAGACACACACACACACACACACACACACACACACACACACACACACAGACACACACACACAGAGAGAGAGAACGAGCTCAGTGAATTGTCCAGGTGACACACTGATGAGGGAGTAACAGGACACTCTGAGTTAGTGCCCTCAGGACACACAGCATACAGTGATCATGAAAAGACTGTGCTCAATAATTTTCCATAAAATGTGCTCAAGTTTCCATGCAGTCGCCATGAGAATACAGTTTTTGAAGTCTGGTCCACCTACAGTAGGTTAGTAAATGATAAGGGGAGGAAGAAATGGAAACCTAAATATCTACTGCAATGAAAACCAACAGCAATGTTAGTAGGAATAATTCAGGCTTGCTGGAAAAGATGTAATCGATAATGTCAGCCCGCTCTGTTTTCCCTGAACCAGGAGTCTCCAGATGTCAACACAGAAGTAGCTGTTCACAATTGCTCAGTTACCTGGGGCATGGTGGGCCTTGGTCTTCTTCCTCTTCTTGGTCCTTTTTAATTCCTGCAATACATTCAGACAGGGACAGACAAAATAAGCCAATTCACCTACACCCATAACAGTCCACTGTCTAATCCCCACACAGGGATCTCAGGCTTCTCAGCATGAGAACAGGACAATGTGAGAGAGATACTTCAGGAGGCCTGAAAGCTGGTCATGATATTCTTTGGTTTGCATCTCAGAACCAAGGGTGAAATATCCCCATTCTGGTAGATCGTTATCCCAAAATCATTTATCCCAAGTTTGTGCAAACAGTTATGCCTTATTGTTCCCATCAGTTCAAAGAAAATGCCCCAGATGATTTCTAGGAGGAAAACTGCAGTATTCAGCCCTGTCTCATCAAATGCCCAGCTCGTTCATGGATGCAAGAATTTTAGACACTGAAATTAGAATGAAGGAGGAAATCTACAAACCCTTCAGTCCAAATCATACTTCTGTGAATTTTTTACATCTGCCTGGGTCCAATGTGCTGAGAGCGGGCTCAGCTTGCCACAGGCATGGCTGGAGACTAGGAATAGAGCCTTGCTCACTGACCCATTTCATGTCTAGGCTTCCAACTGAGACTACAGTTTCATTACAACCTTTATGCGCCCATAGGTCCTGCCTGCGGCAATGACATCTCTCGGGTCAGTAAGGGCCACTTGGAACAGGAATATCACCCCTATCTGGAAGACCAGGTGGAGGCTTATCACCTTCACAGTAAGGTACTCACTGTCCACGTCAAGAGCCAAGCCAAGGTACTGTTCCTCCAATGAGTAAACAGCACTGCTGTAGGGCTGGCCTAAGTCAGGCAGTTCAAGATAATCTGAAGGAGTCGAATAACATCTATCCAGTGAGTCCTGCAAGACTTCAGGCTCTTTCTCATCCAGCAGCTCCCTGCTGAGCCTGGAAAAGTAGGAAAAAGTAAAGAATAAGCCAGGGAGAATCAGAAACCACACAGCCCCAGCTAGATTTCATGGCTAACATAAGGAACTGTTTAAAAAGAAAAAGGACGGATCCATTAATGAGGTAATGAATTATTGCCTTTATGTTGGGATAGACCAGGGCCAGGTAGAAAAGAATGAAAGAGAAAGACAGGGAGAGGGAGAGAGAGAGAGAGGAGAAAGTGAGCTCAGCGAATTGGCCGGGTGACACACTGATGAAGGGGTCAAAGGACACTCTGAGTTAGTGCGCTCGGGACACACAACGAACAGTGGTCATGAAAAGAGTGGGCTCAATAATTTTCCATAAACTTGCTCAAGATTCCATGCAGTTGCCATACAGCCTTTGAGGTATGGTCAACCTATAGTAAGTTAGTAAATGATAAGGGGAGGAAGAAATGGAAACCTAAACATCTACTGCAATGAAAACCAACAGCAATGTCAGGAGGAGTAATTCAACCTTCGTTGAAAACATGAAATTGAACACACTCTTGTTTTCCCTGGACCTGGCATCTCCAGGTGTCAACACACAATTAAGCATCCATAATTGCTCAAAGTTACCTGGGGCATGATGGGTCTTGGTCTTCTTCCACTTCTTGGTACTTTTCAATTTCTGCAATAAGTTCAGACATGGACAGACATATTAAGCTGGTTCTCCTACACACATAACAATCCACTGTCTAATCCTCACACAGGGACTTCAGGCTCCTCAGCATGAGAATAGGACACTGTGAGAGATATTCTTCAAGAGGCCTGAAGGCTGATCACCATAGAGATTCCTTGGTTTTTGTCCCAGAAACTGTGGGTAAAATTCCCTATTCTGGTAGATCGTTATCCCAATATCATTTGTCCCAAGTTTGTGCAAATGGTTATGCCATATTTTTCCAATCGATTTAAAGCAAATGCCCCCAAATGGTTGCTAGGAGAAAAACTGCACTATTCAGCCCTGTCTCATCAAATACTCAGATTGTTCATGGTAGCAAGGATTTTAGACGCTGAAATTAGAGTGAAGGATGAAATCTACAAGATCTACAAAATTGAGACAAAATCAGAGTTGTGTGAATTTGTCACATCTGCCCAGGTCCAACGTCATGAGAGTAGGATTAGGGCGCCACAGGCATGGCCTGAGACTAGGAAGAGAGCCTTGCTCACTGATCCATCCCTTGTCTGGGCTTCCAAGTGGAACTAGAGTTTCATTCAACCTACATGTGCCTATAGGTCCTCCCTGTGGCAATGACATCTCTCAGCTCAGTAAGGGCCACTTGCAGTAGGAATATGACCCTAACCAGAAGACTCAGTGGATCCTTATCACCTTCATAGAAAGGTACTCACCATCCATGTCAATAGCCAAGCCAACACGCTGTTGCTCCAATACGTAAAAGGCACTTCTGTAGGGCTGGCATGAGTCAGTCAGTTCAAGACAACCTGAAGGAGTTGAATAACATCTATCCAGTGAGTCCTGCAAGACTTCAGGCTCTTTCTCATCCAGCAGCTCCCTGCTGAGCCTGGAAAAGTGGGAAAAAGTAAAGAATAAGCCAGGGGGAATCAGAAACCACACAGTCCCAGCTAGATTTCATGGCTAACATAAGGAAGAGTTTGAAAAGAAAAAGGACAGATCCATTAATGAGGTAACAAATTATTGCCTTTATGTTGGGATAGACTAGGGCCAGGTAGAAAAGGATGAAAGAGAAAGACACACACACACACACACACACACACACACACACAGAGCGAGCTCAGTGAATTGGTCAGGTGACACACTGATGAGGGAATCAAAGGACACTCTGTATTTGTGCTCTCAGGACACACAGTGAACAGTGATCATGAAAAGCATGTCCTCAATAATTTTGCATAAAATGTGCTCAAGTTTCCCTGCAGTTACCATGAGAATACAGCTTTTGAGGTATGGTCAACCTTCACTAGGTTAGTAAATGATAAGTGTAGGAAGAAATGGAAACCTAAACATTTACTCTAATGAGAACCAAAAAGCAATGTAGTAGGCATAATTCAGACTTGTCTGACAAGACAAAATCATTATTTTCAGCATGTACTGTTTTCCCTGGACTTGGCATCTCCAGGTGTCAACATCAAATTAACTGTCCACAATTTCTCAGACTCACCTGGGACCTGTTGCCTCTTGGTCCTCCTTTTTCACTTGATCCCACCGATGTCCTGCAAATAAATTCAGATGGGCCCTCTTACATTAAGCAGTTCTTCCTTGCACACAGAAACATTCCTCTGTCCAATCCTAACACAGGGACATCAGTCTTGTCAGTGTGAGAACAGGAGACTTTGAGAGAAATATTCCAGTAGGCCTGAGGTCAAGTCTTGAGAAAACTGGCTTGGGTTCTTTCATGAGCCTTGGGCAAAATTCCCCTGTTTTGGAATGTTATCTTCCCTATGTGCTCTGTCCTAGGTTTATGTACACAAATGAGCAATTTTTTCCCCAATAAATTGTAGGCAAATAGTTCTAACACCTCATAGGAGAGATACTTCAATATTAAGCTTTCTCTCATTAAATACCCAGAATTTGATAGTTTATGAGATTGTGGACACAGAGATTTGATGAAGGGGTGCAATGTACCAGCTCTTGAGTCAAAATGAAACTTGGTTCTACACAGAAGCATCAGCTATTATGGCTTTTGTGGGTGAAAAGTCAGCCGTTTATCTAGAAAACGTACCAGGAACATGATGGACAGATGAGCTAAAACAAGCGCACTTAGAAGACACAGAAAATGGGAATAAATTCAGTGAAACCTGGGTCACATCTTTCACTGAGAAGTAGACAAGGGTGACACTGGCCTTGGGCAGGTAAAGAACCACACAGACATGCTTTGGGAACAAAACTCATAAGGAATTTTGTAGCTGGCAAGAGACATTTAATTCAGATGAGCTGAGCTGACAGACAGCTCCTGGGCATGTGCTGCATAGTTTGGTGTGAGTTTGCCACACCTGCCTTGAGTTCAATGTCGTGACAGTCAGTCCAGGTTGGCACGGGCATGGCCTGAGACTAGGAAGAGAGCAAAGCTCACTGACCCACCCCATGCCTGTGCTTCAGACTCGACTCCAGAGTGATTGAAATCTACATTGATATATAGATTCAGCCCACGGTGATGGCAAATCTCAGCCCAACAAGGGGCACAAGGCCCAAAGATTATGGGGTCTACCTGGGCCATGAACTGGAGCTTTATCACCTTCACAATGGAGTACTCACTGCCTATGTCAACAGCCATGCAGACTTGCTGTTCCTCTAATGAGTGAAATGTGCTGCTGTAAGACTGGTACGAGGCCAACATTTCAGGAGGAATTGAGAGAGTCGAATAACCTTCATCCCAGGACTCCTGGGGGACTTCCTCCTCTTCAGACTCCTGCAGATTCCTGATGAGCCAGGCAGGACAGGGATGATAGAAGATTTAACCAACAGACATTAGACAACAAAACCTCCCAGATGATCTGATGGGAGACAGAATGGAGTGGTCACAGAAACCAAAGGCATTTTTCCTTCAAGAGAAATAAAACTATCCTTCTAAATACAGGGTGGAGGGTGACTGCTCTGGGGACACAGCAAAAATGGGCAGCATGTGCTCAGTACATTTGCCACAGATGAGCCAACTCAGGGCACCCAGACTCTCCCTGTAAACTACCATCATGACTTGCAGCACAGAGAACTGACACAGGGCTTCAACTACTTTGCATAAATTGGGTTGAATTTTACATGCAGCATTCAAGTGAAGAGAGTTCTTGACGCAGTGCAGACACAGATCTTGTGTATTAAGGGCCCCATTTTCCCAATATTTTGATATAATATATTTACTTTTTCAATTTCTTTTCTTGCAAAAATACTAGCCAACATACTACCAACAAATAGGAAGAAAGCATGTATACACCTCTCCCTGGATTTAAACACATGGGAGAGAATAGGCAACACCAAGAAATCCCTGTTTGAGGGTCTGGAGTGGACTTCCAGCAAACTCCAACAGACCTGAAGCTGAGGGACCTGACTGTTAGAAGGAAAACTAACACACAGAAAGGAATAGCATCAACATCAACAAAAAAGACATCCACCCCAAAACCCCATCTGTAGGTCACCATCATCAAAGACCAAGGGTAGATAAAACCACAAAGGTGGGGAGAAACCAGAGCACAAAAGCTGAAAATTCCAAAAACCTGACATCCCTTCTCCTCCAAAGGATCGCAGCTCCTCGCCAGCAATGGAACAAAGCAGGATGGAGAATGACTTTGATGAGCTGACAGAAGTAGGCTTCAGAAAGTCGGTAATAACAAACTTCTCTGAGCTAAAGGAGGATGTGCGAACTCATCTCAAGGAAGCTAAAAACCTTGAAAAAAGATTAGACGAATGGCTAACCAGAATGAACAGTGTAGAGAAGACCTTAAATGACCTGATGGAGCTGAAAACCATGGCACGAGAACTACGTGGTGCATGCACAAGCTTCAGTAGCCAATTCGATCAAGTGCAAGAAATGGTATCAGTGATTCAAGATCAAATTAATGAAATGAAGCGAGAAGAGAAGTTTAGAGAAAAAAGAGTAAAAAGAAATGAACAAGCCTCCAATAAATATGGGACTATGTGGAAAGACCAAATCTACGTTTGATTGGTGTACTGAAAGTGACGGGGAGAATGGAACCAAGCTGGGAAACATTCTTCAGGATATTATCCAGGAGGACTTCCCCAACCTAGCAAGGAAGGCCAACATTCAAATTCAGGAAACACAGAGAACACCATAAAGATACTCCTCGAGAAGAGCAACCCCAAAACACTTAATTGTCAGATTCACCAAGGTTGAAATGAAGGAAAAAATGCTAAGGGCAGCCAGAGAGAAAGGTCGGATTACCCACAAAGGGAAGCCCATCAGACTAGTAGCAGATCTCTTGGCACAAACCCTACAAGCCAGAAGAGAGTGGGAGCAATATTCAACATTCTTTTTTTTTCCATATGTATAGTTTTCCTTTATTATTTTTTGTGTGTATGTATATATATATATATACAGATATATATATTTTAATACTTTAAGTCTTAGGGTACATGTGCACAACGTGCAGGTTAGTTACATATGTATACATGTCCACATTGGTGTGCTTCACCCATTAACTCATCATTTAACATTAGGTATATCTCCTAATGCTACCCCTCCTCCCTCCCCCCACCCTACAACAGGCCCCAGTGTGTGATGTTCCCCTTTCTGTGTCCATGTGTTCTCATTGTTCAATTCCCACCTGTGAGTAAGAACATGCGGTATTTGGTTTTTTGTCCTTGCAATAGTTTGCTGAGAATGATGGTTTCCAGCTTCATCCATGCCCCTACAAAGGACATGAACTCATCATTTTTTATAGCTGCATAGTATTCCATGGTGTATATGTGCCACATTTTCTTAATCCAGTCTATCATTGCTGGATATTTGGCTTGGTTCCAAGTCTTTGCTATTGTGAATAGTGCCACAATAAACATATGTGTGCATGTGTCTTTACAGCAGCATGATTTATAATCATTTGGGTACACACCCAGTAATGGGATGGCTGGGTCAAATAGTATTTCTAGTTCTAGATCCCTGAGGAATTGCCACACTGCCTTCCACAATCATTGAACTAGTTTACAGTCCCACCAACAGTGTAAAAGTGTTCCTATTTCTCCACATCCTCTCCAGCATCTTCAACCTTCTTAAAGAAAAGAATTTTCAACCCAGAATTTCATATCCAGCCAAACAAAGCTTCATAAGTGAAGGAGAAATAAATCCTTTACAGAGAAGCAAATGCTGAGAGATTTTGTCACCACCAGGCCTGCCTTACAAGAGCTCCTAAAGTAAGCACTAAACATGGAAAGGAACAACCGGTACCAGCCACTACAAAAACATGCCAAACTGTAAAGACCATTGACGCTAGGAAGAAACTGCATCAACTAACGGGCGAAATAACCAGCTAATATCATAATGACAGGATCAAATTCACACATAACAATATTAACCTTAAATGTAAATGGGCTAAATGCCCCAGTTAAAAAACACAGAATGGCAAATTGGATAAAGAGTCAAGACCCATCAGTGTGCTGTACTCAGGAAACCCATCTCACATGCAGAGACACACATAGGCTCAAAATAAAGGGATGGAGGAAGATCTACCAAGCAAATGGAAAACAAAAAAAGGCAGGGGTTGCAATCCTAGTCTCTGATAAAACAGACTTTAAACCAACAAAGATCAAAAGAGACAAAGAAGGCCACTACATAATGGTAAAGGGATCAATTCAACAAGAGTTAACTATCCTAAATATATATGCACCCTATACAGGAGCACCCAGATTCATAAAGCAAGTCCTGAGAGACCTACAAAGAGATTTAGACTCCACACAATCATAATGGGAGACTTTAACACCCCACTGTCAATATTAGACAGATCAATGAGACAGAAGCTTAACAAGGATATCCAGGACTTGAACTCAGCTCTCCACCAAGCAGACCTAAAAGACATCTACAGAACTCTCCACCCCAAATCAACAGAATATACATTCTTCTCAGCACCACATCACACTTATTCCAAAATTGACCACATAGTTGGAGGTAAAGCACTCGTCAGCAAATGTAAAAGAATGGAAATCACAACAAACTGTCAGACCACAGTGCCATCAAATTAGAACCCAGGATTAAGAAACTCACTCAAAACCGCACAACTACATGGAAACTCAACAACCTGCTCCTGAATGACTACTGGGAAAATAACAAAATGAAGGCAGAAATAAAGATGTTCTTTGAAACCAATGAGAACAAAGACACAACATACCAGAATCTCTGAGACACATTTAAAGCAATGTGTAGAGGGAAAATTATAGCACTAAATGCCCACAAGAGAAAGCAGAAAAGATCTAAAATTGACATCCTAACATCACAATTAAAATAACGAGAGAAGCAAAGCAAACAAATTCAAAAGCTAGCAGAAGACAAGAAGTAACTAAGATCAGAGCAGAACTAAAGGAGATAGAGACACAAAAAACCCTTCAAAAAATCAATGAATCCAGGGCTGGTTTTTTGAAAAGATCAACAAGAAAACCCTGTTTGGCTAGTTCACCTGGCTCATCTGATGGCAAGTTCCTATCTTGAGAGGACTATGAAATTAAAACCAATACAAGTGCCACAAATAACATACAACATTGTAAATCAGCACAATTTGTAGCTGGGTGAATGGAAGAAATAGTTCTATTCATCACTTCCTCATTTTCCCTAAATCTACAATCTCCAGATGTCACTACTGAATTAACAGCCAACAATTCCACAACATTACCTGGGAGACACTGGCCCTTTTTCTTCCTCTTCCTCATCATCACTTTCATTTTCTGTAAATAAATTCAGAGAAGCAGGTCACATTAAGCAATTCATACTTCACATAGGAACAAATCACTGTCCAGTCATAGCACAAGGACATAACTATTCTCAGTGCAAGAATAAGGATTCTGACAGGAATATTCTAGGGTGTCCTAGATTAACTTTGGTGAGAATTAGATGACCCTGCTTTCCAGACCCACAGGCCAAAATCTCCCTCTACGTGTAGACCATAATGACATATTCCCTGCCTGAGTCAAAGTTAAACAAAATTTTTTCCCCAAAAAAATCTCCAAAAATTGGTCAAACAATTTTCTAAGAGTGTTGCTGCAATACGGACTTATATCACCAGGTAACATGGACATTAAATGTTTAGAGGCATCTATACATGAAACACGACTGATAGATAAATTTGAACAACTCTTGCTTTAAAAAGAATCTGTGATTTGGGAGGCCAAGACAGGTGAATCATTTGAGGTCATGAGTTCAGGACTACCCTGGCCAATATGGGGAAACCCTGTCTCTACTAAAAATACAAAAATTAGCCAGATGTGATGTTGTGCACCTGTGGTCCCAGCAACTCAGGAGGCTGAGGCAGGAGAATCACTTGAATCTGGGAGGGAGAGGTTGCACCAAGCCAAGATGGTGCCACTGCACTCCAGCCTGGGTGACAGAGCAAGACTCCATCGCAAAAAAAAAAAAAAAAAAAAATCCACGATGCTACAAAGAAACATTGGATCAGCCATTGCATTGACAGGGTGGAGAACCAGGGTCCAG